>NC_000009.12:110720552-111345552 GCF_000001405.40 Homo sapiens | reverse complement strand
TTTTAGGGAAACACCTGCTTAGTTCTGAAGGTTTCATTTTAATATAGCATTTTTTTGTTTCATCAGGAAAGAATTATTTTCATTTATTGATAAAAATAATGCACGTTTAGAGAGATAGACTCTAGATTTTGCATCGGTATTCAACCAGTTTATTGGCTAGGGTACTCCTGTTATTAAAATTTTATTGTTCCTTTTATGTAAGTTCTGCACTGTTCTCGTTTGAGTGATTCTAACATAGCTTACTTTTTTTTTTTTTGTGATGGAGTCTCACTCTGTCACCCAGGCTGGAGTGCAATGGTGCGATCTTGGTGGCTCACTGCAATCTCTGCCTCTCGAGTTCAAGCTATTCTCCTGCCTCAGCCTCCTGAGTAGCTGGGACTACAGGCACTTGCCACCACGCCCGGCTAATTTTTGTATTTTTAGTAGAGATAAGGTTTCACCATATTGGCCAGGCTGGTCTCAAACTCCTGACCTTGTGATCCACCCACCTCAGCCTCCCAAAGTGCTGGGATTACAGGCATGAGCCACCGTGCCTGGCCAGTAGCTCACATTTTTAATGCCACTGATAATGGAATATTTTTCTGGTTACCATATCGTCCAAATGGCTGCAAGAAAATGATTGGTTTTTATTTATTTCTTTTATTAGGCTACTTTACTAAACTCTTTTCACTTCTGGGGAACATTTTAGTTGATTCTCTTGTTCTTTTTTAGTTATAAAATCATATAGTTTACTAGTGATAATTTTACATGCTTTTCTTCAATGTTTGTGACTATTCCTATTTAACATCTGATTGTCAATTTTTTTACCATTATGAATATTTATTTCATTATCTGTTTTCTGCACATTATCATTGTATGTGTATATATGTTTGTATGTACAACCACACAAATACTATATAAAAAAATTAAAAACATTCTACCGATAGTGACCATCTTTGATTTAAAAACAAAACAGAACAAAACAAACACCAAAAAACATTCTACTGACATTTGCGAATCTTGCTTTTTATTTTACATTGTATTGTGAGAATTATCTTTTGTCTTTACATACTCTTCCAAACCATGCTTTTTAATGATCAAATAGTATCCCAATATTTGGTTATAATTTTTAAATCCATCATTCTCCTTTGTTGGACATTTATGTTGCTTCCCGTTTTCACTCTTTGATGATGGGAAATAGACACAACAATTAGTAGTAGCGCTTATTGACACAGCCCTTGCCCTGTTCCTGACACCATTTTAAGTACTTCTCTATTAGATATTTTAGTCCTCTAATAATTACATAATGAAAATACTATTATTATACTCATTCGTAGATGAGTAAACTAAGGCACAGAGCTTTCAAGAAAACGCTAAGTAACCAAGCAGTGGGGCACACGGTGAAGAGTCCACGTTCTTAGCCAAGAGCTGAATACATAACTGCTCATGGTCATACAGGGCCAGACACTGCTCTAAGAACTTTACACATAATAACTCTTTTATTTCCATTAAGCACAACCAACCCTGCTTGAGAACAGGAGTTTAAGACCACCCTGGGCAACATAGCAAGACCTAATCTCTAAAAACTTTTTAAAAAATTATCTGGGCATGATGGCCCTCACCTGTAGTCCCAGCTACTCGGGAGGCCAGGGCAGGAGGATCACTTGAGCCCAGGAGTTTGAGGTTACAGCGAGCAGTGATTGCGCCACTGCGCTCAAGCCTGACCCTGTCTTTAAAGAGAAAAGCAAACCAACCAACCAAGGAACCAACCAAAGCAACCTTAGGTGATGATGAGGCCAGGTTTAGAGATATACAGACTTGGTTTTCAAATTCTAACTTAAACTTGCTAGCTCTGTGGCCTTGACACAATGCATCCTTTGCCCAGCTTATTCGCTTTTCATAATATTGAGATGTTAATTTTTCCTACATCATATAATTTTACAGAAAGAATCTATAAAATGCTTTGCATAATACTTTGGCATGTGGTGAGCATTCAATAAATGACAGTTGTTGATATGAAAATTATTACTTTATCTTAAAGTTAGCTTAATGTTCACCAACATATTCTTGTAATTATTATTTTTTAAGATTTTATTTTTTAAGGCAGTTTTAGGTTCACAGCAAAATTGAGAGATTTCTCATATACTCTGTGCCCCTACACATCCATAGCCTCCTCAGTTATCAACATCCCCCTCCAGGGTGGTACATTTGTTACAATAGATGAACCAATATCGTCACACCATAATCGTCCAAAGTCCATAGTTTGCCGTAGGGTTCACTTTTGGTGGTGTACAGTCTATGGATTTTAGAAAATTTATAATGACTTGTACCCATTATTATAGTATAATAGGGAGTATTTTCACTGTCCTAAAAATCTTCTGTGCTCCTCCTATTCATCCCTCTTCTTACTCCCAAGTCCTGTCATCCACTGATCTTTTTACTGTCGCCATATTTTGCCTTTTCTAGAATATCATATAGTTGGAATCATACGGTATGTAGCCTTTTCAGATTGGCTTCTTTCACTGAGTAATATGCATTTCAGTTTCCCTCGTGTCTTTTTTTTTTTCTTTTCATTTAGCCTTGACTTGAAACTCATCCGCCATATCTTTTTTTCAGGGCTTAATAGCTAATATCTTTTGAGTGCTGAATAATGTTCTGCTGGCTGCACATACCATCGTTTATCCATTCACCTACTAAAGGTCATCTTGGTTGTTTCAAAGTTTTGGGAATTAAGAAAAAAGCTTCTACAAACATCCTTGTGCACATTTTTTGTATAGACATGTATTCAACTCCTTTGGGTAAACACCAATGGGCACAATTGCTGGATCATGTGGTAAGAGTATGTCTGGCTTTGTAAGAAAGAAACTGCCAAACTGTCTTCTAAAGTGGCTGTACCATTTTGCATAAAAGTTTTAGAGTCAATTTATTGTTATCTACAAAAGAACTTCCCATGATTTTGATTGGGATTGTTATCAAATCTATAGCTCATCTTGGAAAGAGCTGATTTCTTTCTTTCTTTTTTTTTTTTTTATTATACTTTAAGTTCTGGGATACCTGTGCAGAACGTGCAGGTTTGTTACATAGGTATACATGTGCCATGGTGGTTTGCTGCACCCATCAACTTGTCATCTACATTAGGTATTTCTGCTAATGCTATCCCTCCCTAGCGCCCACCCCCAACAGGCCCCGGTGTGTAATGTTCCCCTCCCTGTGTCCATGTGTTCTCATTGTTCAGCTCCCACTTATGAGTGAGAACATGTGGTGTTTGGTTTTCTGTTCCTGTGTTAGTTTGCTGAGAATGATGATTTCCAGCTTCATCCATGTCCCTACAAAGGACATGAACTCATCCATTTATGGCTGCATAGTATTCCATGGTGTATATGTGCCACATTTTCTTTATCCCGTCTATCATTGGTGGGCATTTGGGTTGGTTCCAAGTCTTTTGCTATTGTGAACAGTGCTGCGATAAACGTATGTGTGTATGTGTCTTTATAGTAGAATGATTTATAATCCTTTGGGTATATACCCAGTAATGGGATTGCTGGGTCAAGTGGTATTTCTGGTTCTAGATCCTTGAGGAATCGCCACACTGTCTTCCACAATGGTTGAGTTAATTTACACTTGCACCAATAGAGTAAACGTGTTTCTATTTTCCACATCCTCTGCAACATCTGTTGTTTCCTGACTTTTTAATGATTGCCATTCTAACTGCCGTGAGATGGTATCTCATTGTGGTTTTGATTTGCATTTGCATTTCTCTGATGACCAGTGATGATGAGTATTTTTTCATATGTCTGTTGGCCACATAAATGTCTTCTTTTGAGAAGTGTCTGTTCATATCTTTTGCCCACTTTTTGCTGGGGTTGTTTTTTTCTTGTAAATTTGTTTAAGTTCTTTGTAGATTCTGGATATTAGCCCTTTGTCAGATGGATAGATTGCAAAAATTTTCTCCCATTCTATAGGTTGCCTGTTCACTCTGATGATAGTTTCTTTTGCTGTGCAGAAGCTCTTTAGTTTAATTAGACCTCATTTGTCAATTTTGGCTTTTGTTGCCATTGCTTTTGGTGTTTTAATCATGAAGTCTTTGCCCATGCCTATGTCCTGAATGGTATTGCCTAGGTTTTCTTCTGGGGTTTTTATGGTTTTAGGTCTTTTTTTTTTTTTTTTTTTTGAGATGGAGTCTCGCTCTGTTGCCCAGGCTGGAGGCTGGAGTGCAGTGGCGCAATCTCGGCTCACTGCAAGCTCTGCCTCCCGGGTTCATGCCATTCTCCTGCCTCAGCCTCCCGAGTAGCTGGGACTACAGGCGCCTGCCACTGTGCCTGGCTAATTTTTTGTATTTTTAGTAGAGATGGGGTTTCACCGTGGTCTCTATCTCCTGACTTCGTGATCCGCCCACCTTGGCCTCCCAAAGTGCTGGGATTACAGGCATGAGCCACTGTGCCTGGTCGGTTTTAGGTCTTATGTTAAAGTCTTTAATGCATCTTGAGTTAATTTTTGTATAAGGTGTAAGGAAGGGGTCCGGTTTCAGTTTTCTGCATATGGCCAGCCAGTTTTCCCAATACCATTTGTTAAATAGGGAATCCTTTCCCCATTGCTTGTTTATGTCAGGTTTGTCAAAGATCAGATGGTTGTAGATGTGTGATGTTATTTCTGAGGCCTCTGTTCTGTTCCATTGGTCTATATGTCTATTTTGGTACCAGTACCATGCTGTTTTGGTTACTGTAGACTTGTGGTATAGTTTGAAGTCAGGTAGCGTGATGCCCCCACCTTTGTTCTTTTTGCTTAGGATTGATTGTCTTGGCTATGTGGGCTCTTTTTTGGTTCCATATGAAATTTAAATTAGTTTTTTCTAATTCTCTGAAAAAAGTCAATGGTAGCTTGATGGGGATAGCATTGAATCTATGAATTACTTTGGGCCATATGGCCATTTTCATGTTATTGATTCTTCCTATCCATGAGCATGGAATGTTTTTCCATTTGTTTCTGTCCTCTCTTATTTTCTTGAGCACTGGTTTGTAGTTCTCCTTGAAGAGGTCCTTCACATCCCTTGTAAGTTGTATTCCTAGGTATTTTATTCTCTTTGTAGCAATTGTGAATGGGAGTTCACTCATGATTTGGTACTCTGTTTGTCTATTATTGGTGTATAGGAATGCTTGTGATTTCTGCACATTGATTTTGTATCCTGAGACTTTGCTGAAGTTGTTTATCAGCTTAAGGAGATTTGGGACTGAGATGATGGGGTTTTCTTAATATACAATCATGTCATCTGCAAACAGAGACAATTTGAATTCCTCTCTTCCTATTTGAATACACTTTATTTCTTTCTCTTGCCTGATCGCCCTGGACAGAACTGCCAATACTATGTTGAATAGGAGTGGTGAGAGAGGGCATTCTTCTCTTGTGCTGGCTTTCAAAGGGAATGCTTCCAGCTTTTGCCCATTCAATATGATATTGGCTGTGGGTTTGTCATAAATAGCTCTTATTATCTTGAGATATGTTCCATCAATACCTAGTTTATTGAGAGTTTTTAACATGAAGGGGTGTTGAATTTTATCAAAGGCCTTTTCTGCATCTATTGAAATAATCATGTGGTTTTTGTCATTGGTTTTGTTTATGTGATTGATTACGTTGATTGATTTGCATATGTTAAACTAGTCTTGCATCCCAGAGGTGAAGCCGACTTGATCGTGGTGGATAAGCTTTTTGATGTGCTGCTGGATTTGGTTTGCCAGTATTTTATTGAGGATTTCTGCATCGATGTTCATTAGGGATATTGGCCTGAAATTTTCTTTTTTGTTGTGTCTCTGCCAGGTTTTGGTATCAGGATGATGCTGGCCTCATAAAATGAGTTAGGGAGGAGTCCCTCTTTTGCTATTGTTTGGAATAGTTTCAGAAGGAATAGTACCAACTCCTTTTTGTACCTCTGGTAGAATTCTGCTGTGAATCTGTCTGGTCCTGGGCTTTTTTTGGTTGGTAGGCTATTAATTACTGCCTCATTTTCAGAACTTGTTATTGGTCTATTCAGGGATTTGACTTCTTCCTGGTTTAGTCTTGGGAGGGTGTATATGTTCAGAAATTTATCTATTTCTTCTAGATTTTCTAGTTTATTTGCATCAAGGTGTTTATAGTATTCTCTGATGGTAGTTTGTATTTCTGTGGGATCAGTAGTGATATCCCCTTTATCATTTTTTATTGTGTCTATTTAATTCTTATCTCTTTCTTAGTCTGGCTAATGGTCTATCTATTTTGTTTTTCTTTTCGAAAAACCAGCTCCTGGATTTATTGATTTTTTGAAGGGTTTTTCGTGTCTCTATCTCCTTCAGTTCTGCTCTGATCTTAGTTATTTCTTGTCTTCTGCTAGCTTTTGAATTTGTTTGCTCTTGCTTCTCTAGTTCTTTTAATTGTGATGTTAGGGTGTCAATTTTAGATCTTTTCTGCTTTCTCTTGTGGGCATTTAGTGCTATAAATTTCCCTCTACACACTGCTTTAAATGTGTCCCAGAGATTCTGGTATGTTGTATCTTTGTTCTCATTCGTTTCCTAGAACTTATTTATTTTTGCCTTAATTTTGTTATTTACCCAGTAGTCAATCAGGAGCAGCTTGTTCAGTTTCCATGTAGTTGTGCGGCTTTGAGTGAGTTTCTTTATCCTGAGTTCTAATTTGATCGCACTGTGGTCTGAGAGACTGTTTGTTATGATTTCCGTTCTTTTGCATTTACTGAGGAGTGTTTTACTTCCAATTATGTGGTCAATTTTAGAATAAGTGCAATGTGGTGCTCAGAAAAATGTATATTCTGTTGATTTGGGGTGGAGAGTTCTGTAGATGTCTATTAGATCTGCTTGGTCCAGAATTGAGTTCAAGTCCTGAATATCCTTGTTAATTTTCTGTCTCGCTAATCTGTCTAATATTGACAGTGGGGTGTTAAAGTCTCCCACTATTATTGTGTGGGAGTCTAAATCTCTTTGTAGGTCTCTAAGAACTTGCTTTATGAATCTGGGTGCACCTGTATTGGGTGCATATATATTTAGGATAGTTTGCTCTTCTTGTTGCATTGATCCTGTTACCATTATGTAATGCCTTTGTTTATCTTTTTTGATATTTGTTGGTTTAAAGTCTGTTTTATCAGAGACTAGGATTGCAAGCCCTGCTTTTTTTTTTGCTTTCCATTTGCTTGGTAAATCTTCCTCCATCCCTTTATTTTGAGCCTATGTATGTCTTTGGACATGAGATGGGTCTTCTGAATACAGCACACTGATGGCTCTTGACTCTTTATCCAATTTGCCAGTCTGTGTCTTTTAACTGGGGCATTTAGCCTGTTTACATTTAAGGTTAATATTGTTATGTGTGAATTTGATTCTATCATTATGATGCTAGCTGTTTTTTTTTTTTTTTTTCAGTTGCAAGATTTAATAGAGTGAAAACAGAGCTCCCATACAAAGGGAGGGGACCCAAAGGGGGTTGCTGTTGCTGGTTCGAATGCCTGGGTTTATATCCCGATCATTGTCCCTCCCACTGTGCTCTTAGGCAATAGATGATTGGCTATTTCTTTACCTCCTATTTTTGCCTAATTAGCATTTTAGTGAGCTCTCTTTACAATTTGATTGGTCGGGTGTGAGCTAAGTTGCAAGCCCTATGTTTAAAGGTGGATGTGGTCACCTTCCCTGCTAGGCTTAGGGATTCTTAGTTGGCCTAGGAAATCCAGCTAGTCCTGTCTCTCAGTGCCTCCTCTCAACAGGAAAACCCAAGTGCTGTTGGGGAGGTTGGCTGATAACCGCTCTAACTGCTTACTGCTGAATTGGGGCATAGTAGGGGTTGTGCAGCTGAGATTTCCTTGAGAGGGGTGCCTTTGATGTCATTAACATCGGAGCATGGCTAGCAGGCCAGTCCAGGGGTTTGCAGTAGATCTTAGTCATGGACTGCATCTGGGGCTCCATTTGAAGAGCCATTTGTAGTTTTACAGCTTCAATTCTGGAAGAGAAAAACTTAACAAGGAGGTTAAAGATACAGGGTCCAAAGAGGAGTAGCAATATTACAGCTGCTAGAGGTCCTAAGAAGGGGAGAATCCAGGGCATCCATTGGCTGAGGAGGCCCCAGGGTCCAGTGTTTTTAAGCTCCTCTGCTCTACGTTATATTGTATCTTGAATTTCTTTAACTTTCTCGGTGACAATTCCAGATTGATTAACATAATAACAGTATTCTTCCCCTAAAAATAAACAGGATCCCCCTCTTTTGGCAGTTAGCAAGTCTAAAGCTCTTTGATTTTGAAGGACTACTGCTGCTAGGGAGTTAAGTTGATCTTTCAAGGTGACCAGGGAGTCGGCGACCTGTTCCATGTCATCATTTAGTCCTTGAGATAGTTTGTAGTAGAACTGAGTAGAGATTGTGATACTGCCAGTGCCAGTACCTAGTCCACCTGGCACTCCTGCTCCAATAACATAAGGAAGAATGGGTACTCTTTTGTTGCAGGGCTTAGGTACGACATGATTGTATAAATTTTGTTCAGTGTAGATGGTCATAGGGGGCAATAAGAATGAGAGGAAGCACATAGATTCTGAAGAGCCGTTCAAACAACGATAGGCTGAGGTACCACAGACAAAAAATATTCCTGAGGGTAGGCAGACTATTCATGTGGGAGGAGTTATCCACCTGATGCATTGGGAGTTGGTTGTTTCTATAGTACTGCTAAATTTTACACAGGTGAGGTTTAAGGTATGGATTATTTTCAGATTGGAAACAAGAGGTCCTACTAAAATGGAAGTGGTGTTTATTTCTGTGCTGAAGTTGTTCCACTGTTCAGGTACCAGGATTGAAATGTATGACCTGAAGTGCAGGGGGAGGCACATGCAACAGTTAGTAGGGTTTTGGTCTGAGACCTCATGGAGCCCAGTGAGTGTGGTATTAAATAGGTTTACCAGGCGAGTATGGGTACGGAGGGTTTCATGTAGTTTTGAGAGATCTAGTCCTTTGTAGGAGCTAGGGGTGCTATATACCTGGGTCAGTTAGGAGATTACTTCCTTTATGTGTTTTTCTCTTGCCTGATCTTGAACTCCACCCCCATCAGACATACCAGTATGGGTGAAGTAAGCCCAACAGACAGTGGCTCCAAGTCCTCCAGGACAACTAGGATTAATCATTTTTCCTGTCCAATAATGAGTATTTGCATGCTAGCTGGTTGTTTTGCCTGTTAATTGATGCAGTTTCTTTGTAGTGTTGATGGTCTTTACAATTTCGTATGTTTTTGCAGTGGCTGGTACTGGTTGTTCCTTTCCATTTTTAGTGCTTCCTTCAGGAACTCTTGTAAGGCAGGCCTGGTGGTGACAAAATCTCTCAGCATTTGCTCATCTATAAAGGATTTTATTTCTCCTTCGCTTATGAAGCTTAGTTTGGCTGGATATGAAATTCGGGGTTGAAAATTCTTTTCTTTAAGAATGTTGAATATTGGCCCCCACTCTCTTCTGGCTTGTAGGGTTTCTGCAGAGAGATCTACTGTTAGTCTGATGGGCTTCCTTTTGTGGGTAACCTGACCTTTGTCTCTGGCTGTGCTTAACAGTTTTTCCTTCATTTCAACCTTGGTAAATCTGATGATTATGTGTCTTGGGGTTGTTCTTCTCGAGGAGTATCTTTGTGGTGTTCTCTGAACTTCCTGAATTTGAATGTTGGCCTATCTTGCTAGGTTGAGGAAGTTCCTGGATAATATCCTGAAGAGTGTTTTCCAATTTTGTTCCATTCTCCCTGTCACTTTCAGGTATACCAATGAAACATAGGTTTGGTCTTTTCACATAGTCCCATATTTCTTGGAAGCTCTGTTTGTTCCTTTTCATTCTTTTTTCTCTAATCTTGTCTTCATGCTTTATTTCATTAAGTTGATCTTTAATCTCTGATATTCTTTCTTCTGCTTGATCGATTTGGCTATTTATACTTATGTATGCTTCATGAAGTTCTCATGCTATATGTTTTAGCTTCATCAGGTCATTTATGTTCTTCTCTATATTGGTTATTCTAGTTAGCAATTCCTCTAACTTTTTTTTCAAGGTTCTTAGCTTCTTTGCATTGGGTTAGAGCATCCTCCTTTAGCTCAGAGAAGTTTGTTATTACCGACCTTCTGAAGCCTACTTCTGTCAGCTCTTAAAGTCATTCTCCATCCAGCTTTGTTCCGTTGCCGGCAAGGAGTTGTGATCCTTTGGAGGAGAAGACGCATTCTGGTTTTTGGAATTTTCAGCCTTTTTGTGCTGGTTTTTCCTCATCTTTGTGGATTTATCTACCTTTGGTCTTTGATGTTGGTGACCTACCGATGGGGTTTCTGTGTGGACATCCTTTTTGTTGATGTTGATGCTATTCCTTTCTGTTTGTTATTTTTCCTTCTAACAGTCAGGCCCTTCTGCTGCAAGTCTGCTGGAGTTTGCTGGAGGTCCACTCCAGACCCTGTTTTCCTGGGTATCACCAGCGGAGGCTGCAGAACAGCAAAGATTGCTGCCTGTTCCTTCCTCTGGAAGCTTCGTCCCAGAGGGGCACCCAACAGATGTCAGCCAGAGCTCTCCTGTATGAGGTGTCTGTTGACCCCTCCTGGGAGGTGTCTCCCAGTCAGGAGGCACGGGGATCAGGGACCCACTTGAGGAGGCAGTCTGTCCCTTAGCAAAGCTCCAGTGCTGTGCTGGGAGATCCGCTGCTCATTCAGAGTTGGCAGGCAGGAATGTTTAAGTCAGCTGAAACTGCACCCACAGTCACCTCTTCCCCCAGGTGCTCTGTCCCAGGGAGATGGGAGTTTTATCTATAAGACCCTGACTGGGGCTGCTGCCTTTCTTTCAGAGATGCCCTGCCCAGAAAGGAGGAATCTAGAGAGGCAGTCTGGCTATAGTGACTTATGAGCTGTGGTGGGCTCCGCCCAGTCTGAACTTCCTGGCGGCTTTGTTTACACTGTGAGGGGAAAACCACCTACTCAAGCCTCAGTAATGGTGGACCCCCCTCCCCCATCAAGCTTGAGCATCCCAGGTTAAGACTGCTGTGCTGGCAGTGAGAATTTCAAGCCAGTGGATCTTAGCTTGCTGGGCTCCATGGGGGTGAGATCCGCTGAGCTAGACCACTTGGCTCCCTGGCTTCAGCCCCCTTTCCAGGGAGAGTGAATGGTTCTGTCTCACTGGAGTTCCAGGTGCCACTGGGGTATGAAAAAAAACTCCTGCAGCTAGGTTGGTGTCTGCCCAAACAGCCGCCCAGTTTTGTGCTTGAAACCCAGGGCCCTGGTGGCGTAGGCACCTGAGGGAATCTCCTGGTCTGCAGGTTGCAAAGACTGTGGGAATAGTGTAGTATCTGGGCTGGAGTGCACCATTCCTCACAGTATGATCCCTCACAGCTTCCCTTGGCTAGTGGAGGGAGTTTGCCAACCCCTTGTGCTTCCTGAGTGAGGCGACACCCCACCCTGCTCCGGCTCCCCTCCCTGGGCTGCACCCACTGTCTAACCAGTCCCAGTGAGATGAGCCGGGTACCTCAGTTGGAAATGCAGAAATCACCTGCCTTCTGGGTTGATCTCGCTGGTTGCTGCAGACCAGAGCTGCTCCTATTTGGCCATCTTGCCAGGCCCGTTTGGAAAGAGCTGATTTCTTGACAATATTGTCTTCCTAGCATCCAAGAACATGAAATATTTCTCCATTTATTTAGTTCTTCTTTGATTTCATTTATCAGAGTTTTATAGTTTTCCTTATATAGATTATACACATATTTTGTTAGATTCATGCTCAAGTATATCATTGTGGGGGAGGGATCCTAGTGTAAACAATGTTGTGTTTTTAATTGCAAATTCCATTTCTTCTTTGCTGGTATACAGGAGAGCAAGTGACTTTTGTACATTAACCCTGTGTCCTGAAACCTTATTGGGAATTGCTTATTCTTAGTTCCAGCAGGTTTTTGTTGATTCTTTCAGATTTTCTACATAGACGGTCATCTCATTGTCAATTTTCTTATAAAATTCTTGTTGTCTTGTTGCCTGGTGGTGGGAGGGATTTGTCGTGAGTGCTGACTTTTAGAAAAATAAAGTTTCAAGATTAATATTATTAAAACTTCAAGTCATTAGTTATCATGTTTCCTATGTTTTACAATCAAACAAGCCTATTGGATTTAGCCAGTTTCACTATTCCAAGCTCATGCTGTATGGGCCACTCTAGCCCATTATCCCCAAAATATAATCCTACCATTTAATTAGCTCTATTTTATATTTTATATTATTCAATATAGTTGTTGTTTCTTCTTTTCCTAAGAAGGAAACAATTTGCCTATTCATGTGGTAGGACCAAGTTCTTCTGAGGGTCTTCTTTCTGGACGTTTGCCATCAGTGATCCAGAGTAAATGAACTGTCATAAGGACACAGAAAATATGGAGAAGGCATTACTTGCAAAAAGTATGTGGCAATAAGTGCATTTTCTCTCCACACACAACTTTTAAAAAAATATTTTTACCAATGATTTGAGGGTAAGTTGGAGACATTTTGCCCTTTTAACACTAAATGCTTCAGTGTGTATTTCCTAAGAATAAGAGCATTATCTTACATAACCATAGTACAGTGATCAAGATCAGGAAATATGATATTGATAGAATGCTAATATCTAATCCCCAGCCCATTTTCAAATGTTGTCAATTGTCCTAATAATGTCCTTTACAGACCATTTTTCCTAATCTAAGATTCATGCTGGGGCATGTATCATATTTAGTTGTCCTGTCTCTTTCAGGTATGGAACATTTTCTTGGTTTTTCTTTTTGTTTCCTGATTGTGACACTTTTTTTTTTTAATTAGGAGTTTTTTATTTTATGATTTCTTCTTTTTTATTTCAGTAGGTCTTGGGGGAACTGGTAGTGTTTGGCTACATGGGTAAGTTCTTTAGTGGTGATTCCTGAGATTTTGGTACACCCACCAGTGTACATTATCCCCAATACGTTGTCTTTTGTTCCCCAGCCTCGCATCCTTTCCCCTGAGTCCCCAGAGTCCATTGTGTCATTCTTATGCCTTTGCATCCTCATAGCTTAGCTCCCACTTATGAGTGAGAGAGCGAGAACATAGCATGTTTGATTTTCCATTCCTGAGTTACTTCACTTAGAATAATGATCTCCAATTCCATCTAGGTTGCTGCAAATGCCTTTATTTTGTTTCTTTTTGTGGCTGAGTAGTATTCCATGGTGTGTGTGTGTATGTATATCTATCTATCTCACATTTTCTTTATCTGCTCATTGATTGTTGGGCATTTGGGCTGATTCCATATTTTTGCAATTGCGAATTGTGCTGCTATAAACATGTGTGCAAGTATCTTTTTTGTATGATGACTTCTTTTCCTCTGGGTAGATACTCAGGAGTGGGATTGCTGGATTAAATGGTAGATCTACTTTTAGTTCTTTAAGGAGTCTTCACACTGTTTTCCATAGTGGTTGTACTAGTTTACCTTCCTACCAGCAGTGTAAAAGTGTTCCCCTTTCATCCCATCCATGCCGACATCTATTATTTTTTGATTAAGGCCCTTCTTGCAGGAGTAAGGTGGTACTGCACTGTGGGTTTGATTTGCATTTCCCTGATAATTAGTGATGTTGAACATTTTTTCATATGTTTTGTGGCCATTTGTATATCCTTTTTTGAGAATTGTCTGTACTTTTGGAAAGCATAGGCTGATTATGTTGCATAATATCCCTAAATTTAGGTTTGTCTGGTTTACACTCATGGTTAGATTCTGGTGATTTAATTTTGATGGGAATACCTCAGAAGTGATAGTGTGTTCTCAGTACCTCATATTAGAAGGCACATGGAGTCTATTTGTCCCAATATTGGTGATTTTAACATGATTATCCTTCAGGCCTCCCCACCATAAAGTTATTATTTTATCTTTAAACTTACTAAGTAATTTGTGGTGAGATATTTTGACACCATGTAAATATACTGTTCATCCAACTTTTACCTTCAAAAACGACACTGCCTACATTAACCTAATACAACATTTTACCTGTGGTAATCTATTGCCTACAAAACCCTTAACTGTGATTGATTATTTTCTAACATCATTCCTCTAAATTTATATTTTTTGGCATCCTACTGTGAAGAAGAGCTTTCTATTCCTATTTATTTATATAATAACGTACATTTTTATATTATTCTATGAATTATGATCAATTATTATCATTTTTATTTTGATGCTCCAAATAATCTGTCCTAAATTTAGCAATGGGAGCTTCATCAAGTGGGCGTCTATGACCCTTTGCTATATTCCTACCATTCTTTGCATATTTCTTACTTTCTGGTATGGTAAGATACTCTAAGTTAATCTTGTTCTTTCTTATCCTAGCTCTGGTATTAGTCATTTTCCCAAGGAGCCATGTTTCCTTCTAGTTAAGAATGGTGTTTAGAAACTAATATCTGGGGCCGGGGGTGGTGGCTTACGCCTGTAATCCCAGCACTTTGGGAGGCTGAGGTGAGTGGATTGCTTGAGCTCAGGAGTTCGAGACCAGTCTGGCCAACATGGTGAAACCCTGTCTCTACCAAAAATACAAAAATTAGCCCAGCGTGGTGGCACATGCCTGTAGTCCCAGCTACTCAGGAGGCTGAGGCAGGAGAATCCCTTGAACCTGGGAGGTGGTGGTTGCAGTGAGCTGAGATCGTGCTACTGCACTCCAGCCTGGGCGACAGAGCCAGACTCTGTCTTAAAAACAAAACAAAACAAAGCAAAGATCTAGGATGTGCCCATTACTACCGAGGTCTCATTGCCTTACAATCCTCTCAATATGTGTATATTAAATAACATTTCTGATCACTTGTTGGGGCAGTCAGTGATTTCTCTGTGGCTTTAAAAAGTAAATGTTCTTTCCCTAATTTCTGAAAACCAGGGAGTAATTTCACAAATGCACAAAATGTATTTTAGTATTGTAGGGACATCTTTTCTCTGTATTCTGTTAAGTATTCTACGCTGAAATCATTCATTAAAAAGTCTTGACATAGCTAAAGATTGACAAGAAGAAAGTGAATAGAAAACTTTGTTTTCTGAGTTTTTCCAAAGTATTTTGGAGGAACTGTGTGGTTCACTCTCTATTTAACTTTTTAAAAGTTTGATATAATTGGATCTTTGGGACAATATCCCTGAAGGATCTGAAATTTCAAACCTCTATATATCTTAGCTCCTGAACTTTAAATTGTTCAGGGACAACAGATATTCCCCCAAAACAATAAATGATTTAAATTTACCTAATATTTCAGTTGCTATCCTTTGGTATTTTTAGTTATGGTGGTAAGAGTTAATAATTTCAAAAGAAATGAATCGCACTATTGATTTGTACATAATATTTAACATTTTAAAATATGAATTAATTTATTATTTCTTGGACGTAGTTAACTTTATGAAGTGCATCATAAAACAACGTTTTATTTGAAGTTGCTGATACGGAATTCAGATGGGAGGACCAATTCTTCTTGGCTACTATTAAATACTTTTGAATATCAAATCTCAGGTAACTGGGCTGATTTTTTCACTTAAAAACTTGTGCTTGTTAGTCTTAAGAGTAGCACAAAAATTAAGCTTCTTTGAAGTAATGTTTTATAATAATCTAATAAATTTTTTATTATTAGAGAAATCTATTAAATATAAAATTTGGCAGAGAAATTCATAAGATGAAAGCAATTTTTAAGAACATGTATATATGAAAATAGGAAAGACTCAGTGGAGAAAGAAAACGGTTGAAGGTTTATTAAAAGGCAATATGAGTGCAGAAGCAAGGTAAGTTTTTTGTAATAATTTTTTGTTAATAATGTGAAATGTAAGGAAAAAATATACAACTTTAAGTTTCTGACTGTCCTGCTAGAAACTAGTTTTGCCCTGCAGCGACCCCTCTGTGGGAATCTCATTGATCACAAGTGAAATTCTGGAAGTGCTAAAGTTAGTTTGCTCAAGTTCACTGCTCATGGATATGATCATGATGGTGGGTCAACATTCTTCTCTTGCCAATTCCAATGTACTTATTTATAACTATGTGCTCTGTAATCTTATTTTTAAAGAGATCTTATGGTAATCTTCCAAGGGAGTTTAGTTTCTGCATTTCCTGGATATATGGGTTTTCGTATATTGCCTGGCTATAATTTTTAGAGCTCTTTACAAACTCACAAAGATATGGGGCTCAACAATGAATGAAATTGTACGGTGGATGTATTAGTATTAAACGTATTAGTATTAAATTGTGTGACATAAACTGGCTCTTAAATATAATCACAAATTAGTATCTACAATGCTTCAAGCATTGTTGTCCTTTTTGAAACCAGTGTACAGCCCCCCCAAACTGTTAGCTGGAAAGGGCAGAGTTCATTTAGACCCAGAGCTTCCGACTATGAAGTTGGTTTAAATTTTTTTTTCTTTTTTTTGAGACAGAGTCTCACTGTCACCCAGGTTGGAGTGCAGTGGTGCAATCTCGGCTTACTGCAACCTCTGCCTCCCTGTCTCAGCTTCAGCCTCCTGAGTAGCTGGGACCACAGATGTGCGCCACCACATCTGGCTAATTTTTGTATTTTTCGTAGAGATAGGATTTCACCATCATGTTGCCCAGGCTGGTCAAACTCCTGAGCTCAAGCAATCCACCCGCCTCAGCCTCCCAAAGTGCTGGGATTACAGGCATGAGCCACTGTGCCCGGCCTAAAATTTATTTGTTTCTTTCAAGGTTCCTCCTCTTCTTTTAGTGAAGATCAATATTGCTTTTTATTGTACATTTGAGCTTTCTTTTCCTCACTTATCTGGATTACTTTTCTGATTTGAGCTCAATAACTTCTTCAATGTACATTCATATTTTTCCTCATTCGGTCACTTTCAAATCTTTATTAAAGACCTACTGTGTGCCAAGGATAGGTTTAGGAGCTCAGTTTCAAGTATTAAATATGTATATTCTTTTTTCAAATTTGCTGTTTTCTAAATTTTGTTGTGGAAGAATCAACTTATGTACATCAACCTGCTCCCCCCCTTACATCAATAAACACACTATCCTGTGATTTCTTGTAGTAAAATTGCATTTATAATAGTGAAAATAAGTTTGAGAGTATTTTCCTAACTAAATGAATATCACACTTTATTCATTTCTTTATGTCCTCAGATTAAATGAAGGGAATAGTACTGGAAGAAATATAGATGAAAGAAAGAAAATGCAAGGAGAAAACTTCACCATTTGGAGCATTTTTTTCTTGGAGGGATTTTCCCAGTACCCAGGGTTAGAAGTGGTTCTCTTCGTCTTCAGCCTTGTAATGTATCTGACAACGCTCTTGGGCAACAGCACTCTTATTTTGATCACTATCCTAGATTCACGCCTTAAAACCCCCATGTACTTATTCCTTGGAAATCTCTCTTTCATGGATATTTGTTACACATCTGCCTCTGTTCCTACTTTGCTGGTGAACTTGCTGTCATCCCAGAAAACCATTATCTTTTCTGGGTGTGCTGTACAGATGTATCTGTCCCTTGCCATGGGCTCCACAGAGTGTGTGCTCCTGGCCGTGATGGCATATGACCGTTATGTGGCCATTTGTAACCCGCTGAGATACTCCATCATCATGAACAGGTGCGTCTGTGCACGGATGGCTACGGTCTCCTGGGTGACGGGTTGCCTGACCGCTCTGCTGGAAACCAGTTTTGCCCTGCAGATACCCCTCTGTGGGAATCTCATCGATCACTTCACGTGTGAAATTCTGGCGGTGCTAAAGTTAGCTTGCACAAGTTCACTGCTCATGAACACCATCATGCTGGTGGTCAGCATTCTCCTCTTGCCAATTCCAATGCTCTTAGTTTGCATCTCTTACATCTTCATCCTTTCCACTATTCTGAGAATCACCTCAGCAGAGGGAAGAAACAAGGCTTTTTCTACCTGTGGTGCCCATTTGACTGTGGTGATTTTGTATTATGGGGCTGCCCTCTCTATGTACCTAAAGCCTTCTTCATCAAATGCACAAAAAATAGACAAAATCATCTCGTTGCTTTACGGAGTGCTTACCCCTATGTTGAACCCCATAATTTACAGTTTAAGAAACAAGGAAGTCAAAGATGCTATGAAGAAATTGCTGGGCAAAATAACATTGCATCAAACACACGAACATCTCTGATTGGGTCCCTATGGTTTTACCAGAGATGTGCCCCTGGCAGAGCTCATCAGAGAAATTCGAGACAACATACAACCTCTTAGAACTCTGATCGGATCTTATCTCTATATAATTTCACAGTTATGAGCTGCATACACAGAGTGATTGCCTATTAATAATAGTAGGTTTCAATTTGCATTTGTTAATATTTCCTTTTTGTGTTTTGTGGTTGTGAGGTTTTGAGTTATAGAGTCATTAAATGTTTGCTACAGAAGAAATCGTGTATATCTTCTGTGATTTAATCCTTTCTCAAAGGAGGTGGGAGCATAAAGAAACAAATAAAGACTGGCCTTAATTGTGCAAGTGAGAAAACAGAATTTAAAAATGTAAAAGACTAGCTCAACATCACACAACTGTAGAACTGGGACTATGACATCCTTCCGATTTCTTGGCCAGAGCTTGTTCTACCACATGATGGTGGCTCTCTAATTACCCCGCATTATTCAAAACTCCTGATTAAAACTCCTTATCTCCCTGAGTAAGGCATTCAATGATGCCTACTTGATTTTTCCACTTGCCAGCCTTGCTTTTCTAAGCACATAAATACTTGTGCAAATTGTATCTGCTTTTATGCCAGTATACTACTCATATACTAATTAAGTCTTTTTCATTCATGTTTGCCTTTTTTCTTCATTGGATGATTGACTTCACAGAGACATGTATTCTTGTTATTTTGTACCTTTTCTGTTTACAGCACTCATTCAGTAAATTAACACATTTATCAGCTTTACACCAGTCACTTTATTTGAGAAGAAGGTACCACTTGTGAAAATTATAAAGAAGAAACAAAGGCAATGAGGTATATTGCTTTATAAATACTTAAACATTACAGAGACAATGTTTATATTAGTTGTTTTAAATCATTTATTTGCATACAAATATTGCTTGTTAAAAATGCCTTCACTCCCAGATATTCTGATTCAGTGACTCTAGGGTGGTTCCTCAATAGTCTGTAGTTACAGGTGGAGCCCCAAGAAATTCTGATACAGATTGTGCAGTGACCATACATTGGGAGACATTATTTCCAGCAAAAATTTATCTTTCAAAAAGAAAAGTAGGATTAGTTCTTATTTCTCTCTTTTTCCTTTTTTATTTGATTTTTTTTCCTTCATTCTTTCTGCCTCCATGTGTACCTTCTTACTTGTCTATCTCTACTTCTAGAGTAGGGAAGCGAAGAGGGTTTTGACTGGAAGAATGTAAACTCACTGGACAAATTAAAAATATAAAATACTTTAAAAGTTTTAGCATTAGATGTTGAGTTTTGGATTACTTAACGCTAGCATTGGGAGAAATACCTAATGTAGATGATGGGTCGATGGGTGCAGCAAACCACCATGGCACGTGTATACCTATGTAACAAACCAGCTCGTTCTGCACATGTGTCCCAGAACTTAAAGTATAATAAAAAAATTAAAAAACATACATCTAGGACTTCTGTTACATGTTCCTAGATGTGTAACCCATATATAAAGAAACTCAAAATAACTATATAGCAAAATTCTGGAGATGAAGCAATGAAACAATTTTTTTTTTTTTGAGACAGGGTCTCACTCTGTCACCCAGGCTGGAGTGCAGTGGCACGATCTCGGTTCACTGGAACCTCTGCCTCCCAGGTTCAAGTGATTCTCCTGCCTCAGCCTCCCAAGCAGCTGGGGTTACAGACATATGCCGCTACGCCTGGCTAATTTTTTGTATTTTTTGTAGAGGCGGGGTTTCACCACGTTGGCCAGGCTGGTCTCGAACTCCTGACCTTAAGTGATCTGCCCACCTCGGCTTCCCAAAATGCTGGGATTACAGGTGTAAGCCAATGCGCCCGGCCAACAACGGGATAAATTTGATGCCAGATTTTGCTGCCAAGAGACGTTTGATAGTAGAGAATGGAATTATGCCCCGAGTAATGGTTTTGGAATGGTAAGGGAAAGCTGACTGGGAAGCATTTATCCTAGAAGTAACTATGTTTCTTCCTAGATACCTCAGTCTTCCCGATGCAATGGGCACAATCATTGCCTGGCAATTTCAGTGTTATGTTGTAGTGTAATTTTATAGTAGGTTTTTATTCGAGTAGAGCTAAATTTTATTATAATATAACTGAATTGTCTGCTTTCTGGAATTCATTATGTGTGGTTCTAAATATAAACAGAAATAGCTAGAGCTATAGAAATAGCTGAAAGCTTTACTTCAAAGAGGGAACTATGAGAGACCTTGGAGACACAGACTGAACACCCTCTGTAGTCAGTCTGCCAGCTTTGACACAAGGAACTGAGCAGATTGGCATGGAACCAAGTGTTTTAGAATGGGATATAGACCAGAATGGGACAACAAAATGGATGAGAAATAACCCAGATGTCAGAAGAGGACTCAGAACAGAACCTGGGTGAGTATCTCCTTGCAGATCTTGCTGAGAGAGTAGTAGTTAAAGCCATATGTTCCATAACATGGCTGCGCACAACTATATATATATGTATGTGTGTGTGTGTGTGTGCTTTATATATGATATGCAATACTTAAGTTAATTATTGGTAAAACAGTGCATTCTTTTCTTTGGATCTCCATCAACACTAATTTCACTTGTTACTTTTATAGTGCCTCAGGTAAGAGATCCTTTTGAGGTACTGTTAAAGAGAGGAATACATTTGACAGAGAAGTTATAACTACCTCTGATGGAGAACCAATTCCTACATGAAGGATTATGTGACTAGATTTATGCTTTCGAAAAACCTGGATATGCCACTTCTCTGCTTAAATCCCTTAGCACTGTTTCACTGCCCTAACATTTGAAGTCCTTAAGATGACATGCAAAAACTTTCATAATCTGATTACTCACCATTCATATCTTTTGCTGTAAGCACACCAAAATTCTCTTGTTTCATGAATGTGTTATGCTCTCTCGTTTCTTTCTTTTTTTTTTTTTGAGACAGAGTCTCACTCTGTCGGCCAGGCTGGAGTGCAGTGGTATGATCTCGGCTCACTGCAACCTCTGCCTCCCTAGTTCAAGCGATCCTCCTGCCTCAGCCTCCCGAGTAGCTGGGACTACGGGTGCACACCTCCACACCTGGCTTTTTTGTATTTTTAGTAGAGACAGAGTTTCACCATATTGGTCAGGCTGGTCTTGAACTCCTGACCTCAGGTGATCCACCCACCTCGGCTTCCCAAAGTGCTGGGATTACAGGCGTCAGCCACCACACCTGGACTCTTGTTTCTTTTTTTAATTAATAGCAATTATCATAATTTGTAATTCAATAATAATTTGTGGGTTTCCTTGTTTGATGGCTATGTCCCTCACTGGTCTGTAGGTTCACTGAGGCAATGACCATATCAATTTCATTTACTACTGTATACCCAGGACCTAGCACAAGTCTGGCATAGAGAAGACAGACATTCACTGCATACTTTTTATAAAAAATTAAGTGCTTACTGAACATTGTTTGAATAAAAATATACATGTAATAAGCTTTTAATAGCTATTCAGTTAGGTACTTGACCATTTCTGTGTTGAATGCCTCTCTTTGATTGCTAGTGGTGGTTAGGTGGTGGTGGTGGTAGTAAGAACATCTATCTAGATTTAAAGAACAAAAATGTCATTAGTTCTTAGCATGGAATCTTTAAGACTAAATCATTTGATTAACCATCTTTACTTTTCCAATAGAAATGGCACATTGTTCACTCTGATGGAAGTTTCTTTTGCTGTGCAGAAGCTCTTTAGTTTAATTAGACAGGCAACCTACAAAACGGGAGAAAATTTTCGCAACCTACTCATCTGACAAAGGGCTAATATCCAGAATCTACAATGAACTCAAACAAATTTACAAGAAAAGAACAAACAACCCCATCAAAAAGTGGGCAAAGGACATGAACAGACACTTCTCAAAAGAAGACATTTATGCAGCCAAAAAACACATGAAAAAATGCTCACCATCACTGGCCATCAGAGAAATGCAAATCAAAACCACAATGAGATATCATCTCACACCAGTTAGAATGGCAATCATTAAAAAGGCAGGAAACAACAGGTGCTGGAGAGGATGTGGAGAAATAGGAACACTTTTACACTGTTGGTGGGACTGTAAACTAGTTCAACCATTGTGGAAGTCAGTGTGGCGATTCCTCAGGGATCTAGAACTAGAAATACCATTTGACCCAGCCATCCCATTACTGGGTATATACCCAAAGTACTATAAATCATGCTGCTATAAAGACACATGCACATGTATGTTTATTGCAGCACTATTCACAATAGCAAAGACTTGGAACCAACCCAAATGTCCAACAATGATAGACTGGATTAAGAAAATGTGGCACATATACACCATGGAATACTATGCAGCCATAAAAATGATGAGTTCATGTCCTTTGTAAGGACATGGATGAAATTGGAAATCATCATTCTCAGTAAACTATCGCAAGGACAAAAAACCAAACACCGCATATTCTCACTCATAGGTGGGAATTGAACAATGAGAACACATGGACACAGGAAGGGGAACATCACACTCTGGGGACTGTTGTGGGGTGGGGGGAGGTGGGGAGGGATAGCTTTAGGAGATATACCTAATGCTAAGTGACGAGTTAATGGGTGCAGCACACCAGCATGGCACATGTATACGTATGTAACTAACCTGCACATTCTGCATATGTACCTTAAAACTTAAAGTATAATAATAATAAAATAAAAAAAAATTAAAAAAATAAATTGGTAATTGAAAAAAAAAGAAATGGCACATTGTTAAAAAAGGTAAATATGCTAGAAATTATTGTTTCAGGACTTTGGCCTCTGGTACTGTATTTGATGCAAATTCTAATGATCAAGATGGAGAATTCTATGTACATTTATGGATGACTGAAAATTTGAGTGACTCCAGGGTGGGTCCTCAATAATCTGTCGTTATAGGTGGAGCACCAAGAAATTCTGATATAGATTGTGAGATGACCATATATTGGGGGACATTATTTGCAGAAAAAAATCTATCATTCCAACAGAAATGTAGGATTAGTTCTTCTTTCTCTCTTTATGAGAAATAAGATGAACACTGGAAGAGTGCTCACAATAGAATCAGTACTCGGTCTGTTCATAGAAGGGATTCAAGCATCACGTGAATGATTGGGCCATATGTGCCTTACAGCCTTGACTCCTCATTTGCAAAATAATAATTATAACATAATAGGCTTTTAGCATTCCTTTATTCTCAGCAATATAAATAGCTACAATTTTTAGACCTATCTAAACTATCTAACCTTAGAACTTGTCTCAGTGGATAGGAGAAAAGAAGATAAGTATCATTTGCAGTTAAGTGACCTGGACATGAACAGAAGCTCTTGGACTGACTTGGGTTATACAAGTTTTACTCTCTCTTCTTTGATAAGGCACAGAAATAGGAAGTAAATATTGGGTTGATATGTGAAGAAAAAGTTAGATGATGTGAGGAAGGGTAGAGAGTATCTCTGGCAAGGGAGCAAAAGAAAACATGGCATGAAGAACCGAAAGAAGACAAATGTGTAGAGGCACGGAAAGAAAAGGGAGGAGTGGGGCTGGGTGCAGTGGCTCAGGCCTGTAATCTCAGTACTTTGGGAGGCCTAGATGGGTGGATCACTTGAGGCCTGGAGTTCAAGACCGGCCTGGCCAACATGGTGAAATGCTGTCTCTACTAAGGATACAAAAATTAGCTGGGCATGGTGGCTCATGCCTGTAATCCCAGCTACTCTGGAGGCTGACTCAGGAGAATCGCTGGAACCCAGGAGGTAGAGGTTGTAGTGAGCAGAGATCACGCCACTGCACTCCAGCCTGGGCAACAGAGCAAGACTCCGTCTCGTAAGCACATTGAGAAGCCATTGAAATGGCTTGAGTGGGGGTTTAGCAAGTATTTTCATAGAAAAGTCATTCTGGCCGCCATATGGAGAACTGATTATAGAGAATAGAAGTGGACACAGGGAGATCAAGTTGGAGAAAATTGTAGTGGTTCAGGTGAATGTTACTGGAAGCTTGGACTTGCATGGGGCAGTGGAGAAAGTAGGCAGATTTGAGAGCTATTTAAAAAGTAACCTCTTAACAATTTAAGAGGTAACATCAACAAGATTAGACATAGGCAGAGAGAGAGGCAAAAACATCAAAGATGACTCCTAGGTTTCTTGTTTGTAGAACAGAAGACTGATGGTGTCATTAACTGACACAGGGAATCCTGAAAGAGGACCAAGTTTGAGGTTGAAAGGTAGGTCATAATTTGTATTCTAGACATGCTGAATTTTCTCATGATTTTGAGATATATGGTGGAAATATCAAGGAGTCAGCTGGATATGCTAGTCTGGAATTAATGAGAAAAGTCAGTTTGGAGATACAAACTTTGCATGTATATGATAATTTAAGTAATGAACATGGTTAACATTAACTAGGGAGAGAAAGTAGAGTGAGAACATTGCCTAAAGTGAGACTAGGGAAATGCTAATATTTAAAGCCAACCAATTAGGAAAAGTTAACCAAGGGGCACTGAGAAGAAACAACCCCTGAAGTAGGGGGAGGATAAAAACTAGGAGACTGCTTCCAGCTTTGCTCGAGATGAAGTAAGCACATTCCACTCTGCCTCTGCCCCTGGTAGCAATTTAAAACCCTAGACAGAATGCATGGGGCAGCTGAGGACTCCTCCACCCCCACCCCCAATATGTCTTGGCTGGGTGACTCCAGTGCAACCTGAAACACAAACCTACACAACGGGGAGAGACAGAAAGTTCTAAAAGAAGCTCTAAGAGAAAGCTCCTTAAAAAGAAGGAAACGGGGTCCCAATGCATCAGAAAGAGTGAAGTAAATGCTCTCATTTTTTTCTATTATACCCAAATCCCCAGGAAATCCTGTGGTGGCAGTGGTAGCATCAACAGTGGTGGCTGTACAGGCACCTAGAATTCTCAGGAAGAAGAACTCTTCTCTTTGACCAGAGGAACTGTGGTCCCAAGAAGATGGGGGAGTCCCTATTCTTCCCTTTCCTCCCTCTATCCTCTCACCATTTGGCTCCTGAGACAGATGCGGTTGTGAGACGTGCACAGCAGAGTGGAGAAATAATAGCCCTGGCTTTTTAGCTAGAGAAGGAGGACTTTTGGGGAGTGGAAAGTTTCAGAAAGATCACGGAGAGGAGGGAGTAAATAAAGCAATCCCATAAAGTTGTATATAAACACTTGGGCCATCTTCAAGTGGAACATGAATTGCTATGACCCTAAATAGTGTAACAAAGGCTTTGAGAACTAAACTCTGTAAAGTAGGCCACTTTTAAGTCCCAAATATGCCACTGGATGGCATGTATACAGGGCAGATTTAAATAATGCTGCAAAGTCTCTGAAAATTTAGGTAACAGTGAACCATACCTTAAAGAAGATGGGTAGAACCTCATAGCCTGAGCCCAACCAGGTCAATGGCTTGTTGAAACATACACACACAAATCATAATTTTCTTCGGGATTTGAACAAGAGCCAGAGTCTCATGACATAATATTCAAAATGTCCAAGATGTAATCCAGAATCACTCAACACATGAGGAATTAAGAAAATCTCACTATCTTGCAAGGGAAAAGGCAGCAAATACCAACCCCAACATTACAAAGATGTTGAAGTAATCAGATAAAGGCTTTAAAAACTGCAAGCATTCCCTTTGAAAACTGGCACAAGACAGGGATGCCCTCTCTCACCACTCCTATTCAACATAGTGTTGGAAGTTCTGGCCAGGGCAATTAGGCAGGAGAAGGAAATAAAGGGTATTCAATTAGGAAAAGAGGAAGTCAAATTGTCCCTGTTTGCAGATGACATGACTGTATATCTAGAAAACCCCATTGTCTCAGCCCAAAATCTCCTTAAGCTGATAAGCAACTTCAGCAAAGTCTCAGGATACAAAATCAATGTGCAAAAATCACAAGCATTCCTATACACCAACAACAGAGAAACAGAGAGCCAAATCATGAGTGAACTTCCATTCACAATTGCTTCAAAGAGAATAAAATACCTAGGAATCCAACTTACAAGGGATGTGAAGGACCTCTTCAAGGAGAACTACAAACCACTGCTCAAGGAAATAAAAGAGGATACAAACAAATGGAAGAACATTCCATGCTCATGGGTAGGAAGAATCAATATCGTGAAAATGGCCATACTGCCCAAGGTAATTTACAGATTCAATGCCATCCCCATCAAGCTACCAATGCCTTTCTTCACAGAATTGGAAAAAACTACTTTAAAGTTCATATGGAACCAAAAAAGAGCCCACATCGCCAAGTCAATCCTAAGCCAAAAGAACAAAGCTGGAGGCATCACACTACCTGACTTCAAACTATATTACAAAGCTACAGTAACCAAAACAGCATGGTACTGGTACCAAAACAGAGATATAGATCAATGGAACAGAACGGAGCCCTCAGAAATAACGCCGCATATCTACAACTGTCTGATCTTTGACAAACCTGAGAAAAACAAGCAATGGGGAAAGGATTCCCTATTTAATAAATGGTGCTGGGAAAACTGGCTAGCCATATGCAGAAAGCTGAAACTAGATCCCTTCCTTACATCTTATACAAAAATCAATTCAAGATGGATTAAAGACTTAAATGTTAGACCTAAAACCATAAAAACCCTAGAAGAAAACCTAGGCATTACCATTCAGGACATAGGCATGGGCAAGGACTTCATGTCTAAAACACCAAAAGCAATGGCAACAAAAGCCAAAATTGACAAATGGGATCTAATTAAACTAAAGAGCTTCTGCACAGCAAAAGAAACTACCATCAGAGTGAACAGGCAACCTACAAAATGGGAGAAAATTTTCGCAACCTACTCATCTGACAAAGGGCTAATATCCAGAATCTACAATGAACTCAAACAAATTTACAAGAAAAGAACAAACAACCCCATCAAAGAGTGGGCAAAGGACATGAACAGACACTTCTCAAAAGAAGACATTTATGCAGCCAAAAAACACATGAAAAAATGCTCACCATCACTGGCCATCAGAGAAATGCAAATCAAAACCACAATGAGCTACCATCTCACACCAGTTAGAATGGCAATCATTAAAAAGGCAGGAAACAACAGGTGCTGGAGAGGATGTGGAGAAATAGGAACACTTTTACACTGTTGGTGGGACTGTAAACTAGTTCAACCATTGTGGAAGTCAGTGTGGCGATTCCTCAGGGATCTAGAACTAGAAATACCATTTGACCCAGCCATCCCATTACTGGGCATATACCCAAAGGACTGTAAATCATGCTGCTATAAAGACACATGCACACGTATGTTTATTGCGGCATTATTCACAATAGCAAAGACTTGGAACCAACCCAAATGTCCAACAATGATAGACTGGATTAAGAAAATGTGGCACATATACACCATGGAATACTATGCAGCCATAAAAATGATGAGTTCATGTCCTTTGTAAGGACATGGATGAAATTGGAAATCATCATTCTCAGTAAACTATCGCAAGGACAAAAAACCAAACACCGCATATTCTCACTCATAGGTGGGAATTGAACAATGAGATCACATGGACACAGGAAGGGGAACATCACACTCTGGGGACTGTTGTGGGGTGGGGAGAGGGGGGAGGGATAGCATTGGGAGATATACCTAATGCTAGATGACGAGTTAGTGGGTGCAGCACACCAGCATGGCACATGTATACGTATGTAACTAACCTGCACAATGTGCACATGTACCCTAAAACTTAAAGTATAATAATTAAAAAAAAAAAAAAAAAAAGCAGCTATTATAACCATGCTCCAGGTCGTAAGGGCAAGCATTCTTAAAATGAATGAAAAGTAAGAGAACCTCAGCAACGAAACAGAAGTTAAGAAAAGAAACAAGTGGAAATCTTGGGATTAAAAAATACAACTAAAATAAAAAGTGTACTTAATATGCTCAATTATAGAATGTAGATTACAGAAGAAAGAGTCTGTGAACTTGAAGACAGATGAACAGAAATCATCCAGACTAAATAACAGAGAGAAAAGATTGAAAAAATATGTCTGAAAAACTAACACTTATCTTCCAGTTGTTTTTTGAAGAAAAAAATGGTAATCCATGGCTGGGTGCGGTGGCTCATGCCTGCAATCCCAGCACTTTGGGAGGCCGAGGCAGGCGGATCACCTGACGTTGGGAGTTTGAGACCAGCCTGACCAACATGGAAAAATCCCATCTCTACTAAAAATACAAAATTAGCTGGGCATGGTGGCCCAGCTACTCAGGAGACTGAAGCAGGAGAATCACTTGAACCCGGGAGGAAGAGGTTGCAGTGAGCCGAGGTTGCGCCATTGCACTCCAGCCTAGGCAACAAGAGTGAAACTCCTTCTCAAAAAACAAAAAAGGTGATCCATGAAAAAAGTGATGGATACTCAAACAAAACAACTGAACAAATGCTTTTCCTCAAGGTGATTATGAAACTTCCAGATGCAGCAGAGCGGCATCCTTCCCATTTTGTCACAGTGACTATTAAAAACACATGTGCTCAAAGGTCAAGATTTAATAATGTTATTATTTTTTTTACTGCTTCATCATGTATGCTTAAGTGAAACTGGATTTTTTTTCTATGAGTGCATTATGATGAAGAATACAATAATTACTAGTATAGTTAGGTGCTAGTGCTTTTATTTCTACTACAGTGCCATCAGTTTTATTCACCATTGCTTTTGCAACCACTGAAAATATCATCAAGGTAAAAAAGTAAGAGAAACTTTTTTTTATAATTATAAATATTGTTTTGACCTCACAGAAAGGGACTTGAAGACTTTCAGGGGTCTGCATACCATTTGTGTTAGTTTTCTATTGCTGCCATAACAAATTACCCCAAACATAGTGGTTTAAACAATACAAATTTGTAATCTTACATTTATATAGGTCAGAAATCTGACATGAGTCTCAATGGACTAAAGTCAAGGTATGGGCAGAGATGTATTCCTTTTAGTAGGCACTGGGTAGCAATTGTTTCCTTGCCTTTTCCAGTTTCTGGTGGCCACCCACATTTCTTGGCTTATGGCCCCTTCCTCCGTCTTCTAAGCTTTCTCATATAGCAACGCCCTGACTCTGCTTCTGTCACCACTTCTCTTTCTCTGACTCCCTCTTATGCCCCTCTTGTCCACTTTCAAGTCCTCTTGTGATTGCACTGGGCCAAGCTCGATCATCTTTCTGTCTTACGGTCAGCTGATTAGCGACCTTAATTCTATCTTCAACCTTACTTCTCCTTTGCTGTATAACTAAAATATTCACGGATTCCATGGATTAAGACATGGACATCTTTAGGGGCCATTATTCTTTTTGCCACAACTTGATTTCAAAATAACTGCAGCAAGAAACAAGAACATTCAGAACTTTTGGATTTCTGAACACTGATTCACAGCTTACTCCAATTCCCAGAGACCCAGAATGATACTGCACTATATGTATCTTTCTCCATGGGTCAGGCTAGAGTGCAGTGGTGTGATCATAGGTCACTGCAGTTGCAAATTCCTCGGAGCTGCTTCTTCTGTTTTTTGAAATAATTTTAGAGGGTTGGTGTTACTTTTGTTTTTACTCTTTTTTTTTTTTTTTTTTTTTTTGAGACGGAGTCTTACTCTGTGGCCCAGGCTGGAGTGCAGTGGCGCGATCTCGGCTCACTGCAAGCTCAGTCTCCCGGGTTCACGCCATTCTCCTGCCTCAGCCTTCCGAGTAGCTGGGACTACAGGCGCTGGCCACGCCCGGCTAAATTTTTTTTCTTTGTATTTTTAGTAGAGACGGGGTTTCACCGTGTTAGCCAGGATGGTCTCGATCTCCTGACCTCGTGATCCACCTGCCTTGGCCTCCCAAAGAGATTACAGGCGTGAGCTGCCGCGCCTGGGTGGTGTTAAACATTTTCTTAAATGTTTAGTAGAATTCACTAGTGAAGCCACTTGGTCCTGGGATTTTCTTTTTCTGCAGGTTTTTGATTTTTAGTTCAATATCTTTGTTACTTACAGGTTGGTATAGATTTTCTGTTTCTTCTTGAGTCAGATTTGGTAGTTTGTGTAGTTTCCAAACTGGAAAGGAAGAAGAAAAATTATCTCATTAGGTAGATGACATGATGTTATGTAAAAAAATTCTAAACAAGTGACCAGAAAAAAAAAAAGAAAAGAAAAACAAACTATTAGAGGTAATAAATGAATTCAGCAAAGTTATAGGATCTAAGATTGATGTACAAGAACCAGTGATGTTCCTGTAAATTAGTAGTGAACATTCTGAATAGAATAAAGAAAACAATTTCATTTATATAGTATCAAAAAGAATAAAATACTTAGGAATAAATTTGTCCTAGGAATTGTAAGACTTGTGTGCTAAAAACTATAAAATTTTTGAAATTAAAGACCTAACTAAATGGAAAGATATTCCATGTTCAAGCGCTGGAAGACTTAAGATACTCCCCCAAAGTGATACTCCCCAAAGTGACCTACAGATTCAATGCAATCCATATCAAAATCCTAATGGATTTTTTTCATATGAAATTATAAAGGACACCAAATAGCCAAAACAATCTTGGAAAAGAAGAGCAAATTTGGAAGACTCACACTTCTCGATTTCAATATGTACTATAGAGCTACAGTAATCAAAACAGTGTGGTACTAGCATAAAGATAGACATATAGGACAATGGAATAGAATTGAGAGTCTAGAAGTAAATCCATACATCTGTTGTCTATTGGTTTTTGACAATGGCACCCAGAACATTCAATGGGGGAAAGAATAGTCTCTTCAACAAATAATGTTGGAAATGCAGGATATCCACGTGCAAAAGAATGAAGTTGCACCCTTACCTCATATTATATATACATATATATAATTCACATTATATGTAAAATTCACATTATATATAAAATGCACATTATAGATATAATTCACTATATATAGTGAATTATATATGATATATTTATTATAACATATATAAATATTATCTAATATTTAAATTAAAATATATTTAAAATAAAATAAATATCAATTAACAATAAATTAAAATATATAATATACATTATATATAATGTACATAATAAATATAAAATTATATTATATAAATAAATATATAATTATTATATAACATATAACAAAATAATATATACTATCATATATAATTATATATTATATATGTAAATATATATATTATATATATAATTAACTAAAAATAGATCAAGGACCCAAATGTAAAAGCTAAAACTCTTGGAAGAAACAGAGGGGTAAATATTTATGACTTTGGCTACAATAATGGTTTCTTAGATATAACAGCCAAAGCCCAAGTAACAAAAGAGAAAATAGATAAATTGGACTTGATCAAAATAAAAGACTTGTAACATCAAAGGATACTATTAAGAAAGTGAAAAGGAAACTCACAGAATGGGAGAAAATGTTTGCTAACCATAAATCTAGGTCCTGGATTTATGCTAATCATAAATTAGATTCTAGTATATAGAATATGTAAAAGCCCCATAACAAAAAGAGAAACAATCCAATTAAAAAGCAGGAAAAGGGCAGGCTTGGTGGCTCACGCCTGTAATCCCAGTATTTTGGGAGGCTGAGGTGGGTGTATCACCAGAGGTCAGAGGCGGGTGTGTCACCAGCCTGGCCAACAGGCTGGTCTCTACTAAAAAAAAAAAAAAATTAGCTGAGCATGGTGGCACGCACGTGTAATCCCAGCTACTCACGAAGCTGAGGCAAGAGAATCACTTGAACCTGGGAGGCGGAGATTGCAGTGACCCAAGATCAAGCCACTGCACTCCAGCCTAGGCAACAGAGTAAGACTCCGTTTCAAAAATTAAAAAATAAAAAAAAATTTAAACAGCAGGTAAAGGACTTGTATACCTGTTTTTAAAGAAGATACACATATGGTCAACAAACATATGAAAAGGTACTCAAGTTATTAGTCATTAGAGGAATGCAGCTGGAAACCATAATAAGATTCCCACTGGAGTGTTTATAATTAAAAAATGGAAAATAACAAGTGCTTGTGATAATGTGGAGAAATTGAAACTTTCATACACTGCTGATGAGAACATAAAAGGGGTCAGCTGCCATGGAAAACAACTTAGTGGTTACTTAAAAAGTTAAACTTAGAATTATAATATGCCCCAGAAATTTCATGCCTAGATATATATCTAATAGAACTGAAAATATGTGTTTAAGAAAATACTTGTACCTGAAAACTCATTGTAGCACTCTTCACAATCATAAAAATGTGAAGAAAACCCAAACATCCATCAACGGATTAATGGATAAACAAATGTAGTATATCCATGCAATGAAAATATTATTCAACCATAAAAGGAATGAAGTACTGATACGCTACAACATGTATGAAACTTGAAAACACTGTTAAATGAAATAAGCCAGACACAAAATGCCATATACTGTGATTCCATTTCTACAAAATATCCAGGTTAGGCACATTCATAGAGACAGAAAGCAGGTTAGTGGTTGCAATGGGCTGGGAAGAGTGAGAAGTGGGGATTGCCTGCTCAATGGGGTTTTCTTTTAGGGTGATAAAAATATTCTGGAAATAGACTGTGGTGATGGTTGTACAACACTGTATATGTGGTAAATGCCACTAAATTGTACATGTTAAGGTGTTTAAAACGACTACATGAATTTTACTACAATAAGAAAATAAGAAAATACTATGAACACTAATGTCAAAAGCTTTGAAAAATTAGATGAAATAGACCACATTGTTAGAAAAATATAACTTGTCATAATTTAGTATGAAATAGAATACTTGAGAGTTTATTACCTAGCAATTAAAAATTTTTCTCACTAAAAAAATTGTAAATTTTACCAGAAATTTAGGGAATAAGTAACTCTAATCTTAGAAAAAACAATTCCAGGATATGGAAGAAGTGAGAATGCTTCCAAACTCATTTTGTGATGCTATCAAAATCTTGATACCAAAATATATGGAAGAGTATATAAAAAATGAAAATCATAGGCCACTTTTATTCAAGAACATAAATGCAAATGTCAGAGATAACCCATTTACAATAGCTACAAAACCAGAAAATATCTAGGAGCCAATCTAACCAAAGAAGTGAAAGGAATGTAAGGAAAATGATAAAACTCTGGTGAAAGAAATTGAAGAGGACACACAAAAAAGGAAAGATATTCCAAGCCCATGGATTGGAAGAATTAATATTGTTAAAATGACAATACTATCCAAAGCAACTTCCAGATTCAACGCAATCCCTATCAAAATACGAATGACATTCTTCACGGAAAAAAAAGTCCTAAAATTTATGTGGAACCACAAAAGACCCCGAGTAGCCTAAGCAATCCTGAGCAAAAAGAACATGGCTGGAGGTATCACACTACCTGATTTCAAAATTTACTACAAAGCTATAGTAACCAAAATAGCATGAAAACAGACATATAGACCAATGGAACAGAACTGAGAACCCAGAAACAAACACACATTTACAATTCACTTATTCTTGACAAAGGGGCCAAGAACATCCAATGGGAAAGGATAGTCTCTTCAATAAATGGGGCTGGGAAAATGGGACATCCATATGCAGACAAATGAAACTAGACTCCTATCTCTCACCATGCACAAAAATGAAACAAAAATGGATTAAAGATGTAAATCTAAGACCTAAAACTGTGAAACTACTAGAAGAAAACATTGGGGAAATGCTCCAGGACATTTGGGCAAATTTTTTATGTGTAAGACCTCAAAACCATAGGCAACCAAAGCAAAAATAGACAAATTAGCTTGATTACATCGAGTTAAAAAGCTCTGCACAGCAAAAGAAACAATCAGCAAAGTGAAGAGACAACCCACAGAATGGGAGAAAATATTTACAAACTACCCATCTGACAAGGGATCAATAGCCAGAATATATAAGGAGCTCCAAAAACTCAATAGCAAAAAACCAAGTAATCTGATTAACAAAAAGCCCAAGGAACTGAACAGACATTTCTCAGAAGAAGATGTAGAAATGTCCAACAGGTGTATGAAAAGATACTCAACATTACTAATCATCAGAGAAATGCAAATCAAAACCACAATGTGATAAACATGCAGATAAAATGGTTTATATACAAAAGGCAGACAATAACAGATGCTGGTGAGAATATGGAGAGAGGAGAACCCTCATACACTGTTGGTGGGAATGTCAATGAGTACAGCCACTATGGAGAACAGTATAGAGGTTCCTCAAAAAACCACAAATAGAATTATCCTATGATCCAGCAATCCCACTGCTGGGTATATACCCACAAGAAAGGAAATCAGTATGTCAAAGAGATATCTGCACTCCCATGTTTATTGCAGCACTAATCACAATAGCCAAGCTATGGAATCAATCTAAGTGTCCATCAGTGGATGAATGATAAAGAAAATGTGGTACCTATATTCAATGGAATATTATTCAGCCATAAAAATGAATGAAATCCTATGATTTGCAACAATATGGATGGAATTGGAGGCCATATGTTAAGTGATATAATCCAAGCATGGAAAGACAAATATCGCATGTTCTCAGTATTTCGTGAAGATAGAGAATAGACTGGTGGTTACTAGAGGCTGAGAGGGGGAGGAGGGAGGGAGGGATGAAGGGAAAGAAAAAGAATATACTTGTATTTATTTACTATTACCACAGAACTGTACACTTGAAAATGGTAAAAGTGAAAACTTATATATGTATATTTTACCTCAACAAAAAAAGTTTTAAAATCAGAATTAAACAAGTAACGAAATCCAATCATGTATAAAAAAAGGTAATACATGGAAAACTTGTATTACATGCAAGACATACCCCAGATATGCAGTTTTTGTTTTTTTGTTTTGTTTTGTTTTTGAGACAGGGTCTCACTCTGGTGGTCAGGCTGGAGTGCAGTGGTGCAATCTCGGCTCACTGCAGCCTTGACCCCTCGGGCTCAAGAGATCCACCTCTGCCTTCCGAGTAGCTGGGACTACTTGTGCGTGCCACCATTCCCAGTTGATTTTTGTATTTTTTGTAGAGACATGGTTCACAATGTTTCCCAGGCTAGTCTTGAACTCCTGGGCTCAAGTGATCCACCTGCCTTGGCCTCCCAAAATGCTGGGATTACAGGTGTGTGCCACTGCACCCAGTCCTGCAAAGTTGTTTTAATAAAAACATCAACTACCACATTAGTAGATTAAAGGGGGAGAGTTATGTTGGCACCTCAACAGATGAAAAAAATCCCATTTGATAAAATTAACATCCTTTCATGATTTTACAAAACTGCCAGCAAACTTAAAATAGATACGAACTTCCTTAACTTGGACAAAATTTATTGTGAATTTTGAAAGCATTTTGTTTTCAGTTTTGCACAATTTGTTAGCTCATAATTTAATTGTTTAATTGAGATAATATTTGTACATTTTTATGGGGTACATGTGATATTTTGTTACATGCATAGGCTGTGTAATGACCAAGTCAGGGTATTTAGGATACACATTGCCTCGAGCATTTATCATTGCTATGTGTTGGGAACATTTTTTTAAGATGGAGTTTTGCTCTTGTTGCCCAGGCTGGAGTGCAATGGCGCGATCTCGGCTCACCGCAACCTCCGCCTCTTGTGTCCAAGCGATTCTCCTGCCTCAGCCTCCTGAGTAGCTGGGATTACACACACGTGCCACCACGCCCTGCTAATTTTGTGTTTTTAGTAGAGATGTTGTTTCTCCATGTTGGTCAGGCTGGTCTTGAACTCCTGACCTCAGGTGATCCACCTGCCTCGGCCTCCCAAAGTGCTGGGATTACAGGTGTGAGCCACTGCCATTTCAAGGCCTCTCTTTTAGCTATTTTGAAATATACGATACATTGTTAACTGTGGTCACCGTACTCTGCTATCCAACAGCAGAACTTATTCCTCCCATCTGTTCCTGTATGTTTGTACCCATTAACCAACCTGTCTCATTCCCCCGACTCCCCCACTTCCAAGCCTCCGGTAACTATTATTCTACTGTCTACCCTCATGAGATTAACTTTTTTAGCTCCTACATATGGGTGAGAACATGCAATATTTGTCTGTAATTTTTGTTTCTCAGGCTGGATTTATTGGGTTTGGATATAAAAGAATGCTAGCACCATAAAATGAGTTCGCAAGTGTTTCCTTTTCTCTATTCTCTGAAAGAGTATGTATAAAAATTGGAATTATATTTCCTTAAGTATTTGGTAGAACTCACTGGAGTTTTTCTTTTTCTTCTTTTTCTTTATGGACCATGGGTGAATAGAATTGTAGTAATTATAGTCCTTGGTTCATTAAACAATTTCATCATTCAAGTCTCATTGTTTATTTTGAATAATAGCATGAACAGTCATGAGCTCATTCATTTGCATATAAATTAGAATATTGACAAAATAACTTGTGTCTACCTATAGGCTGATTCCCAGCCTGTTCCTTGACCTCCCTATTAAGGTAAACACTGTCGTGAATTTTGTGTTTATCATTCTTTTGCCTTATTTTTATGTGGTTTTGTCATATATAACGAGGTGTATTTAGGGTCTTCTTTGTCACTGTGTGCCACATTCTCTCTTAAAGGTGTTTGCTTTTTCACACTATATTATATTCTAAGAGGCATCTTTATTATGTTTTGTGCGAGTAGGTATTCATTCTGACTTCTGCATAATATTCCATTGTGTGAACATACCAAAGTTAATACACTTTCCTGTTTAGAGCATTGGGGCTATTTTTTCAGTTTGTTTGTTTTTTGCTATCATGAACAGTGTCGTTATATACAATCTTGAACATTTCTCCTGGTATAAATATGAAAGTGTGCCTGTTGGTTTTTGTTGAATGGAATTACTAGCTTGTATGAAATGTGAATGTTCAGTTTTAAAGAATAATCCCAAACTGGTTTCCAGAGTGGCCATTAACAGTTTATAGTCCAACCACTAATGTTTCTGTTAACACACATGCTGTCTATAGATTCTGTTAATACACATGCTATGTATACTTGGTATGTCAGACTTTTAAATATTTGCCAATATTAATATAAATTGATATTGTGGTCTTGATTGCATTTCTCAGCTTGTGGTATTAGCTCACTGTTATGAAGATACATAAGAGAATGGTATCTTACCACATTTCCCATATGTGCCCTCTGTGCCAATGGATACTGTCTATCTTAGTCTGTTGTGCTGCTGTAACACAATACCTGAGACTTGTAAACACAGAAATTTATGTCACACAATTCTGGAGACTAGGAAGTCTGAGATCAAGGTACTCACATATTTGGTATCTAGTAAGGGCTGGATGTCTGCTTCCAAGATAGTGCCTTGAATGCTGTGTCCTCCAGAGGGGATGAATGCTGTTCCTCATGTGGCGGAAGAACAGAAGAGAGTGAATCCTCTCTTGCAAGTCATTTTTATAGCAGCATTAATCCATTCACGAGGGCCTCACCCGAAACACTTCCTATTAGGCTCTACCTTCCAATGCTTGCACTGGGGATTAAGCTTCCAACAAATACATTTGAATAGGGACAAAAATGTTGAAACCATAGCACCATCAGATGATAGATTCCAACACAGCTAGGCCAGAAGATTGGCAGCAGGAATATGGTAGGAAGGTTAAATAGAAACATTTTGACTTCGGTAATTCTCTGATGCCCAAGAAATGTAAAGAAGGTAAAAGGTATTACCTAGGACTACGATGAGGGCTGTGTGAAAAAGAGGTAGCCCCAGATAGAGTTAAGAAGCCCACCGCCTCTTAGAAATCCTTGTAGAACTATGACTTTATCAGAGACGGAAGGTTCAAGAATCTTACTAAGGTTAAAGCGCACTGAACAAATAATCTAAGATTTACCAACGAAACAAATTGAGGATGTTTTGCTTTGGCTTTCTGGGAGCTGGTGGTTCTTAGTGCTTGATTTAAGGAGTGGCGTGGGTATTACCAGATACTTGTGGGAAATAAAACTAGAAGCAAATAGCTTTCATTTGCCCATTAAGTTTTTTCCAATTTTGGTATGGACATCTCTGGAGCCATAATGTCTTTGCGTGGTTCATGGAGATGGTGCTGGGAAATTAATTATAGGGAACTGCTAATGTATTTGGGCAGTATAGCTATGCCTGGAAGAGCTTTGTAGGTTCATAGGAAACTACTTATTAAAGAGTTTATCTTTTTGAACAGAATGTGTTGAAATTGTCACTGGACAAATATACATTCTATTGCAGTTTATTGAAATATTTATGGCATCTTTGTTCCAGATATGGGTGAGTACAAATGTAGCCAAAATGCCAGCTTAATCTCACTAGTCCTAGAGAAATGAAGCCATTTTATGCTTGGTTCAGGTGCTATTAGCATTTTATTAAAAAATTAACGTGCATTTCTAACTCACCCAAGGAAATGAGGACAGACTTTAGGCTATACAGCCAGATAGTGGATATAAAACCTAGAAAGAAGAGCATGGATCCATTTGCAGAAATATGGGACATGCCTATGAGCTGGCATTCGTAATATTTGAGAACGGTTAATCACCATTGAGATATTAACTTTTGTAGACCCTCAAATCTCTTTACACTAGACACTTACGTTAGCTGGAAGGGTGTAGGGAGGATACAAGGATGACTCTGGGGAAGATGAGAGCGTGAAAGCAGATCTGACGGTGAGCTAATAACCTAGCCATAAACTGGACTACACATAGATACATTCAATATGCATATGGAGTAGTCTTTCAAATGGCTTGACCTAGTAATGATCCTCTGTGTTCTGACGTGAGCTAAACTGAATGCTACAGCCTAATGCTTTCTGGCTGCTTTAGTTTACTGTCATTGTAGTATTCTATTTTGTTGGGTGCTAAGAAATAGAGGCAGTTTCTTTTACCTAGAGAAGGATCCAGTTCAGGACGTGGATATTATGCCAACTGAGATAATAAAATGGTCACTTCTGCTGAAGAGGAACAGCCAGAGCTTACCCTGAAGGATGTGCCCCAAATCATCTGAATTACATTATCCTATATTCATTGCTCCTGCCCAGGAAAGGCGTGGGAGCTGCGGAGCAGAGCACAGTGGGCTTATTTAGGGACTAGGTCAGTAATGGAGGAAAATATAGCCCTGCCTGTGGGAAGGAGGTGAATTTCTTCCAAATGCTTGAGAGTTCTGCTTTGAGATGGGCAGAAATCAGCACTAAGTAGAAGGGATTGCATAGGTTATTTTTGTGGATTGTGGAAGCCCAGACATTTATTTCCTGCCTTTCTCTGCTTCAGTGTGGATAACATTCACCTGGGGAGCTTGTTATAAATGAAGACTCCTGGGCCTCATTCTCAGTAATTCTGATTCAGTAGACCTGTGGTGGAACCTAAGAAACTGCACTTTATGAGCACGCCAGTTGATTACACAATGCACGTAGTTCAAAGGCCACATTTCGAGGGACAGAGTTCTAGAGTAAAGTCCACCGTTTCCAGCAGAAACATTGCACTCACTCTCATCCCCCTATGAAACTTCATAGTATTGGCAATATATAATATAAAGCAAATTTCTTAAAGTTGAGAGTGACTTTTTTTGTTTTTGAGACTGAGTTTCACTCTTGTTGCCCAGGCTGGAGTGCAATGGCACGATCTCAGCTCACCACAACTTCCACCTCCCGGGTTCAGGTGATTCTCCTGCCTCAGCCTCCTGATTAGCTGGGATTACAGACACGTGCCACCACGCCTGGCTAATTTTGTGTTTTTAGTAGATAAAGGTTTGGTAGAGAAACCTCCATGTTGGTCAGGCTGGTCTCGAGCTCCTGACCTCAAGTGATCCTCCCCTCTTGGCCTCCCAAAGTGCTGGGATTATAGGCATGAGCCACCGCGCCCGGCCGAGAGTGACACTTTTATGCCACTCTTTTATGGACCCTTTTATGAACACTTTCAACTACTCTCACTTCTCAGTATTTCATTGTTACTCAAAAGGAGAAATCAATTTCACCTGGAATCCACTTCAAATTCCCCTTAGGAAACTTTCTGAGAAGAAAAGTTTTCTTACTAATAAGTCCCAGTTGTATTTGTACACACTCACTCCTATGCTATTGCCTACCCTCGGGTCTGAGTCTCATGGTATCTTATTTAACCTGTGAACAATTCCAGGGCAGCAATGCCTCTTGTTTCTAACCTGTAATGAAGTCTCTTGAAACTCAGCTCCCTCCAGAACAGTGAGGATTAGTCTATAACTTGTACTTGGTGTAGTGGGAATACCGTCATAATGAACTGAGGTGCCAAAGAAAAAGAAAAGCATTATGATTGTGTTGGTTTGGTATATTTTGTCAACAAAGACATACTCTTGGGCTATTTGCAGAGCTAAGCCAATTGGCTGCTTCTCCCAGAAGGCCACAGGAAGGTCTTCTGAGAGGACTGGTGAAGTGAGAGACAGGCTAGGTGGAGGGGCTGCATGCATTTTACTGCTCCCTGGGCAAAGAAGCCCTTCCCAGTAGGACTCCAGCTCCTTTCCCCATCTTCCATTCTTCTGCCTCTAATGCACCTGCAGATTAACCAAAATATTTTCTTTTATCTTCATGCTCTATTGTTCAATTGTTAGGGAAGAATGATTCCTAAACATTGTATTAATATTAGCACAGTGCCCAGGACAAGTCAAGGGCTAGTTCCGTTCTACCCTGCATCGGTCAGAACTATTTCCACTGTGTCTGCTAAGTTGAGTTGGAATATACCACCTACTTTAGTAATTATTCTGAGCAGTCCTGGTCCACAGGAGGCTACTCCTAGTACCAGATTGCCTGCCAGCTGTGCTTAGAGGAAACGAATTTAGGTATGGCATCAAAATCCATTTTAATTTCCTTTCTAGTATTTGTTGTCTTTCAGCCGTAGGCCAAAGTTAGCAATGGATGAAATTTACATCTAGAGAGTAGCATTCCTATTTACAAGACACACTGATAAAAATGGGGGCTGTGCCATATTTTATGCAAATATTTCCTGAGTACATTATCCTTAAAAAATTATTTCAGGTTTTGTTGTTTTTTTTTTATTGTACTTTAAGTTCTAGGGTACATGTGCACAACGTGCAGGTTTGTTACATATGTGTACATGTGCCATGTTGGTGTGCTGCACCCATTAACTCGTCATTTACATTAGGTATATCTCCTAATGCTATCGCTCCCCCCTCCCCCCACCCCATGACAGGCCCCGGTGTGTGATGTTCCCCACCCTGTGTCCAAGTGTTCTCATTGTTCAATTCCCACCTATGAGTGAGAACATGCGGTGTTTGGTTTTCTGGCCTTGCGATAGTTTGCTCAGAATGTTGGTTTCCAGCTTCATCCATGTCTCTACAAAGGACATGCACTCATCCTTTTTTATGGCTGCATAGTATTCCATGGTGTATATGTGCCACATTTTCTTAATCCAGTCTATCACTGATGGACATTTGGGTTGGTTCCAAATCTTTGCTTTTGTGAATAGTGCCACAATAAACATACGTGTGCATGCGTCTTTATAGCAGCATGATTTATAATCCTTTGGGTATATTTTTAAATAGTACAAGCAGTGGGCTGGGTGCAGTGGCTCATGCCTGTAATCCCAGCACTTTGGGAGGCTGAGGTGGGAGGTTTGCTTGAGCCTAGGAGTTTGAGACCAGCCTGGGTGACATAGGGAGACCCTGTCTCTACAAATAATTAAAAAGTTAGCTGGGCATAGTGACGTGCACCTGTGGTCCCAGCTACTCGGGAGGCTGAGGTGGGAAGATTGCCTGAGCACAGGAGGTCAAGGCTGCAGTGAGTCGTGATACTCCCACTGCACTTTAGCCTGGGCAACAGAGTAAGAGCCTGTCTCTAAATAAATAAGTATGTAAATAAATAGCTAGCATAAGCAATGAACCAATATATTCTTGTAAAAACCACTAAAGTGATATGCTTTACCAGAGTTCTCCTTTGACCCCATTCCCACCCCATCCCAGCCATACTCCTAGAGTTAATTTCTCTAATTAGTTTGGCATGTATCTCTCTGGACCTTTCTTAAGTCATATTATAATAGTTCTCAACTTTACTGTGTTTGAGCATCACCTGGTGTTATGGGCTAAATCGTGTCTTCCCAGAATTTATCTGTTGAAGCCCTTGTCCCTAGTACCTCAGAATGTAATTATTTGGCAATAGGGCTTTTAAAGAGGTGATTGAGTTAAAATGAGGTTCTGATTCATACAAAGCAATATTAAAATTATGACATACTCTCAGAATATCATGCTGTAATTAAAAATGATGTATATCTGTATTTATTCAACTGGGGGAAAGTCATGTCACATGAAAAGGCAAAAATATTTATATATGAAACATTTTTATATTACTTTGAGATAGTGTGTCCTGAAACCTGTCAAGGCAAACAAACTGGAAAAAAGCTAGCATCCAAAGTTAGCAGTGGATGAAATTTACATCTAGAGACTAGCATTCCAATTTGCAAGACACATTGACAAAAAATGGGGGCTATGCCATGTTTTATGCAAGTATTTCCAGAGTACATTATCCTTGAAAAAAATTATTTCAGGTTTTCTTGTGTTTTTAAATAGCACAAGCAATGGGCCGGGCGCAGTGGCTCATGCCTGTAATCCCAGCACTTTGGGAGGCTGAAGGTCTTTATGGGAAGGAGAAATTTAGGCATACAAAGAAACACCAGAGATGCTCAGACACAGAGAGAAAATGCCATGTGAGGACACAGCGAGAAGGTGGACATTTGCAAGCCTGGGAAAGAGGCCTCATAAGAAACCAAGCCTGGCAGGGCGCGGTGGCTCACGCCTGTAATCCCAGCACTTTGGGAGGCCGAGGCAGGTGGATCACGAGGTCAGGAGTTCAAGACCAGCCTGGCCAAGATGGTGAAACCCCCAGCTCTACTAAAAATACAAAAAAAATCAGCTGGGCGCTGTGGCAGGTGCCTGTAATCCCAGCTACTTGGGAGGCTGAGGCAGGAGAATCGCTTGAACCCAGTGGGTGGAGGTTGCAGTGAGCTGAGATCATGCCACTGCACTCCAGCCTAAGTGGCAGAATGAGACTCTGTCTCAAAACAAAACAAACAAACAAACAAAAACAAGAAAAAGAAACCGAGCCTGCTGACACTTTGATCCTGGGCTTCTAGTCTCAAAACTGTGAGAAAATAAATTTCTGTTGTTTAAGCCACCCAGTTTATGGAATTTTGTTATGGCAGCCCTAGCAAACTAGTACACTAATAATCATGTTGGGAAAACATGATCCCCCAGCCCACCCTAGAAATTCTATTCAGTAGGTTTGGAGTGGAAGGTGAGAATACATATTTCTAGCAATGTCCTAGATGGGACTTTATGTTTCAGGAATGCAATATCTTCTTTTACTTCTCTTAAAATACCTTGTTTCCCTGCATAATTTTAAAAAATTATTTTAAATTTTTGTGGGTACATATTAGGTGTATATATTTATGGGGTATATGTGAGATATTTTGCTACAGGCATGCAATGTGTAATGACCACATCAGGGTAAGAGGGGTGTCTATCACCTCAAGCATTTATCCTTTCTTCTTGTTACACACAATTCAATCATACCTTTTTAGTTATTTTTAAAGTTACAATTAAGTTATTATTAACTATAGTCACTCTGCTGTGCTATCAAATACTAGATCTTATTCACTTTTTCTAACTATTTTTTTGTACCCATTAACTAACTCTACTCTCCCACCCTCCACTACCCTTCCCAACCTCTGGTAACCATCATTCTACTCTATTTCCATGAGTTCAGTTGTTTTAATTTTTAGCTCCCACAAATAAGTGAAAGCAACCTGTATAATTTCTAATTTTTCTGACTTGATTTTTTTTCCAGTTTGTTTGCCTTGACAGGTTTCAGGACATGCTATCTCAAAATAATATAAAAATGTTTCATATATAAATATTTTTGCCTTTTCATGTCACATGACTTTTCCTCAGTTGAATACAGATATATATCATTTTTAATTACTGCAAGGTATTCTGTTATGAGAGTAGGTCATAATTTTAATATTGCTTTGTATGTCTCTGAATACTCATTGTTTCTCCTCTTGAGTAACTTTAATTTGCCCAATGGTCAAGGAGCAAATTTTGTCCCAGTGTTCTCTGACTCATTATTTCCACATTGGCTGGATTCAGTCTGGATGATATTTGCTGTTCTTCATCAGCTTTGTCTTTTCTGTTTAGAATTGCCACATGTCTGTTTACTGTGGTGGAACAAAAATAAATTCTTAATTCTCTGTGATGTTGCTTTTACTAAAGACAGTCCTTGAACTCAACATCTTTAATAAGCTTTATTTACTCAAAACATGCACTCTTTTATATGACTTTCGTGCTGGTTTAAAAACTGCTGAAGATCTTTCACCATTGTGTCTTGTGGTTTTATGATATAGAACATACACACACATAAGTAAGAATTAATTCTATTAAGGCAGAATGAGTCTGCCTACCTGTACTCCCTCCTGTTTTGAAAATGGGATATTGAATCAATATCCCAAGCATGATTGACTTCATCTAAATATATTTCCAAAGCAGTACATGGAAGGAGTCTTTAAACTTTTTGAAGATAAAAAAATGAGGAGTCTACATAATCTGTTAAATAGTCAACATAAGCAGAATCATATGCAATAAACTATAAATCATATCTAGTGGGATTTTGATATTAATTTACAACTAGTGTGTAACTATGAGAGTTTGCTTTATTCTATCAGGCATAGATTTCTCTTTTCACATAATGTAGATCCTGATGATCTTCCATACAGGAGTCATGATAAAACTTCATGCAACAGAGTACCGAGATAAAAGTCCTCTTTAAAATAGTGAAGGGAATGTTGAGAACATGAGGATTCAAACAAAGAGGGGATAAGTAGTCTACATAAACTCTTGGTGAAACAAGAGAAAAATGAAGATATGAGAGCCAATATGCATGATAGATGCTCCATCTTGGGACATCAATTGGGTCCAGTAAGGAGAAATTCTTTAAAGCATGACACACTCCAGGGTTGTTAGGCGGAGTCTTTGGCTTGCTGAGTACCTTCTTGTCTGGCTTCATAGCATTCCTTTTTATGATTCCAAAGTATTGTAATTCTCAGGGATCAGAAACTTCTGGAAAGAGCCATGGTTATTTAAGCAAAGAAGATTAATTTCCAGCTTCCCAAGCTTTGGCGGAACAAAAGCACAAATTATTCCATAGAAAACTGAGGAGCCCTGGTGGCCAGAGGTCATCAGTGCTAGCGGGTGGTCAAGAAGAACTTTACAAGGAAACAACAGCCCTGGGTATTGGCTCAGAGAATAATACCGTATTACTATCACCCAAGTTCTTGCTATTCCTTCTAGCTGGTATGCTTTGGTGGCAATCCATTCTCTTCCTCCTTCTCTCTCTCTTTCTTTCAAAATGTGCATTGGTACTTTTCACTGTCTCCATACACCTTGATGCCATTGCCTCCCACTTGAATGTGATCTTTTTGTTTATTTTTATTTTTTAAAAATTTTACTTTACGTTCTGGGATACATGTGCAGAACGTGCAGGTTTGTTACATAGATATACATGTGCCGTGGTGGTTTGCTGTGCCTATCAACCCGTCATCTAGGTTTTAAGCCCCGCATGCATTAGGTATTTGTCCTAATGCTCTCCCTTCCCTTGCCCTCCACCCACTGAGAGGCCCCGGTGTGTGGTGTTCCCCTCCCTGTGTCCATGTGTTCTCATTGTTCAACTCCCACTTATGAGTGAGAACATGCGGTGTTTGGTTGTCTGCTCCTGTGTTAGTTTGCTGAGAATGATGGCTTCCAGCTTTATCCGTGTCACTGCAAAGGACATGAACTTTCTTTTTTATGGCTGCAGAATGTGATCTTTTTAATGCCCTATTATTAGTTGAAAATAATATATGTATCTTGATAAAGTAAATAGGTTTACCCCAAAAGACAAATTCCTTGATAGTTTAAAAGGATATAAATTCGTCAATGTCTTCTAATGTACTTTTCTCCAGCCTGTTATCTTTTGAACTTACACTAGGGGGCACTGTTGAGTTATAAACGCTCTCAACACTGTTTGCCTGTTTTATATTAATGCTGAACTTGCAACTCCTTTCATTTATGTCAGTATTTCACCTTCCGTACTAACAGTAGGATATGAAAAAGACGTGTGGATTTGCTTCCAGCACAGAAAAAAATAATGATGACTTAGAACAGTGCTTGTTGGAAGGTGGGGAAAGAAAAAAAAATGCATATTTGTGAAGGAGTGCTAATTTTTTTTTCTTTTGGCATTTTTGGATTATAAATTCACATTAGTGATACAGCCAATATACAAACCACAGTTGTAGCAACCAGAGAAAGAAACAGGATATGACCCCTTTTGTAAGATGCTCATAATATTCCCAAGGAGGCAGGAGAAAACTCCATTCATCTGTAGTTTATTCAGAATGTTCTTTTCTGTTGCTTGTCATTTTGGAATGGATTTAACTGTTGCTAAAAAGTTACAGGAACAACAGCCTCATAGCTAGAAATCATCTGTTTCTTTACAAAACAAGTTCATCTCAGATCAGCCACATGACTTGCCCCAGCAGTGCCCAGCCCTCTGACCCGAGTCTTGCTGGAACAGCATCTCTTTTGGGACTGAGAAAGAATTTACGTTCTAAGTTCTTCCTGCTATTTCCAAGTTTGGTGCCTGCTGTGATGGAGAGTTCTTTTTCCTTTAAACCAGATACTGAAAAGTAAACCTAAAAACCCAAATCCATTCAACAGAGAATTAAATGTGCAGATTTGGGATAAAATAAGCCACAAATATTTGACCACTATCATGATATACCAGTGCAAAAATTTACAAAAATTGGCCAGGATGATTGAGTTTTCTCAGTAGTAAAGCTAACGTAGCATCTAAACTGTTTGCAATATTATTTAAGCTGAACTTCAAAAGATTCTTACATTAATTTTTGACCTTTTGTATTAAGAGTCAGATCTAAGTCTGTTTTATTATCTATACTTAATATAATTATTATCATTTTACAAATATTTTAGAAATGATATGCCCTCATTAACTTCCATTAAAAACCATTTATTAAAAACACACATTTGTTTATGTAGTCGCTATGCACAACCCGTTTTTTGTGATTCTTGTTGACCCCATGTCCACTCTCCACTAGGCACCAAATATACCCAGGTTTGCATCCCAGCCCAGCGGGTGTATTTGATTCTCTGAGTCTCACATTAATGAGGATAATAATACCTTCATCATAGTGGCTTTGTACGAATTAAATGACGCATTAATGTAGAGTAGCCAAGTTGGCAAAGTATTCAATGGGATCTAGTGTGCTCCTTTTTGTATTCACTTAAGAACGGCAATGATGTAATATACAGAAACAATGGGTCCAATCTGCTGCATTGTTGTGTGTTCCCATATGATCCTAGAAAAGTATCACAAAGGCAAAAAAAAAAATTAGAAAGGGGGAATGCTTATTTCTTACATTATGATGTCAAAGAAAAAAACATATATGCTGTTTAAAACCTAGAATAAATTTGAACTATTTATAGAATAAATTTGAGCTATTTATACTCCTGAATATTTTAATCAGTTTTGTGAATAACTTTAGATCAAAGAAATGAATCAAATAATCAACAGAAATACAGTCTGCATTTTTTTAATGCTTCAAATTCATATTTAGAACATTTGAGTACTTCATACTTACATGAAGTACAGCCATTTTGGAAAACAGCGTGGAGGTTCCTCAAAAAACTAAAAATAGAATTGCCATGTGATCCAGCAATTCCACTTCTGAGTATATATCCAAAGGAAATGAAATCAGCATGTTGTAGACATAGCTACATTCCCGTGTTCATTGCAGCATCATTCACAATAGCCAAGGTATGGAAACAACCAAAGTGCCCACTAATGGATGAATGGATTAAAAAACTGTGGTATATGTATACAATGGAATACTATTTAGCCTTTAAAAAGCAGAAAATTCTGTCATTTGCAACAACATGGATGAACCTGGAGGGAATTATGCTAAGTAAAATAAGCCAGGCCCAGGGTGACAAATACCACATGATCTCACTTATATGTGGAGTTTTGAAAAAGTTGAACTTGTAGAAATAATGAGTAGAATGATAGTTACCAGAGGCTGGGAATTGGGGAGGTAGATAGGGAAAGAGGAGATATTGTCAAAAGACACAAAGTTTCGATTAGACAGGAGGAATAAGTTCTGGTGATCTATGCACAGCATGTTAACTATAGTTAGTAATAATGCACTGCATACTTTAAATAGCTAAAAGAGAGGACTTTAAATGTTCTGGCCACAAAAATGGCAAATATTTGAGGTGATGGATATGGTAAATAGCCTGTTAAGTGTAACAGTGTATACATGTATTGAAACATCACATCATACCCTGTAAATAGATACAATAAAAACAGGAAAAAAGATAGTTTACATTTCTAATTACATTAATTAATGCAAAGGAAAAGTTAAAGAAAGGCATTGTAATAAAAGTGCGTTTTCTTAATTTAAAAAATATGAAAAAATATAAAAAATAAATTTTGAAAAGGTAGTAGGGCTTGAGGTCCAAAGGGTACAAATGAATGTAGTATAAATGGATATAAAGAAAATAGTTTTTCTTTCTTCCTTGTACTCCACTATCCATTGTCCTTCCCAGAGGCAGCCTCTGATAGATTTTTGGGTGTCTTTCTATGGAGAGAGATAGACCAATGGATATAAATATGGATATAGTTATAGATGTAGACATAATCTTTTCACACATTTGGGATATGTCTTTAGGATAAATTACTAGAAGAAATTGCTGATCAAAGTCTTTGTGCATTTTTAATGGTTATATGGCTACATTGCCCTCTGTAGAGGTTGAGAGGGCAATGTAGCCATATAACTATTATAAATATATATCTTTCTCTCTATAATTCCATACACGCATATGCACATAAATATATATTCTTATCAGCAATGCCTATATGCTTCAACAGCATTTTTTTGATCATCCGTTATTTTATAGGTTAAAATATTTTAGTGTAGCTTTATGACAGAAAGGGTTCTTTTTTTTTTTTTTTTTTTTTTTTTTTGAGACAGGGTCTCACTCTGTCACTCAGCCTGGAGTGCAATGGTGCGATCATGGCTCACTGCAGCCTCAATCTCCTGGGCTCAGGTGATCCTTTCACCTCAGCCTCCTGAGTGGTTGGAACTACAGGCACATGGCACCATGCCTGGCTAGTTTTTGTATTTTCAGTAGAGGCAGGATTTTGCCTTGTTGCCCAGGCTGGTCTTGTGCTCCTGGGCTCAAGCAATTCTTCCACCTCAGCCTCCCAAAATGCTGGGATTACAGGAATAAGCCACTGTGCCTGTCCTTGTAAACAACTTTTAAGAGCAATTTTCACTTTTTTTCTGTGAATTGTCTTTTCGTATCCTTTACCCATTCTTAATTGGACTTCATCTTTTTCTTATTAATATTTAAATATATTAGGAAAATAAGACCTTTGTAATCTCAATTACAGTTTTTCCAGCCTTCTATTTGTCTTTTGGCCATTTATATAAGTTTTAATATACAGACATATACAATTGTTTTGTAACCAAACCATTCTAAGATTATAAAAACATAGAATTTGCCACATGCTGAATCCCTATGTGTATTTCGATGTGTTTAGTGTTTAGAACATTGCATTTTAAGAGAATTTTTTTTCTTCCTTTCTACTGGAATTATCTTTTACTCTGAAAAATATAATAAAAATATTTCTAAAAGGGTTGGGAGAGACCAATTTGAATTATAGAAATGGATTTTATTAAAGAACACACAATATCAAAGAGTAAAGTAAGGCTTGATGAATGGAGCTAAGTGATTTTAATTGGCACATTGAATGTATGTCTGTGAATGAATGCTTCTGATGAGCCTGAAACTAGTCCTTCTCTTGACTGGTTCTTTTAAGACAACTTTAGTTTAAGAAGAACGTTTGTGAGGTATTCTGGCACTGGCTTTAGAAATATCCCATTTGTATGGCCAATTACTTTTTAGTATTCCTGGGAATATCTGTTGTATATGACAGGTGCATTTTGCCCTGCCCAACACCACAAAGTTACACTCATAACGTAAGGTTGGAGAAATGTTTTTTTAAATGACCTTGTTTACATTCTTGATATATGTATATATGTGTACACACACACACATGCGCACGTATATTTTCCTATAAAGGAGAATGCTGAACATCAGCAGATAATTTCCAAGATATTTTTTAAAAACCAGGGGAGTGCAATCTGATGAGATTTCTCTACACTACTTGCAGCACTTCAAGCCATCATGTGTTATATTTGTAAATATTTAAACAGTGTCACTGGGAGAGATTTTGGCTTGTGAAAAGTTATTGTAGAAATGTGCTTGAAAGCATTTATGTAATTGTGAAAAGAGTTTCTCAGTGATTAAAAATGGTTAAAGAAAGGTGAGAAGCTGGTTCTCTTTACTGGTTTCTTCTTGGCCCCTTTCAGAAGTCTCTGGTTTGTCCTACTAAATGGCTACCCATGGTTTTACTCAACAGCTGTAACTTAAGACTGCCAGGGCTTGTTTCTTTGAGTGATGGCTGCTGAATTGCTCTTTTTCCAATAAATATAGAGTCTAATTTTTTTTCATGTTAACCAGACAAAGATTCCATTTGAAACATGTAGTCTGAGCAGCAAACACTGGACCCATTGTCTCTGAAACAATAAGTGCCACATTCAGTCCTTAGAAATGGTGACCAATTTGCTTGTATTCAAGAAGCATAGAAGTTTTACACATCTAGAAAAGTGATTCACAGCTGAGTTTTCAATAATGCTAATACTGCATGTAGGAGTGTGATTTAATGCTGTGATGTGTACAGTATTGTATCCTGACTGTTATATACCTGCCACTCATGGATCAGCTTTGGACTTTTCATGATGAATTACTAGTAATTCACCCAGTGACTTCAAATGAGAGTAGAACGAAGTCTTGTGGAGGTTCAGTTTTGCATATAAGCATATAGAATTTGATTATAACTGTCGTACACATTCTGGATGTAATGTGGCACTCAACAATAGGGATTGTCTTGTAGGAGTTACTCCAGGGGCAGACACTGAATCGAGGATTTATGTGCAAATTGTATTAGGAAATTGCTCCCAGGGAAAAAGTGGTAAAGAAGTAAGAGAAGCAGATCAGGGAAAGGAAGGAATCCAGCCAAGGGTAAAATTTCAGGCAAAGTTGTAACCTCAGTTATATTATACAGATGAACAGTGGAGATTTAATTATAGCTCAGAACTTGTCCCAGTTTGAGGCAAGGGAGCTGGACCTTCATAAGTCAGACATTATCGAAAGGACACTTAGGAGTCTTAAACTCTCAGATCTTTGCAGCTCACTGTACAGGCAGGCCAAGTGGCATCCGTGGCTGAGGGCAGTCTTCTGAAGATGGTCATAGGTGCAGGCCCATGGAAGTAGAAGCCCAGAAAAGCTCGAGGTGTGTTGAAGTGGGTACAAAGAAATGGCAGAAGGGCTTCAGGGGGATCTGGGTCTAGTACCAGTAGTAGTTTGCTGCAAAGGTATTTGGGTAATAATTCTGAAGAAATTCTTTTCAGTAATTAAAAATAATGTATTTAGTGATTCTAATACATTTTATATTAAAAAAATTGTTGGGTAAATGATTCTGATCAGATATTCACTTCGTCTACACTACAGGAAATCTTACTCCTCACTATTTCTCAAATACACCACACATGCTTCTGTCTCAGGGACTTTGTATTTGTATCTTTTGCCAAGGTTTCACCCCACAGATTGACTTTTGGTAAAAAGCAGGAAAAATATAACTTTGTGATTGGTCTGTTTCACTTTGATCCAGTCCTGTTGTCATTGACTAGATGTTGCATACCTCCTAATGTCAGGCAATATGAAATATACATGTTCATGAAGCGTTCTTGCCCAAAACTATTTAAACAGAACCTGATCAGACCTTTCCCTAACTTCTGGTTTAGAATACAAATATTATTATTTTATTTTATTTTATTTTATTAGACAAGTCTGTCTCTGTAGCCCATCCTGGAGCGCAGTGGCGTGATCTCGGCTCACTGCAACCTCCACTTCCTGGGTTCAAGCGATTCTCGTGCCTCAGCCTCCCAAGTAGCCGAAACTACAGGCATGCACCAACATACCCAGCTAATTTTTGTATTTTTAGTAGAAATGGGGTTTCACCATGTTGGCCAGGTTGGACTTGACCTCAAGCGATCTGCCTGCCTCAGCCTTCCAAAGTGCTCAGATTACAGGTGTGAGCCACTACGCCTGGCCCAAGTATTATTGTTATATATATATAGTCAATGTTGTTTTAGAACGTTGGATTTACCCACATATTTACCACTTGCTTTCCTCAACCTCCCTTGTTGCGCGTCAGCCCTTCCATCTGGAATCACTTTCCTTCTATCTAAAGTGTATCTTTTAACACGGTGCTGACCAATACAGTGATCACTAGTCATGTGAATATTGAGCGCTTGAGTTATTACTAGTCTGAATTGAGATTTGCTGTAAGTATAAAGTACGCACTGGGTTTCAAAGGAAGTACCAAACCCAAAATATCTCACTAATGATTCTTATATCGATTACATTTTGAAATGATAATATTTTGGATATATTGGATTAAACAGACTTATTAAAATTAATTTTACCTTTTTTTTGCTTTAAAAATGTGGATACTAGAACATTCAATTTACATATTGCTCATGTTATATTTCTATTGGACAATTCTGTTTTAGAATTTTCTTTAATGATGGCAAATTATGAAGTTTTGTTTTGTCTGAAAATGTCTATTTTGTACTTGCTCTTGAAATGTTTTTCCACTGGATCTACTGTGCTAGGTTGAGTTATTTCCTCTTATCATATTGAGAATATTATTTTACTGCCTGGCTTCCATTTTTGCTGTTAAGATGTCAGTTAATGTTGTTACTCCTTTGGCATTAATTTTTCTTTCCACTCTAGTTCCTGTTTGAAAAATCTCCTGGTTTGTAATATCCTGATATTTTATTATGATGAATTTAGCTATGTGTTTATTATTATGTATCCTGCTTGGATTCGCTATTGATTTCTTCTATAAATTCTAGGAAATTACTCATCATTATCTCTTTAGGTATTACCTCTTCTCCATTCTATTTCTCCCTTTTTATGAAACTCCATTTACATGTATATTACACTTTATCTTCTATATCTTAACCTCCTTTTTATTGTTTTCCATCTTTTTGTCTCTCTAAGGAGCATACTAAATTAATTCTGTATAACTAACTTTTTGCTAATACTTTTATCTGTGTCTAATCGTCTGGTTCAACTGCTTCATGGAATTTGTTTCATTTCAATGATTTTATTTTATATTTTGATACTGGGAGCACAGTTTGGTTCTTTTTCAAATCTGCTTACTCTTATAATCCCTTGCTCTTTAATCATATTTAAAACATTTCATTTCTTTGAATATATTTTAAATCAACATATTTAAAAAATATTCTATTACCAATAATTCCAATATCTGAACTCTTTGCAAGACTGATTTTGTTGTCTGTTATTATTGCAGGCTTTCTCAGATGGTAGCTTCTTTCCTTGTGTATTTTGTAATTTTTGACTGTAAGCTGCTCATGGTCCTTGGAATATCTTTGGTAGGAATTCTTTGAGGCTTTTGTTGAGGGTTGGTTCATTGAAAAAATATTTACATTTGCTTCTTCCATGAGACTAGGGACACTGAAAACCCAGGGGGATAACTTTAAATTAAGTTCTCAGGTTTGTTGGATCATCTAGATAGAGAAAATTTGAGGCTCCTGAGGGGGTTAGCTTTGGAATGAATTTGCATACCTTCTTTACCCCATCCAAGGTTTCAAACAGGCAATTTTCTCTATTATGCCCTTGGTGTGTGAGGTGTTTGATTCTATTCATCTTACACTGATGTACAAGTAGTTCTTTGGGAACCCACTTGTTATTTGGCCAGTTTTCCATGAGACTGTGCATCACAGGTGAGCTTCGTCTTCTGTCCTCTGCAACCCATGAGCCTGTGAAAACAGAAGCCTAAGGTCACTTGGATTCAGAAAATGCCTCAAAACAAAGCCAGGTTTAGTTCTCCACTTATTCCTCTAGGTATTTTTTTGTTCTCTTCAGTTTTTATTGTCCAAAGGTTGTCTATTTTCTTATCAGCTTATTGAGTATTTAAAAAGACAATGACTATGGTAAAAGAGAAATATTTTATAATGAAGCATCCCCATACTGAATATATAGCAACTAAGAAATATATAAAATAGGCAAATAAATGTATACAATAAAACCTTTTGCAAAAGAACAATGTCAGAGGCAATTATAGTGGAAGCCGTAATACAGTATTCTCAATCTCTGACAGGCTAAGTAGACAAAAATAAGGACATGAAGCTTTAAATAATTTAAATTCCAGCCCTGCATTAACAGATATATAGCATTTGTTCTCCACAGGTAATGTACTTTCTTTCTTAAATTTTATTTTTAATTGAAAAATAATAATCATATATATTGTATATTTATGGGATACAGGATGTGTTTTGATCCATATTTACACTATGGAATGATTAAATCAAGCTAATTAACAAATAAAAAAAGTTTAAAAACTATATATATATTTAAGGCCGGGCATGGTGGCTCATGCCTAGCACTTTAGGAGGCCAAGGCAGGTGGATCACTTGAGTTCAGGAGTTCAAGACCATCCTGGGTACCATGGCGAAAGCGCATCTCTACAAAAAATGCAAAAATTAGCTGGGTGTGGTGGTGCATACCTGGTCCCAGCTATTCCAGAGGCTGAGATGGGAAGATAACTTGAGCCTGGCAGACCGAGGTTGTAGGGAGCCATGATCGCGTCACACTGCAGTCCAGCCTGGGCAACAGAGTGCGATCTCATCTCAAGAAAAAGAGTTATTAAAAATATATATTTAATCTAGCATTTTTTAGTCATTTTCACCAGGAGGGTCAATCATGGTCTTTAGTCCATTATGATACCATAAATGGCAGTCTTATGTTTGCTTTGAGTGAAATTTTAAAATTTTATTTGCAACAGGTTTTGTAGTTATTTTCTGTGTATATTGTTATGTTATCTTGTCTGTACTGACACTAGTGCTTTTATATTTTGACTTTTGACTTCTTGAATCCTCTTTCAACTACTTTAGCTTTAGAATGTAATTGAAGACATTTCTGTCAAAGGTGCATTTGTGGAATTCTTGCTGTATCTTTGCATGAGAAGTTTTTTCTGTTGCTTTTGTTTGTGAAAGAAAGTTGACAAAGTTCAGAATTTTAGTTCACTATGTTTTTCCCCTCAAAATCTGGCAGACACACCTCCATTTTCTTCTTGAATTTACACATGTGATGAAGCTTGAATTTTTTCCATTTCTAGATAAACTTTTCTTCTTCTTATACTCTATAGTATTTTTCTTTATCCACATCATTAAAATAGTTTGCCTTTTGTGTTGGAATGGGTTCTAGTTCAATAATTTTTCCCGGAACATCCTGAACCCTGTTTTTGAATAGACTCAGGATTTCTATTTTTTTAATTCCAGAAAATTTTTTTTCTTTCTTTTATGTTTTTTGTTCATTTTGTTTTTGGGTCCTAATATTTCTGACTTCCCTGTTTTTGAAAAATATCATTTTTCCTGTCAGTATTTAATTTTTGTTGTTATTTTCTCTCTGTGCAGTGATAGATTCTCAAGTTTGTCTTCAATATTATTGTTCCAGTTTTATTCAATGTCACTTCTGCTCATTACCTTCTTCAATGGAGATTTTAATTTTATTATAATATATTAGATTTTTTGTACTTGTTTTTCTCATTTCAGCTAGTTCCTTCTGCATCTCTTTCTTCATTTAACTATATTCCCCATTAAAACTTGGAGTTTTTGTTTTACAAAGGTCATGTCTTCTTATAACTCTGGGAACACTAGGAAACTGTACCATAATTTTCTTCTGATTCTTCTGGAAGTCATCTCATTATTTTTTAGAGTCTACTTTTCTCCTGAGTTTTCATGCCTTATATTTGGCTTCCTTCTTTATTGCAGTATCTTTTCATTGATTCTATATAGATTTATTTGTTGTTCATTTCATTGTGAATATTTAGATCTCTCCAGGCATGGCATGGTCTACAAATCAGGGTAGAAGTTTATCTATCTATCTATTATCTATCTATCTATCATCTATCTATCTATCTGCACACATATAGTATTTAAATAATTCAGATTCTGTTAGCACAAGTGTTATTAAAATGTGCTCTACAGGTACCTAGATTTCTGGAAAGGTCCTTCTGGGCAGCCTCGGGGGACAAGAATGAGCACAAGCCTACCCATCCGAGTTCTCTTATCCTGAAAACTGAGGCACTCCACACTTACCTGTTTTATATATCAAGCCTCTGCATTAAAATTTATTTGAAGAAAGGAGAAAGCTGTTTAAGACATTTCTGAAAACGATTCCTCTGATGTATGAGTAACATCTTAGGTTAAGTTAGTCACTTTGGAAACTTTGCTGTTTCAGGATATTAGAGTACCAAAAAGTATAAAAGCTGAAGGAAATAGGTCCCAAGAGAAAACAATGGACTACTAACTGCCTAAAAGGACTTAAAGGAGGGGCAAATGACTTAATAAGAGGAAATGGATGTAAATTACTTGAACAAAAATGAGCCAGCTACCATGAAGATGTGCTTAGCTAAAGCGAAATAAATATGACTTGTATCTGAACTCTGAAATAAAGAGTGAGTCAGCTTAGAGGTTGAAGAAGTTTCAGCTCCTTTGGTTTCTACTTACTCCCTTGTGACAGCATCTAAAATACAACTGTTCCAATGAATGCTCCAGGATTTGATAGTTTCTGCAAAGGCAATCCAAGGGCACTGATTGACTGGAAGCAGGGCATAGGACTTGAGAATGTCCATGGCCGAAACATTGTGGACAGCAGTGGGATTGATGTCTCAAGATGAAAGACTAAACTTAAGGAACATTCAGTTCCACTAAGAAAGGAGATTTTCATATCACACTTTTTTTTTTTTTTTGAGACAGAGTCTCACTCTGTCACCCAGGTTGGAGTGCAGTGGCGTGATCTCAGCTCACTGCAACCTCTGCCTCCTGGGTTCAAGCAATTCTCCTGCCTGAGCCTCCTGAGTAGCTGAGATTACAGGCATGCGCCACCATACCTGGCTAATTTTTGTATTTTTAATAGAGACAGGGTTTCACCATGTTGTCCAGACTGGCCTTGAACTCCTGACCTCAGGTGATTCACCTGCCTTGGCCTCCCAAAGTGCTGGGATTACAGGTGTGAGCCACCATGCCCCACCTCACACACATTTTCATAAGTGTGTTTATGTGATAGGAATTGAGTGGATCAAAAATATAAGATAAAATTTGAGTAAGGAACTAGAATGAACATTAGTGTAGGGTTTGGACACACGGTAGAAGGTGGAGATGGGGGTGTAGTTCTGGGAGCATGATAATTTTCTGTTTGGCTCTTATCATTGGCTTCTGCTGGGATCAGTTTATGTTTGGGAGTAAAAAGCACACACTGCTTCTCTTCCCTCTCCTCTGTGTTCTCCTTCCTCATTACTTCATCTGTTATCTTACGGGTAATCACATGTTATCTTACAAAAGCACTCTTTTGCTTAAAAGCCTTCCTTTTCTATGCAAAGAATTAATTTAATTTTTTTTTTTTTTTTTTTTTTTGAGACAGGGTCTCAGTCTGTTGCCCAGGATGGAGTGCAGTGGTGTGATCATAGCTCACTGTAACCTTGAACACCCGGGCTCAAGAGATCTTCCTACCTCAGCCTCCTGAGTAGCTGGGATTACAGGCATGTGCTTCTATACCCAGCTAACTTTTAAAATTTCTGTAGAGACAGAGGTCTCACCATGTTTCCCAGGTTGGTCTCAAACTCCTGGCCTCAAGAAATCTTCCCACCCTGGCCTCCCAAAGTGCTGGGATTACAGGAGTGAGCCACAGTGGCTGGCCAAAGAATTGATTAAATTTTTTTTTAAAAGGAATAGTCTCACACAATGATCTTAGAATATGTGTGTGTATATATATGTATACATATGTATGTGTGTATATATATATAAATATATGTGTGTATATATCTATATATCTATATGGACACTTTATCTGTAGATAGTTGATGAACTTTGAGATATGTCATGGCTAAGTGGCAGGAAATGATTGAGCCACCTCAAAGGAGTGACTCAAGGTTGCCTTGAAGCTTAGCAGAACCTTTGCCAGAAGGACGCTGGCCCCTGTGTGAATGCATTCCAATGCTTCCAATGCATTCCAGTGCTTCCAGCCTGAAGCATTTGAGGCAGAGGGAGAAAGATCATCAAAAGGCCTGGAGATCCATCTTTGAGAGAGTTGATTTCTCTACTGAATGTGCGCTAGGAAGGCTAGGAAGGCCAGACAAGAGGTCAGACCCTCTGTTCCTCAGGCTGTATCATTAGGAGAAAAGTGAGGCTGCCCCATGTGGAGAAATCCTCTATCTCAGGTGAGAATCCTGCTACTGTCTTGAAAGGTGGCTCAGCTGTTCAGAGGGATCTGCTCAGCAGGACTGGTTTTACACCCTTCAGCAAGCCACATTGGCATAGACGAAACAGTATCACTGTCCTTGATACGGCACCACCTAGAACAAGGTGCTTAAACTGTGGCTGCACCTAAGAATCACCTGGGGAAAGTGTTAAAAACAGATTTGTGGGCCTCACCACAGACCTACTAAATCAGAGCAAAGGAAAATGAGGTAAACCTAAGACATAAATTGTGCACATATTTGTACCTTGTTGAACATATAGCTCATCTTGCTAACCAGTCATTGTGATCGAGTAAAAGGTGGCATTGTAGTCTAGTGAAAAAGCACGGGAGACTAATCACCAGAGAAACTCACGTGTAAATAACACTCAATTATGTAATAGTTCAATGACCTTACACATTTTACTTAACCTTCAGAGCTTCAGTTTATTTATCTCTTCTCTCTCTCTTTTTTTTTTTTTTCCTCTTTTTTGAGATGGAGTCTCGCTCTGTCTCCCAGGCTGGAGTGTGGTGGCGGGATCTCGGCTCGTTGCAAGCTCTGCCTCCCGGGTTCACGCCATTCTCCTGCTTCAGCTTCCCGAGTAGCTGGGACTACAGACGCCCGCCGCCACCAGCTGATCCTATCAGCTAGGTAGATCCTATCTCTACATAAAAATAAAAATATTAGCTTGGTATGGTGGCGCATGTCTGTAGTCTTCGCTACTTGGGAGGCTGAGAGGAGAGGACTGCTTGAGCCCTGGAGTCTGAGGCTGTAGTGAGCTATGATCAAGCCACTGCACTCCAGCCTGGGCGACAGAGCCATGCCCTGTCTCTAAAAAAAAAAAAAAAAAAAAAAAAAGCAATAGGAACTGAGAAAGTTTAAGTTTCCGTCTCCTTCGGTGTGGATCCAAAGAAACAGACCTTCTGAGTTTCACTGTAACTATATTGTACGGAATTTGTATGTTCTGTACGTAACAATTCTACCATATTGAGTAAGAAGTTTGTGATATTCTGCTTTGCTTCCATTGTATTACAGAAGTTAAAAGCATATTCCTTTGAATGTGCTTTTTTAAAAAAATGATTTCCCAAGGTGAAATAGTAAAGTTTATTCATCCGCCAAACAAATTAGCTGAATACTATGTTGTTCCTTGCACATGGCAAATTTTATGAGTGGACTTGGAAAACAGATTAAAACTATGAAGTACAAAAAAGTTTCTTTACTTTGACATGACACTAAGCGAGACTTAACTGTGTTTCTTCATATGCCAGTAAATTTACAAGCTTTTCAAGTTTGGAATGTCATTTTTTTATTCCCACCTCAGTAGGAAAGGTGTTGTATTTTAGGTACCTATTAGTTGAAAAGAATGTGTATACCATATTGATTTGCAGACAACTTGCAGCCCTCCACAATCTCAAATTTCTCAGATTGGGAAATATTGTCTTTTGGGAGACATTTTGGGATTGAAGGAGACTTATTTAGGTCAGAAAATTCAAATCCTCTCCTTAGTTTTATGCTGCAGATTTGTTTTTAGGACATTGGAGCTTTCTCACATTCCAGATGAATCCTTAACATTCAGATAATGGGGACCAGTTTCAGCACCTGCACCTGCAGGTTCAGCACTCAGTTGGGGTCAGATGGAAGGGCATTTTTATATCTTCCTATTTGATCTATCACAATCTATACCGAACAGTGTCTCCCAGGTATACTGGCCAGTCAATGGGTCTGTAATTTGCTGTTTCTACAGTAAAAATATGAGAAAAGCATTACATTTGTTAGGTCACAATAATGACTCACAAATCCTTTCAGTAAGTGTGTGTTTGGCGGGGCGGGGGTTAAGAGAGGGAGCAGGGGGAGTATGTACTTTTTGCTTTGCCTAATTTTGGCTCGTTGGTAATGGTAATAGTGTAAATGTGTTTTTCTTTTTATTATAACCCAAATGTTGGAACTCATCGGAGAAATCCATACATCTAAAAATCAATGCAAAATACAAAAGTCTAACTCAAAAACATTTAAAAAATGATGATCCTTACTATTGTTTTCTTGTGAAGATGGGGGAAGGGTTTCAGTGCATACGTTAGAACAAAACTCCCTAAAAGTCCTCTGTAAGCATCTTTCTTCCGTAAAGTTAGTTTCACTCCACATAGCAGCTGCTCTATTTCTTCCCTTTTCACTTTCTCTTTCCCACCATTTGCCTGAAGCTCCTCATCCCCTTCCTTGTGCCTCCTCAGAATTCTACCAGTGCACCTCATTCAGACATTCATCAAGAAAAAGGCCAGCTGAAGGCAGACAGCCAACAAAACTCAGTCGTTAGCCACAGCCCTGGCTGTCCTCGTCCATCAAGCCTGCCCATTGTGAGCTTCCATTCATCTTACCTGTCTGTTATGGAAGAGTGAAGTGGAAAAGGCATGGAGGACTCAGAAGACCTGCTACCGAGAAGAGGTGTGGTACAGTAAGCTTATTTAATGCTGAGCCCCATCTTCCTCATTCTACAATGAGGCTAGTAATTCCCACCTTACCAACCCGATAGGGCTGTATAAGGGCCAAATTCAATGATGCATGTGGTGAAAGTGCTTTAAGAGCTGGAAACACTTTAATACTGCTATGAGATTTAGAATAAGAATGTGATCACTGGACGGGGGTCTTAGAGTTATCTAGTCCTACCCTTTACTTTAACAACGACAAAATTGACAACCCAGGAAGTGTTGTAACTCACTCAAGGCCATATAGGCAGGTAGAAGCAAAACCAGGTTAGAGCTAGTTTTCCCAGTTTGATGGCCTAGAGTTAGAATGAGTTTTCAACTGTTCAATAATGGAACAAACACAGATTGATCAAATGGCTTTCAGTGTTGGAAGTGACGCTAGCAGATTAAGGATAAAATGGAGGAATAGAATCAGCGATATTGCTGACAGTGGACAAGGGAAAACCACATGAAACGGGGCATCGATGTGGGAAAGAGTGATTGAATTCTTTGAGTTGTTGGTCAAGATGATAGGGAGTCAGTAACATTTGTTATCCTACCTATTCTAAAATGCCACACAAAGATGTGTTTTGTTTGGAGTATTTATTTATTTTGAATGATTAATGATAGGTTATCATCTCAAATTGAACTCCCTAATTTCCAGTCTTAATTATGGCTCTACAACAGCTGTGGATATGTTTCAGAAATTCGTTTACTGGAATGAGAAAATTCCCCTTACCCATGAGTCATAAGAATCTTCTTGCCATTGGAGTTTTATTTTAATAAATCCAGTGGGTTTTTTTTTTTTTTTTTTTTGAGATGGAGTCTCACTCTGTCACCCAGGCTGGAGTGCAGTGGCATGATCTCGGCTCACTGCACCCTCCACCTACTGGGTTCAAGCAATTCTCCCAGCCTCGCCTCTTGAGTAGCTGGGATTACAGGTGCCCACCACCACACCTGGCTAATTTGTGTGTGTGTGTGTGTGTGTGTGTGTGTGTGTGTATTTTAGTAGAGAATGGGTTTCACCATGTTGGTCAGGCTGGTCTTGAACTCCTGACCTCAGGTGATCCACCCACCTTGGCCTCCCAAAGTGCTGGGATCTGCACCTGGCCAGGCAAATTATTAGGTTCGTGATGTCCAGATTCTCACAATCTGCCTACACGTGTTGCTTACCTTTTATTTGGGATTCTCCATCACTTGGGTGAATAGACCTCAGATAAGGCAGATGGCCAGGTCATTCTCTCCTTCTAAATGGTAATGTCATGAGATACCTGATGACCAGATGGTGGCTAGGTGAGGAGCTGGTGCTCCCAGGTAACAGATTGATATGCATTAGGAATGAAGTGAGCTAGTTTACTCTATGTCTTTGCTTTTGTGTTTCTTCTGTTTACATGTCACATGATGTGTGCTCTTAAAGCTTACTCTGCCATCAAGTGTTACCATTTTTCTTAAGCAATTCCTTCAAGGGAAGTTTCATTACCTCTTTCTTTGAAATGATACTCTCCATCTGTTTTTGTTGGCAACACATGGAAAAATTTCCAGTACCCAATTAAAGTTATGCAGGCTGATTTTCATTCATATGTTGCCAAACATTTCTGACGCTTGTGCATTTTTTAAAAATAAAAAATCAATGTCCCTTGGTAGTCACTTTCTGAACTTTCTAGAGCTTACATCTGTTCCAAGTCCTCTTTTTGGCGGTACTAATTTTTATTTCTTGTTATGGAGACAGCATTTTTTTTTTTAATGTGAGGGACAATTCCTTGAAGAGCTCTGATAATGCTCATTCAAGTTCTTACCATGAACAGTGGGCCGGAGTATATGTATATTGCCGTGGTTAAAGTATATAACTTTAATATACATTCACAGTTTTTATTATCTTCTTGTACAGTTTTGAAATTCTCATGTCTGAAAGCATGTTTTGTCTCATCACATCTTAAACTCTTGGACCTATTCTCAGGATGGACTTAAGGACAATAAGAATTTATCTGCTCATTGCCGTATTTACAATTCATCACAATTAATTTCATTTGATATAAAACAGATTCTGAAAGAAACTTTTTCAATTTTAACATGTTTGGATACTTCATGAAAAAAAAGCCATACAGAAGCTAGAAAGAGGGGGTAGATCTGGAGAGTGAGAAGAAATTATATATTCTGATTGCAGGCTCTATGGGGGAGAGGGGAGGGAGGGAAAGAGAGAGAGACAGAGGGAGAGAGAGAGAGAGAGAATGAATAAATCCTAGATAGTAGGTGCTGAGATCTGAAACTTCCTTGAATCCAGTCATCCTTGTGCTGAGTGTTTCCTGGGGAAAATGATGCTTGCAGGTGCGTATAAGGTCAAAATAAGTAAGGCACAGGGTTGAGTCTGAGCTATTGGTTGAGAGTTCTAAGAATCTGTGAACCCAAATGATATGGACCACATCCAAGCATGTGGCTGTGTTTCCTCTTTTATTTTTTGCCCAATAAAGTCAACAGTTGCACAAGTGGTAAATTATTGGTTAATGATGTCCAGGTACTCACAATCTGCCTACACGTATTGCTTATCTTTTAGCCTTGGGTTCTGTACTACTTGGGTGAATAAACTTCAGATGACATCTGTTGCCATTGGTAGAAAAGCCTGAACTAAGGGGTCTATGCCTGGAAGTGGAGCACAGTTATCACAAAACTAATGGGTTGGCTGGGCGCAGTGGCTCATGTCTGTAATCCCAGCACTTTGGGAGGCCGAGACGTGTAGATCACCTGAGGTCAGGAGTTCCAGACCAGCCCGGCCAACATAGCGAAACCTCGTCTCTACTAAAAATACAAAAATTAGCCAGGCATGGTGGCATGTGCCTGTAATCCCAGCTACTAGGGGGTGCTGAGGCAGTAGGCTCACTTGAACCTGGGAGGCGGAGGTTGCAGTGAGCCGAGATTGAGCCACTGTACTCCAGCTTGGGCAACAGAGTGTGACTCTGTCTTAAAAAAAAAAATGCTGATGGGTTGCAAGATTTTGATAGAAGTGTGGGCCCATTTTGCCATAAATTTATCAGGAAAAAAAGCTGGATCATACCTAAGTTACCGAACCACCTGGGCTTCACTAGTGACCTTATGTGGCAGTGTCAGCCCGAGAGGCAGTAGGGTATGGGGCCATCTGGTAGACAAAATTTTCTCTCTGGCTCCGTCCATGTTCCTGCAAAGGACATGATCTCACTCTTTTTTATGGCTGCCTAGTATTTCATGGTGTATATGTACCACATTTTCTTTATCCAGTCTACCTTTGATGGACATTTAGGTTAATTCCACGTCTTTGCTATTGTGAATAGTGACACAATGAACATATGCATACATGCATCTTTATGATATAACAATTTCTTTTCCTTTTATACATCCAGTAATGGGATTGCTGGATCGAATGGTAGTTCTGTTTCTAGCTCTTTGAGGAATCACCACACTGCTTTCCATAATGGTTGAATTGATTTACGCTCCCACCAATGGTGCATAAGTGTTCTCTTTTCTCCACAACCTTGTCAGCATTTGTTATTTTTTGACTTGTTAATAATAGCCATTCTGGCTGGTGTGAGATGGTATCTCCTTGTGGTTTTGATTTGCATTTCTCTAATGATGAGTGATATTGAGCTTTTTTTCATATGCTTGTTGGCCACATCTATATCTTCTTTGGAAGTGTCTGTTTTGTGTCCTTTGTCCACTTTTTAATGGGGTTGCTTGTTTTTTTCTTATAAATTTGTTTAAATTCCTGATAGATGCTGGATACTAGACCTTTATCAGATGCATAGTTTGCAAATATTTTCTCCCATTCTGTAGGTTGTCTGTTTTCTCTGTTTCTTTTGCTGTGCAGAAGCTCTTTTGTTTGATTAAATCCCATTTGTCAATTTTTGCTTTTGTTGCAATTACTTTTGGCATCTTTGTCATGAACTCTTTGCCTGTTCCTATGTCCAGAATGGTATTGCCTGGATTGTCTTCCAGGGTTTTTATAGTTTTGGGTTATACATTTAAGTCTTTAATCCATCTTGAGTTGATTTTCGTATATGGGGTAAGGAAGAGGTCCAATCTTCTGCATATGGCTAGCCAGTTATCCCAGTACCATTTATTGAATAGGGAGTCCTTTCCTCATTGCTTGTTTTTATCAGCTTTGTCAAAGATCAGATGGTTGTAGATGTATGTCCTTATTTCTGGGCTTTCTGTTTTGTTCCTTTGGCCATTATCCTTAGCAAACTAACACAGGAACAGAAAATCAAATACTGCATGTTCTTACTTATAAGTGGGAGCTAAATGATGACAACACATGGACACAAAGACGGGAACAACAGGCGCTGGGGCCACCTTGAGGGTGGAGGGTGGGAGGAGGGAGAGGATCAGAAAAAATAACTATTGGGTACTAGGCTTAGCATCTGGGTGACAAAATAATCTGTACAAAAAACCTCTGTGACATGAGTTTATTTATATAACAAACTTGCACATGTACCCCTGAACCTAAAATAAAAGTTATTTTTTTTTTCTCTCTCTAAAAGGCATTTGTAACCAGGAATGAAGCTTTGAATTGAACAGTCAATTCTTGGGGTTGGTGGACTTATCTTGGATGTGATAGTGGTGTGTTGAAGGAGGAAGAATAAAAGGCATGCTTTAAAGAGAGATGAAGGATTCAAAAATAAGTGACTTTGTTTTATATCCTAAGCTACTAAAGCAGGAACTATCTGTTGCATAATATTAATTCTATGAGATTTTCCTTAAAACTGGAAAGCAGAGAAATCACTTTCCAATTGTAAAGGATGTTTATGTTTTTAATTATTACATTCAATCTAGAATATGTAAAAATCCCATAAAAGGGTAAAATGTCAATATTTAGATAACAGAGGTCATGGTATTATGCAAACATGGTGAATCCTAGAAGGCTTTAGGCAGATTTTTCTCTCTCTCACTTGGGAGAAAGAGCACATCCTAACAGTCTCTGGTCGGTGTTATTTATCTGAAAGGGGAATTTCTACTTGTTTTGAATGAAACAAAAATATCTAGGGCATACTTTGATAGGTAGAAACAAAATGTACAATTTTGGGGTCTTAGTATTTCTGTGGTATTTGTCTAATTAGAATCTCATTTGACTGCATGTGTTCCCAAGCTAGCATAGAATTCTTTTTTTTTTTTTAAAAAAAAAAGCCATAAAATTACACATCACAGAACGTAAATTCTGAATAAAAGACTTGAGCAGGAAATAGGAGTTTTATGGCCTTTTAACTCTTTTGTATGACTTACCTTGCAACTCAGTGGTGAAGAAGAGCATCATGGGAAGCTTATGACTTTGAAATCATACTGATCAGGGTTTGAATTGTTGCTGTAGCATTTGCTAGCAAGTGTGACCTTGAACCTCAGTTTCCTTATTCATAAAATCGACCTTGTTATAAGAATAAGAAATCTGTGGCCAGGTGCAGTGACTCACACCTGTAATCCCAACACTTTGGGAAGCTGAGACAAAAGGATCGCTTGAGCCCAGGACTTTGAGACCAGCCTGGGCTACAGGGCAAAATGCTTTCTCTGCAAAAGATATTAAAAAAAAAAATAGCTGGGCATGGTGGCACGTCCCTACAGTCCTGACTAGTTGGGAGACTGAGGTGGGAGAATTACCTGAGTCCAGGAGGTTGAGGCTGCAGTGAGCCGAGATAGTGTCACTGCACTTCAGCCTGGGTGACTGAGCAAGACTCTGTCTCACAAAAAAAAAAAAAGAAAAATTTGTTAAATAAAGTTCCAGGCACCTAGCAGCTACTCTTTAATGGTAACTATTATTATGAGGACATGTGTTTTTTATTCATGAGTTGTACTTTTATGTGTATACATTCGTATAAAATCTATACATAATATTTTTTAGGTTCTTACATCTTTTGCCATCTTTTCAGAAATATACATCATATTAGTAAGCATCAACAATTGATTACATCAGTAATCAACCCCCTTTGTCCAACAAGATAGTATAAAATTATAAAAACTGTAACTTATTTTATGCATTGTTTATATAGATATTATTTTACATTCATTTATAATCTGCATCTATGATTCCTTTTGTACTTGGGCACAAAGTCTAAAGATTGTATTTAGAGTTTTCTAAAGCCTATGAAAAATTATTAGAGGGCAGAGTTCAACAGAATTTTAAGGAGCAAAGGAAATAAGATAATTTCAAAAGATAATGAAGTTAAGTAAATGTGAAAAAAAAAATCTCCATTGGAAATCAAGGGAAAGGAAGCAATAAGATGCCACTCCCCACTTAATGAAATAACAAAGAAAAGAAGAAAAATTGTAAGATAGAAGTTGAAATTCTTAAAATGACAATACCCCAAATTTGAAGAAAAAGTAATGAAAATGATTTTTTTTATTATTTTTGGTAAGAGCACATTTTGAAGGAAAAAAATCATCATAGAAAGCTGATTTGATTATATTTATTGAGAATGAAAATTGTTTATTGACTTTGACTCAATATCCAACTCCTCCCAGGAATTTAGAATGCATTGATTCAGGGAAAGGCTATTGAAGATATATGTTCTTTACAACATTTGAAGCAACGTAAATGCTTAAATTTGGGGGATGGTTAAGCAAATCTCAGCATAGTCATTTAATGGGCTATTGTGAAGTGGGTGAAAAATCATGAAGACTATAAAGCATGTGAAAAATTGCGAATGACAGACTTTTAAAGAGAAAAGAAAAACATAAAAATTGATTATAGGCTATGAACACAGTATGTTTTTTAAGTGGTCCTTCTCTATGCTGGGAGGAGGCTGGTCTGGCTCATTTCTCAAGTCCTTGAATCCCTAGGTCCTGTGAGAGATGTTCTCCCTTGAGTCCTCCTTCCCTACCCCTAAAGCCAGCTTGCTGCTTACAGAAAATACCTTTTGCCCTCTCTCTGGTTCCTTTGACCCACACTTCATTATACAGACTAAATTCTTTAAAGAACAATTCTGCCTTGTGTTTTAGTGTCCTCATAGATGTCTAAATCCAGTCCTTTTCTGTTTACAATTTATATCCACAGGGCTCCAGCACAGATCCTTAGGGGAAAGGGATCGTGCTGGAGAAAAATCTGAGCTGCAAACACAACGCTGTACTGAAAATGACACCTTCCTTCTGGTCCTTACCAGTGTGCTTCGCCTAAGCATGCATGCCACATGTTTCCTTTCCTTATGATGGGTTTTTAGCAAAAAAGCTTCTCACTTTTCTAGTAAATAGCCCTGCATGGGCGATTCCATCAAACATCCAGTCATGCCCAAACCCATCTGAATTTAGATTGAGCATGTTCCAATGCTATTCCACTGAAACCACCAGTCCTCCCCTGACCCTTGACATAAGGTTTTGAAGGATATCTGTGTTGCATATTGTGAACTTTGAATAGACTATATTATTATGTAAAATCCTTACACATTTTTTTTTTCTTTTCTGAACTAGTTTGGTAATTTCCAGGATGGTTTTCACAGAGTCCATTTGTTTCTATGTGTTTTGACAATATAGTCTTAGTTCTGCTACTGGATAGTTATATAAACTTAGATAACTGTTTAATTTGCAATTCTGAATTTGCAAAAAGAGCAGGTGGACTTCAATGTGTTTAAAGCTCTCTTCAGAAAACTCTGGGAACTCTTGATTAAGGACAAGAAGAGCTTCTTAAGGGGACCTTTGATCGTCCTTTCAAATCCCCAGGGACTCAGCCTGTATTCTTACTTGCCGCTGCCTACTTTCTCTTTTGGGGTTGAATAGCCTTCAGATTTTCCTCAGCATGAGGTTTTGTATTTTCAGATCTTATTGTCTTTTTTATGTGTGTGCTGAAAGGAAGCAAATATGTCCTTATAGCTTTGAGTTTTCCTGTTGTAGGGAGACAGACAAAATATAACCAAGGCAATCGTTCTAGAAATTTAAAAAATAATCATAGTTGCGTTCGTAATCTATGTTTCCCAAGTTCCTTTTTTTGTTTTGTTTTGTTTTCAGGAGAAAGCACGAACATAGTCCCAAGTTCCCTGTTCAGTTGGTAGCTGGAAATGCGTTTTAGATGATGCTGAAGGTTGCTTTTAGATAGCTGAGTTTCAGAGTAAGCTACTCATAAGGTAGCCTGAGATAGCTGCTACTGCCAGGTCTGGTGGTACACTGTATTTTCAATCTGTTTTCTAATCTTCTTTCATTTAGTGTTTTCACCCATTCTTCCATTCATCCGTTCATCTATCAATCTATTTCATATTGAATCTCACAACTTGCTATTCAGAAATGAATAAGATTCATGGCCAGGTGTGGTGGCTCATGCCTGTAATCCCAGCACTTTGGGAGGCCGAGGTGGGCAGATCACTTGAGCTCAGGAGTTTGAGACCAGCCTGGGCAACATAGTGAGATCCTGTCTCTACTAAAAACACAAAAAATTAGCTGGGCATGGTGCCGCGTGCCTATGGTCCCAACTACTCGGGAGGCTGAGGTGGGAGGATCGCTGGAGCCCAGGAGGCAGAGGTTGCAGGGAGCTGAGTTCACGCCGTTGTACTCCAGCCTGGGTGACAGAGTAATAACCTGCCTCAAACAAAACAAAACAAAACAAAACAAAACAAAACAAAACAAAAAACAGCATGGCCAACATGGCGAAACCCCGCCTCTACTAAAAATACAAAAATTAGCCAGGCATGGTGACACGCACCTGTAATCCCAGCTACTTGGGAGGCTGAGGCAGGAGGATTGCTTGAACCTGGGTGGCGGAGGTGGCAGTGAGCCGAGATCGCACCACTGCACTCCAGTCTGGGCTTTCAATGAACTTACAGGATATAAAGGAGCAATGTATTGCTGAATGTGAGAAATATAACAATTCAATCATGCACAAAATGAAAAAGCAGCACATTGCAGCCAGTATCTGGCTAGGTTTTAAAGAAGAAAACTTTTTTTTTTTTTAATGAAGACAGGGAAGTACAGAGATTTTCAGGCAGAGGCAATAGTATATGCAAAAGCGCTGATATAGAAAGTAGTGTGGTATGTCGGGGCCATAATGAGAGATCAGCTGGCTGAACAGGGGCCACATCATGAAGAGCTTTGAGTGTCTTGCTAAAGAGCTTGGATTTGATCCTGTAGAGAATGGGGAATCATTGAGGGATTTCAGACAGAGGGAGGTGTGATTCTATTTGTGCCTTGGAAGAATGGATTGACGGTAGACAAGGCTAGAGGTGGAAAGAGCAGCTATAAACATGTCCAAGCAAGAGAAGCAGGACCCAGGCATTATTAGTTAGGATTAGAACAAAGATGGACTAAAATATTTAGGAGGTAAAATGGACAGAAATGGGCATGTTTGGTATTGGACATGAAGAAGAGAAAGGAAGTCAGGGATGACTTATTTGTTCTGGCTCAGGAAACTCAGAAACTTTTGTGGTCATATACTTAGAGGCACTGGAGAGGTAGTTAGGGTTCCTGGTTGAGGTGTTATGATAGACACCTCCAAATACAATTGCTTAAAGAAAGATAAAGTTTATCTTTCAGTTCTTTAAATGTCAGAATAGGTGGCTCAGGCAGCTCAAAACTTTTGGAGACCTAGGCTCCTTCTACCCTTTTTTTCTGTCATTCACAACATGTGGTTTTCATATCAAGATCTGGGATAATTGCTCCAGCCCTGGCCATCATGGACACACTGCACACACACCTTTTCTTTGGGGGAGTGATTCAGAGGCTGAGCTCATCATTTCTGCTTACATTCACTCTGCTCACATTTGTTGATCAATCTTAATCCAAACACCATAGCTAGATGTAAGAGAGGCCAGAAAATGTTTTCACTTGGGCGGCTATGTACCATTGAAAATTCTGGTGTTCCATTATTAAAGGAATCAGGGGAGATTAACGGAATCTAGAGGACAATCACCATGCATGCTGTTTCAAGTGCCTGTTGGATATCCAAGTGGAAATGTCCTGTATGTATCTGAATATGTAGGCTTAGAAACCAGGAAAGAGTCTAAACCAAACAAAAAAATTTCAATTCAGGGCATTAACACTCTTCATTCTTCGGCCCCGCCCCCCCCAGCAGAGATTGCCAATTCTCCCTAAGTATCCATTCTCTCCACCTTCCTATTAGTGATAGGAATTGCAGAAGACCAGGTGACTGCTCAGCTACAGACTCCACCTACTAGCCTCCCTTGCAGATAGGTATTGCCATGTCATGAAGGTCTGAACTTCTTTAACTATATATATATATATATATATATATATATATATATATATATATATATATAAAATTTTTTTTTTTTTGAGACAGGGTCTCGCTCTGTCACCCAGGCTGGAGTGCCGTGGCATGATCATGGCTCACTGCAGACTTGACCTCCTGGGTTCAAACCATCTTCCCATCTCAGCCTCCTGAGTAGCTGGGACAACAGTTGTGTGCCACCATGACTGGCTACTTTTTAATTTTTTGTAGAGATGGGGTTCTTCCTATGTTCCCTAGGCTGGTCTCAAACTTCTGAACTCAAGCAATACTCCCTCCTTGGCCTCCCAAAGGGAGAACTGAACTTTTTTTTTTTTTGAGATGGAGTCTTGCTCTGTCACTCAGGCTGGAGTGCAGTGGCGTGATCTTGGCTCACTGCAACCTCTGCCTCTTGGGTTGAAACGATTCTCCTGCCTCAGCCTCCTGAGTAGCTGAGATTACAGGCACATGTTACCAAGCCTGGCTAATTTTTGTATTTTTAGTAGAGACAGGGCCTTACCATGTTGGCAAGGCTGGTCTCGAAGTTCTGACCTCGGGTGATCTGCCCACCTCGGCCTCCCAAAGTGCTGGGATTAGAGGCGTGAGCAGCCACCGTGCCCAGCCAGAACTGAACTTTTTAATGAAAAAAAATTTTTTTTTAATTTCCTCTCCAAGCATAGTGGCTCATTCCTGTAATCCCAATGCTTTGGGAGGCTGAGGCAGGAGGATCACTTGAAGCCAGCCCAGCCTAGGCCGCATAGTGAGACCATCATCTCTACAAAAAACTAAAAAATTAGCTGGGCTTGTTGGTGTGCACCTGTAGTCCCATTTACTGGGAAGCGTGAGGCAGGAGGTTGAGCTCCGGAGCGTAAGCAGCAGTGAGCTATGATCACACCACTGCACTCCAGTCTGGGCGACAAAGCAAGACCTTGTCTCTATTAAAAAGAAAAATCTGAAACCCTAAATGGAGAAGGAAGAGAGATGTTGAGTCAGCCCACTGGAGCAGTAGTGGAGAACAGAATGCTGGCAACTTGAGACCCTGCACATTTTGGCCTGATGCTTCCAACTTTCATATTTAAATTACTTTTCTTTAACTTTCTTAGTTCTTTTTCCGACCATCAAACTGAAGGTCTTAGAGTCACAGAGTTGCTTTATTTCCATTTAACCAAGAGCAATGTCATTGTAGTACAAAAACAATTCTTTAATGTAACTGTCACTTAAAAAAATACCGGGGAAATAATTGTAGCCTTCATTTCTCTCTGCCTTGTTCTGTACTTAGGTATGTGACACTTTCCACCATAAAATTGCAAGTCCTTAGTCCCATTTCTTATTTATTCATCTCTGTACCCTTATGTCTATCATGTTGTAGGTTCTGCATAAATGGATTTTGAAGTGATTAAAACCACCATTATTCCTGGCTCAATCAGCTGGTTGAAGAAGCAGCTCTCCTATTTCACCTTTCCTCTCTCTTCCAGCCCCATTGCAATCAGAAGATTATTTATGGAAAAAAGCAAAATGGAGATATTTAAAAGACGGAGAGAGACAGCAGAAAGCTGCTTAAGAAATTGCTTTGAGTCCACAGGAGGGAAGCACAAAGGAGATGGGATAATAGTGTTATACACTACATGGTAAGTGTAATAAACTCCAAGCTGGGAGGACAGCAAGGGCACTCTGTGTGGGTTAATTGGTGCCCTGCCTACGCTCGAGAGAGAATAAATTTTCAACCACATCAAAGTCTTCTCCAGAAAAAAAAAAAAGCTCGTTAAAAATCCCATTTCCAGGAACCCTGGCAGCCAGACAATAAGAAGGCTAAACAACAACAACAACAACAACAACAAAAATCACCTCTATTTGGCCTACTACTCCCTCAAACATTAAACTATTTGCCTTGAAAAGAACAAAGAAAGTATGTAAGTAATATGTTTAAATTCAACGTCTTAGAAAGTGGAGTGATTTAGCTAGGGTTGGCTTCGATCAATCTGAGACCTCCCAAAGCCTCAAAATGTATTATTTAGAACTGTGAAAAAATTCACCTTTAGATACTCCTCTGTCCTGTCCTCATGAAATATTTACAGTGTGGTACATAGATGCATACAAAATTGTACAACTCATGATGGGGAAAAAAGGCAGATTGCATTCATTTTCGATGGAAGAATCGGTAGTTCATAGTTTTTCTCCCACAATTTGCCTCATTTATCCCAAGATTGTGTATCACTGTGAGCTCACTGATGGCAGGGAACATACCTTACTCAATTTTTAAGACTTTTACAATTTGGAATAATTTTAGATTTATGGAAAAGTTGCAAAGATATTATAGAAAATTCTCATATATCCTTCACCCAGCATCCCCTAACATTATCATTTTACATAACCAGGGTACATTTGTTAAAACTAAGAAGTTACATTAGTACAATGCTATTAATTAAACTACAGACTTTATCCAGATTTCGCCAGATTTTCCACAAATATCCTTTCACTATTCTAGAATTCAAGCCAGGATACCACATTCCATTTAGATCACTGTTGCGTTTAGATCATTTTTGCATTTAGATCTTATTCACTTTTATATTTCTGGTACCCAGGATGGTGACTAATAGGTACTCAATGTATATTTGCCGAGAGAACAAGCCAGAAAATACAACTAGAATTGAATGCTCAGATACTGAAGAGGGGACTGGGGTGGGGGCCATGGAAGTAGCAGACCTGGATCTAGCACTCAGCAGGGCCTACTTCTGTCTCAAAAGCTTCAAAAGGGTGGAGGGGGCAGGAGACAGTTTCAATGAGCTGAAGAGTGAGTGGGAAGAGGAGACTGAGTGTAGAGAACTTGCAAAGCAGATTGTCAATGAAAGCAAAGGCAGAAAAGATACAGTAATTGAAGGAGAATAAATGTCATAAAAGTAGTTTTAGGAAAGGGAATAGTGAGCTGTTTTGTAGTCTGAGAAAAGGGAAACTTGAAACGGTGGGGGTGTGTTGGGGATTGAAGACCCAGTAAAGAAGAGATGATTGCTGAAATAATGCCCAGGAAAAAGCAGGGGGAATATGATTTGGAGTCTAGGTGGAAATGGGGTCTTGCAGAGACTTATGAAAATTATTGGAATATCTGCTATGTAGTAAGGAAAATTAAATCAACTAAGAATGAAAGAAAAGAATGACATCATTATTGAAAGCCCAGAGATAATCAGGTTATTATATTTTGGGTCTGGCACTAATGACACTTAGTGCCACTCTTAGACTGCCAGACTCCCTGAGGACATGCAGTTTCAGGGAGTCTGGTAGTCTAAGTGTGGCACCAATGCGAGTCTTTTTAAATTCACTTTTTCATTTCTGTTCATATGACTACATCATCGGTCAAATCATTTACTTTGTCCCAGGATTTGGTAACAGGCTTCATTGAATTCATAATGAATAACTTTTGTTTTGTGTTGGGATTCCATAGAGTAACTTGGATATATTAACACTGGAATTTTTCTACGTTGTTTATAGCAAATTATTCTAGTACTATTTATCCTAATAAAAACAGTAACTATAATCAGAATTTTTTGAGCAGCTACTATGTTATAGCAATGTACTAGACATTTTGTGGACTCTACAAGACATCTCCATTTTAACTGTGGGAAGAGTCTTGGAGAGAGTCATTCTTTCAACAAGTATTCATGAAGCATCCTCCATGTGTCAGGTTTCACCTGAGGCAATTGGGATACATCAATGAGAAAGTGAGACAAAGATCTCTGACCTATGATGTCACATTTTAGCAGAAAATCCAAGTGGGTAAATGGTTTACCTAAATTCACAAATGTAATAAGTAGCTGCAATGACCTTTACTAATTTTTGGCTGCCTTGTGTCCATTTCACCTTCTTTTGGAGGGGAATTTTACTTTCCCTATTTGATGCAGTTTTGTAGGAGTGTTAGTCAAGGTATCCTGTTTTCCCTAATTCCTATACACTACGTATATGAATAGTCTTGACTAGGCCAGTTGAATGCTTTTTTTTCTCTGAAATATGACTCCTGTATATAGAGAAAAAAGTACTGAGAATCATTGAAACTTATCCACCCTTCTAGTTTCCTAAGATTTTTTCTAAATGAGATCCCTTGGTGTGTTTATAGGGTTTGTCTTTTCCAAGACTAATTTACTAGACTTCCCTTCAATTCAGAGAGCTCCTCCAAAGCATTCCATCATCATCATCATCATCATCATCATCATCATCATCATCATCATCATTTTTGCTTACACTAGCTTTTGTTAGTTTCTGTTGCTTACTATCAGGAACCTGGATTTGTGATTCCAGAATCAATCCTTTGACTACACTTAGCTTCACTAACATACATTCTGTGATACATTGGAATTCCTGAGAGATTGTCCAAGGATTTTTTTGTTAGCATATATATTCTGACTGGAAAATTTTCTGTCTTTAGACAGAACTGGGCATTGACTTATCTGTGTTTCTTGATTTTGAGCATGACTTAGAAAGGATGTCCCCTGCTTCATTTCTCTTGGGACATGTAACAGACTAGACAGAATACCCAGTCAGCTTTTACTCAGTTGGCCTTCCTACCATTGTGGAATTTGGCATTTACAAGTGGTTGATGCAATGTTATTTCAGCATGGGCCCAGTCAACAGCTCCCACCACCTCTGGAGACTTCCATCGCTAGAATCTTACACTGCAGACCCTGTTCATTGATATTCAGGTGACACAAGCACAAGAGGAATAGCTGACATTGCTGTCACTTGCAGGGTCATCCTATATTTGTAGAAACATGGAATTATTGTTGCTAGCCTTGCTGCCTTGCTGCAGCATTGTACTAACCCCAGGGCACCATTCACATTGTAAGCATCATGAGTGGCACTCCCAGAGTCCGAAAATGATGCCTGGTGTGGAATTGGCTTCCTGTCTATTTCTTCCTGCTTGGCGTGTTCTCCTGGATGCTGGCCCAGACTTCTTTCTTAGGACTCTGCATGGCTGCTTCCTCATGCCATCTCTAGTTAAGGCTCAAAACTTAGCTCTACGCTCAGAATTTATTTTTCTCATCTGTTTTATCTAAGAGCTAATTCCTGGATATGCCATGTGTGTGCAGAAACTCTCACTACTCTTCCCCCTTTGCCTGCCTGACTCCTGATATTGCCTCTCCTTGCTTTCTCTGTTGGGTGCACCAAAGACCTGCTCTACCAGTACAGTTCTCTGTAGGTGTAAGTTCAGGCCCACTTCTAAAATTGGTGGAGCCCAGTGCAAGGCTACAAGTGAGTGCCCACATGCTATGCTGTCTAAATATTCACAAGTGATACTTCAAGCTAATAAAATACCTTCTATCCACCTACCTTGACTAATATATCTTCATAATGACTTGGAAGGTCAGGGGTCTTGGACTTCTGCAAGTTTTGCTTCTGAACATAGCAGCAGGGAGAACCTGTCTTGCAGTTCATATTCTGGCTCTGCCTTCTCTTCTCACTCTAGGTCTGTCTTATACAATGAGAGGTCTCACATGCATGTGTGTGGAAACTCTATCCCATATTTACAATCCCCATTCGCATCCCCACAAATGGCTCTCTATTGGCCATTCCCTGGGCCTAAGGATGTTCTTGTCATTGGTGTGTTCTGTTCTCAAGAGACAGGGCCTAGGGAAGAGGCATTCTCTGGCTCTAGAAGTGAGCTCAGGGACACTTTGGCAGAGAATTTTGGGGTCCAGGTACAAGAAGCCTGGTCTAGAGGGAGAGAAGCAGGTTGAGGGTGAGCATATACCCTTGGCTCCAGAAAGGTCTTGATTTGTGAGAAGGAAGATGGCTAGAGAAGGCCAGGAGTCTTCTTTGCCCAAGCTTAAGTATGCAATGGTAAAAGGTAGAGCCAGTCTCATGCTTCTGTAACGCTGGGAGTACAAGCCAGTTTAGCCATGCTCTTCCTCTTCACAAGGGACATTTTGGGGCAATGGGAAGTAATGGTTATCTTTATACTCGAGGAAAAACTGTAAAATATGGTGTTTCTGACCTACTTCTCAGAAGGTGGTGATCATAAAAAGTATTCCATTGTCTCTGGATCTTGAGGTAGTTATGTAAGCAATATGACTAGCTGTTTTAGAATAGTACTGTGGACACAAATGCCAAGTCCAAATAAGAAACTCTTCAAATATCACGTGTAGGGGAGAAAACTCTACATTGCTCAAAACTTCAGTGGATAAATTCACTCTTAATTTCATGCAAGAACAAATGTCAAGTTGCTTTACAGCTACTTTGTCTTTATTAAATTTAATAATCATTTGTTGAATGTCTATTATGTTTTGAATTCTAACTGGAATGCTATAGAACTAGATGATAAAATGTGAGTTGTACCTTGAGGGATAAGAAGGGCTTTACTGGGTGAGTAAATTGGAAGAATGTCTTTGAGAAGCAAGTTTCCTCATCTGTAAAAAATAGTGATAGTGCTTACCTTACAGGGATTTTATGAAGATTAAAAGGGTAACAAAGGCAAGACACATAGCTTATACTCAATAAATTTTAAGTATTCCTGTTTTCTGTTTTTTTTTTTTTTTTTTTTTTTTTTTTTTTGAGTGGGGAGAAAAGACAAAGAAAGTGGATTGAGAACATAATGACTTGTTCGACAAGCTGGGTGCAGCTTGTGTTGTTAGAATACAGTTTGCACAAGAGAAGTGACTGGAGATTAGTCTAAAGAGCTCATTGAAACCAGACTGTATTATCTGACGAGGAGTTCACGTATGTCCTATAGGAAAGAGGACTCAGTGAATGGCCTGATGAGAGGGCTAACACAAGGAGATTTGCCATTTTAGAAAATTCATTTGTGTAGTGTCATAGAGGATGGTTTGGAGATAGAAGAGACTGGCAACAGGCTGATCTGCAATCATTCAGATAATAACATGAGATGGTCTCAAACTAAGACTCTGGCTGTGGAATACTTAAGAGAGGACAAATGTTAGTGGCCAAGTCAATGGTACTTGGTACAAAAGGTTAGAAAGTTTAAGTGACAAAGATACTTGAAGGTTTCTGGCTGTTGCAACAGCTTGTTTGGAGGGACTATCAACTGGGATAGGCATGACAGATTAGAGAAAGTTTCGTGGGGCAAACCTAGAATTGAAAACATGAGACATCCAGTGCAGATGCCCAGCTGGCCATTGGTAACAGAGAGATCACAGTGGAAATACAAATCTGGGGTCTCCTTCATTTGTATGATAACTGAGACATTCTCCCAATGCACTCACCTGGTGATATGGTTTGGCTCTGTGTCCCCACCCAAATCCCATCTTGAATTGTAACTCTCATAATTCTCACGTGTTGTGGGAGGGGCCCAGTGGGAGATAATTGAATCATGGGGGTGGCTTCCTCCATACTTTTCTCATGGTAGTGAATAAGTCTCATGAGATCCGATGGTTTTATAAGGGGTTTCCATTATTGTTTCTCTCTCATTTTCTCTTGTCTGTTGCCATGTAAGTCATGCTTTTGCCTTCTTTCATGATTGTGAGGCCTCCCCAGCCATGTGGAACTGTGAATCCATTAAACCTCTTTTTCTTTATAAATTACCCAGTCTTGGGTATGTCTTTATCAGCAGCATGAAAATGGACTAGTACAGCAAATTGGTACTGGTAGAGTGGGGTGCTGCTGTAAAGATACCCAAAAATGTGGATGCAATTTTGGAACTGGGTAACAGGCAGAGGTTGAAACAGTTTGGAGGGCTCAGAAGACGACAGGAAAATGTGGGAAAGTTAATTTCCTAGAGACTTGTTGAATGGCTTTGACCAAAATGCTGATAATGATATGGACAATGAAATCCATGCTGAGGTGGTCTCAGATGGAGATGAGGAACTTTTTGGGAACTGGAGTAAAGGTGACTCTTGCTATGTTTCAGCAAAAAGACTGGCAGCATTTTACCCCTGCCCTAGAGGGGCTTCAAACTTGAGGGAGATGATTTAGGGTATCTGGCAGAAGAAATTTCTAAGCAGCAAAGCATTCGAGATGTGACTTGGGCACTATTAAAAGCATTCAGTTTTAAAAGGGAAACAGAGCACATAAAAGTTTGGAAATTCACAGCTTGAAGATGAGATAGAAAAGAAAAACCCATTTTCTGAGGAGAAATTCAAGCCAGCTGCAGAAATTTGCATGGGAGAAGCCAAATGTTAATCCCCAAGACAATGCGGAAAATGTCTCCAGGGCATGTCAGAGACCTTTGTGGCAGCCCCTCCCATCACAGGCCTAGAGGCCTAGGAGGAATAAACGGTTTCGTGGGCTGGGCCTAGGGCCCCCCCTGCTGTGTGCAGCCTAGGGATTTGGTGCCCTGCATCCCAGCCACTCCAGCCTTGGCTAAAAGAGGCCAAGGTACAGGTTGGGCTGCGGCTTCAGAGAATTCAAGCCCCAGGCCTTGGCAGCTTTCACAAGATGTTGAGCCTGTGGGTGCACAGAGTCACGAATTGAGGTTTGGGAACCTCCACCTAGGTTTCAGAGGATGTATGGAAACACCTGGCTGTCCAGGTGCAAGTTTGCTGCAGGGGTGGAGCCCTTATGGAGAACCTCTGCTAGGGAAGTTCAGAAAGGAAATGTGGGGTTGAAGCCCCCACACAAAGTCCCCACTGGGGTGCTGTCTAGTGGAGCTGTGAGAAGAGGGCCATCATCTTCCAGATCTCAGAATGGTAGATCCAGTGACAGCTTGCACCATGCACCTGCAAAAGCTGCAGACACTCAATGCCAGCCCATGAAAGCATCTGGGAGGGAGGCTGTACCCTGCAAAGCCACAGGGGTGGAGCTGCCCAAGACCATGGGAACCCGTGTTGCATCAGCATGCTGTGGATATGAGACATGGAGTCTAAGGAGGTCATTTTGGAGCTTTAAGATTTGACTGCCCTGCTGAATTTCAGACTTGCATGGGGATTTTAGTTCATTTTGACCAATTTCTTTCTTTTGCAATGGGTGTATTTATCCAATGCCTGTACCTCCATTGTATCTAGGAAGTAACTAACTTGCTTTTGATTTTACAGGCTCATAGGCAGAGGGGACTTGCCTTGTCTCTGATGACACTTTGGACTGTGGTCTTTTGAGTTAATGCTGAAATGAGTTAAGACTTTGGGGGAGTGCTGGGAAGGCATGATTGGTTTTGAAACGTGAGGACATGAGATTTGGGAGGGACCAGGGGCAGAATGATATGGTCTGGCTCTGTATTCCCACCTAAATTCCATCTTTAATTGTAGCTCCCATAATTCTCACATGTTGTGGTAGGGACCTGGTGGGAGATATTGAATCATGGGGGCAGCTTCCCCCATACTGTTCTTGTGGCAGTGAATAAGTCTCATGAGATCTGATGATTTTATAAGGGGTTTCTGCTTTTGCCTCTCTCTCATTCTGTCTTGTCTGCTGCCATGTAAGACATGTCTTTAGCCTTCTTCCATGATTGTGAGGCCTCTCCAGCCACATGGAACTGTGAGTCTTTTTCTCTTTTTCATTATAAATTACACAGTCTCAGGTATGTCTTCATCAGCAGCATGAAAACAGACTAATATATTCAGCAATGCCCTTCTTATCCCTCAAGGTGCAAGTCACATTTGACCCCCTCGTTTTCTAGCCTTCTGGTGAGAATTCAGGACATAATAGACCTTCACCAAATGATTATTGAATTCAGTGAAGACAAAGTAGCTGTGAGGCAACTTGTCATTAGTTCTTGCGTGGGTTCTCACTTATAAGTTGGAGCTAAATGATGATAATACATGGACACATACAGGGGAACAGCACACACTGGGGCCTTTTGGAGGGTATTGGGTGGGAGGAGGAAGAGGACCAGGAAAAATAACCAGTGGGTACCAGGCTTAATACCTGGGTGATGAAATAATTTGTACAACAAGTCGCCATGACACAGGTTTACCTATGTAACAAATCTGTACATGTACCCCTGAACTTAAAATAAAAGTAAAAAAAAAAAGCATAAATTATCCACTGATGTTTTGAGCTATTTGGAGCTTCCTTTCACACACATGATATTTGAACTGTTTCTCATTTGGACTTGGCATTTTAGTCCACAGTACTATTCTAAAACAGCTAGTGGTATCGCTTACATAACTACCTTAAGATCCAAGACAATGAAATGCCTTTCATGTTCCTCACCTTCTAAAAAGTAGGTCAGAAACATCATATTTTATTCTTTTTCCTCATCTTGAGTATCGTGGGCAATGATCAGGTATGTCAGTGAGAGTATAAAGTGATGAAGAAGGAGAATCAAAGAGAAAGTGGGGAAATAATGAGAATGAGAAGAGGTAGTGTGGCAAGAGAGTTAAATGACTTAGGAAAAGAAGGCTGGGCTTGGGTTGTAAGGTGCTACATGTGAGATGCTAAAATGAGGTAAAGACTGAAAAGTGGCCATTGGATTTGACAGTGGGGAGGTAAGTGTTAATCTTAATGAGATTAAGGGTTGAACAAGTGACAACAAGAGGAAACAGTTAGTTAGATCTTGTTATAGTGAGTTTTGGGGCATTTTCTTGGGCAAATTTGAGCATACAAAACACTATTTTTATTAGAAAAACCTATATATGTATACACACACATATGTATATATTTGTAACTCATACAGATGTGGAAAAATACATACTTTGTGGGTGATAGTGTTTGCTTCAAGATAATGGGAACAGAAGAACAGTGGAGAGATATTAGTAATATTTTCTTCATAAACTGTATGGTTTCAATGTTTATGAGTAGTTCTTTTGTAATAAAAATATTTAAAATATGGCATTTATTAATAGTTGGTAACTTAAAAAATTAGATTCATGCCTACCAAAAGTAAGATGAATATTAGTAATAATAATAAATAAATCTACTGAGTATAAATCAACCACACAAGAAAACATAGTGAATATGTATTAAAACTCTGAAGTATAGATGACTTTCTAAGCTCAGAAAAAAATAAAGATATCTGAAAGGAACAAAGGAACATGTTTGTTACTAGGGAAATATTACAAGATGTTAAAAGTTAATTTTTAAAAAGTCATAACTAAACACAGGTGGGGCAAACAGTAGATTGGGGGAAGCTACGGCAAAAATAGCAGAAAGTCTAGTGTCTTTATGACACAGTCAGGAATGTGCGCGCTGCTATCCGACGGATGAGGTCTTCCAGCACACTATGGTGTACAATTTCTGCAACCCCTCTGTTTTCTGTCTCTCCTTTGAAAGTTGATCGGGCAGGAAAGTGTGAGAAGTGACCCCCGAGTGTGCTTCCTCTGTGGCAGGTTTTAGTACAAGAGAAGCATTGTCTTTTCTTACTGGACTCACCCCTCTTTTGGAAGCAAAAGGTTTCTTTTGCCTTGAAGAGTGCCAACTTGGTCTTGTTCTCTCTCTGAACCCCAAAGCATTTTAAAATAAAATGACTGTACTCAGAATCTTCTCAATTTTCTAATACCTCTTGGCTGTAAAATATTAAAACAAAAGTCTTGTTTCACTGAGCAACCTCAAGCCATGTTTTAGGAATTATGGAAAAGAGGTTATGAAGTCTCTTTACTTAAGATGAGCTTTCCCAGCCATTTTAGATAAAACTAGTATTTTATCTTGATATTACTGAAATCGTACCAAAGAACTTTGAAAGCATTTTAAAAAGCAGAGAAACCAAGGACTTGATGATCTCAAGGCTTAAAGTCTGCAGCCTGCATTTGCTAGAGCAAGACTTGAAGGGATCTTGCAAGATGCCTTCAGTGAGTGTAATTTAACAGAGTGCCATAGACAGAGTAAAACTTTATTAAAATAGAGTTCTTATTTGTTTTGTCCATTTGAGCATCAAGTCTTGGTTCAAAGAGTCAAGCAGAGTCCAACTACTTATATATAATAATTTTTATGGGACTTTTGGAGGATGACTACAAAACTTCAGAATCCATACTCTGAAATAAGAACTAATGTTTCTAATCAAACACATCCACACATAAATATGTGTAAAATATTATTTTTTCATAAAATCCAGATCCTGCAGAATAAAATATTATTATGTGGGATTCTGATACCAGTTCAAGTTCCTCCTCAGTATTTGAAGACAAATCTTTTTTTTTTTTTGAGATGGAATCTTGCTCTGTCCCCTGGGCTGGAGTGCAGTGACGTGATCTCAGCTCACTGCGATCTCCACCTCCTGGGTTCAAGTGATTTTCCTTCCTCAGTCTCCTGAATTAGCTCCCAGCTAATTTTTGTATTTTTAGTAGAGACGGCATTTCACTATGTTGGCCAGCCTGGTCTTGAACTCCTGGCCTCAAGTGATCCGCCTCACTTGGCCTTCCAAAGTGCTGGGATTACAGGCGTGAGCCATCACGCCCCACCCAATATGTGATGATAACTCTGAAAAGTCAAATAGTTTTGGTTCTTATCCAGCCTGGCTTTGCTTTCCCTGCGTTTCTCCATGTTTGCATTAGAATGTCCCTTGCTTATTTCACATTGTGGCCTTATCAGGATTTGTACACAGTTCTTAGTCTTTGTATCTACAAATGCTCTAAGTTCACTTTCAGTATAGAATTTTGATGCACTACAATTTGTCCAGTAACATGTTCACCATATGCTTGATGTTAACACTGGGGTAGTCACCAGCCTGTTTGTTGGGTCTAAGATTCCATTACCAGACTGCCCCATCTTGTTTTTAATTCTCTCTTCTGGTTCTTTGTTCTCCAATACTCTATGGCAGCATTTCTGAACACTGCCTGGCCATTAGAATCACCTGGGGGCGGTTTTTAAAATTTATTTATTTACTTATTATTAATTTTTTTTGAGAAGGAGTCTCACTCTGTTGCCTAGGCTGGAGTGCAATGGTGCAATCTTGGCTCACTGCAACCTCCACCTCCTGCATTCAAGGGATTCTCGTGCCTTAGCCTCCTGAGTAGCTGGGATTACAGGCTCATGCCACCATGCCTGGCTAATTTTTGTATTTTTAATAGAGACGGGGTTTCACCATGTTGCCCAGGCTGGTCTTGAACTCCCGACCTGTGGTGATCCACCCACTTCAGCCTCACAAAGTGTTGGGATTACAGGCATGAGCTACTGTGCCTGGCCAGGGGAGGTTTTAAAACATACAGACGCCCAGGTCCCGTCCAAGACTAATCAGAATCTCTGGGAGTGAGACTTGAGCATCAATATATTTTTAAAGCTCCCTAGTGATTCTAATGTGCAGACTGGTTTCATAAATTTTACTCTAGGGTTAAAAGGGGGAAGATTTTTATGCTGTTTCTTTTGGTAGCAATTCACCCCCTTTTTGGATGCCAAAAGTAAATTAATCATCTGATTCTACAACACAGTGATACTTCCAGCATAACTCTATTAAACATCTCCCTAGAAGCAGTAGTTCATGAAAGCATTTCACGTCCAATATTATGTAGGTAGGTAGCTAGCATTAAGTATAGGATAGCCTTCTTCAAGAATTGAGCTTCTGATTCTAGTTGCTTGTATGTTGACATTCATGGAATAGGCAGATGGGATAGATGACTGTCATCAATGTTAAGTTGGAGAAGAACTGATAAATTTTCTTTTTATTCTTGGGGTATAATTTCTATGATGAGTTTAGATCTACAGGGTTTCTGAAATATTGCACTTCCTCTGTCTTCGATTTGTCTAATCCTTGCATGTAGGAATTTGAAGGTGCTACCTCACCTGCTATCTTCATGCACAGTGATAGGTTGAAACCTTGGGAGGGAGTTGCTTTCTGGAATAATGAGGTTAAAGCCTTGGGAAGGAGTTGCTTTCTGGAATAATGAGGTTAAAGCCTTGGGAGGGGGTTGCTTTCTGGAATAATGAGGTTAAAGCCTTGGGAGGGAGTTCCTTTCTGGAATAATGCTTGATCACACTGTCCTGTAGGGGAGACTAGTGTGGGGTGTAATATCTCTTTTTCATAGCTGTTGTGTATGAGGCCAGAGGCTAAACTCTGAGGGACAGTGCTTTATTTGAGACCAAGATGCATGTCCAAGATTGGTCATAAAAACAAAAAGCAGGCATGAGGCTAGATTTAGAAGCTTAAAGCCTCGCTTTGAGCCCAGCTTTGAGATCAATAGAGGTTGATGAACTAGGAATAATGAGAGGTGCATAGATCTGAATAGTAAATGTGAAGTGATTTTAACGAATTCTGAAGATAGAAGTCAGTGATTTTCACTAATTTTTCACATTGTCATGCTAGGTATCTCTATAGGGGAATATTATTTACTGGTGGCCGAGATGGTTGAACACAAAATAAACATTCCAAGGGCTTTTTTGTCTGAATTGTTTGGTACATCCAGAGGTATTGATATTGCTTATGCAAAAATCAACTTTGTGTCTGCCTCAGTTGTCATCCGTTTCAAATTCATAGTAAAAATAATGATGTTTCACTGAAGTTTACTAAGGCATAGTTTGTAACTCTTGCCAATATAAATCCATTAATTCCTTCATTTTTTCATTCGGAAAACATTTATTGGTTGCTGCTATGATTTGGATATGGTTTGCTTGGCCCCATGAAGTCTTACGTTGAAATTTGATTCCTAATGTTGGAGGCAGGCCCTGGTGGGAGGTGTTTGGGTCGTGGGGGTGGATCTCTCATGAATGACTCAGTGCCCTCCTCAAGGTAATAAATGAGTTCTTGCTCTATTAGGTCCGGAGAAAGTTCCCTTAGAAGCTGGTTGTTAGAAAGAGCTTGGCATCTTCCTCCTCGCTCTTGCCTCCTCTCTCAGCAGGTGATCTCTGCACACCAGCTCCCCTTCCCCTTCTGCTGTGAATGGAAGCAGCCTGAGGCCCTCACCAGATGCAGACGTCAGCGCTGTGCTTCTTGCACAGCCTGTGGAGCTATGAGCCAAATAAACCTCTTTTCTTTATAAATGTCCCAGCCTCAGGTATTCCTTTTATAGCAACACAAACTAACTAAAACAGATTTCTACCATATGCTAGACCTATGATACAATACTTATAGAATTCATTTCTGATACTTAAAATTTTTTTTGAGATATAATTAATATTTCCTAAAATTCACCCATTTAAAGTGTACAATAGATGCATTTGTTATTCTGGAGATTTGCCTATAGATTTTTTTTAATGTCTGGACATTTGATATAAAGAGAATCACATGATAAGTGGTCTTTTGTGTCTGGTTTCTTTCACTTCATAATGTTTTCAAAGTTCATTCACCTTGTAGCAGGTATCAGTACTTCATTACTTTTTATTGCCAAATAATATTCCACTATATGGATTGATCACATTTTATTTATCTAGCATCAGTTGACGGACATTAGGGTTGTTTCTGTTTTTGCCTATTATGAATAATGTTGCTATGAACATTTGTGTACAAGTTTCTCTTGTGTATATGCCTAGGAGTGGAACTGCTGGGTCATATGGTAATTCTGTGTTAAGAAACTACCAAACTGTTTCTAAAGTGACTGTATCTCTTTACATTCCTACCAGCAGTGTATGACAGTTGTAATTTCTCCACATCCTTGCCAACACTTGAGTGTTGTGCTGAACAATCTTTTTGACATTCTTGGTTTTCCAAGTTTAATGATATGTGTATGGTGTTTACAATCCTTTGGATTTTCTAAATAGTACATAACAGTACAGAAAATTGTCTACTTTGAAATTGTGCTTTCTCAATGAAATATTTTATCTGATAAAGTTTTAGTGTTTAAAAAAATAAAATGCAGTATGAGAGTCCTTTCAGCAAAATAAAGTAGACTGTGTGAGATATATCAACTCTGAATGAGCTCTATGAATGAAAATTACTTTGTACAGGAACGTGAAACCCCTGGCATAGGAAACTCTCAGTGTTTTGAGAACTGGGGCTGTGTGGTGAAGCTGGAGCCAGAGCCTGGTGGTTGTTTGCTGGTCACTATGGGAGAATACAAGGGATCAACACAACCTCTCAAAAGGCTTCCTCTTGAAAAATGAAAAATATGATTGGCAGGAGTGAGGAAAAACATCAAGATTGAGAACAGGACTGGCTCCCTATTCTAAGGCTGAATAATGACCTTTGGATTAGGACATGAAAACAAGAGAGCTCTGTATTGCTACTGCCAGCTCTAATGGGCATGCTCTGTCCTAGGCTAGTAATCTTTTACTGCAGGTAACAGCTGGGGGAAGGAATGGGAGACAAACCTGCTGACCTCAGCAAGCTCTTTATTGTCAGCCTGCCCAACAACACACTGATAGCAGAGTTCTAATCCTACCAGCTTTTCATCCTTTCCAACCCTGGCTACCCTCAAATGCAAGCCCTTCTTGTCACCTAATCATTCCCATACTTGCTTGCATTCTTGTATTATGCTATAGTCCTCTTCCTTGACGCAAATCCACACTACTCTCCCCTTTCCAAGTGATTCCTCTGTGCTCTTTGGCACTCCATGCTAAACAAACTCTGTTATCTTTTATGTCTTTTCTGAACGATCCTTCCACCTCCTGCCTTAACTGAAATGATGCTCTCATTCGAGCAGCGACCCCTTCCTCTGTAGCCTTCTCAAGAGGCTGCTCCTTCACCGCAGTCTCAGCTACTACTCAGATCAACATCCTCCCTGATTCCATTGCATTCACAACCCATTGCTCTTCCAGTTGCATGGGAAAATGACCTTCTTGTGAAATTCATTTTATCCAGGTAAACCGTTTTCTAAGTTCAGATCATGCATGTCATCCATGACTGTGAGTCCTATGACCATATTCATGGACTACTCTGGTACTTGGCTCAGTCTTCTCTCCATCCAGACTCCTTGTATCATCTGAGCAAATACCATATTCATGGGACAATATCCCAAGACCCTATCCTCACAGTTCCTTGACATTTTAAACTTGAATGACTCTCAACCACCCACTTTCAGGGTTATACCTTAGCTTCATCATCATACCAAAAGTAGCAATCTCTTAAATCTTATTTATTTTATTTTATTTTTAGAGATTCATTCTTGCTATGTTGCCCAGGAACACCTGGGATCTTGTGATCCTCCTGCTGCAGCCTCCAGAGTCGCTGGGACTACAAGCATGAGCCATCACGTCCTTAAATCTTATATCCTAATAGCTTACTGTTTGCCATGAACTATTCATCCTGCTCTCTGTCTTCCTTGTTCTATGCTTGTTCTTTGGCCTTATTCTGGATCTACTTTCTCTAAACTGAAAATGTTTAAGAGTGAGAAACAAGTGAGGTTTTGGTTATATTTTGCTGGGTTTATACCCACAATTATTGTTCACTAGTTGTCTATTTTTACCATCTCTTATTTATTTGGAGTTCTTCTTCGAGTAATTTTTTTTTTCCAGGAAAGGTAATTTTGGGGCCTTTGCATACCTGAGAATGCTTTTCTGTTACTTTCACAAGTATTGTGAAATGAACCTCTTTTCTTTATAAATTTCCCAGCATCATATAAAATTATAAAAACATATAAATTGTGTTGCCTGTACACAGATTTCTTTTTACTGTCTTTTCCCCAAAAAACTCAGAAAAGCATTGCTGCACAGCACTTATTGTGGACTAGTATCTGGGGCCAGACTGAACTTTCTTTGTACTCTAGTGGACTGTGGTAGTTTTATTTTTTTTCCCTACCCAGTTCTTCTGGTTCCTTAGGGAAAATCTACATGGTCCCGTTGACCTGTCAATAATGATGCCATGCGGGCCCCCACCCCACCCTGCACTCCCACAGGGTGTGTACTTAATGCAGGCTGATCAATCAAAGCACTGCAATCACTAGAGATACTGACTGCTTCTTGGATGGAACCTGAGTCAGCCGGGGCCAGCCAGAATCTTCCCTGGGGCTAATACAAGGAGTTGGGAGAAATAGTTATTTCTGGTGGGTTTGATAATTGAGGGAATGGGAGTCTGGGGTTACTGATTGCTATGTTGAGAGAGAGAGGATGGGGAGAGAGCAAGAGTGAAAGCAATAGAGAGAGGGAGAATATGAACATGAATATGAAGGTAAGCAGAGGCACACAGAACTGAGAAGTGGAAAGAGAAAGACAGCCCTGAAGGTATCATTTGAAGCCTCGATTCAGTTGACTCTGAAGCAAAATTCATCCTAGACTTCCCAGATTACATGAATCAAAACATTTCTTAAGCTAATTTGAGTTGAGTTTCTTTCACTTGCAGCTGAAGGGTTTTTTTTTAATTAAAAATAAAAAAATCATTTTAGGCTGGGTTCAGTGGCTCATGCCTGTAATCCTCACACTTTGGGAGGCTGAGGCAGGCAGATCACTTGAGTTCAGGGGTTTGAGACCAGCCTGGGCAACATAGCAAAACCCGTCTCTACAAAAAATACAAAAATTACTTGGGTGTGGTGGTGTGTGCATGTAGTCCCAGTTACTCAAGAAATTGAGGTATGAGGATCACCTTAGCCCAGGGAGGTCAAGACTGCAGTGAGCTATGACCACACCACTGCACTCCAGCCTAGGTGGCAGAGTGAGAAGGTGTACCAAAAAAAAAAAATTCTTTTAGAGATAGGGTCTTGCTGTGTTGCCCAGGCTGGCCTTGAACTTCCAGGCTCAAGCAATTGCTTCCACTCCAGCCTCCTGAATAGCTGGGACTACAAGTATGTGCTACCAGGCCTGGCATGCTGAAGGATTTTGACCAGTAGTGTCTTAGTCCATTTGGGCTGCTATAATAAAATACCACAGACCAGATGACTTATAAACAACAGAAATTTATTTCTCACAGTTCTAATGGCTGGGAAGCCTGAGATCAAGGTGCCGGCAGATTAGTAGATGTCTAGTGAGGGCTCATTTCATGATTCATAGATGGTGCTTTCTTGCTCTGTCTTCATGTGGTAGAAGGGATGAGCTGGTTTTCTGGGGTCTGTCTTATAAAGGCACTAATCCCAACCATGAAGACTCTGCCCTCATGACCTAATCACCTCCCAAAGGCCTGGTTTCCTAATACCATGACCCTGGGAGTTAGAATTTCAGTATATGAATTTTGGGGGCACATAAACATTTAAACCATAGCAAGTAGTAATAAATCTACTTTTCCCCCTTTGAATAGTTGTAGAATTCTTCCCCTGATGAAATTTTAAAACATCTGCAGATTATGGCTAAAATGAGATATTTTCTCAGCAGATTTGCCTGAATTGGTAAAATCAGAATCATAAAAGTTGTTTTTTTCTATTATTTCTCTGAATACTGCTTTTGTTCTATTTGTCCTTTTCTCCAAATGTTGAACTTCTTAAAACCAGTAATCTATATTTATCACCTGTTTAGTTTGTTCCCATGCTGCTATGAAGAAATACCTGAGACTGGGTAATTTATGAAGAAAAGAGGTTTAATTGACTTACAGTTCTGCATGGCTTGGGAGGCCTCAGGAAACTTACAATCATGGCAGAAGGGGAAGCAACACATCATTCACATGGCCCCAGGAGAAAGAAAAATGAGAACCGAGTGAAGGGGGTGTAAAACCATCAGATCTCGTGAGAACTTACTATCACAAGAATAATATGAGAGGAACCACCTCCATGATTCAGTTACCTCCCACTGGGTCCCTCCTGCGACAGGTGGGGATTATGGGATTACAATTCAAGATGAGATTTGGGTGGGGACACAAAACCAAACCATATCATTACCTTTCTTGACATTTCATCTTCTTGATCTTTTTCTCTGTAGTCTGAGAAACCTTCCAAAGTTTGTCCTCCATATTACTGATTTTTTTTTCTACATTATATATTTGGTCTTGACTACTTCCAATGAAATTTTGCCTTCTCTTGCACTATTTATTTCCCAACATTCCTTCTGTATCAAATTCAGATTTATTTTTAAATTTCTGCCTATTTTGTAGCCTCTGCCTTTGAATCTATAGTTTTAATGAGTCCATATTTTCTCAAATTTGTGGAAAGCAAAAGAAATTCACCTGAAGTTTTTCTTCCTATAACAAATATTTTTCAAATGCATATGCTTCTTCCATAGAATATTTTCATAAGCTGTTTTTTTCCTTCTACTTATATCTTCTTGAATAAAGAGAGATCTATTTGTCCTTAGTGTTTACCTGTTCATCCACAAACAAGGTGGCTGAATTATCCTTGGATCTACTCCCTATACACCTAATCACTATTAAATTTTTCTTTTCAGGTTTTAAGCTGGAGGACTAATTGTTGTATATGTATATTTCCAGCACATTGAAGTGAGTGAAGGACCATGATCCTAGGCTGTTACATGGGCAAGAACTTGGTGTTTATTTATCTTCCTCTTTCCCTGAAGCTGTTGTACTTGGTGCTAATTATTTGTGCCCAGCAATCCATGCGGCATGGCTCTGTCTGTCCTCCAGTCTTGTTCTGCTGCCCACTGCCTTGAAAGCCTTGCCTCACTGGGGAGAAGTGCTGTTGTTTCACAGAAGTCTTACCACACTGCCTGCTTCCTTCTTGGCAGAACAACACCACAATACTTGAAATCTCCTGAAATAGTTGCTTTTGATTGTTGCTATCTCCATCAGTTTGGGAGGCTATAACAAAGTACCATAGACTGAGTGGCTTCTAAAAAGCAGAAATTCATTTTTCACAGTTTTGGAGGCTGTGAAGTCCAAGATCAAGGTTCTGTGGATTCAGTGTCTGATGAGGACCTACTTCCTGGCTCATAGACAGCACCTTCTTGCTGTGTCATCACATAATGGAAGGGGCGTGGGATCTCTCTGGGGCCTTTTTTTACAAGGGCACTGCTCCCATTCATGAGGGCTCCACCCTCAGAACCCAGTCGCTACCCAAAGGCCCTACCTCCGAATCCCATCATGTTGTGAATTAGGTTCAACATTTGAATTTTGGGGACACATAAACATTCAGTCTGTAGCACTACCCAGAGATACTGGTATAATTCTAAGGAGTGCTTCTCTTTTATTCCCTGCTGCCCCATCCCAGTCCTTGCTCCTTTACATTTGTGAAGGTTACCAGGGGTATGCCAGGATGTTGTCCACTTACTTTTTTTTCATTAGAGGCTCATCAGTGTTGTCTCTAGGCATTATCTTTCCATCTGGTTTCATCAGAATCATTCAGAACCCATACAAAAGAATCCTTTCTCAATTTTTAGCATGGATTCAGGTTTTCTCCCGTGTTCCTTTTTTTAATTTCTATGGGGTTTGGGAGGAATAGATGAAAGTTAGGCCCAGTTTTGCCAAATATCTTAAGTCTGACTCCTTTATTTCATCCCCATTGTTACTGCCTTATCTCATATCTGAGCGTATCTAACTCTTTATTGCAAGAGTCCCCTACCAGCTCTTCCTGCCTCTTTTTTGTCATTGTTCTTCTAATGTTGGTGTTCAAGTGAACAATGGTTTGAATCCTAGGAGATATTTTATTGTATTAGAATTGTGTTCAATTTCAAGTAATTAAAAATGGCGCTACCGTAGCTTAAGTAAGTCCAGGGGTGGTCAGTCCAGGACCAGTGGAGTGACTTGATGATACCATCAAATCCAGGACCTTTCTGCCTTCCTGCCTTACCATTTTCAGTGATGTCTGCTGTACCTCCAGGCTGTGCATGTAATAGTGAGAGGAAGGCTAAGGAAAAGAGGCAGCATCAAGAGATTCTGCTTATGTTTCTTTGTCTGGGAATATGCCTCATGGCCATGACAGCTGACAGGAGGCAGGGAAATTGAATCTTTTACAGACTTCATGGCAGAGAGGCAAGCAAGAAAGAAATGGGTTGGGGAAGGAAGTGGGTCAGCTAAATTCTCTTGTCCACCACCTTCTTAGTTCCCAACACCTGTTTGTAAAAGGAAAAAACAATGATAGGATATGGCTACTTTATTAGTCTGTTTTCACGCTGCCGATAAAGACATGCCCAAGACTGTGTAATTTATAAGAAAAAGAGGTTTAAAGGACTCACAGTTCCATGTGGCTGAGGAGGCCTCACAATCATGGTGGAAGGTGAAAGGCACGTCTCACATGGTGGCAGACAAGAGAGTTTGTGCAGGGAAACTCCCCTATATAAAACCATCAGATCTTGTGAGACTTATTCACTATCACAAGAACAGCACAGGAAAGACAGCACAGGAAAGACCCGCCCCCATGATTCAATTACCTTCCACTGGGTCCCTCCCAGGATACATGGGAATCGTGGGAGCTACAATTCAAGATGAGGTTTGGGTGGGAACACAGCCAAATCATATTCACACTCAGGGCCCAGGATATTGTTTCTAGACAGAGGGAAAATAACAGGAGGAGGAGAATGGCTCCAAGTGGATGTTTCTCATTTTTTCCCTTAGCTCCCATCTCTAAATCTCTGTCCCTCCAAATTAAGGGATATAATGTTTCCCTCCAAATTTCTTCCATTTTATGCCATCACACTGCGCAATTATTTCAGGAACAGTGATATGTGGGTTTAATAGTTGTTAAGGTTGAAACATTCCCCTGGATTTTACATGGATTATTTTTGTTGAATAATTGTGCTTTTTTTTTTTTAAAAAAATTGTCGTCTATTTTAGGGAGGGGTGATTTGTGTGTGTGTGTGTGTGTGTGTGTGTGTGTGTGTATGTCACAGAATTACCCAGAATTTATATATATATGTATATATATATGAATATATATACATATATATATGTATATATATATGAATATATATACATATATATATGTATATATATATGAATATATATACATATATATATGTATATATATATGAATATATATACATATATATATGTATATATATATGAATATATATACATATATATATGTATGTCACAGAATTACCCAGAAATGTCCTTGTTTTTTAGATAAAGATGTTTTTGTGGCTCCAGATCTTCAGTACCTTGCTTTTCTTATTTCTAATAGTCCAGCAGTGTCTTTTTTTTTTTTTCCATCCTTTCCCTCTATGCTCTGACTGCTCCTTGGCATTTTGGACCACTCCAGAACATTAAGTGGATTTTTCCATTTCCTTTTTGCATCTCAATGGCCACAGCAGGTTCACAGCTGCAGCACAACTGTGGAGAAGGTCAGAGAATGCTAATGGGACATTTAGCAGCAAGTGTTCCTGCTTGACTTTTCGTTGAAAATAAAATTGAATTGACAGAAGGAGAAAGTGCAATTCTAACAATGTAGAAACAGTTTCAAGGTAGGGCTTTTAGATTAGTCATCGATAGATATAATTAAAGATATCATTTCACAAGAAATAATATCCTTACTCTAAAAATGGCATTTTGAGTGAATTTTGATTCATTATGATGTGAGTCACCAGACATACCCTACCGAGTACTTCTTCTGTAACATGTTAGAGAGATTTGGAATGTGCCTAGTAAATATGCAGTAAAATGTGTACGTTATAATTATGTTGAAATTTGAACATGGGGATAAATGATAATTTGGGGATGTATACTACTACAATTGTAATTCAAAAGACATTTTATCCACCTACTTATGGAAACATCGTTCCCTGTGAGTACAGTATTATGTACTCTTGCTTTCCCCCTTAGGCAATGTGATAAAGTGAAAAGGTCAGGTGATTTAAGATTAGAAGCTCTAAGTACAAGCCTTGGATCTCACATTTACCGGCTATGTGAATTCAGATGAATCACTTGATTCCTGACTCCAGTTTTATCATCCACAGAACGATGATAGTAGAATACTTCACAGAGTTGTTGGAAGTATCACATGGCAGGATGTAGTTTGCAAATTGCAAAGCATTATATATAAGTACGTACTATTTTGTGAACTGCTTTTTTTTTTTTGACGGAAGTGCAATGGCGTGATCTTGGCTCACTGCAACCTTGGCCTTTTTTAGGCAACAAAGCTACAGTACACTTTTCCAGTGGATGCATGTTATTCCATTATATGGATGATTCCAACATTTAAGTTATTTCATATATATATATGAGAAACACATACATATTATATATATAAATTATTATAAATACTGCTGCAATAAACAGCCTTGTAGACAATCCTTTGCTCACATACATTATTATTATTACTATTTTTTGAGATAGAGTCTCACTCTGTCACCCAGGCGGGAGTGCAGTGGCACAATCTCAGCTCACTGCAACCTCTACCTCCTGGGTTCAAGCAATTCTCCTGCCTAAGCCTCCCGAGTAGCTGGGATTAGAGGCGCCTGCCACCCCACCTGGCTAATTTTTTATATTTTTGGTAGAAACATGGTTTCACCATATTGGCCAGGCTGGTCTCAAACTCTTGACTTCAAGTGATCTGATCGCCTCGGCCTCCCAAGGTGCTGGGATTACAGGTGTGGGCCACCACGCCTGGCCTCATTATTATTTTTTAAAGAAAATATTAGTTCACCTTGAACATTCCTGCAGCTCAACGACATGTAGAAGTTAGTTAAGCCCTTATCTGATTCCCAAATATTCACAGTCTAATGCTAACTCTGCCTTCTATATTTGATTGGTTAGATTACATTCTCTTTTAGTTCAGAAAACATGCCTATTGACCACTTTATCTTCATTTGTGAGGTGATTGAACAAATGACTCCATTAATTGTTGCTGTTATTTTTATCATAATTTTTCTCATTAGAAAAACTTCTTACGTTGTATGTTCTGTTCACTTACAGTCGTGTGTTGCTTAATGATGGGGTTACGTTCTGAGAAATGTGTTGTTAGGTGATTTTGCTGTTGTGCTAACATCATAGAGTGTACTTTCTGAGAAAGAAAAAAACTTTTAATCTAGGAATGTAAACCCCCTTTAGTGATCAGGCCCAGAGAAGCACTGAAATGCAATAGCAGTCACGTCTTACTCCCCCTTGAGCAAAATTATAACCTCCTGAAGCCACCTCTTATGTGGGCTCTGGACTAACTTACTCCAAGGAGCCGTAAAATGCAATATGTTGGACACCGTAATTTATACCCTGTGGTTCAACGATGTACAGCCAATCACTAACCCATGTTATTTCTGTAAACCAGGGAGAATTCCTGTAAAACACCTTTCTCTCAGCCCACTTCTTAACCCTTTTGCCTTTAAAAAACCTGCTTGCCAACATGGCAAAACCCTGTCTCTACTAAAAATACAAAAATTAGCCAGGTGTGGTGGATTACGCCTGTAATCCCAGCAGCTACTCAGGAGGCTGAGGCAGGAGAATCACTTGAACCTGGGAGACATAGGTTGCAGTGAGCTGAGATCGTGCCATTGCACTCCAGCCTGGGTGACAGATCGAGACTCTGTCTCAAAAAACAAAATCAAACAAACAAAAAACCCTGCTTGTAGCAAAGGCTGAAGGGAGCACTCCCCAAGGCAACTTGGAAGTGTGTCCCAGGCTGTGGTCCTCGACCTTGGGCCAAATAAACTCTCTATATTAATTTTGCCTCCATTTCTTTCTTTAGGTCAACATTACACCAACCTAGATCATATAGCTTACTATACACCTAGACTAAATGGTATAGCCTATTGCTCCTAGGCTACAAACTGGTACAGCATGTTACTGTACTGAATACAGTAGGCCGTAGTAACACAAAGGTAAGTATTTATGTATCTAAACATATCTAAATATAGAAAAAGTGCAGTCAAAATTAGCATTGTAGTCTTGTGGGACCACCACCATATATGTGGTCCATCTTTGAACAAAACATTGTTGTGGCACATGACTGTATTTCTGTTTCTCATTTGAATCACTTATTTCTCCCAAACATGGTATGAGACAGTTATTAGACAGAAATGATCTGGATGAAAGTCCTGTATGGTTTGTTTCTCAAAGTAATTTTATTCTAAATATCCATAATCTTTACAATAAGCAGCAACAAGAGTACATACAACAGCTGTTTCTCTGTCTTGTACTCTTAATTTCTCTTCCCATCATTTCTGAATGATTTCTAGATCAATTTATTAATTATGGTTTCAGCCTCATTTTTATCCTGTTCGTGGAGAATTGTGCCAATATTCTCCAGTGTACTCACCTTACAAAGAGAAATCCTAAAGCATTTATATGAGCTTAAGTAGAGAGAGAACATGAAACCTTCAGTAGGCATATGGAAGCCTAGTGCTGTTTTTGTTCGTCCTACCATGAGAAGGTCATGCACCGGTGGATCACAGAAGCAGAGTGAAGATTTAAATTTCTTCATAATCATTGAGAAGATTTTGTTATAAATTCTTCTAAAGGTCTATTTCAAATACACTTTGGTTAAAGTATATGTTAAGAAAGGAAACATATTTTCATTTATGTTTTCTAAAAAAGGGCAAGTATAAAAGTAGACTAATTTGCTTCTGAGCACAGCTTTGGTTTCCTCTCATATTATTTTCCAAAAAATCAGTAGAGTAGTCCTCCCTTATTCGCAGGGGATATGTTCCAAGACCCTTAGCAGATGCCTGAAACCATGGATAGTACTGAACCCAATCGCTGTTAATAGAAACATGTTTAGGTCTTCCACCCACAGATTTAATGCCTTTTCCATCTTCACGAAGCACTTATCATGCACTGTGGACTTTTGCAGTTTGAGGTGCAACAGCAAAACTAGCATGAATTTCTTTTTTCTTCACAATTTCACTGATAAAATCTTGTTCTTATGGTAGATTTTAGCAACCTCAATATACAATGTTTTTTATTTCCTTACTAACTTGAAAACTTTCACCTTTTTGCTTAAGGGAAGCACCTCACAGCTTCTCTTTGGTGTATCAGAATTGCCATTGTCACTATGCTTGTGCTTTGGGGCCATTATTTAGTAAAGTAAGGATTCCTTGAACATGAGCACTGGATACCATGACAGTAGAATGGATAACTGAGACAACTAATAAGTCACTAGCGAGCATGTAGTGTAGACAGTGTGGATACTCGTGATAAAGGGATGATTCATGTCCTGGGTGGGACAGAGTGGGATGGTGCAAGATGTCATCGTGCTACTCCAAACAGTGTGCAATTTAAAACTTATTATGTGTTTATTTCTGGAATTTTCCATTTAATATTTTCAAACCATGATTGACCTCAGGTAACTAAAACCAGTGGGGTTGTGGGGTATACTAGTAATTGCTATTTTGATTTCTTTTTTGTGTATCTGATACTTTTTATGACAAAAGTGTTCAATCATACAGAAAATTTCAGAGAGTAACACAGTGTAACAGATACTTTCCATCTAGATTCAATCATTGTTAACCTTTTGCTGCTTGCTTTAGCTATAGATCTATGTTTATTTTTTGCTCAAGCATTTGAACCTAAGTTTCAGATAATGTGACATTTCACCTTTAAGTACTTCAGCATGCATCTCCTAAGAAGGAGATGTTCTCCTAAGTTACCACAATAATATTGTCACACCTAGGAAAATTCATAGTAATTTCATAATACAGTATTCTCTATGATCCAGTTTGTAATCAAGTGTATCAAAATTTTCCCTCAAAATATTTTTAAACTAGGATCCAATCAAGATTCATCATCACATTGATTATTAGATCTCTTTAGTCCCTTGTTCTAAATATTGTTTCCCAGGGACACTGACTTTTCAGTTCTAGGCAGTTGTCCTGCAGAATGGTCTGCTTCTGGGGTTGTCTATTTCCTTATAATTAAACTTTTTTTGTCAGAGATATGTCAAAGGTGATTCTGTGATTTTCATATTACATCCCACCAGGAGGTATACCAACCATGTTGTTATTAATACAACACTAGTGATGCCAACTTTGGTTTTTTTACTTGGTTAAGGTTGTGAATGCTAGATATCTCCATTATAAAGGTACATGTTTTCTACTGCAATTAATACACAATGTGTGGGATGGTATTTGGTGCCATGCCAATATCCTGTTTTCCAAGAATCTTTCATCTAATGGATTTTAGCATTCATTGATGCTAACATGAGCATTATTACACTAAGAGTTGAAAATGGTGATTTTCTAATTCTGTCTCACCCCTTTTACAGTTATTAGCTGCGACTCCTCTTAAAAAAAAAAAGAGTCTGTGTCTCTCTCTCCTCTTCTCACTCTCTTTTCCTTCTTCTCTTTCTGACACCATTATCCAAACATGGGTTTTATTGTACATATTAGTTCAGTTACTGTTGTTGTGTATTATGACACCCATACTGTCCCAAAATGGCAAACGTGAGCCCCTTCAAACTAGCTCTGTGCGTGACTGACATGCCCCACTGGCCTTTGAGAATGCCTTTGCTTTGAGAATGCCCTTGCTTTGAGAATGCCCCTGCGTTTTCCCTATTCCAGACCTCGTATTAGTCATTCCAAGGAACCCTAGCTCTTTTTAGTATAGAATAATATTTAGAAACCAAAATTTAGGTGTTAAGTATACTCCTTGATTTTGCTGTATCATCTGCTTCCAGGATCTTTTAGTGTATAGATCTAGAAAATATATATTTTTTAAAAATCATGAGGTTACATTAATATTTCCAAATCAAATTTTCATTATTGGCTATTGTCCTATTGTCTTTGTTTACTTGTCTCTGTTGTTCTTATACTATATGTCTTTGTTCTTTTTTTTTGAGATTGAGTCTTGCTCTGTCATCCAGGTTGGAGTACAGTGGTGCAATCTCAGCTCATTGCAGCCTCCACCTCCTTATTTCAAACGATTCTTCTGCCTCAGCCTCCTGAGTAGCTGGGACTACAGGTGTGTGCCACTACACCCGGCTAATTTTTGTAGTTTTTTTTAGTAGAGTCAGGGTTTCACCATGTTGGCCAGGCTGGTCACGATCTCCTGACATCAAGTGATCTGCCTGCCTTGGCCTCCCAAAGTGCTGGGATTATAGGTGTGAGCCACCACGCTTGGCTGATGTCTTTGTTCTTAATAGTAGTATATTTACTTGTTTTCTACTACAATATATATCAAATGGGTTTAAAATTAAAATAGATATACTATTACTACAACAAACCTACTATATTTTTGTTCTTTCAATAGACTTCTCTAAGAATATGCAGTCAGCGTACTATGCTTAAAAGTTTTGGAAATAATTCTTTATGTGATGATGTAGCCAATTTGACAGGTTCACCTGTTTCTGTTTGAGTACAAGCAAAACAATTTTTTCTTTTTTATTTAATTTTTGAACATGTTTAAATCATTTACATGGTTCAAAATTTGAAGCTATATAAAAAGGTATACTTGGAGAAATCTTACTTTCATTCCTATCTTCTTGATCTCATACTCCCATAGGTATCCTTTTTTTTTTTTTTTTTTTTTTTTTTTTTTGAGACAGAGTCTTGCTCTGTCGCCCATGCTGGAGTGGTGCAGTGGCACGATCTCTGCTCACTGCAAGCTCCGCCTTCCAGGTTCACACCATTCTCCTGCCTCAGCCTCCTGAGTAGCTGGGACCACAGGCGCCCGCTACCACACCCAGCTAATTTTTTGTATTCTTTAGTAGAGACGGGGTTTCACCAGGTTAGCCAGGGTGGTCTCGATCTCTTGACCTCGTGATCCGCCCGCCTTGGCCTCCCAAAGTGCTGGGATTACAGGCGTGAGCCACCGCGTCCGGCCAGTATCCATTTTTAATAGTTTCTTGTGTATCTTTCAACATTGTGACTGCATAGTTCTCTGGTGTGTGGTGTGTGGCTATCCTAGAGGTTAATCAGTCCCCTCTTGATGGGTGTATGCATTGATTCCAGGCAAATAGTGTTGCACTGAATAACCTTGAGCAAAGCATGAAGATATCTCTTTAGGGTGAATTCCCAGGTAAGGGATTGCTAGTGAATGAATATGTTGTTTTGTGAGAAATTGCCAAAGTCTCCTCCAAAAATGGTATTTGCATTTTGTACTCTCATGATCAAATGAATAAGAGTGCTTATTTTTCAATATCTTGTCACCAAAGGTATTGTCAAACTTTTAGATTTTTGCTAATCTGAAATTGTAATTCAGTGAACAGTCATCCCACAGTATGTGCAGGGGATTGACTCCAGGACATCCGTGGATACCAAAATCCTCAGTTGCTCAAGTATCTTATATAAAATGGCATAGTATTTGCAAATAACCTATGCACATCCTCCTGTATACTTTAAATCATCTCTAGATTAATTATAATACCGAATGCAATGTAAAATCTATGTGAATAGTTGTTATACTATATTGTTGTAAATTTGTACTGCTGTATTGTTATTTTTTATTGTTTTATTTCTTGAATGTTTTTGATCCATGGTTGGTTGAATCTGCTCATGTGGAACCCACGGATATGGAAGGCTGGCTGTATTTTTGCTCACTTTTTTCTTACTAAGAGTGATGTAGAGCATATTTTCATATGTTTAAGGGACATGTTTCATTTTCTATGAATTTCTGACTTTCTCTTCTTCCATATGAATGCCATTCTTATCCATTTGGTCTAATTATGGATATGTTTTCCAAACAGCATTTTAATTTAATTTTATTTATTTATATATTTTTTTGAGATGGAGTCTTGCTCTGTCACCCAGGCTGGAGTGCAGTGGCGCGATCGGCTCACTGCAAGCTCCGCCTCTCGGGTTCACGCCATTCTCCTGCCTCAGCCTCCCGAGTAACTGGGAGTACAGGCGCCCGCCACCACGCCCGGCTAATTTTTTTGTATTTTCAGTAGAGATGGGGTTTCACTGTGTTAGCCAGGATGGTCTCGATCTCCTGACCTCATGATCCGCCCACCTCGGCCTCCCAAAGTGCTGGGATTACAGGCGTGAGCCACCACGCCTGGCCTTAGTTTTAATTTTTTTTTTCGCTTTCCACAAAACTCTTCCTAACTATAATTTATATTAACCAACTAGTGTGTAATCTTTTATTTGTTTCTCTATGCTCAAATAATCACATATATGTCTTTTTATTTTTTAAAAATGGGGTAACATTATGTACTCTTCTCTGTGCCTTCACACTTCTTTTCTCTCTTGATGATGTATCATTGGCATACCCTCCAAGTCAACCAGTGTTGTTCACTGTGTCCTTTTTAAAGGCTGTATAATATTCCACGGTATGGATTTGTGATGCTTTGTTCAAACATTTCCGTGAGATGGGCATTCCTTTTGTTTCTAATCTTTTGCTACTGCAGACATAGCTACTGTAAATATCCCTGTATCCAGTTGCTAGATTACTCAGTCTTGTAGACTGTCCCAGGAGAGGTTCAATTCAGGCATTGGGAAAAAAAGAAGCGATTGATTCTTTTCCTCTGATTCTGGAAGCAATGCTTTTATCTGAGACTCAGATTTGGGTTTGGGGGTGGGGAAGTATTACTTAAAGGTCTATTTCATATAGGAAAAGGAGTCTCCCATGTGCTGCATCCTATTCTTTGGCAAGTTACCTTGGATTTTGAGGCCAAACCCCTAAACTGTAATGAAATGCTGCTTTATTCAGCTTCGCCTATTATCTACACTTATCTCCCTAAGATAGTTGTTTTCAACCAGGGGTGATTTTGTCTCCCCGAACCCAAGGGAATATTTGGTAACGTTCGAAGACACTTTTGGTTTTTACCACTGGAAGGATGCTACTGGCATCTAGCAGGTAGAAGCCAGGGACACTGCTCAAAATACTGCAATGCACAGGGCAGTCCTCACAGCAGAGAGTTATTCAGTCCAAATGTCAACAGTAACGCTTTTTCTTAAACCTTTATTTCAGGTTCAGGGGTACATGTGCAGGTTTGCTATATAGGTAAATTCCATGTCACAGGGGTTTGGTGTACAAATTATTTTGTCACCCAGGTAATAAGAATAATACCCGATAGGTAGTATTTTGATCCTCACCCTCCTCCCACCCTCCTTCCTCAGGTAAGCCCCAGTGTCTGTTGCTCCCTTGTTTCCAGGTGTACTCAATGTTTAACTTCCACTTGTAAGTGAGAACATGTGACATCTGGTTTTCTGTTCATGTGTTAGTTTGCTTAGGTTAATGGCTTCCAGCTCCATCTACGTTGCTGCAAAGGACATGATCCTGTTTTTTATGGCAGTGTAGTATTCCATGGTGTATATGTACCGCATTTTCTTTAGCCAGTTTACCATTGATGGGTAGGTTGATTCCAAGACTTTGCTATTGTGAATAGTGCTGTAATGAACATGCATGTGCATGTGTCTTCATGATAGAATGATTGATATTCCTCTGGGTATATACCCAGTAATGGGGTTGGAGAAACTCTGTCATCAGTGAATTCACAGAGAACTTGAATGGTTGAGAACAGAATCAGAACATCATTGGTCATCTTGGTCATGACATCACCAAATGCCAACTTAGTATCTCCCCATAATTGTACCCCAATTTAATATTTAATATAATACACATAAATTCATTTCATAGCCTTAGTTTCCAGCAGAAAGCTCTATCAACAGATTGTTTATTTAAAAACTTAGGATCAGTTGAGATCCCTTCTGATAATTAGCTAGAGGACTGGCTAAGATGTGTACATACTAGACTAACTTCCCATGTTTTTACAGTATTCATTTCCTGGGGCTCTGCTGGATCGAGGTATGTGTTCCTGCTTCCACCAACTCTTTCTTTTTCCTTTTTTTTTTTTTTTTTTTTTGAGATGGAGTCTCGCTCTGTCGTTCAGGCTGGAGTGCAGTGGTGCGATCTCGGTTCACTGCAAGCTCTGCCTCCCAGGTTCACGCCATTCTCTTGCCTCAGCCTCCTGAGTAGCTGGGACTACAGGTGCCCGCCACCACGCCCGGCTAATTTTTTTGTATTTTTAGTAGAGACGGGGTTTCACCATGTTAGCCAGGATGGTCTCGATCTCCTGACCTCGTGATCTGCCCGTCTCAGCCTCCCAAAATGCTGGGATTACAGGAGTGAGCCACCACGCCTGGCCTCTTTTTCCATTTGGTATCAAGAACTAAATGGATAAACATAAAGAGGGACAATATTCTGCATGCAGGATTTGCAGCACTCTTTCTATTTCTCTTTTGTCCTGTGGTATTTTCCTTGTTGGGACTACACCTCCCCAAATGTCCTGCATAACTGACTCTAAATTCCACCCTTTTTGATGTCTGTAATTGTTTAACTTTGAATGTAAGTTGCATGAGAAAGATGAAGAGGAAGGGAAGGGGAAGAAATTAATTTTTGGATTCTTTAGAAAGCAATAGCCACACAATGTATGGAAGGCTACTTAGTTTTCTGATTGGTTTAAACCCAGGGTCTCTGAGAAAGGGGTAAGCAATGGAGGAAGTAGTGAAATCTCTACTTACAGGTTTTCAAGATGGTATTCTTCCTTTTTAAAGCAGCAAATCATATGTCAGCATGAGCCCTTGTTTATAATTCTCATTTTAGCTTTATGAATCTTATAATTTAGGAACATTCTTCCCTAATTTGGGAAAAAAGTTGTCTCTCAGATGTGATATTCATTGTTGTCATTAGCATTTGTCTCTTTCTAGATATTTTAATGAGAAGTTGAGAAAGTCTGGTTTAGACCTCCAGCCAAAACCTATCTTAATTGTGATTTTAGCTAGAGTAAATTGTTCTATGTTAATTGAGATAAAAACCTAAAGAAATCAAATTTGTTCAAAGTCTTCACTTGCCAACATTGGAAAGAAGTCCAAAAGAATCTAGCCTTACAAGGGCACTAAGTCTCAGACATTTCAGGAAAAATAGGGAGAGATATCTATCTGTCTGTGGTTGCCTCTAGCATTTTATTATTTAAGACTGCATGTCAATTTAGGGATAAGATAACAGTTGAGCCGGGTGCTGTGGCTCATGCCTGTAATCCCAGCACTTCGGGAGGCCAAGGCAGTTGATCGCTTGAGCCCAGGAGTTCAACACCAGCCTTGGCAATATGACGAGACTCTGTCTCTACAAAAGAATGCAAAACTTAGCCAGGTGTAATGGCGCTCACACTTGTTGTCCCAGGTACTCGGGAGGCTGAGGTTGGGGGATCACCTGAACTGGGGAGGTTGAGGCTGCAGTGAGCCATGATTGCACCACTGCACTCCATGCTGGGCAACACAGTGAGACCCTGTCTCAGAAAAAAAAAAAAAAAAAGAGATAACACTTAATATTAATGAAATAGAAAGCCAAAAATGTTAGAAAGGATACATTAACCCAAAAGTTAGATAACCTCTTGGTATTTTTCAGTGGAAAAGTAAGATGCAGAGAAGAATATGTAAAACATTCATAAATTTTATAAAACAATCAGTGGCTTAAACTCCTGCTAGGTATGTACATATACCTGTATGTTTGTATTTGATTATGATTTTATTACTTTATAATTTTTGAGTGTCAGCAAAATAAGCAAACAAACGAAAACAAAGCCTATCTGGGGAACTGAAGAAAAGAAAGTACTGCATTGAAAATGTTCATGTGAGCTGGGTGCAGTGGTTCATACCTGTATTCTCAGTGCTTTGGGAGACAGAGGTTAGAAATTAGCCTGCGCAACCTGGTGAGAACCTGTCTCTACAACACAAAAGAAAAAAATTGGCTGGGTGTGGTGGTGCTCACCTAGTGCTGCTTGACTAGGACTACAGTCAGTAGTAGAAAGGAGGCTGAAATAAGAGGATCCCTTGAGCCTAGAAGTCTGAAGCTGCAGTGAGCTATGATTGAGCCACTGTACTCCAGCCAGGGCAACAGAGTGGAGGCCCTTACTCCAATTAAAAAAAAAAAAAAAGTAAAGATGATAATGTCTCATTTTTTGAATTTTTAAAATATGTCAATATGTGTTTAGGGGCAAAAAGTAGTGCAAGAGAAAATGGTCACCAAAATATTAATGATTATTTCTAGTTGGTTTTCAGATGATTTTTTCTATATAATTTTATGTATTGTTCCAATTCATTGTAATGGTAACTTATTGTTTGTAAATCATGAAAAACTGTTTTTGTTGTAAAAACTTACTCTCAACTTCTGTAATGCAAAAAATGCTATAAATTAGATAAAAAGTGAAAGACCAATTGGCAGTGTCTTTTTGTTACATATACAGCAAATTAATCTCTTTGATACACAAAGAGCTTTTAAATAAATCCACCAAAACCAGTTGAAAACATCAACATAATTGAGGTAAAGATCATCAACTGGCAAGAAATAAAATTAAAATTAGAGTTCATTTTTTCTACTTAGCATATTGGTAAAGATTAAAAAGTTTGAAAATACAAAATATATTTGAAGATGTAGAAAACCAGGCATAAAATATAAATTGGTGTGACTTTTTAGGAGTCATTTCATATTTTCAAACATTTCAATGTAAATTTTGACCCAGTATTTTAACTTCTAACAATGTATTCTATAAAAATAATTGGACACCGGGGCCTGTCGCGGGGTGGAGGCCTGGGAGAGGGGTAGCATTAGGAGAAATACCTAATGTAAATGACGAGTTCATGGGTGCAGCAAACCAACATGGCACGTGTATACCTATGTAAAAACCTGCACGTTGTGCACATGTACCCTAGAACCTAAAGTATAATTTAAAAAATTGGATAAATATAAAAAGATAGTAGTATAAGGATGTTGACTGTAACATTTGTGCATACGTAAGTGTCAGCAAAACTAACTAGAAACAACTTGCATAGTCTGTCTCAACATGGCACTGATTGAATAATGTACAATCATCCCTCGGTGCCCGTGGGGGATCAGTTCTTGGACCTCTTGAGGATACCAAAATCCAAGAAAATTCAAGTCCTTTATATAAAATGGTGTAGTATTTGCACACAACCCACACACATCGTCCTGTATGCTTTAAATCACCTTTAGATTACTTGTAATACCCAATACAATGTAAATGCTGTGTAAATAGTTGTATTATTTAGGGAATAGTGATGAAGAAAAAAAGTCTGCACATATTCACTACAGGTACAATCCATTCTTTTCCCTGAAAAATTTTTGATCCAAAATTGGTTGAATCCATGGGTGCAGAACACAAGGAAACAGACAGCCAATTGTATTTCATAAAATGAAATTTCATATAATAACTAAAAAATGAGACTGATTTCTGTATACTACATACTGATTTGAAAAGACTTTCCTGATGTGTTGATAACTGAAAGCAAGTTTCAGGTTTGCTCTTATGCACTTAATGTTATGTGATATATGCCATTGGGTAGAAAAAAATATGTGCTTATATAAGTACAGACAACTTCTGGGAGGATACAGAAGAAACTGTTAATAGTGATTATCTTCTGAGAACCAGACTTAAGTAAGTGAAAGAAGGAGTGGAGTTTACTTTTCACTCTATCCCTTTTCATACTTTTGGAATCCCCTACTCCCAATATTTTATTATAAGAAGCTTCAAACATACAGAAAGTTTAACAACTGTATGGTGAACACAGGAATTAAAAATAAATTTGCCAGGCCTGGTGTGGTGGCTCATGCCTATAATCCCAGCGCTTTGGGAGATAGAGAAGGGAGGATTGCTCGAGCCCAGGAGTTGGAGACCAGCCTGGGGAAGATAGTGAGACCTTGTCTCTCCCAATAAACAAACAAACAAACCACCTAGATGTTACAATTAACATTTTGCTATCCTTGCTTTATCACTAAATTTCAAAAAGCAAGATGATGAATTATTTTAAAAATATACCTAGCGGCCAGGCACAGTGGCTCACACCTGTAATCCCAGCACTTTGGGAGGCCGAGGCAGGTGGATCACCTGAGGTCAGGGGTTTGAGACCAGTCTGGCCAACATAGTGCAACGCTGTGTCTACTAAAAATACACAAAATTAGCTGGGCGTGGTGGCGGGTGCCTGTAATCCCAGCTACTAGGGAGGCTGAGGCTGGAGAATCACTTGAACCCAGGAGGCAGAGGTGGCAGTTAGCCAAGATCAAGCCATTGCACTCCAGCCTGGGCAACAAGAGCGAAACTCCATCTCAAAAAATAAATAAATATATGTGTGTGTGTGTGTGTGTGTGTGTGTGTGTGTGTGTATATATATACACACACACACACACTTAGCAAGAAAAGCATTAGCAAGAGCATAGAATAATGAAACAATAAAATAAAGTACATAAATCTGCTGAAAGAGAAAATTAAATAGGATAATGTGATAAATGTCAGCAGCTGTTAGAAGTACAAGCCCAGTGTGCAGGTCTATGCAAGAGCAAAGAAAAGGAGGCTCTGAAGCATATAGGAGGAGTTTCTGTCCTGCAGTTTCTCAGGCCTGTGGTCAAGGGAGGATGTTCCCAGAACAGGAAACCTCAGAACAGGTAGCTTTTGGCCCCATGAGAGGTTTGTGGCTGATACATGCAGTGTGGTCTCTGGACCTCTAAGCCTCTGCTTCATCAGGAAGATTTGCTGAAATGCGTTTGACCCCCAGGAGCCCTTACCTTAGCTCTCATAAAAGTGTTGCAAATCAGTTTGGATTTGGATAATGCCTAAAACAGGAGAGTTGTTTTGTTTTGTTTGTTTGTTTTTAAAAAAATTCCTAGTTATTTAACACTGAGCTATTCCTTTGTATGTAAACCTTCAATTAAAAGAAAATAGTTGGGATCCAGAAATCTAAATTTCTGAATTCTGAAATCTGAATTTTTAACAAGCACCCAAGGTGATTTCATTGCAGGCAGGTGTTGCAAATACGGTCATTTTCTAAGAATGTGGTCTATTTGGGCCTCATGAAGATCCACCTGCTCCAGGAGTCTACAACCTTGCTTTGCCAGGAATGCCTTTCTTCTCAGACAGCTAGTACTTATCTTCTAAATGAGCTTAATTACTAAATCCCTAAGGGTGTTGAACATCAAGGACTTTATCTCTTGGTGTAGATAAATTAGCTCACTGAAGTGTTGTACACCAGTTTGGACCTGGGAGGGGTCTAGAGAGAGGAAATTATTATTATTTGATACATAACATTTGTACATATTTAGGGCATACAGATGATGTTTCATTACATGTGTAGAATGAGTAATGATTAAGTCACGATATTCAGAGTATCCATCACTTGAAGTATTTATCATTTCTATATGTTGGAAACATCTCAAATCCTCTCATCTAGCTGTTTTGAAAAACACAGTATATTGTTGGTAGCTATGATTATTTTTAACTTCTTTGTTATTTAACATTGCTGCTATGCCCCTTTGTGTAAACCTTCATATGGGCATTTAATACCATCTTCTTTAACCCCTGGTTCACTGGGGTCTTCCAGATACATGCGGTTTAATTCTTCACTTTTCTAAGGGAGAAAAGTCTGCAAATCTTTTTTCCTAGTGTTTTCCTTTGGAAGCTTCGTCCCACTGTTATCACAGAGTATTTGAATTCTCATCAGTTTCCTTGTAACTTCTGTGGAATGTGCTGGTAGAACTGCAGCTGTTAGTCCTTGTACTTAGAACAGGTTTTCTTCCCCTGAAGGATTAATAAGGAGGCCAACTATTTGCAGTTGCTTCTACCCCATCTCTGACAGTTCTTTAACCCCCTGACAAGGAAGGATCTCAGAATTTCTCATTCCTTCTCAGGGTGACAATTGTTGTGAATTCTTCCTTGTCTATTCTTTTTACCTCCTCTTTTTCCATTTTAGCCTTTCAATTTGAGTTGGATTTATTTCTATGGTGGTCTATCACCTAACAGAAAACGTGGTGCACCAAGTAATGAGTAACTTAGTTTTTATTATGTTTTAAAAAATACAATAAACATTTTTTGAGCACTTTCTGTGCACTAGGCATTTGCTAAATGCTGGTGACATGGGTGAGAAAGTGGGGACAGAGGCAGCCAAGTCTCTGAAGAATCTTGACACATCCAGTTTGAGAACATCCCATCTAACAAGAAACAGCGTAAGAAAAAGCCTGGAAGTAAATTTGTAGGATGGAGACAATTCAGGTATGCTCGGGATCCAGGGTACCTGGTGAGAAATAAAAGCTTCTTTTCAGACTTGAGAGCTGGGTCAAAAATCTGAATATTACCCAATAGGAAATTATTCGTTAACCTGCTTTTAAAAGTTAAGCTATGGAGAACTCGTTCTCATGCAAAAGCACAATTATACATGATATGATGCTTCTATTTTCTTTTATAGTCAGTTTAGACAGGGAAGTGTGGGAAGGGGTGGAGATGATAAAAGAAAAAGGGAAATAAGTTCAGATTGAAAGATGGTCAGAAAATAGGAGGTATCAGCAAAGAGAAAGCTACATAGAGAAAAAGGTTGACAGATATGTTTCTTAGGGGTCTAGAACAGCATCTGGCACATAGCAGGTGCTTATGAAATGCAGTCATGTGCTGCATGACGTTGTGGTTAATGATGGTCCATGTATACTATGGTGGTCCCATAAGATTATAACAGAACTGAAAATCCCTATTGCCTAGTGACATTGTAGCCATCTTAACATGTATGCCTAGGCTAATGTTTGTATTTGTGTCTTGGTAGTTATGAAAAAAGTTTTAACAGTTAAAAAAAAAAGTTAAAAATAGAAGAAAGCTTATAGAACAAAGAAATATTTTTGTACAACTATACAAAGTGTTTTAAGCTGTGTTATTACAAGAATTGAAAAATATTAAAAAGCTTAAAGTAAAAAATGTTACAGTAAGCTAAGGGTAATTATTGAAGAAAAAAATTAAATAAATGTAATATAGCCTAAGGGTACAATGTTCATAAAGTCTGCAGCAGTGTGCAGTAACGTCCTGAGCCCTCACATTCACTCACTCAGTCACCCAGAGCAACTTCCAGCCCTGCGAGCTTTATTCATGGTAAGTACCCTAGACAAACCATTTTAAATCATTTATACCATCTATTTTTTGTTGTATTTCTTCTACGTTTACAGAAGTTTAAATGCACAAATACCATTGTGTTACAAACGCTTACAGTGTTCATTACAGTAACATGCTGTACAGGTTTGTAGCCTAGGAGCAAAAGACTCTACCATATATCCCATATGTGTAGTGGGCTATGCCATCTAGGTTTGTGGGAGTACACTTGATGATGTCCACACAACTTTCATCGGTGCCTAGCAACACATTTCTCTGAACATATCTTCATGGGTAAGCGACACATGGCTGTAGTTATTAAAGGAAAGAAATCTTATGGAGAGAAAGATAATAAAAGGGAAATAGATGGACATGCACAGGTGTATAAAGAAAAAAATGTTGAGAGAGACAACTAATGCAGATAGAAATACATACAAAAAGGAGGACATAGGGAAAGAAGGGATTGGGACTCAGGGAGGCTCATACATTTATACCAAGTACTATTGAGCAAATAATTCTTTTTATGTTCTGTGTCTTAGACACTGTGTGGAGTATGTGATGTGGACCTGGGGAGAGTCATTCAACCTTTTTGTGTTTATTTTAAAAAAATTCTGAAAGGAAATGGAATCAAATACAGTATTGTAAAATGTTGAGAAGAGCTGGGGGGTACTTGGGATTTTTGCTTTGCTAGTCTCTATATAATGTATGTTTGAAACTTTTCATAATACAAACTAAAAAAAATTTTAGAATGATTAATAATTGAGCATGGGCCCATTTAGGCCCCATTCCCTTGCACAAAGTCCCTAGAGTTAGAATTGTCAAGGTCTGGCAACAGATGGTATGTGGAAGGCAAATGGGAGAAGGTCGTGTTCACTCCAAATGTTGGTGCCCTGCTGATTAAGAGGATGATTATTCCTCATGAATTGCAGGTTTTGGAAGAAAGCTAAGTAGTTCATTTCTATTTTCCCTGATAGGGTCTCACTCTGTTGCCCAGGCTGAAGTGCTGTGGTGCGATCTCCTCTTACTGCAGGCTTGACCTCACAGGCTCAAGTGACTCTCCCCACTCAGCCTTCCAAGGAACTGGGATCACAGGCATGCACCACCATACTTGGCTAATTTTTGTATTTTTTGTAGAGACAGGGTCTCACTATGTTGCCGAGGCTGGTCTTGAACTGTTGGGGCTCAAATGATCCTCCCCACTTGGCCTTTCAAAGCGCTGGAATTACAGGTGTGAGCCACAGCGCCTGGCCGGAAGATTTTTTTATTAATGTTGGGGGAATTCTCAAGGAAATATTTGTAGACCAAAGGAAGTTTGTTCCTTATAGAATTGGGGTTTTACCAGGCACAGTGGAGAGGCTCAGAGAGAGAGAGGGGGGCCTGGGTGGGGAGCTAGAAGACAGGGCTGGGGGCTGTGGCTTCTGGTTTTCAACAGTGAAGAAGGACGAAGTTTGGATGGAAGCCCAGACCGAGGGTGTGGCCAGGATAACAGCTGAATTGGTTGAATTATCCAGCACAAAATTCCTGGTGGAATGTTGATTTGTTGGCTTCTGCAGGGTTCTTTCGCCTCCCAGGTGCTGGGCACAGTTGCTCAGAGCGGCTCCTGCAGGGGAGGTCAAAGGGTCAGAAAGGAGGGAGGTCAGAGGAGAGAGCTGGAGATCTCAGCCTCTGCAAAATGCACTTATTTTTCTTGGCATTCAACAGGTGGACTGGATTGAATCTAGCTGAGGGCTGGGCCAGTCAACAAATTCCCTCAGCTCTTTCTCATCACTTCATAACTTCCTCCCTCGTTTAAGGGATCTCTTTTTTTAATTTTTTTTTAATTTTTATGTTTTGCCTTTGGTGGATATTCTACTTCAGTGTTCATTTGCTAAATGATGGTTTAAGGGACGAATATTAACCTAATCAACAAAACAGTGGTGTGAGTGCAGTGGTGTGATCATAGCTCACTGCAGTTCCAACTCCTGGCCTCAAGTTCTGTCTCGGCCTCCTAGAGTGCTGCGATTACAGGTGTGAGCCACAGCAGCCAGTCCTGAATTCCAGATATTTAGCACTATTTTTTAGGACTTGGAACTGGCCAACTCAATTGAATTAGAGAAAGATTTTTTGATGTGTGAGATTAAGAAGCAAAATTTTAATTTTGTCTACATAAAGGAAGTTTGCTAATGCAATGATTACTGATTGGTTTAGAATATCACAAACCCACTGCTCATGAGAATAAACAAATACTACATCCACAGGGAGTCTGAGCAAAAATTAGCATGCCCCCAAACAAACAAAAACACCAGCTGTTTAGAACATCATAAAGGGGGATGAGAGAATTCAAACTTAATTATTTCCTCGGTTAGAAAACAAAATCTTTAAACAAAGAGAACATTATAAGTCACTAGCATTTCCAAGATTCCACCCACAGTAAGGCCAGAAGATATAAAGCCAAGTCATTTGCTGGTTTTTAAATTACTCCTATAAACTCAGAAAATTACAAGAGAGTGTAAGTGAGAGATTGTGTCTAGATGAGCAGTCCCCAACCTTTTTGGCCCCCCGGGACTGGTTTCATGGAAGAGGATTTTTCCATGGATGGAATTGGTGGGGATGGTTTAGGGATGAAACTGTTCCACCTCAGATCATCAGGTATTAGTCAGATTCTTGCAAGGAGTGCACAGCCTAGATCCCTCGCATGCACAGTTCACAATAGGGTTTGTGCTCCTGTGAGAGTCTAATGCTGTCCCTGATCTGACAGAAGGTGGAGCTCAGGCGGTAATGCTCACTTGCTTGCCTGCAGCTCAGCACCTGCTGTGTGGCCTGGTTCCTAATAGGCCATGGACCTGTACCAGTCCATGGCCCCAGGGGTGGGGAACTCCTGGTCTAGATAGCTGATAGTCAAAAGACTAGTCTGCTTCCTTTTCTTTGTTTTCTCCCTGAGTATACCAACTAGTATTCTTGTCTTTTATTCTTTTGCATCCAGGTTGTCATCAAATCTGATTTCTTAAAAGTACCATCTATTTCTTATGATTCTTTAATAACAGTTGCAATCAAACTGCAAAACTTGTTTGCAAGGTGAGCAGTTTAACAGTAAGAGTGAAACTTCCTTGAGTACCAGACACTATCCTAAGCACACACTATCATCTTTCATCCTTATAACAACTCTCTAACAAGGTATCATCATCATCATCATCATCATCATCATCATCGCAGTTTTACAGATGAGGAAACTAGGGCTTACAGCAGTGGTTCACAACCATGGCTGCCCATTAGAATCTCCTGGGAGCTTGCACAATTATCAGTGCTCAGGCCATCATTCACCTGGATCAATTAAATCAGAACCTCTGGAGGTGGCACTGGGTTTTTGTAGTTTTTGTTTTTTGTCTTTTTGAGACGGAGTTTCACTCTTGTTGCCCAGGATGGAGTGCAATGGTGCGATCTCAGCTCACAGCAACCTCTGCCTCCCGGGTTCAAGCCATTCTCCTGCCTCAGCCTCTGGAGTAGCTGGGATTACAGGCATGTGCCACCATGCCCGGCTAATTTTGTATTTTTAGTAGAGACGGGGTTTATCCATGTTAGTCAGGCTGGTCTCGAACTCCAGACCTCAGGTGATCTGCCCGCCTCGGCCTCCCAAAGTGCTGGGATTTTAGGCATGAGCCACCATACCTGGCCAGTTTTTATAGTTTTTAAAGCTCCCCAGGTGATTACAAAGTACAGTGAAGGTTAGAGCCACTGGCTTATAGAGCAATTAAGCATCACAAGGTCACAAGATTGAGTAATGGACTTGCGATTGGAATCCAGGTTTGTTAGATTTCAGAGCCTCATTTTAACCTCTCTATTATGTTGTCTTTCAAAGTATTTAATATTTGCTTTAAAACAAAAATCAATTAATATTTTCATATTTTAGATAACTGTAGGAAAGTGCATAAAGCATACAGCAGTAGTGAAACCACACGCATTTCAACATAGAACACTTCCCTATGATGCCCTTCCATGCGGGTAACTTTTATCTTCTCCCTTTAAGAATCTTATGTCCTGACTGTTGAGATAATTACTTTTTGCTTTTCTTTATGCTTTTCTGCTTATGTATTTCTAAACAGTATTCAACTTTTGCCTGTTTTTGAAGTTTATATGGAAGGATTCATACCATATGTAGTATTTTGTGTCTGGCTTTTTTCACCCAACATGATGCTTGTGACTCACCTATGATGTGTGGGTATCTACTGTTGCTCATGTTCATTGTGATATGATATTCTATTGTAAAAATATGGCATAATTTGTCTACTTTATGAATGACAGATATTTGAGTTGATTCCAATTTGAGGCAATGGTAGCATATTTCCTATTGTATGTGTAAATGAGGCTCTAGAGGCCGACTTGCTATAAGTTATGCCTATTTAAATTGACGGTAAAAATTGTACCTGCTTATGATTTACAACATGTTTTGATATATGTATATATGTGGAATAGCTACATCAACCTATTTAACATTTGCATCATCTCACATTTATCATTTTTTTATGGTGAGAACACTTAAAATCTACCCTTAACAATTTTCAAATATGTAACATTATTATTAATTGTAGTCACAATGGTGTACAATAGAGCTCTTGAACCTATTCCACCTGTCTAACTGAAATTTTGTGTCCTTTGACCAACATCTCCCCAGTTCTCCCACCTGGGCTATACCTATTTTCAGATTGATAGGTAATGCTAATCACATTTCCAATGTAGCTTATACTATTAGGTTGGTGCAAACGTAATTGCGTTTTTTGCCATTAAAGTAATGGCAAATTACAACTGCAAATTCTACCCAGTGGTGTATGAGATTTCCTAATGTTCCATTTTCTACAATGCATGCTAGTGTCAGAGTTCAATGTGTGCCAATGAGTTGGTTCTGAAATGATAACTGTTGGTATTTTTAATTTATCTTTTTCTCATTACCTATGAGGTATAAAATTTTCTCATATGTTTATTATCTATTTGAATTTCATCCTTTGTGAAGCACTTATTTGAAACTTTTGACTTTTTCTATAGGTTGTCTGTTATTCTTGTTGATATATAGATGTTCTTTTTTTGTTTGAGACAGGGTCTCACTCTGTTGCTCAGGCTGTCATGCAGTGGTGTAATCATAGCTCACTGCAGCTTCAACCTCCTGGGCTCAAGTGATCCTCCCACCTCTGTCTCCTGAGGAACTGGGACTACAGGCACATGCCACCATGCCTGGCTAATATTTTTACTTCTTGTAGAGACAGGGTCTCACCATGTTGCCCAGGCTGATCTCAAACTCCTGGCCTCAAGCAGTCCTCTAGTCTCAGCTTCCCAAAGTGCTGGGATTACAGGCATGAGATACTGTAGGCATTCTTTATATATTTAGTACTTGCTTGGTAATATTATTGCAAATATTGCTGAAGTATGGGAAAAGTTCTTAATTTTAACATGGTTGTATTTTTCCTTGAGGGTTTATTCTTTTTTATGTTTAAGAGATCTTCACCTACCCTGGATCAGTAAAGATATTTTCCTATGTTTTAAAAACATCATAGTTTTGCCTTTCTTACTTAGGTTTTCAATTTACATGGAACTAATTTTTGTGTACATAGGAAAGAACCAATTTCATTTCTCTCCATATGGGAAAAATGGTCCCAGCACCATATTTTGAGCAGTCTGTCCTTTCCCTTATGATCAACAGTGTTATTCTGTCATTTAAGTTATCTATTATGTATAAGTCTGTCCTGCTTTCTGTATTGTGTTGCATTGGTCTACTTGTCTATCCCTGAGCAAATACCACACTATCTGAATTATTATATGTTTATAATGTCTTGATAGCTGGTGAAGCAAGTCCTTCCAATTTTATCAAGAATATTTTGGGTATTCTGAGGTCTCTGCATTTCTATAAATTCAGAAGACCAAATTCCTCAAAAGGAAACCTGCTGGATTTTGACTGGGATTGCAATGAGTCTGTCTAATCTACTTGGGGTAATTTATACCTTTACAATTTTGAGTTTTCAAATTCATAACATGATATGTCTCTCAATTTTTTAGAGATTTTTATTAATGGCTCTTTAAAAAGTATAATTTTCTCTGTATAGGTTTTAAACATCTTTTGAGTTAATCATATAGATGGTGTTATCTGTTTTAAAAGCGCTGTTTAAATTTCATTTTCTAGTAACATGTAGTGAATAAAAAGCTAATAGATATGAGTACCAACACTTTTGCAAGGATACTAAAAGAATGAAAAATTACAGATGATCTCACACAATTATAGGTACAAAATTCTTTAATCAAACTGAATATTGTACAAAATAACTAATTTATCATGACCAACTTGGACTCATCCCAGAAATGTGAGGTTACTTTAATGATTCTAATATTAGAACTTTCATTTACCATAGTTAATTATATTGACAAATTAAGGGAAAGATAATTTCAAAAGTGTAGATAAAAATAATTTTTATAAAATTGAACATTCATTCATGATGTGCAAACTAATAAAAAATTAGCTTAATCTAAAGAAAGTTAACTTCAAAGAACATAGGGCAGGTATTATCTCTAGTGGTTAAACATAGAAAACATCTTTACGAGGAAGAAGATTCCAAGAATGTCTTCTGTTTAACATTGACATAAGAATCCTTGCCAGATCAATTTGGCAGAAAAAGGGAAAAAAAAAGGCATAAGGGATTTGAAGAGAATAAACAAAACCATTATTATTAGCTAATAATGTCATCATTGAAATTTCAAAGTAATTTATAGATAGAATTAATAAAGAAATTTAGTAAGTTTGCTTGACATAAAAATCAGTATACACAAATCAATTATATTGCTATATTCCTGCCACCTACAGTTAAGGCAATTCTAAATTACCTAGGAATAAATGTGACAAACATTTGTGAGACTTTTTAAGGACAAAATTATAATATTAAAGTAACATTAAAGTCTATACCATGTCCATGGATGAGAAGTCTGCAAATCATAAAAATTGCAGTGCTCCATAAATTGACCTGTAGATTTGATTTAATTTAAGTCAAAATACCAACTTCATTTATTTTTACAGAACTTGCTAATATGGGCCTAAAATTTACATGGAAAAGCAAAAATTAATAGCCTACTCATCCCTGAAGAACAAGGGAGGTAGATTTCCTTACTAGGTAGCAAGAATTATTTTAAAGCTATAGTATAGTAGTCTGATATCTGCAAAGGCAGAGACACACAGACAAATGAAACAACAGAAAACTTCAAAACCACAACCAGATATATATATATAAATTTGACTTTTAACAGAGTTTGTATTGAAGATAGACTACAATAAATCAAGCTACAAAAACTGGTTACTCATATTGTAAAAAGATCAAATTATATTCCTATTTCTATCATATCTTCTCCCAACAGATTCCACATGTGTAAAAATTTATGAAAGGTAGAACTATACACCTTTAAAGGAAATTATCTTTATGAATTTGGAATAAGTTTCTTAAAGGAGACACACATACCAATTGTAAGATAAATAATTAATAAATTGTAGCTATACTACAATTAAGAACTTACGTTTACCAAGGGACACTGTAAAGAAAGTGAAAAGACAAACCTGGAGGAAATTATTTGCAACACATAAAACTGTCAAAATAATTGTAACCAGAACATAGAATAAAAGTCTACAGAATAATAAGAAAAATATCCCAATAAAAAACAAAAGTCTTGAATGGCATCCCGCAGAAGAGAATTAGCCAATAAACACATGAAATCTTCAACTTCTTTAGTTATTTGATAAATAAAAAATTAAAACACTATAAGATACCCTTTCATAGTCTCCACAGTGAAAATAATTTAAATGTCTGACAATATCAAGTGTTGATGAGGATATAGAACAATGGGTGCTATATACATCGCTGATGGTAGCATGAGTTTATATCACAATATTATAAAACAATTTGGCATTATCCAGTCAAGTTGAATATATTCATCTACCTCTGAATATATACTAGATATTCTAGCAGTGGAAGCCGTGTATAAGAATATTTATAGTAGCAGTTTTTGTAATAAGCAAAATCTAGAAACTGAAGTGCTCAACAACAGTAACATGGTTAACTGTGGTATGTTAATAAAATGAAATACAATATAGCAGTAAAAATGGAATGCACTCTAACTTTGCACAAAAACATGAATAAAATTCAGGCACACAATTTTTAATAAATCAGGTTCTAGAAAACATATTTCTATTTATTCATAATCATAAGCCATGTAATTTTATATTTGGTTACATAATATTTGGGGAAATTTCCAAAGAAAAGAGAAGGATAAAGCAGAAATTTAGGAAAGGTGCTGGGTCATGAGAGGACTACACAGATAACTTCAAATATAATGTAATGTTCTACTAAACTGGATGGTGAGTATGCAGGTATTAAAATTTTATTTTCATAGGCATTTGCTTTAGTCTTTATACATATTTTATAAGCATTCTTTTTATGTTGATAAACTATTTTTAAAAGGTTATAGAAAAGAAGCACCATAAAGTACTTTTTTTTTTTTTTTTTTTTTTGAGACAGAGTCTCGCTCTATCGCCCAGGCTGGAGTGCAGTGGTGCCATCTCGGCTCACTGCAAACTCTGCCTCCCGGGTTCAGGCCATTCTCTTGACTCAGCCTCCTGAGTAGCTGGGACTACAGGCGCCCACCACCGCGACTGGCTAATTCTTTGTATTTTTAGTAGAGATGGGGTTTCACCATGTTAGGTAGGATGGTCTCGATCTCCTGACCTTGTGATCTGCCCGCCTCGGCCTCCCAAAGTGCTGGGATTACAGGCGTAAGCCACCGCTCCCGGCCCATAAAGTACTTTTTAAGCAAACAGCTAAATAAAAAAGCTAAAAACAAAACCCAAAAAAGCGTATCAAAAATATCAGCACCCAGAAACACACATTAAGTAATAATCACTTCACAATTTTTTTTTATTATACTTTAAGTTCTAGGGTACATGTGCACAACGTGTAGGTTTGTTACATATGCATACATGTGCCATGTTGGTGTGCTGCACCCATTAACTCGTCATTTACATTAGGTATATCTCCTAATGCTATCCCTCCCCCCTGCCCCCACCCCACAACAGGCCCCGGTGTGTGATGTTCTCCTTCCTGTGTCCAAGTGTTCTCATTGTTCAATTCCCACCTATGAGTGAGAACATGCGGTGTTTGGTTTTTTGTCCTTGCGGTAGTTTGCTGAGAATGATGGTTTCCAGCTTCATCCATGTCCCTACAAAGGACATGAACTCATCCTTTTTTATGGCTGCATAGTATTCCATGGTGTATATGTGCCACATTTTCTTAATCCAGTCTATCATTGTTGGACATTTGGGTTGGTTCCAAGTCTTTGCTATTGTGAACAGTGCCTCAATAAACATACGTGTGCATGTGTCTTTATAGCAGTGTGACTTATAATCCTTTGGGTATATTTCACAATGTTCTTAATACATATATACAGGAAGGATAGAATAGAAACTATAAGGACTGTTTCAGTTATCTATCATGCATAACAAACCACCCCAAAATTTAGTGGTTTATAACAACAAAACCAGTTATTTACTCATGATCCTGCAACTGAGCAGAGAGAAATTGATGGGATGGCTAACTTTATTCTATGTGTTGGCTGCAGTTACATAGTTGTATTTAGCTAAGAACTCATCTGGGGTTGGAACATCTCAGATTGTTTTGCTTGTCCGTTGGCAATCTTTGCTGGAATGGCTGGGATGGCTTTGGGCCTATCGGCTGGGCTTCTCCTTTCCCATAGTTTCTTATCATTCAATGAATCTCAAAAATGGGGAAGCAGAAGCTACAAGTCTTTTAAGATCTGGGTGCAAAAGTCCCAGAATATCACTTCCATGCATTCCATTGGTCAAAGCAAGTTACAAGACCAGCTCAGATGCAAGGCAAAAGGAAACAGACTCTGTCTTTTGATGTGCAGAGACATGTGCCTACAGGGATTGTAGGAATTGTTTGAGGTCATCTTTGGAAATGATCTACCCCTGGAATCGTAAGTATGCAGCTTCCATAGTCTATTGTCAGAAAGCTGTTTTTGCCTGGTTGTTTGAACAATTTCATTGAACAATTATTACTAAATACCTACTAGGTGCCAGGGACTGTTTTAGCCATGGTCAAAGCAATGAACCAAACGTTTTAGTGATTCAGGCAATCATTCAGGTCATATGCAATTTTATACCAGAAGTCAATATGGCAAAAGAGTGAATGTTTGGTTAGTTTAAATAAAAGAATGGCAAGCAATAGTTACGGACCGTACTCAGTGGCTCACCTGAACTCAGAACTAATAGAACAAAAGTTTCCAGAAATATGAATCTGCTTGAGATTCCATTCAAACCAATTCAGCAAATACTTACTATATAAAAAGACCTTCCCTAGTCTACTGGAGTGAGAAATTATTTTGGAAACATTTGATTTGATTCAATTAGGATTTGTTAGACATATTTGTGAGTTGCAAAGGAGATAAAAAGATTAAAAGCACAGGATTCCTGGCCTCATGATGTCAACAATGGTGAGTACTCATAGCTATGATACCAGGGAAGTAAAAGTGCCATAACTTGATATTAGTGCTAGGGGCATTATAGAGGCTAATATTTCATTCATTTGTGGGAATTGTGTCTTCATGAAGTAGGTAGCATTGTGAGCTAGTTCTTTCTTTTTTATTATTATTATACTTTAAGTTTTAGGGTACATGTGCACAATGTGCAGGTTTGTTACATATGTATACATGTACCATGTTGGTGTGCTGCACCCATCAACTCGTCATTTAGCATTAGGTATATATCCCAATTCTATCCCTCCCCCATCTCCCCACCCCACAACATTCCCTGGTGTGTGATGTTCTCCTTTCTGTGTCCATGTGTTCTCATTGTTCAATTTCCACCTATGAGTGAGAACACGCGGTGTTTGGTTTTTTGTCCTTGCGATAGTTTGCTGAGAATGATGGTTTCCAGCTTCATCCATGTCCCTACAAAGGACATGGACTCATCATTTTTTATGGCTGCATAGTATTCCATGGTGTACATGTGCCACAATTTCTTAATCCAGTCTATCATTGTTGGACATTTGGGTTGGTTCCAAGTCTTTGCTATTGTGAATAGTGCCGCAATAAACATACTTGTGCATGTGTCTTTATAGCAGCATGATTTACAATCCTTTGGCTGTATATCCAGTAATGGGATGGCTGGGTCAAATGGTATTTCTAGTTCTAGATCCCTGAGGAATCGCCACACCGACTTCCACAATGGTTGAACTAGTTTACAGTCCCACCAACAGTGTAAAAGTGTTCCTATTTCTCCACATCCTCTCCAGCACCTGTTGTTTCCTGACTTTTTAATGATTGCCATTCTAACTGGTGTGAGATGATATCTCATTGTGGTTTTGATTTGCATTTCTCTGATGGCCAGTGATGATGAGCATTTTTTCATGTGTTTTTTGGCTACATAACAGAACAGAGCCCTCGGAAATAATGCCAAATATCTACAACTATCTGATCTTTGACAAACCTGACAAAACAAGCAATGGGGAAACAATTCCCTGTTTAATAAATGGTGCTGGGAAAACTGGCTAGCCATATGTAGAAAGCTGAAACTGGATCCCTTCCTTACACCTTATACAAAAATTAATTCAAGATGGATTAAAGACTTACATGGTAGACCTAAAACCATAAAAACCCTAGAAGAAAACCTAGGCAATACCATTCAGGACATAGGCATGGGCAAGGACTTCATGTCTAAAACACCAAAAGCAATGGCAACAAAAGCCGAAATTGACAAATGGGATCTAATTAAACTAAAGAGATTCTGCACAGCAAAAGAAACCACCATCAGAGTGAACAGGCAACCTACAGAATGGGAGAAAATTTTTGCAACCTACTCATCTGACAAAGGGCTAATATCCAGAATCTACAATGAACTCAAACAAATTTACAAGAAAAAAACAACCCCATCAAAAAGTGGGCGAAGGATATGAACAGATATTTCTCAAAAGAAGACATTTATGTGAGCTAGTTCTTAAAGGTTGCCCACATTTTCATTTGGGAGGATGCCAGCAGGCTTGAAGGACATGCTAGCTTAATGTGTTCTGTACTGTCAGCTTTGATGGTAGGTGCCTATTTCCTCTTTGTTTCTGATTGAGGCTCATGTGTGCATTAATGGTAGTTCAATGATTTCAATTTTCTACTTGAATTCCTTGTTTAAATGACCTATTTACATTACTAGTCTGGGTGACATCTATGCCTAGAGATGTCCACTAGTTGAAAATGAACAAACAACAGCTGGGTATTTCTTATCTCTAATGGATGATCTGCAAATCCCTTTGCTTTAGAATTTTGTGTGCAATGAGTTTTTTAAAAAAGGAATAAAAATGACAAACACACGTCTAAGTGCTTTGTGCAAACATGATATTCTTCTGTCAAGGTGACTCTAAACATATGATATACAGTTGGAATGTGATTGATACAGAATTGTTTGTGCCATTTCCCTTACTCAGTTTCCTTTTTGAAAAATGGACTTATCTTTGGGGTGGAGAAACACTTGAGATTTCTCACCTTTCACTGTCTTAATGTCTGTTATATTGAGATTCTTAAGGTATGCTTTTCATCCATATATTCCTCTATAGAAAAGGCTAAAATGAATCTGAACAGCTGATCGCAGTCAGGCCTTCTCTTTTGGTGCTCTGGGTTCTCAGAATAATATTTCTACTGTATCATGAACATCTTTCTCTTTCTCCTCCTTCTAACAAATATTCTTCCATTCCTTTGACAAATTAACATTTAAATAACTGTTATATACCAGCCACTATTCTATGGACTTGGGATACATTTATGAAGAAAAGAAACAAAAGTCATGCTCTCTTGGAATTTATAGTCCAGCTATAAGTAATAAACTCAATAAGGAAGGAACTTATAGAATATTAAAAGGTGATAGGTGCTACAAAAAATCGAGTAAGGCAATGAGAGGGGGGGCAGGATGAGAGTGTGTGTAGAGAGATTTGTTGGGATGATGCTCATTAAGGAGTGAGTTAGCTTTTGGTCCTCTGGGTGTAAGAGCCTTCTGAGCAGAGGGAGCCAGCTGTGTTCAGGTGCTTTAGTGGGAGCTTTTCCAGGATGTTCTAGGAACAGCCTATAGGTTAACGTGATTAGCACACAGTCAACAAAAGGGAGAATAGTTGGGAAGGAAGTGAGAGTGGTAACAAGGACAGATTGCACGGGGATTTGAAGGAGTTTCTAAGGACTGACTTTTATCCGCTGGAGGCTCTTTGGCACACAAGTGACTTTTTCTCTTCCTTTGTGGTGTTGCTGTCATATGTTTTACCTCTGCAAATGTTGTAAAAGTACTTTGTTGTTTTTGCTGTAAACACCAATCGACTTTTTTGGAGGGGTATCTTTTGGATTAATGTTTGCATGATGTAACTTTTACCATTCTTTTACTTTCAACTTACCTATGGTGATATATTTGAAGTGAGTTTCTTATAGGCAGCATATTAATGGTTCATGTTTTTTAATCCAATGTGCCAATCATGGTCTTTTAATTGGTATATTTAGATTATTTACATTTAAGGTAATTATTGATAGGGCTTAAGTCTGTATTTTTATTTATTTTTTTGTTGGTTTGCTTCCTCTACTTCTCATTCCTCTGTTTCCCTCTCTTTCTCTCTCCACCCTCTCTTTCTTTTTATGTCTTCCTGTGGGTTACTTGAAGATTATTTGGAATGTCATCTTAATTTATTTATAGTAGATTTGTTTGTCTATACCACTTTGCATAGCTTTCTTAGTGGTTGCTTGGGAGTAATTTTTTAAATTTTGATATCATTTCAAACTTAAAAATAGTTGCAAGAGTAGTACAAAGAACTCCCTTACCCACTTTACTCAGATTCACCAATATTTTAAATTTTGCCCTACTTGCTTTATCATTCTCTCTGATTCTCTCTGTGGTGTGTGTACATGTGTGTACACAAATTTTTTTTGAACCACTTGAGAGTAAGTTGCAGATATTGCACTTCTTTAACTTGAAATACTTCAGTATATATTTCCCAAGAGTAAGGACATTCATTTACGGAACAATTATCAAAATGAAGAAATATAGGCCAGGTGCGGTGGCTCACACCTGTAATCCCAACACTTTAGGAGGCCAAGGTGGGCAGATCACTTGAGATCAGGAGTTCCAGAGCAGCCTGGCCAACATGGTGAAACCCCGTCTCTACTAAAAATACCAAAATTAGCCCTGCGTGGTGGCACATGCCTCTAGTCCCAGCTACTCAGGAGGCCAAGGCATGAGAATCACTTGAACCTGGGAGGTGGAGGTTGCAGTGAGCTGAGATTGCACCACTGCACTCCAGCCTCAGTGACAGAGTGAGACTGTCTCAAAACCAAAACAAAACAAAAAACCAACCAAACAACAAAACCAAGAAATATAACATTGTACTCATTCATAAATCTGCTCCACAGTCCATATTCCAATTTTGTCAATTACTCCAATAATGTTTTATAAAACTATTTACCAGTCAGTCTCTTTAGTCTTCTTTAATCTGGAGCAATTTTTCATTTTTTTCCTGATGTTTTTACTCTTGACTTTTTTCGAAAGTAAAGGCAGTTATTTTCTAGAATGTTCTTCAATTTGGGTCGGCCTTCCTTCTTTCCTTCCTCTCTTCCTCCCTTCCTTCCTCTCACTATGTTGGCCTGTTGCCCAGGCTAGCCTTGAACCCCTGGAGTCAAATTATTCTCTTGTCTCAGGATGCCCAGTAGCTGGGACTACAGGTACATGCCACCGTGCCTGGCTTTCTTAAGGAAATATTCACAATATTTATTTGTAATAGAAGAAATTTGGAATAGAAGAAATTTGGAAACAATCTAAATCTGACATTTAAAAAGTTTGGTTGAATACATTAAGACATACCTATATTATGAAATATTATGTAGCCATCAAAATCATGGTATAGATATTTAAATATTAACATAAAGAGTTCTGAATACATTAAGAGCAAAAGGCAATGTACAAAGCTGTCTGTATAAATGATCCAATATTTGTAAGTAAACATAATTATTTACATGTGCATATATACATAGAAAATAGTTTGGAAGGAAATATACCATGTTATTAACAGTGGTTATTTCTGGATATCATTGCTATCTAACTGATAACCTAGAGATTTTTCCTCCCATTTTTCTTTTTAAATTCTATTTCCTCTTTTTCTATAATAAAGATTATGAAGTTTTAAATAGGAGAAAATTCTTTCTTATAACCCCATTGTTAATTATAGTGAAGTTGTTGTATACACTGCCATTGTATCTCAGCATAGTCTTAACAAAAATAAACACATCTCTTAGGTTCCATTGCCAGGAATGGATGAGTGATTTATTGAGCAACTGCTTTATTTTCATTTCATAGGCATTTAGAGTTATATCATTGTCTTTGCATTAGCTGAAAAGCATATTAGAGCCAAAACTGTGGCCCATTCTTATCAATGTGAATTGCACTTTATGGCTTACATTTTGTTTAGTTAACTTTTCTTAATGTCATCTTATTTTTTTCATACTTTGGTTTATCTTCTTTTCCCACCCACCCTAGTTTTCTCATACTACACCTTCATTTTCTTACTGATTAAAAAAATCCTCTTTACTCTCTACATTCATTTCACTTTGAAATCCTCTTTTGAATAAAGTGTGATACAAAATAAAATGAATAACTTGTTAACTGACCAATTAGTATAAAATCATATATATATATACACACATATATATATGTGTATATATATATACACACACATATATATATGTATATATATATATACACATATATATATATGTATATATATATATATATATATATAAAATAACATAATAGCTATTTGAGTGCTTATTCTCTGACAGACCCTGGGTTAAGCAATTGATAGGCATTTTCTCATGAATCCTTACAACCATCCCATATGGTTGGTCCTATTATTTCCCGTAGTTTTTAGATAAGGAAAGTGATGCTTTGTTTTTTATTTCTGTATCTTTTTTTCTTTATTTGTGAATTATTTAATTTTGAAAGAGTGTGAAAATTTTTCCTTTAGGCTGTTGAAATTTCTGATTTGCCATATCCTAGGAAATAGAAATAATAAAAAGCTGCCAATGAATGTGTATTGACACTAGAAGTATAAGCAGATGCTCTTGGGTTCTCAGAGGTTAAGTAACTTTCCCAGGATCAGTCAATAAGAAGCACTGCAGAACTGTCAACTACATAAAAGAAGTATGTTGCATAAGAAAAATACTGAAGGGAACACAACAAACTCTTAAGTAGTTACCGTGAAACTGGTTATTTGTGCATGTGATTGCTATTTTTCTATATTTTCCAAAATTTTCACAAGTATGTCATTTTAATGAGACGGAATAAAGTTTGTGAACACACTAACCTGACCAAACATCTTAAGACCATTTCAGGCCGGGCTCAGTGGCTCACACCTGTAATCCCAGCACTTTGGGAGGCTGAGGCTGGTGGATCACGAGGTCAGGAGATCAAGACCATCCTGGCTAACATGGTGAAACCCCGTCTCTACTAAAAATACAAAAAAAAAAAAATTAGCTGGGCATGGTGGCGGGCACCTGTAGTCCCAGCTACTTGGGTGGCTGAGGCAGGAGAATGGCATGAACCTGAGAGGCGGAGCTTGCAGTGAGCAGAGATTGCGCCACTGCACTCCAGCCTGGGCGACAGAGCGAGACTCCATCACACACACACACACACACACACACACACACACACACAAAAGACCATTTCGATAATTTCCCATTGACAAATTTGGATTTATGAATGCAGATCTGTTCAGTTATTCACAGTTGTGTGTCTTTCTCTTCCTTGACCAGTTTCCACCCCTGACCATTTTCCCCCTGAATATTTAAACAACTCACAACTGTATAGTATGGAAATTTCACTTCTGCAATGGCCTCTTCAAGTTGGTCCTTTGCCTAATGATCAACTCAAACAAGAAGGGAATGTTTCCTGCTTATGTTTATAAGGTTGGGCATTATCAATGAGGTGGTAAGATAGGGAAGATGTGTCCACAGTGCAAGAGGGCAGGACTATTCTGTGAGCATGCCAGTGAAGCCACACCAACGATACTGCAGTTGTGTAGCCAGATATTGGTATGTGAATAGCAAAAAACCTAACTGCCACACAAATAACCTTTAGGTATCTGGAAAAGCCAGTTTCATTTTCAATGTTTAAAATAGGAGCTCCTTAACTTTTCCAGAAAGCTGGGGGTATAAAAAGTCATTAGGGTATAATGGAAAATACACTGCACTGAGATCAAGACCAAATATCATTACTTACTTTTTGTAAGATCTTGGTTAGGAGCCTTATGATTTTTTTAATTTTTATTTTTGGACAAGTTCTCAGTCTGTCGCCCAGCCTGGAGTGCAATGGCGTGTTCATGGCTCACAGTGGCTTCAACCTCCTGGTCTCAAGCAATCTTCCCACCTCAGCCTTGTGAGTAGCTGGGACCACAGGAAGGTGCCACTATACCTAGCTAATTAAAAAAAAAATTGTAGTCATGGGGTCTTGCTGTATTGCCCAGGCTGGTCTTGAACTCCAAGGCTCAAGCAATCTTCATGCCTCGGCCTCCCAAAGTGCTGGTATTATAGGTGAGTGCCACCACACCTGGTCAGATTTTTGAGCCTCAGTTTCCTCACCTGTAAAATGGAGAACATAGTATAACTTTCCTTTCCACTTCAGTCATTTTGAGAATCAAATAAGATAATGTAAATTATAGCTTGTTGTAATCTTTAAAACCCAATACCAATAAAAGGCATCCTTACTTTTCACTGAAATTATTCCCAGATCATTGCATGCCAAAGATGAATTTTTCCTAAAATTAATTACAGTAAAAAACCCCAACGAAACCTCAAATTACCAGGTATTTGAATTTCATCTTTGAAAGTTTGCCGTGTTACAATTCTTCATCCAGTGACATTGAGCAAGAAGAAGAATTAGCAAGTCAACCACTGCAACATATATCAAGATTTATCCTGTGAGCTCAAATCATTTTTCCATTTCTGCTTCAATTTTTTTTTTCACTTATTACATAATTGGTTATTTTTTAGTTTTGAAATAGTACATAAAATTTACCCTTTTCTTTAGACGTTTCTGATTTGCTGTGTTATAGGAAATAGAAATAAGAAAAAGCTGTTAATGAGCAGTTACATGTGGATGCTTCTGAGATCTCTGAATTTCTGAGAAAGAATAATGCACCCCATTTCTGGGATGGTTGGAAATGCTTCACTGCTTTCTGCTTCTACTGACACCAGGACTGCAGAGCAGAGGGGGTAACTAACAGGGGCAAGGAGAAACAGCAGCGATGGATGAGATGGCCTATAAGATGGTCTTTGGTCACAGCAGAGAGACTTCTGGAGTCATCCAGGAATTTTGCTGGAAGTCAAAATAGCTGGGGAAGAGGAGATGGGAAGACGCAGAATTGAGGCTCCAGCAGTTTATCTTGTAAGGTCACAGACATATGTTTTGGTTGTGCTTATTTATCCAGATCCAGTGTATGGTCCTATCTTAGGCTGGTGGTCTGTTATGCCACATTTTTGTTGTCCGTGCTTTCATTGTGATGTTAAACAAATATTTAAGTAATAGTAGGTGTTCACATAATGGGGTTTAGAGGGCAAGATGGCCTTCTGCATCCTATATGTGAATATTCATCATGTTGTGCAGAGTTCATTGGAAGCAAATTAACAGTGGCAGTGCAAAAGAAGCCATTGTAATCTCAATAAATTTAAGAAAATCAAAATCATATCAGGTATCTTCTCAGACCACAGTGGAATAAAATTAGAAATCAATTCCAAAAGGAGCTCTCAAAACTATGCAAATACATAGAAATTAAATAATTTGCTCCTGAATGATTTTGAAGTTAATGAAATCAAGATGGAAATTAAAAAATTCTTTGAAATGAATAATAGTGATACAAGTTATTAAAACCTCTGGAATACATCAAAAGCAGTGCTAAGAGGAAAGTTCATAGCATTAAATGCCTACATCAAAAAATCTGAAGAGCACAAATTGACAACCTAACATAACACCTCAAGGAATTAGAGAAACAAGAACAATTGAATTCAAACCTAGCAGAAGAAAAGAAATAACCAGGATCAGAGAAGAGCTAAATGAAACTGAAATAAAAAATTAAACAAAAAGCTGGTTCTTTGAAAAGATAAACAAAATTGATAGATCATTAGCAAGATTAACCAAAGAAGAGAGAAGATCTAAATAAGCTTAATTAGAAATGAAACTGGAGGCATTACAACTGATACCACAGAGGTACGAAAGATTATTCAAGACTACTATGAACACCTTTATGTGCACAAACTAAAAAGCCTAGAGGAAATGGATAAATTCCTGGAAATATACAAGCCTCTTAGATTAAATCAGGAAGAAATAGAAGGCTGGGTATGGAGGTTCATGCCTGTAATCCCAGCACTTTGGGAGGCCAAGGTGAGTGGATCCCTTGAGACTAGGAGTTTAAGACCAGCCTGGGCAACATGGTGAAACCCCGCCTCTAAAATATATGTGTGTGTGTGTGTGTGTGTGTGTGTGTGTGTGTATATATATATAAATTAGCCAGGCATGGTGGCACATGTCTGTAGTCCCAGCTACTTGGGAGGCTGAGGCAGGAGGATCATTTGAGCCCGGGATGTGGAGGTTGCAGTGAGCCGAGTTTGCGCCATTGCACTCCAGCTTAGGTGACAGAGCAAGGTCCTATCTCAAAAAACAAAAACAAGAAAACCCTGAACAGATCAATAACAAGCAGTGAGACTGAATGGCTGATTTATAAAAAATGACTATCCTAAGTGAAATAACTTAGCAGTTTAATTTTTTAAAAATTTATCTGTAACAACAAAAAAAGCCCAGGACCAGATGGATTCACAGCTGAATTCTACCAAACATTCAAGGAATAATTGGTACCAATCCTACTAAAACTGTTCCAAAAGATTGAGAAAGAGGGAATCCTCCCTAATTCATTCTATGAAGCCAGTATCACCCTAATACCAAAACCAGGAAAGGATATAACACAAAAAGAAAACTACAGACCAATATCTCTAATGAACATAGGCATGAAAATCCTCAACAAAATGCTGGCCAACTGAATCCAACAGCACATCAAAAAGATAATACATCCTGATCAAGTGGGTTTCATCCCAGGGATGCAAGAGTGGCTTAACATATACAAGTTAATAAATGTGATACATCATATAAACAGAATTAAAAACAAAAACAATTGATCATCTCAATGGATGCAGAAAAAGCATTTGATAATATCCAGCATCCCTTCCTGATAAAAACCCTCAATAAACTAGGCATAGAAGGGACTTACTTCAAAAAAATAAAAGCCATATGTGACAAACCCACAGCCAATATCATACTGAATGGTGACAACTTGAAAGCATTTCCCCTGAGAACTGGAACAAGACAAGGATGCCCACTTTCACCACTTCTATTCAACATAGTGCTGGAATTCCTATGCAGAGCAATCAGGCAAGAGAAAGAAATAAAGGGCATCCAAATCGGAAAAAAGGAGGTCAAACTAGTGCTGTTCACCAATGATATGATCTTATACTTAGAAAACCCTAAAGACTCACCCAAAAGACTCTTAAATTTGATAAATGAATTTAGTAAAGTCTCAGATAACAAAATTAATGTACACAAATCAGCACTGCTATGTATCAACAACAACTGAGCCAAGAATCAAATCAAGAATTCAATTCCCTTTACAATAGCAGAAAAACAAAATGAAAACAAAACCCTAACCAAGGAGGTAAAAGACCCCTATAAGGAAAACTACAAAACACTGCTGAAAGAAATCATAGATGACACAAACAAATGGAAATACATCTTATGCTTATGGATGGGAAGAACCAATATTGTAAAAATGACCATACTGCCAAAGCAATCTACAGATTCAATGCAATTCCCATCAAAATACCATGATTTTTCACACAGAAAACAATCCTAAAATTCATATGGAACAAAAAAAGAGCCCGAATAACCAAAGTAATCCTAAGCAAAAAGAACGAATCTGGAGGTATCACATGATGACTTCAAATCATACTACAAGGCTATAGTTACCAAAACAGCATGGTACTGGTATAAAAACAGGCACTTAGACCAATGGAAGAGAAGAAAGAACACAGAAATAAAGTCAAATACTTAAAGAGCCAACTGATCTTCAACAAAACATACATAAACTGGGGAAAGGACACCCTATTCAATAAATGGTGCTGGGAAAACTGGCAAGCCACATGTAGAAGAATAAAACGGGATTGCCATCTCTCACAATATACAAAAACCAATTCAAGATGGATCAAAGATTTAAATCTTAGCCCTGAAACCATAAAAATTCTATGAAATAACATTAGAAAAAGTATTCTGGACATTAGCTTATGCAAAGAATTCATGACCAAGACCCCAAAAGCAAATGCAACAAAAATAAAAACAAATGGGACCTAATTAAACTAAAAATCATCTGCACAGCAAAAGAAATAATTGGCAGAGTAAACAGACAACCCACAGAATGGGAGAAAACAATTGCAAACTATGTATCTGACAAAGGGTTAGTATCCAGAATTTACAAGGAACTCAAACCAATCAGAAAGAAATCCCATCAAAAATTGGGTGAAGGATATGAATAGACATTTTTCAAGAGAAGATATAGAAAAATGACTAACAAACATGAAAAAATGCTCAACATCACTAATCATCAGGGAAGTGCAAATCAAAACCACAATGAGATATCACCTTACTCCTGAAAGAATGGCCATAGTTAAAAAGTCAAAAAACGATAGATGTGGGCGTGGATGTGGCGAAAAGGAAACACTTTTACACTGCTAATGGGAATGTAAATTAGTACAACCTCTAAGGGAAACAGTGTGGCGATTCCTTAAAAGTAGATCTACCATTCACTCCAACAATCCCACTACAGGGTATCTATCCAAAGAAAAAGAAGTCATTATATGAAAAAGACACAGGCACACACACGTTTATAGCAGCGCAATTCACAATTGTAAAGATAACGGAGTCAACCTAACTGCCCACTGACCAATGAGTGGATAAAGAAAATGTGGTATGTATAAAAAAGGAATACTACTTAGACATGAAAAGGAATGAAATAATGTCTTTTGCAGCAAGTCGGATGATGCTGGAGGCCATTATTCTAAGTGAAGTAATTCGGGAATGGAAAACCAAATACTATATGTTCTCATTTATGAGTGACAGCTAAGCTCTGAGGATGCAGATATGCAGAGTGATATAATGGACTTTGAGGACTTGAGGAGGAGGGTGGGAGGAAGATGAGGGATAAAAGGCTACATATTGGGTGCAGTGTACGTTGCTTAGGTGATAAGTGCAGTGAAATCTCAGAATTCACCACTACAGAATTCATCCATGTAGCCAAAAACCACTTGTAGCCCAAACCAAAAGCTATTGAAATTAAAAGAATAAATAAAAAGAGAAACTATTGTAAGCCCACAACACACAGAATCAGGGAGTCACTGAGTTACTGTGAGAATGTTCAGCTAATCTTTTTTTTTTTTTAATGACAACTTAATGTGCCCAAAGCAATCTAAACAGTTTAGGCATCATTGCAAACCACTTTGTGAAACAATATATTATAAATATAAAATTGTTGTTCCTTAAATATAAAGGCTGCTGGAGAATTAAATCTTCAGGGTATTATTAAAGATTTTCATATTTTTTCTTAAAAATTTAATTCTGAAGAAGGAAATATAATCAGGTAAAGCAATTAGGTCTGTTTATGAAAAGCCTGGCAGACTTACCTCTATCATAGAGCCGTCTTATGCTGATTGCCTTTTAATTAGGCCATTGCTGTATATCTTAATCCTAGGATGTTCTGATAATGTTGACAATCTCAGTGGTGTATGGAGAAGGTTCATGCTTAACATACAAATTTGGAACATGAGTCAGGCTTGGTTCAAACACGTTTAGGTTTTTTTTCACATGTATTTTCTTTTGGCAAGTAATCCTTCATAATATGTGAATATCATCAGATCATTATCGATGGAATTAAACAGAAACAGCTCAAATTGATATAGTTAATTGCACCCTGCATAGAACTAGATAGGAAGCAATAAAATGGCAATATCAGTAGCATACTTCCAGTAAATCGAGAATAGGGTTACAGAAGAAGTATCCTGCTATCTTGGAGGCACATAATGAGGAATCCAAAGTAGCATCTTGATTCATTTTTTCAATTGCCACAAAGGATCATTGGGTTAGAAAGAACAGAGTTGCCTATGAAAAAAGGCTATTGACAGTCAGTTTAGGATGGAGACACTGGGAGCTGCAGTATCACACACCCCTCTCCTGCATTGCATAGTGAATTTTGAAGGGAAGCAAAGTCTTCGATTAACGTCAAATAATTGCAGAAATAACTGCTAAGAATTAGCAGTATGTTCCATGAAGTGAGAAGTAAATATCCTAGCATAGAACAAATGGAACAAAGTCTAGAGTGGGACATAGAAAGGAAGATGGGAACCGTTAGTCAAACTGGTTAAAAAGATTAACTGTTTCTTGCCATACCAAGGAAGAAAGGAAGAGATAGTCAAACTGGTTAAAGATTATTATCAATTTATTACCGAGTAAAATGTAGAAAGTGAAATCACAATGTCCTAGAATAATGGATTAGACCAAGGAGCCAAAGAGAGGATGGATTAAAAATACATGTACTCTATGAACTGGCAATTCCATGTCTAGGTATATATCCAAGAGAAAAAGATAGTCCAAAAAAACTTTAACATAAATATTCGTGTCAGTTTTATTTGTAATATTCCCAAATTAAGCTGGGAAGGAGCACACAGGAACATTCTGGGGTAATGGAAATTTTCTATATCTTGATTGGGTTAGTGATGACATGGCTGAATACGTTTGTCAAAATTAATTGAACTTTACATTTAAACTATATGAATTTTATTGTAAATTGTACCTCAGTAAAGCCAATTTTAAAAAGAGATGGAAGAGATTGGGGAGGTGGGGGACATACCTTCAAATTGTGGGACAGAACCAGTAGAAAAATCTTGCCTTCCAAGATAGCAAGTGAACAGCAATATCCCCAGGTTGAAAGCAGCTATGTGTTCTTGAGCCAATAACCCAAACTACTTTATAGTTTGTATATATAACTAGGTACAAGTAGACTATGTATAGTAAATAGTCTCAGACTACAACTGAACTATTCAAAATATCCTTATTTATTTGGACACAAAGTTATAAAAACTTGGACATGTAGAACAAATATCTTTTAAAATCTGCAACACTTAAGAGAAATTTGCTGTCCTGATGCTACACAATTTCCAAATATTTTAGTGGGTGTGATAGGCAGACTAATGGCCCCTAAAATGTCAGATCTCAATGTCTGGAAGCTGTAAACATTGCCTTATAAGGAAAAAGGGTCTTTGCATATATGACTAAGGATCTTCAGATGAATATATTATCCTGGGTTATTCAGGTGGGTTCCAAATGCTTTCACAAGTGTTCTGATAAGAGAGGAAAAAAGATTAGAGAGAGACATAGAAGAGGAGGAAGCAATGTGGCCATCCAGGCAGAGATTATGGTATTGGAAAGGAAGGGAAAAAGGAATGAAGAAGAGCAATACTTTATTTTTCATTACTTAAATAAACGTCTATGTATAGACCTGTCATGTCTGCCAGGTGGAAATTTTATTTTTAGTTTCTTTGAGTTGTTCAATTCCATGGGGTTGTGCTGCAGTTTGAGAGGGCTTGCATTGTGCTAGAGTATTGGTGAGAAGCCCACCTGTTCCTTGGTCTTCGGACCATCCAGGCCAGTGCTGAAAGCCCTTGTTTCTGTTCACGTAGCCTCCCCCATCCAGAAGACTACTGCTTAATTGCTATGTTGGGCACCTCATGGTTCTCTCTGCTGCTTCTGGCTCCCACTTTAGAGGTTAGCTCCATGCAGAACCCCTTCATTCTTTTGGTCTAAAATCCAGGGAAACATCATTCTGGCATTGGGTGGGGGCAGCATGGGGAAAGCCCCACAACCTTCTGCCTGTTATTTCCAAATATTTAATTTATGCCCCAACCTCTTTTTTCCTTCAACTTTTAAGTTCCAGGGTACATGTGCAGGATGTGCAGGTTTGTTACATAGGTAAATGTGTGCCATGGTGGTTTGCTGCACCTATCAATCCATCACTTGGGTATTAAGCCCAGCATTCATTAGCTATTCTTCCTGATGCTCTTCCTCCCTGTGGGCCCACCCCACCCACTGTGACAGCCCCCAGTGTGTGTTGTTCCCTACCATGTGTCCATTCTCATTGGTCAACTCCTTTTTAAAGTTCTCTCTAAATGCTTGAAATTTTGGAGCACAGAAGACAGAGTGAGCCACACGTTGTTTACCCTTTCTGTCACTGCTAGCTTCATACAATTCTAGGGGTGAATAACTTCCCAGGAATTATTATAGATGAGTACCTGGCCCTGGCGGACCCTGCTTAAGGATTGGAGTGAAAATTCTGATGTTCAGAGTGGGTACATCCTGTGGAATGGTTTCCTTCAAGAATTCTATTTTTTTTTCTGTCTCAGAACATATGTAAACACATTCAGTTCTAGTTACAATTATTCACTGACCCAAACAGTTACTAATCTTCTGTTTAAATATCTATTTATCTGTGAAATCTGTTAAACTGCTGTTAAAAACACCCCACAAACATTATGGAAGTTTGTATATGAACTGTGTATTTGATGATATTATGGAAGTTTTGTTAATTTTGTTAGTTATGACAGTGGTATCACGGTTTGTAGGAGAATTTCCTTATTTTAAAAAGATATGTGTTGAAATGTTACGGGTGACATGGTATGAAGTCTGCAAATTGCCTTCAAATGGGTCAGTAAAATTGTGTGTGTGTGTGGTGTGTGTGTGTGTTGTGTGGTATGCATGGAGTGTGTGTGTATGTGTGTGTTGTGTGGTATGTATGTGTGTGTGTGTCCCTTGCTCCCGCTTCTCTACCCTTTTCTACTCAAACACAGAGCAGACTCCTATAAAGATAGGGAGAGGGAGAGGAAGACAGTAAATCACATGTGAAAAAATATGAAAAAAATTGTTAAATTTAAGTAAAGGATTATGTATGGTCACTGTAATATTGTAATATTGATTCAATTTCTCTAAAAAGCCTCAACTTCTCCCAAAGTCTCACTTTCTTTTTTGGTAAACTAATAATAACAATGAGAAAAAAGGATTATCAGAATGTATGGTGTTCTTGCGAGATAAAGCAAGCTAATAATATATGTAAAGCACTTAGCATGTGTTAGAAAATGCTTAATATTCATCACAATAGCTATTTCATTATCATTATTGTTGAGCCTGCAGACCCCTCGTGGGTCGTGAGATTTTAGGGAATGATCTGCATTGCTCTGGGGCCACTAAACTCTGAAACACCAAATTTCAAAGTCTCAAGTTTTGAGAATTTTTTGAAAGCTACGATTGCATAGAGGTGGGCTACTATTCCTCAGCTTTATTTGAAATCAGAGCAGCTGTGGGTCTCCTAAAGACTTTCCAGATTTATGGAAATACTGCGTTAGTAAGAAGTTGGAAAAATGAAAGTTCTGGGATCCTTCTGTGGCTCCTTCCTCTTGGGACACATGCTAGGAATCTTTTTCTGGAGAGACCCCAGGTTATAGGAGCCAATGCTGTGGATTCTGTGCCTCCCTATGACAAATATATATTTTTTCAGTTGAGAGTTTGACATACATAACATGTAGGAAGAGGAATGCTTTTTATTCCTGTTAATGACTACCTAGTTTGGGTATTATTCATTTATTCATTCATTTATTTAATCATTCATCCATCCCTGTAATATTTATTGAGCACCTGTTATGTGAAGACACGTCCAGATATTATTTTTTTAAATCTTGCTTCATCTGTCCCAGGCTTTTTTCCCTCAACATACAGTAAGAGATGCCTGGAGATAAATGAAATGCCAAGTGTATTTTAATCCCTTAGAAGTACTGAAATAACCTATTGGGTATTATGCTGATTACCTGGGTGACAAAATTGTACACCAAAATGCCGCAACACACAATTGACCCACATAACAAACCTGCACATGTATCCCTTGAATCTAAAATAAAAGTTGGAAAGAAGAAAAGAAAATCAACATTTAATTTCCACTCTCCTAACTTCAATTAATGTAAGTCTGGACCTGTTACTACAAAAATAGTACCATATCCAAAAGATCAATAAGTTCTAGTCAACATTTTTCTTATTTCAGTCAATTTAATATAGATAAAAATTCCAGTACAAATGAAATGATGTGAATTATTCCTTACAGTAGAGACTCAAACCTGGATGCTCATTAGAATCAGCTAAAGATTTTAAAATATTTCTCATTGTTTTTTTTAAAAAGCCTTCAGAATCTACTGAACCAGAATCTCTAAAGTCTCAGGACTCTATTGTTTTAACAGTTTCCGGATGATTTCTGATAAAACTGGTAGATAGATTGGCATTTAATAAATACTTCCTCAGAGTACACTGTAATAGGATGTGTATTTCAACACACATTTTGAATTGGAAATGGAAAGGTTTTGTTTTTCTTTGTCAAACCTGAAAACTTAATCCTGAAATAAAGAGGTCAACTTAAAAATATTAGCATACATTTAAGAACCCTCCCACCCCCAAAATGAGTAGACCCTTAGTTCTATTCTCATCAACACAAGCTCCCAAGCAGGTCGTCCTGATCTGGTGAGTAGGTTCTAGAAACCCAACAACAATCTCTTAAAATTATATTAAACATTTTGCTAAGGTAGGCTTTTCATCTCATTTCTTTGTAGTATTGGGGCCGTACTGTGTATACTGCATTGGAGCCTTACACAGAAAGCTGGTGTTGTAATGTGGTTTTCTTATGCCGACTCTCTTGTTGACGAGATACACCTGGGGTGTTTTTCTCAGACTTGGATCATGCAATTCATTGTTCTTGCTTTTCAAATCATCTCGAGGACCTAGAGACTCACAGGACTTTGGAGGGTATCTGATGTTTTTAGCTACAATTTATTTTTAAGTAAATATTTGAAAAAACTTCTTAAAGGTTCCAAATATTGAGAATGAACCTATACTAAAAATATAAATAAAGCAAGTTTTCCACTGAGAGGATAGTGGAATATTTTAAACTGTATTTCCTTAGAGACAAAGTAAAGAGATGTATCAGAAAGATAATTCTTGATATTTGAATGGCAGAATTAAATATATCTTGGAATTTAAAGTTTGTATGCCAAAAAGAACAATATTTTGGATTTGAAGCATGGTGAACTGAAATAAATTCTGCCCTCCTTCCTTTTTTCTACCCCAATGACCAATAATTCTAACTACTTAAGTAGCATGCTACCCAGCAGGTAATATATGCTTAATAAGTATATACCAAATATAATAAGGACCAACCTAAGATGAAAGTTAAAGTTAAAGAAAGACTTAACCAATTAATTCAGTTGCTATTTTGGTGAAATTTTTGTTTTACATAGGTAGTGGAATGGCCATAATTCAATGAAAAGATGAGGGGTATATATCCTGAAAAAGAAGGAGAAAGAAGATGAAAAAAAGGTAGAAAAACCAGGAGTTCTTCAGGTTTATAGTTTTTGTTATAGTTTTTTGTTATTTCTGCTGTATGTTATTTAGTCTAACATGGTGCAAGGCTAGATAGTACAATTACAATGGTTTAAAAAGGCCTCTGTGATTCTTTGACAATCCTCCCATTGAGAGGCAGGGTCAATATTCCCTTCCCTTTGAATCTGGGCTTACCCTAGTGATTTTTTTTCTTCAACTTTTATTTTAGGTTCAGGGGTACATGTGCAGGATGTGCAGGTTTGTTATAAAGGCAAATGTGTGCCATGGTGGTTTGCTGCACAGATCAGCCCATCACCTAGGTATTAAGTCCTGCATCCATTAGCTATTTTTTCTGATGCTCTCCCTTCCCTCCCTATTCTGAAAGACCCCAGTGTATGGTGTTCTCCCCATATGTCCATGGGTTCTCATCATTGTGCTCCCACACATGAATGAGAACATGGAGTATTTGCTTTTCTGTTCCTGCATTAGTTTGCTGAGGATAACGGCTTCCAACTCCATCCATGTCCCTACAAAGGACATAATCTCGTTCCTTTTTATGGCTGCATAGTATTCTATGGTGTATATGTACCACATTTCCTTTATCTTGTCTATCATTAATGGGCATTTAGTTGATTCCATGTCTTTGTTTTTGTGAATAGTGCTGCAATGAACATACACATGCATGTATCTTTATAATAGAATGATTTCTATTTTGGGGGGTATATACCCAGTAATGGATTGCTGGGTCGAATAGTATTTCTGCCTCTAGGTCTTTGAGGAATTGCCACACTGTCTTCCACAATGGTTAAACTAATTTACACTCCCACCAATGATGTAAAAGCATTCCTTTTTCTCCACAACCTCACCAGCATCTGTTGTTTTTTGACTTTTTAATAATAGCCATTCTGACTGTCATAAAATGGTATCTCATTGTGGTTTTGATTTGCACTTCTCTAATGATCAGTGATGTTGAGCTTTTTTTCATATGTTTGTTGGTTGCATGTGTCTTATTTTGAAAAGTGTCTGTTCATGTCCTTTGCCCACCTTTTAATGGTTTTTTTTTTCTTTTTTGTAAATTTAAGTTCCTTGCAGACCCTGGATATTAGACCTTTGTCAGATGGATAGATTTCAAAAAAGTTCTCTCATTCTGCAGGTTGTTTGTTCACTCTCATGTTAGAGTTTCTGCTCTGCAGAAACTCTTCAGTTTAATTATATCCCATTTTTAAATTTTTGCTCTTGTTACAATTGGTTTTGGCATTTTTGTCATGAAATCTTTGCTCATGCCTATGTCCTGAATGATATGGCCTAGATTTTCTTCTAGGGTTTATAAGTTTTGGGTTTTACATTTAAGTCTTTAATACATCTTGAGTTGATTTTTTTTTTTTTTTTTGAGATGGAGTCTCACTCTGTTGCCTGGGCTGGAGAGCAATGGCATGATCTTGGCTCACTGCAATGTCTGCCTCCCAGGTTCAAGTGATTCTCCTGCCTCAGCCTCCCAAGTAGCTGGGACTACAGGAGTGCACTACCATGCCTGGCTAATTTTTGTATTTTTAGTAGAGATGGGGTTTCACCATGTTGGCCAGGTTGGTCTTGAATTCCTGACCTAAGGTGATCTGCCTGCCTTGGCCTCCCAAAGTGCTGGGATTACAGGTGTGAGCCAATGCACCTGGCCTTTGAGTTGATTTTTGTATATGGTGTAAGGGAGGGGTCCAGTGTCAATTTTCTGCATATGGCTAGTCAGCTCTCCCCCAGGTTTTTCTAAGGTCAGATGATTGTAGGTATGTGGTCTTATTTCTGAGTTCTGTATTCTGTTCCATTGATCTGTGCATCTGTTCTTGTACCAGTACCACGCTGTTTTGGTTACTGTAGCCTTGTAGTATAGTTTGAAGTCAGGTAGCATGATGCCTTCAGTGTTGTTCTTTTTGCTGAGGATTGTCTTGGCTCTTCAGTCTCATTTTTCGTTCCATATGAATTGTAAAATAGTTTTTTCTAACTTTGTGAAGAATGTCAATGGTTGTTTACTGGGAATGGCATTGAATGTATAAATTACTTTGGGCAGTATGGCCATTCTGACAATATTGATTCTTCCTGTCCATGAGTATGGAATGTTTCTCCATTTTGTGTGTGTGTGTGTGTCCTCTCCAACTTCTTTGAGCGGTGGTTTGTAGTTCTTTTTGAAGAGGTCCTTCACTTCCCTTGTTAGCTGTATACCTAGCTATTTTATTCTTTTTTTGTAGCAATTGTGAATGGGAATTCATTCATGATTTGGTTCTCTGCTTCCCTATTGTTGATGTATAGGAATGCTAGCCATTTTGCACATTGATTTTGTGTCCTGAGAATTTCCTGAAGTTGCTTATCAGCTTAAGCTTTTGGGTTGAGATGATGGGGTTTTCCAGATATAGGCTCATGGCATGTGCAAAACAGATAATTTGACTTCCTCTCTTCTTGTTTGAATACTGTTTATTTTTTTCTCTTGCCTGATTGCCCTGGCCAGAACTTCCAATACTACGTTGAATAGGAGTGGTGAGGGAGGGCATCCTTGTCTTGTGCCAGTTTTCAAGGGGAATGCTTTCGGCTTTTCAGTATGATGTTGGCTATGGGTTTGCCATATATGACTCTTATTATTTTGAGGTATCATCCTTCAATATCTAGTTTATTGAGAGTTTTTAACCTGAAGGGATGTTGAATTTTATTGAAGGCTTTTTCTGCATCTATTAAGATAATCGTATTGTTTTTGTCTTCAGTCCTGTTTATGTAATGAATCACATTTATTGATTTGCATATGTTGAACTAACCTTGCATCCTGGGGATGAAGCCAACTTGATTGTGGTGGATAAGCTTTTTGCTGTGCTGATGGATTCAGTTTGCCAGTATTTTGTTGAGGATTTTTGCATTGACGTTCATCAGGGATATTGGCCTCAAGTTATCCTCTTTTGTTACATCTCTGCCAGGTTTGGGTATCAAGATGATGCTGGCCTCACAGAAAGAGTTAGGGAGGAGTCCCTCCTTTTCAGTTGTTTGGAATAGTCTCAGTAGAAATGGCATCAGCTTTTCTTTGTCCCTCTGGTGGAATTCAGCTGTGAATTCCTCTGGTCCTCGGTTTTTGTTGTTGTTGTTGTTGGTAGGCTATTTATTACTGCCTCAATTTCAGAACTATTGCTTGGCTATTGAGGCATTGAATTTCTTCCTGGTTCAGTCTGGGGAGAGGGTGTATGTGTCCAGGAATTTACCTACTTCTTTTAGATTTTCTAGTTTATGTGCATACAGGTGTTTATAGTATTCTCTGATGATTGTGTTTCCATGGGGTCAGTGGTGATATCCTCCTTGTCGTTTTTGATTGTGTTTACTTGATTCTTCTCTCTTTTCTTCTTTATTAGCCTAGCTAGTGGTCTATTTTATTAATTTTTTCAAAAGCCAGCTCCTAGATTCGTTGATTTTTTTGAAGGGTTTTTTATGTCTCTCTCTTCATTTCACCACTGATCTTGGTTAAGTCTTGTCTTCTGCTAGCTTTGAGGTTTGTTTGCACTTAGTTCTCTAGTTCTTTTAGTTGAAATGTTAGGTTGTTAACTTGAGATCTTTCTAACTTTCTGATGTGGCCGTTTAGTGCTATAAATTTCCCTCTTAACACTGCTTTAGCTGCATCCCAGAGATTCTGGTGTGTTGTCCCTGTGTTCTCATTAGTTTCAAAGAACTTCTTGATTTCTTCCTTTGTTTCATTATTTACCCAAGAATCATTCAGGAGCAGGTTGTTCAATTTCCATGTAGTTGTGTGGTTTTGAGTGGAATTTCTTAATCTTGAGTTCTAATTTGATTATGTTGTGGTCTAAGAGACTGTTATACTTCAGTTCTTTTGCATTTGCTGAAGAGTGTTTTTATTTTTTTATTTTTATTTATTTTTTTTTTTTAAATTTTTTTATTATACTTTAAGTTTTAGGGTACATGTGCACATTGTGCAGGTTAGTTACATATGTATACATGTGCCATGCTGGTGCACTGCACCCACTAACTCGTCATCTAGCATTAGGTATATCTCCCAATGCTATCCCTCCCCCCTCCCCCCACCCCACAACAGTCCCCAATGTGATATTCCCCTTCCTGTGTCCATGTGTTCTCATTGTTCAATTCCCACATATGAGTGAGAATATGTGGTGTTTGGTTTTTTGTTCTTGCGATAGTGTACTGAGAATGATGTTTTCCAATTTCATCCATGTCCCTACAAAGGACATGAACTCATCATTTTTTATGGCTGCATAGTATTCCCTGGTGTATATGTGCCACATTTTCTTAATCCAGTCTATCATTGTTGGACATTTGGGTTGGTTCCAAGTCTTTGCTATTGTGATTAGTGCCACAATAAACATACTTGTGCATGTGTCTTTATAGCAGCATGATTTATAGTACTTTGGGTATATACCCAGTAATGGGATGGCTGGGTCAAATGGTATTTCCAGTTCTAGATCCCTGAGGAATCGCCACACTGACTTCCACAATGGTTGAACTAGTTTCCAGTCCCACCAACAGTGTAAAAGTGTTCCTATTTCTCCACATCCTCTCCAGCACCTGTTGTTTCCTGACTTTTTAATGATCGCCATTCTAACTGGTGTGAGATGGTATCTCATTGTGGTTTTGATTTGCATTTCTCTGATGGCCAGTGATGGTGAGCATTTTTTCATGTGTTTTTTGGCTGCATAAATGTCTTCTTTTGAGAAGTATCTGTTCATGTCCTTCACCCACTTTTTGATGGGGTTGTTTGTTTTTTTCTTGTAAATTTGTTTGAGTTCCTTGTAGATTCTGGATATCAGCCCTTTGTCAGATGAGTAGGTTGCGAAAATTTTCTCCCATTTTGTAGGTTGCCTGTTCACTCTGATGGTAGTTTCTTTTGCTGTGCAGAAGCTCTTGAGTTTAATTAGATCCCATTTGTCAATTTTGGCTTTTGTTGCCATTGCTTTTGGTGTTTTAGACAGGAAGTCCTTGCCCATGCCTATGTCCTGAATGGTAATGCCTAGGTTTTCTTCTAGGGTTTTTATGGTTTTAGGTCTAACATTTAAGTCTTTAATCCATCTTGAATAAATTTTTGTATAAGGTGTAAGGAAGGGATCCAGTTTCAGCTTTCTACATATGGCTAGCCAGTTTTCCCAGCACCATTTATTAAATAGGGAATCCTTTCCCCATTGCTTGTTTTTCTCAGGTTTGTCAAAGATCAGATAGTTGTAGATATGTGGCGTTATTTCTGAGGGCTCCGTTCTGTTCCATTGATCTATATCTCTATTTTGGTACCAGTACCATGCTGTTTTGGTTACTGTAGCCTTGTAGTATAGTTTGAAGTCAGGTAGTGTGATGCCTCCAGCTTTGTTCTTTTGGCTTAGGATTGACTTGGCGATGCGGGCTCTTTTTTGGTTCCATATGAACTTTAAAGTAGTTTTTTCCAATTCTGTGAAGAAAGTCATTGGTAGCTTGATGGGGATGGCATTAAATCTGTAAATTACCTTGGGCAGTATGGCCATTTTCACGATATTGATTCTTCCTACCCATGAGCATGGAATGTTCTTCCATTTGTTTGTATCCTCTTTTATTTCCTTGAGCAGTGGTTTGTAGTTCTCCTTGAAGAGGTCCTTCACATCCCTTGTAAGTTGGATTGCTAGGTATTTTATTCTCTTTGAAGCAATTGTGAATGGGAGTTCACTCATGATTTGGCTCTCTGTTTGTCTGTTGTTGGTGTATAAGAATGCTTATGATTTTTGTACATTGATTTTGTATCCTGAGACTTTGCTGAAGTTGCTTATCAGCTTAAGGAGATTTTGGGCTGAGACAATGGGGTTTTCTAGATATACAATCATGTCATCTGCAAACAGGGACAATTTGACTTCCTCTTTTCCTAATTGAATACCCTTTATTTCCTTCTCCTGCCTAATTGCCCTGGCCAGAACTTCCAACACTATGTTGAATAGGAGTGGTGAGAGAGGGCATCCCTGTCTTGTGCCAGTTTTCAAAGGGAATGCTTCCAGTTTTTGCCCATTCAGTCTGATATTGGCTGTGGGTTTGTCATAGATAGCTCTTATTATTTTGAAATACGTCCCATCAATACCTAATTTATTGAGAGTTTTTAGCATGAAGTGTTGTTGAATTTTGTCAAAGGCTTTTTCTGCATCTATTGAGATAATCATGTGGTTTTTGTCTTTGGTTCTGTTTATATGCTGGATTAGATTTATTGATTTGCATATATTGAACCAGCCTTGCATCCCAGGGATGAAGCCCACTTGATCATGGTGGATAAGCATTTTGATGTGCTGCTGGATTTGGTTTGCCAGTATTTTATTGAGGATTTTTGCATCAATGTTCATCAAGGATATTGGTCTAAAATTTTCTTTTTTGGTTGTGTCTCTGCCCGGCTTTGGTATCAGGATGATGCTGGCCTCATAAAATGAGTTAGGGAGGATTCCCTCTTTTTCTATTGATTGGAATAGTTTCAGAAGGAATGGTACCAGTTCCTCCTTGTACCTCTGGTAGAATTCAGCTGTGAATCCATCTGGTCCTGGACTCTTTTTGGTTGGTAAGCTATTGATTATTGCCACAATTTCAGATCCTGTTATTGGTCTATTCAGAGATTCAACTTCTTCCTGGTTTAGTCTTGGGTGAGTGTATGTGTCGAGGAATTTATCCATTTTGAAGAGTGTTTTACTTCCAATTATGTGATGACTTTTAGAGTAAGTGCTGTGTAGCAATGAGAAGAATGTATATTCTGTGGTTTTTGGGTGGAGAGTTCTGTAGATATCTGTAGGTTCACTTGGTCCAGAGCTGAGTTCAGGTCCTGAATATCTTTGTTAATTTTCTGTCTTGATGATCTGTCTAATATTGTCAGTGGGGTGTTAGTCTCCCACTATTATTGTATGGGAGTCTAAGTATCTTTGTAGGTCTCTAAGAACTTGCTTTATAAATCTGGGTGATCCTGTATTGGGTACATATATATTTAGGAGAGTTAGCTCTTCTTGTTGAATTGAACCCTTTACCGTTATGTAATGACCTTCTTTTTCTTTCTCGATCTTTGTTGGTTTAAAATTTATTTTGTCAGAAACTAGGATTGAAACTCCTGCTTTTTTCTGTTTTCCATTTGCATGGTAAATTTTCCTTCATCCCTTTATTTTGAGCCTGTGTTTGTCTTTGCACGTGAGATGGGTCTTTTGGAGACAGCATACCAATGGGTCTTAGCTCTTTATCCAGCTTGCCATTTTGTGTCTTTTAATTGGGGACATTTAGCCCATTTACATTTAAGGTTAATATTGATATGTATGAATTTGATCCTGTCATGATGTTAGCTGGTTATTTTGTGAACTTGTTTATGTGGTTGCTTCATAGTGCCACTAGTCTGTGTGCTTTAGTGTGTTTTTGTAGTGGCTGGTAATAGTTTTTCCTTTCCATATTTAGTGCTTCTTTCAGGAGCTCTTGCAAGGCATGCCTGGTGGTGACAAATTCCCTAAGCATTTGCTTGTCTGGAAAGGATCTTATTTCTTTTTTGCTTATGAAGCTTAGTTTTGCCAGACATGAAATTCTGGGTTGGAAGTTCTTTTCTTTAAGAATGTTGAATAATTGGCCCCCAATCTCTTCTAGCTTGTAGGGTTTTCACTGAGAAGTCTGCTGTTAGTCTGTTGGGTTTCCCTTTGTAGGTAACCTGGACTTTCTCTCTGGCTGCCATTAACATTTCTTCCTTTGGGAGGCTGAGGCAGGTGGATCACGAGGTTGGGAGATCGAGACCATCCTGGCTAACATGGTGAAACCCCGTCTCTACTAAAAATACAAAAAATTAGCTGAGCGTGGTGGCGGGTGCCTGTAGTCCCAGCTACTCAGGAGGCTGAGCCAAGAGAATGGTGTGAACCCAGGAGGCAGAGCTTGCAGTGAGCAGAGATCACACCACTGCACTCCAGCCTGGGCAACAGAGTGAGACTCTGTCTCAAAAAAAAAAAAACCAAAAAACATTTCTTCCTTCATTTCAAACTTGGAGAATCTGATGACTCTGTGTCTTGGGGCTGATCTTCTCATGCAATATGTTATGGGGTTCTCTGGATTTCCTGAATTTGAATGTTGGCCTGTCTTGCTAGGTTGGGGAAGTTCTCCTGGGTGATATCCTGAAGTATGTTTTCCACCTTGGTTCCGTTCTCCATGTCTCTTTCAGGTACCCCAATCAGTTGTATGTTCAATCTCTTTACATAGTCCCATAATTCTTGGAGGTTTTGTTCATTTCTTTTGACTCTTTTTTCTTTATTCTTGTCTACCTACCTTATTTCAGAAAGATAGTCTTCATGCTCTGAGATTCTTTCCTCTGCTTGGTCTATTCTGCTATTGATAGTGGTGATTCATTGTGAAGTTCTCATGTTGTGTTTTTTGGCTCCGTCAGGTTGGTTATGTTTCTCTCTAAACTGGCTATTCTGGCTATCAGTGCCTGTATTGTTTCATGATGATTATTAGCTTCTTTGTATTGGGTTACAACATACTCCTTTAGCTCAGTACAGTTCGTTATTACCCACCTTATGAAGGCTACTTCTCTCAATTCAGCCATGTTAGCCTCAGCCCAGTTCCATGCCTTTGCTGGAGAGGCGTTGTAGCCATTTGGCAGAGAAGAGGCAACTCTGGCTCTTTGAGTTTTCAGCATTTTTGCGTTGATTCTTATCTTTGTGGACCTATCTACCTTCGATCTTTGAGGCTGCTGACCTTTGAATGGGGTTTTGGTGGTTTTTTTTTTTTTTAATGTTGTTGTTGTTGTTTTCTGTTGGTTTGTTCTTCTTCTAACAGTCAGGCCACCCTACTGTAGGGCTGCTGTGGTTTGCTGGGTGTACAGTCCAGACACTAGTTCCCTTGGTTTTTCCTGTACCTGAAGGTATCACCAGTGAAGCCTGTGAAATAGTGAAGATGGCAGCCAACTCCTTCCTCTGGAAGCTCCACCCAGGGGGGTACTGACCTGTAGGAGGTGGCTGGAGACCCTTGTTGGGAGGTCTCACCCAGTCAGGAGGAATGGGATCAGAGAACTGCTTAAAGAAGCAGTCTGGCTGCTATTTGGCAGAGCAGGTGTGCTGCATTGTGGGGGACCTTTCCTTGTCTGCACTGTCTGTATTCTCCAAAGCCAGCAGGCTGAAACAGCTGAGTCAACTGAACCACAGAGATGGTGGTTGCCCCTCCCCCTGGGAGCTCTGTCCCAGGGAGAGACCAGAGCTCTATCTGTAGAATCCTGGCTGGAGTGGCAGAAGCCCCCATGCTGATGTCCTCCCAGTGAGGATAAATGGAAAGGGGTCCTGCTTAAAGAAGCAGTCTGGCCACAATCTGGCAAGGCACCTGTGCTGTGTTGTGGGGAACCTTTTCTGGCCCAGACCCTTTGTATTCTCCAAAGCCAGCAAGCTGGAATGGCTGAGTCTACTGAACCACAGACATGGTAGAAACTCAGACCTGTGTCCTGCAGATTCCAGCCTGTTGCCATTGGCTGGCTGGAATTCCAAACCAGTCAGTCTTAACTTGTGAGGTGCTGTGGAAGTGGGGCCTGCAGAATGACATTGCTTGGCTCCCTGGATTCAGCCCCCTTTCTAGGGATACGTACAGATGGATTTCCCACCTTTCTGGGGATCCTGGGACCAGAGTATATAAAACTCCTGGGTCTCTGTGTGTGACTGAGTGGCTGCTCTGCCAAGACTCCACACAGCTCTGTGTATTGGACCCAAGGTCCTGGTGGCATGGGCTCACGAGGGGATCTCCTCATCTGTGGGTTGCAAAGATCCATGGGAGAAGTGCAGTTTTCCAGGAAGAGTCACACAATCATTCATCACTTCTCTTGGCTGGGAGTGGGGTTCCTTTGGCTCTATGCCATTCTCAGGTGGGCTGTCACCTCCCCACCCCCCGGCTTTTCTTCATTCTCCAGGGGTTGTTTGCCTAGTTAGTCCCAATGCGAGAACCTGGACATAGTTTTGGTTGAAGGTGCTGAATTCACTCACCCCTTTTCATTCCTCTCTGTGAATGCTGCGGACCACAGCTGCTTATAGTCTTGGATCGCTCTACCTTAGTGATGTGCTTGTAATGAACAGAATGCAGCAGAAATGATGTTGTTTCACTTCCAGGGTCAGTCAAGGCCATGTGGCTTCTGAGTTTATCTCTTGAAATTCTCACTGGGAGAAGCCAGCCACCATGTTCAAAGTCTGACTTCTCTCAAAGCACCATGCTGGAGAGGGTGCATGTAGGCAGTTGAGTGCTTGGCTAATGGTTAGCAGCAATGACTGGCTATATGATTTGCTCCACCTTGGACATCTAGCCTGGCAAGCCTTTAGATTACTGCAGCCTCAGTGGACATCTGAATGTAACTGCATGAGAGACTGCGAATGAGAGCTGCTCAGCACTGCCTCACCCAGTTCCTGACCCTCAAAACTGGGAACAAAATAGATGAATTGTAGTTTATACCTCTAAGTTGTGGAATGATTTTTATACAGTAAGAGTGACTGGAACAATTGTGTGGCCTCATGCACTTTAAGGAAAAGTAGAAACAAAGGTTTCAAGTGTCATCCTGCTATGAGAATTTCAGAGCAGGCACATCCTTTGCCAGAATGCAGTTTTCCATTTCATATATCACTCCGCCCTCCCATCCTCTCCCTTGGTGAAGCTCCACAATCCTGCAGCGGCCCCAAATCTTATAAGCTTGTGTGATTCAGGCTTTTCCTAGACTTTCTCATGATTCCGACAACCTCTAGCTCTGTAAAATCTGCATGAGGAACTGTTGTCCAAACTAGCAGAATAAAAGAATCTGTGTTTCGCTCAAAGACACTGATTGGATTTTGAATTGTTTTCCTTCTCCCTGACATTCCCAGAACAAGATGCTTGTTTTTCCAAGATTTTTTCCTGCTGAATAACAGGCTACAAACCATGGCGTAACAGACTTTTGTTGTGAACTGGCCACAAGGGCTCAAAGTTCCTTTTCCCTTCTCCCTTTTTTATTTTACTTAGACTTACCTTCCCTTGGATTACCATAGAGGCAACAGGGGCATGGGGGGAGTAGGATTTTTCCTAACAGATGTGTAGACTTTTCACATCTTGCTTCCATTACTGTGACTTATATTGTTCTGCCCCAAATTTAAAGAAAATGTAATGCACGATTTAGGGAAAATTTCATGAACCAATAACAGAACATGTTCACAGTTTGACACCTATTTAAGGGGAGGCAATCCTTTCTTTCTTCCTTTCTTCGTTTTTAATTTATCTTACTGCATGAGACAACTTATTCTGATATTTTTCTTCCCCTAACCCCCAAAACAAAACTCGTTTTATTTTTTCTTATTCACTTATTCAACAGGCATTCATTGAGCACCATGTGCTTCCCACTGTTCTAGCTATGGAAATAAATATATGAGTAAACAACACAAAGTCCCTGACCTAAGGTAGTTTGCATGAATTAACTAGTATTAATGGATATGGAGAAGAATAAAGTGAGAAAGATAGGGGTGGGGATGGGAGTAGAAGCTGTTCCTAATTTTATATAGGTCTGTCCTCAATTTTTGATAATGTTTGAGTTAGATCTGAAGGAAATTGTAGTAGAGAGAATAATGCTCCCTTCTAAAAATTTGCATGTCCTAATCTTTAAAACCTGTGCATATGTTACCTTATGTGCAAAAGGGACTTTGCAGATGCAATTAAGTGAATGGTTTTGTTTTTTGTTTGTTTGTTTTGTTTCAAGACGGAGTCACGTTCTGACCCTGGCTGGAGTGCAGTGGCACGATCTCGGCTCACTGCAACCTCTGCCTCCTGGGTTCAAGCAATTCTCCTGCCTCAGCCTCTTGAGTAGCTGGGATTACAGGTGCCTGCAACCATGCCCAGCTAATTTTGTTTGTATTTTTAGTGGAGACAGGGTTTCACCATGTTGGTCAGGCTAGTCTTGAACCCCTGACCTCAGGTAATTCACCCACCTCAGCCTCCGAAAGTGCTGGGATTACAGGTGTGAGCTACCGTGCTTAGCCAGGTTAATGGTTTTGAGATGGGAAGATTATCCTGGATTGTCCCAAGAAGATAGTCCCAATGTATTCACAAGGCTCCTTATAAAAGTGAGGCAGAAGGGTCAGAGTCACAAAAGGAGACGTGACATCGGAAGCAGAGTCAGAGAGATTTGAAGATGCTATGCTGGTGATTTGACAATGGAGGAAGGGACCATGAACCAAAGAATGCAGATAGCCTCCAGAAGCTGAAAAAGGCGTGGAAACAGATTCTCCCCTACAGCCTCCAGGAAGAACACAACGCTGCTCTCACCTTGATTTTAGGGCTTCTGGCGTCTGGAACTGCAAGATCATAAATTGATGTTGTTTTAAGCTACTACACTCTTGGTAATTTATTACAGCAGCAATAGGAAACGAATACAGAAATGTGGAAGTAAGGTGTGCAAGTAACTGGGGAAAAAGAAAACCCCAAGGAAAGGGCAGCAAGGGCAAAGGCCTTGCTTGAGGTGGGAGCATGTAGGATGGGTTGAAAAGAGAAAAGGAGTCCATGTGACCATGAGTCAAGTAAGTTGGGGTAGGGGGTGTTGTAAGGGTAGCAGGAGATAAGGCCAGAGAGCTGGAGGATATATGGAGTTAGACCTTTTTTCTGAGTGAGTTTGGAACTCCCCAAAATAGAAAGAATTCATTACAACTGTACTTTGCGAGGCTAAAGCAGGGGGATTGCTTGAGCCCAGGAGTTCAAGACCAGCTTGGACAATGTGGTAAAGCCCCCGTCTCTACAAAAAATTAAAAAATTAGCTGGGCATGGTGAGCAGTCCAAGCTACTCAGGAGCCTGAGGTAGGAGGATCACCTGAGCCCAGAGGATCACCTGAGCCCAGGAAGGTGCAGGCTGCAGTGAGCTGTGATTGTACCACTGCACTCCAGCCTGCATAACAGAGTGAGACCCTGCCTCAAAAAAAAAAAAAAAAAAAATTCATTACAATTGAAAATATATTACCCCATTTATTTGTAGTTTTTCCTTAATGTATCAAAGTTTCTAAATTTCCTTTGAGGATTTTTTCATCATTTCTATGCTTAGAAATTCCTTTTATACCTCAAAATCAATTAAATAACTGATTACTAGTAAGTAATTCCAATTTGTAATGGTCTCACCTCCACTTTTAAACTACATCTTGTTAATTTTCATGCATACTATTATTAGGTAAGGATCAAACTTTATCAGTCTTAAAATTTTTTTGCTCCAGTGGAAGCTAGTGATCTCAACATTTGTTAGAATGTTTACCACATTTTCAGTGTCATGTGACACCTCTGTATAACACATTACATTCCCATATGTACTAGAATCTGTTTTCTGGCTGCATATTCTGTTTCACTGATCTGTTTGTTCTGGACCAGACCTGTTAGGTTTTTAGCAAAGTGCCTAGAAATATATTAGTATATATGTACTTTAACAACTTGCCAAAAGTCTGGAGGTTAAGATAGAGTTTGACTCATTTGAAAAGTTGTTCATATTATTGGAGTACAGGGGAAAGGAGGAGAGCAGGTGAGATGGGGGCAGTGCCTGGAGATGAGGCTAGACACATAGGCAAGACTTGTAAGTCGAGCTGAGCAGTTTATACTTAATTACAAGGGCAATGGAAAATTATTTTATTAAAAGCTTTTAAGCGGAGAGTGGTAGGATCAGATACAGCAGGCCAAAACAATTGTATTCAAAATAAACTCAGTGGAAAGCAAGAGCCCAAAGTCAGAAATAACCATAAGAATTTAAATCCCTTAGGAATATGCAAGATCTTGGGAGGAAGCACTGGACTTCCCCAGTGCTGATCTAAGGGTGAGCCCAACTGACAATTGGTCACAGAGAATGGTTAAATAAATGGTGGAACATTCACAGTTTATTATTTTCCATATTAAAATAAACCAGTATCTAATTCCTACCTTACCAATTACACTGTAGGAGAATTTTCAATGGCATAGAAGACAACAACTTTGTGGCAGATTGTTAAATGAAACTGGAAAGTTATCTTTGGATAGATAACCCAGAGATATATGGGTGATTGTAACTTTTTTCTATTATTTGAATATTCTTTTAATAATTTGTTATACATTTTATAATTAAAAAGGAAAAAATTACTCTAAGATAAAAAAGACACTTGGATTCTGTATTTTCTGAATTTTTGTATGTCTGGAATGATTATTTTTTTCTTTCACACAGGAATAACTATTCATTTAGAGATAATCTCATGTCACAGCTTTTCCCCTAGGAAATCCTATAGACTTTTCTCTATTAGTTTTTTGCATTTTTTATTGGAGAGGGTTTTGAGGTCACACAATGTCTTTTTATGGGGGTACAGGGTATTTCTTTGTTGGTGTGGTAGTTAATTTTATATGTCAACTTTACTGGGCTAAGGGATACCCAGATAGCTGGGAAAATATTTTTTTCTGGGTATCTGTGAGGATGCTTCTGGAAGAGACTGAATTGAATTGATAGACTAAGTAAAGATCTACCCTTCTCAGCCTTGAGGGGTATCATCCAATCTGTTGAGGTCTGGAATAAGATAAAAAGGCTGGGACATCAGAGCTGCTGCTTGGTTCTTCAGACTCTGAGACTTATACCACCAGCATCCACTCCCCTTCCTTACTCTACCCTTCCTTTTTTTTCCTCTTCCCTCCCAACCCCCTCAGGCCTTCAGACTCTTTTCCATTGGTTCTCCTAGTTCTCAGGCCTTTGGATTCAGAATGAATTACACCACTGGCTTCCCTGGTTCTCCAGCTTGCAGGCAGCAGATTGTAGGACTTTTGGCTTCCATAATTACATGAATTGATTCCCATAATTAATTATATATGTATCTATATCATATGTATCCCTCCTATTGGTTCTGTTTCTCTTGAAAACCCTAGTACAGTAGGTAACATCCCTCTAACTCTGAAGACTTATAGGATATTTTCTTGATCTTTGTAATTCAGAAATTTTGGCATGGCTCTCTTTTTGATAATTTTACCTAGAATATGCTAATCACCTTTGATATGCATAATCTAATCTTTATATATTTTAGCTCAGAAAAGTTGTAACTTCTAAATTATTCTGATTTAGTTGGCCTTTCCCTAATGTTTTGACTGGATTTTTATCTAATTTCTCTATATTTATAAAATCATATAGTTTTCCAGTCTGTGTCTTTACAGCTACATTTTAGGATGGCTCTTCAGGTTATTTTCTACATTTGTTTCTTTGCCATATACTTTCCTTTCTTAACTGACTCCATTGTAGATTTTAATTATCTTTCAATGCTAGTTTCCTTTTTGTTCTTCTATACCTCACCTGGCCTCCTATTCATCTCTAAGTATTGTCTTTGCATCAAATTTTGTTGAACTAAGTTGTTTCTATTCTCTCTCTTTGTATTTGCTCTGTCTTCTGGCATCCTATTAAGGATGCCAAGTTTTCTAAAAATTTCCTTTGCTTCCCACCATTTTTTTTTTGAAACAAGTTCTCACTCTGTGGCCCAGGCTGGAATGCAGTGGTGTAATCATAGCTCACTGTAACCTCAAACTTCTGGGCTCAAGTCATCCTCCTGCCTCAGCCTCCTGAGTAACTAGGAGTACAGGCATGTGCCACCACGTTTGGCTAATTTTTTTTTTCTTTTTGTAGAAACTGGGTCTTGCTACATTGCTCAGGCTGGTCTCAAACTCCTGGCCTCAAGCAATCCTTCCACTTTAGCCTCCCAAAGTGTTGGGATTACAGACGTGAGCCATTGTGCCTGGCCTCCACCAAATATTTGTAAGAATAAGTAAGTCGCTTCTAGTCATCAGGGTGTATTATCTTTTCCTTGTGATGCATTATGTTTCCATAGAACCCACTTAATATTGTTTTTCTTCTGTTTAAAAACATTTTTAACTTTTAAATTAAAAAATTAAATTTAAACAAAATTAAAAAGTTGAAGCAAAAATATTTTTTCTTCTTTTACAAAAATGGAAAGAGCTATTTAGACCTGGTGTTTATCATCAGTCAAGATGAGTGGATTATCCTTGAGTCTTTGCATTGTCTCACTGGGTGCCACTTAGCCAATATTTCACTGTACTCTACACATTTAATGAGCACATTCTGCTGGAATGAGGTATGCTTTTTCTCTTAGCTCTGTTCTCTGAAGAGCATGTGCAACATCACAGCCTGCATTGTATGTTCTTATCAAGGCTCCTCCTATTTCTGCCTTTGGTATCTGTCTCTCCTATGGAGCCAGAGTGAGAGAGTGAAGGATGAAGTGTATCTCCTGTTGTCTTTCAACTCAGCATTGCCCTTTGTTTCATATGATGAAGCTTGAGAATGCCTGAATTATTTTTTCTCAATCAAACTCCATTGGCATTTTAGTCAATGGAAATTAATTGCCTTCCATATATTTCCATTATAGTATCTATTAATCTTATTAATGGTTTCATAGTTTTCCAAATCTTCATCAGTATGTTAGTATGTTTTCAGGAAAGGTTGTTGTAGAAGTTGCTAAGCAGATACTAATTTAAAAATGTTAAACTATGTTTTTAAAAAATTTTAATTACATTATTTAATTTTTATGGGCACATAGTAGGTATATATATGGGGTATAAGGGATATTTTGACACAGGCGTACAATGTGTAATAATCACATCAGGGTAAATAGGGTATCCATTGCTTCAAGCATTTATTCTTTGTGTTACAGTCCAATTATACTCTTTCAGTTATTTTAAAATGTACAACTATTGACTATAGTCACCCTGTTGTGCTATTAAATACTAGGTCTTATTGATTCTATTTTTTTGTACCCACTAACCATCCCCACTTTCCCCCAACTTCCCACTACCCTTCCCAGCCTCTGGTAACCATCATTCTACTTTCTATCTCCATGAGTTAATTTGTTTTAATTTTTAGCTCCCACAAATAAGTGAGAACATGTGAAGTTTGTCTTTCTGTGCCTGGCTTATTTCACCTAACAAAATGACTTACAGTTACATCCATATTATTGTAAATGACAAAATCTCATGCTTTTTGTGGTTGAATAGTACTCCATTGTGTACAGGTACCACATTTTCTTTATCCATTCATCTGTTGATGGATGTCTAGGTTGCTTCCAAATCTTGGCTACTGCAAATAGTGCTGCAATAAACATGGGAGTGCAGATATCTCTTTGATATACTGATTTCTTTTCTTTTGACCATATACTAGCAGTGAGATTGCTGGATCATACAGTAGCTCTATTTTTAGTTTTTTAAGGAACCTCCAAACTGTCCTCCTTAGTGGTTGTACTAATTCACGTTCCCACCAACAGTGTATGAAGGTTCTTTTTATTCCACAACCTTGCCAGCGTTTGTTGTTGCCTGTCTTGTGGATAAAAGTAATTTTAACTGAGCAGAGATGATACCTCACTGTAGTTTTGATTTGCATTTCTCTGATGATTAATGATAAGCACCAAGCAGATGCCATTTTATGCCAAAACCTTGTATTTTTCTTTCCTTGGTGGAAATACCTAAGTCTTATATTTAGTTGAAGTGTATTTTCTCAATGGAGTTTTCTCACATAATTACTCATTCTACCACATCCTCACAATGGTTTGATTAATCTGTCTTTTAATATCATTTTAAGCCTCCTAACATCCTTTTTGGAATTTGGAGGACATAAATAATAATATATGAAATGAATTTCTGCTCTAACAAAAGTAGCTAAATCACTAAGATTAAAATAATATAAAACTTCAAAAATTAATAATACTCAGAATTTCCAAGCCGGGTTGCCTACATTGAATACTTCCTGTATATTTTTAAGCTAATTATTCACCCAGTATCCTGGGTAAACATTATCATATTTATCTCTGTGCCAAGAATAAAGAGAAGAACTGGTAATTTGATGTCTACGCTGCACTCTTGGTTTGAAACAGCTCATAGCCATTTAAACTTTTCATTCATTTTGAAATAGTATCCTTGAGGAAGTAAGGAAGGAAGCGTTTCTATCTCTGTAGACAATAGATAGTTTGGGGCTTATAGATGAACATATGAGCATTCTCTCTCTCTCTCTTTTTTTTTTTTTTTTCCTATTTCAGAGTCTCACTCCGTTGCCCAGGCTGGAGTGCAGTGGTGCGATCTCGGCTCACTGCAACCTCCGCCTACTGCGTTCAAGTGATTCTCCTGCCTCAGCCTCCCAAGTAGCTGGGACTACAGGCGCACACCACCACTCCCGGCTGATTTTTGTATTTTTAGTAGAGATGGGGTTTTGCCATGTTGACTAGGCTGGTCTTGAACTCCGGACCTCAGGTGATCCACCCACCTCGGCCTCCCAAAGTGCTGGGATTGCAGGCATGAGCCACCGCGGCCAGCTGAGCATTTTTGACCATATGTTTTCCAGTCCAGGTCTGTCTCTTTCCAAATGCTCTGTTCTTTCTCTGTGTCGTGTTGCCTCAGTATTACCAAATAGTCCTGACCTAATATCAAGGGTGATCTCCCTACCACAATTTACAGACACACAGTGTACTGTGATAATTATACTTAATTGCAAACATTTTGGGTGCTGTCACAGTTTCTGTGAAATTTTACTCTGTCTAAATTATCAATGGTATAATGAATTTTCAGAAAATTTTGACACTAAGGGAAATTTTTAGACAGTTCTAAAACTGTATAAAATAGTCTCTTTTTCCCATTATTGTTCAGAAATGTGAAAGGGTATAAATTACTTAGATGTATGTGCTCCATACATCATCAGGCACTCTGTCTCATATATATATATATTATATGTGTGTGTGTATACACACATACAAGGGGAGTGAATACTTCTACCTTAATAAATATTTAATCTGGCATACCTAAACAACAGATTTGGCTGGTGAAAGTTATTATGACTCTTACAACTCTCACTGAAAATTGTTCAAGAAGATGTTTTAGGCTCATGTATTGCTAGAGTATATATAACAAATGGGGTTAGTCTTTGCCGTCAAACATATTTTGGGTTCCATCTTGCTTAATAAGTGTGTGCACACTGTTTAGTTTGGGTCATCATGTTCCTGGTCTCTGTTTTTTATAAAGGCCATTAATGCTCAGCCAGAAAGCTTTATTAGTCACAGAAAAAGCTGGTAGACCACTGGAATTTTACTTTAATAAGATGAAATAGAATTTGTACTATTCAGCTTCTAGAGAGCTGAGTTACCAAGGAATTTGAAATACCCCATAGACCTTAAGAACCATGTATTTTACTTGAAAATAATGCTACTAAGAAGAGAAAGGGAGATACTTTGAGAGGCAGAGATGGGAGGACTGCTTGAGCCCAGGAGATTGAGATCAGCCTGGGTAACATGGTGAAACCCAGTCTTTATTTAAAAAAATACAAAAATTAGCCAGGCATGGTGGTGTGTTCCTGTAGTCCTAGCCACTTGGGAGGCTGAGGTGGAAGGTTGCTTGAGCCTGGGAGATTGAGGCTGCAGTAAGCCGAGATCGCACCATTGCACTCAAGCCTGGGTGACAGAGTGAGACCCTGTCTCACACACAAAAAATAAATAAAAGGAGGGGGAGAGATGACTGGCACAAAATACTACTTAGAAAAGGATAATTTTAGAGTGTGGTTGATTTAAAACATTAACTTATCTAATTACCTCATTAAATGGATTATCAAGTCATTCAAGTTTTTTTCTCCTTTATTTTTTGTGACAAATATACCTATATTCCCATCTTGTGCCCTAGACTTCTCATCAATGTTTACTGCCAGTGAATGCTGTTGTATTCATGTGTATTCTCCCTTCCATTAGTGTATTATTAGATTATACAAGCTGTAGTAAAGAACATTGTTCTGGTCTATGTCTCCATCATGTACTATGGATGACGAGACATTAGAGAACCAATAGATCAGACAGCATTCAGATTAAACACGGAATGTCATAAAAATGCTGGCAAGAGCTAACGAAGCAGTCATTTACACAATGACTCTTGGCACAATAGTTTTCACAGATTTCACATGTCTTAGGTAGGATACAGTCATGGAAAAGAGTCTGGAATCAGATTGTCCAGGTTCAAATTCCAGTTCTACCATTTCCTAGCTGCAGGATCTTGGTCAAGTCATTTAGCCTCTTTTTTTGGTGGTGGCAGCAGTCTTCCAAATTGGAGCTCTCGTATCACCTTGTCTGGTATCACTTTCCCTACTGCCTGCCCATTTCCTAGACCTGTTCCTCTAAACTTCTCAGCAATTTTAATAAAGTTCTTATTTAAGTCAACTGTAATTTATTCTGTTGATTACAACTAATGGTTCTCAATGCACACAGCCTTCCAAAAGTAGTGTGACCATGTATTCATATGCTTTACTTCCCTTCTACCACTGAACTTCCTTTATATCTATTGCCCAAGTTTGAACAATACATAAAATCTGACACCTAACATTCCACACCATTGCATAGTGGTGCTGTGCCATCAATATTTGCAGTGTCATCTCTTTTGTCTATAAAATAGCAGTATGAAATTATGTGAATATTCTTTTACTCCTCCTAGCAAGAATTTCTTGAATAAATACCAGTACTAGGTCTATGTCAGATGTTATAATTGTATTATTTTTCCTTTCAAATGAATTTTTATTGCACATATAACATAGTAATATACTTGTATTAAAAATCAGAACATTATAAAGACAAGTATCCTTGGACTACCCTCATTTCTATTCCTGTCTAAACCTTCCAAAGTATAACGATTACTGCAAGTTTAGAGTAACTTTCCAGATAACTTTTTTACAGATGAAGTACAATAGGAACTATATGAAAAATAGAAAACCACTCTGTGTTCTGGGTATAAGGATTTATTTACTTAAAAATTTTCTGTCCTACCTTCCCTGGTAGCTGAAGACATAGGGCATATAATCTTGGGAGTGCTAGGGCCCCGCCCACCGCTGGTTCCTCTCCATGCTACCAAGCTGATGCTCCCTGGAAAGCACCACCTCCCAGCAGAAGGCAAACCAACACAAAAATAGAGCATTAAGTGACCAAAGCTAAGAACCCTCACAGGGTCCATTGCACCCCCCTGCAACCTCCATCGGAACAGGTGCTGTTATCCACTGCTGAGAGACCCATAGATGGTTCATATCACAGGGCTCTATGCAGACAACCCCCAGTACCAGGTTATCCAAATAATCTCACTGAGAAATGCAACAGGAGATGTTACAACTGACACCACTGGAATACAAAAGATCATTCAAGGCTACTATGAACACCTTTATGTACATAAACTAGAAAACCTAGAAGAAATGGATAAAATCCTGGAAAAATACAACCCTCCTAGCTTAAATTAGGAAGAATTAGATACCCTGAACAGACCAATAACAGGCAACAAGATTGAAATGGCAATTTAAAAATTACCAACAAAAAAAACTCCAGGACCAGACGGATTCACAGCAGAATTCTACCAGACATTCAAAGAATTAGTACCAATCCTTTTGACACTATTCCACAAGATAAAGAAGGAACCCCTTCCCCAATTCATTCTATGAAGCCAGCATCACCTTAGTACCAAAACCAGGAAAGGACACAACCAAAAAAAGCAAACTACAGACTGATATCCGTGAGGAACATAGATGCTAAAATCCGTGACAAAATACTTGCTAACTGAATCCAACACATATCAAAAAGATAATACACCATGATCAAGTGGGTTTCATACCAGGGATACAGGGATGGTTTAACATATGCAAGTCAATAAATGTGATACACCACACAAACAGAATTAAAAACAAAAATCACACGGTCATCTAAATAGATGCAGAAAAAGCATTTGACAAAATCCAACATCCTTTTATGATTAGAACTCTCAGCAAAATCTGCATACGAGGGACATACCTAATGTAATAAAAGCCATCTATGACAAACCCACAGACAACATAATACTGAATGGGGAAATGTTGAAAGCATTCCCCCTGAGAACTGGAACAAGACAAGGATGCCCACTCTCGTCACTGCTCTTCAACATGGTACTGGAAGTCCTAGCCAGAGCAATCAGACAAGAGAAAGAAAGGGCATCCAAATTGGTAAAGAGGAAGTCAAACTGTCACTGTTTGCTGACAATATGATCGTTTACCTTGAAAACCCTAAAGACTCCTCCAGAAAGCTCCTAGAATTGATAAAAGAATTCAGCAAAGTTTCTGGATACAAGATTAATGTACACAAATCAGTAGCTCTTCTATACACCAACAGCAACGAAGTGGAGAATCAAATCAAGAACTCAACCCCTTTAACAAAAGCTGAAAAAAAAAACACTTAGGAATATACCTAACCAAGGAACTGAAAGACCTCTACAAGGAAAACTACAAAACACTGCTGAAAGAAATCATAGATGACACAAACAAATGGAAACACATCCCATGCTCATGGATGGGTAGAATCAATATTGTGAAAATGAACATACTGGCAAAAGGAATCTACAAATTCAATGCAATCCCCATCAAAATACCACCATCATTCTTCACAGAACTAGAGAAAACAATTCTAAAATTCATATGGAACCAAAAAAGAGCCCACATAGCCAAAGCAATACTAAGCAAAAAGAACAAATCTGGAGGCATCACACTACTTGATTTCAAACTATACTATAAGGCCATAGTCACCAAAACAGCATGGTACTAGTATAAAAATAGGCACATAGACCAATGGAACAGAACAGAGAATCCAGAAATAAACCCAAATACAGCCAACTGATCTTTGACAAAGTAAACAAAAACAAAGTGGGGGAAAGGACACTCTTTTCAACACATGGTGCTGGGATAATTGGCTAGCCACATGCAGGAGATTGAAACTGGATGCTCATCTCTCACCTTATACAAAAATCAACTCAAGATAGATTAAGGACTTTAAGACCTGAAACTATAAAAATCCTAGAAGATAACATTGGAAAAGCCCTTCTAGACATTGGCTTAGGCAAGGATTTCATGACCAAGAACCCAAAAGCAACTGCAATAGAAGCAAAGATAAATAGTTGGGACTTAATTAAACTAAAGAGCTTTTGCACGGCAAAAGGAACAATGAGTAAACAGACAACCCACAGAGTGGGAGAAAATCTTCACAATCTATGCATCTGACAATGGACTAATATCCAGAGTCTACAATGAACTTAAACAAATCAGTAAGAAAAAAACAATCCCATCAAAAAGTGGGCTAAGGACATGGATAGACAATTTGCAAAAGAAGACATACAAATGGCCAACAAACATATAAAAAATGCTAAATATCAATAATGATCAGGGAAATGCAAGTCGAAACCACAATGCCATACCACCTTACTCCTGCAAGAATGGCCATAATAAAAAATAAAAATAAAAAAAAAACCCAGTAGATGTTGGCGTGGATGCAGTGAAGAGGGAACACTTCTACACTGCTGGTGGGAATGTAAACTAGTACAGCCACTATGGAAAACAATGTGGAGATTCCTTAAAGAACGGTAAGTAGAAATACCATTTGATCCAGCAATCCCACTGCTGGGTATCTACCTAGAGGAAAAGAAGTCATTACATGAAAAAGATACTTGCACATGCATTTTTATAGCAGCACAATTCCCAATTGCAAAATCGTGGAACCAATCCAAATGCCCATCAATCAATAAGTGGATAAAGAAACCGTGGTGTGTGTGTGTGTGTATATATATATATGCACAATGGAGTACTACTCAACTATAAAAAGGAATGAATTAACAGCATTTGCAGTGACCTGGATGAGATTGGAGACTATTAGTCTAAGTGAAGTAACTCAGGAATGAAAAAAACAAACATCGTATGTACACTGATGTGTGGGAGCTAAGCTATGAGGACTCAAAGGCATAGGAATGATACAGTGGACTTTGGGGACTCAGGGAGAAGCATGGGAGGGGCACTAGGGATAGTAAACAACAAATATGGTACAGTGTATTGCTCAGGTGATGAGTACACCAAAATTTCACAAATCGCCACTGAAGAACTTATGTTACCAAAAACCACTTATACCCCAATAATTTATGGAGAAAAATAAAATTTAAAATTATTTTTTAAATTTTTCGTGGGTACACATAGTAGTTATGTATGTTTATAAGGTATATGAGATGTTTTGATACAAACATGCAGTGTGAAGTAAGCACATCATGGAGAATGGGGTATCCATCTCCTCAAGTATTTATCCTTTGAGTCACAAACAATCCAATTACACTCTTTAAGTTACTTTAAAATATACAATTATTAACTATAGTCACCATATTGTGCTATTGAATAGTAGGTCTTATTCTTTTTTTTTTTCAGTACCCATTAACCATCCCCACTTCCCCCACGAAGGGATTTAATATAGGTATTTGGGACTTACACAATCATTACACCATAAGAAGAATGGGGGGAAGGAAGGGCAAGCTACTTCTGAATGGTTTTATCCATTAAAGGAATTGGTTGTATGCAACAGAAATGGACTGTGGCTGGTTGAAGCAGAAAAAGACTTTAATGTGTACAGTGTCGAAGTAATAGGAGGATCTTCTGGATATCATTACTGAGCCAAGGATTGTTCAGATGCATACACTAACTAGCTCAGGTCTGTGAAGTCCATCTATAGCAGAGGATCAGCTTGTGTTCCTGCTACAGATACATTCCTTGCTCATTCAGGCAAATGGAGATGTGCTACCTGCATCCCTGCGGAGTTGTGGTGGAGGTTGCTACTCCTCCAACCACTGGATTCCTGGTGCCTTTCTCCATGCAAATCTACCCCATTTTTCGCCACTCCTCATTTATCCATGGCACCAAAATCTGACCTTCCATTTATCATTACTGTGGCAGAGAATGAAAAAAGGGCTTAAGGGAAATCCTAGAATCACAGTGATGCACTAGGATGAATGCACAACTGAAACAGTTCTAGGACCTTAGGAATACGGTATAATTAATATATCTTACATAATGTACAGTCTCCACTGAATGCATTAGGACACTCTTACACCACTGCCCTGAGGAACCTTCTAGTTTCTGCCTCATGAACGCTGCTTGACCATTCTTGTTTTTTGCATTTTTAAAATAATATTGAAACATTGCTTCCAACTTTGAGCAGCATAATATTTAACGGTGAAAGCAGTGAAACAGGGTAAGAACAGGGATTCTCGATCCTACCATTAGTTTACAATATGGTACAAAAATTGTTGCCAATGCATTAATAGCCAAACTGTCTGGGAGCCCTTAGGAACTCTTCCACTTCATATCTTCTTAATTACCTATAAAATATAAATAAGACAATTGTTTGTCTCAGTTTCCTTGGGAATACCCTGGTTTCTAATTTTCCCAGTGCAATTATCGATAATGTCCCAGTTTGAATGGTAAATTCTATAATCACCCTGTTTATAAAGGTCACCCTTCCTCTGGGTATCATTATCTCAGTAAATCTCTATAGATGTTTGAATCCGTAACAGTTTAACCCATATTCCCTAATGTTTGGGGCAGATGTTTTCTAAGTTTTTGCTTGTTTTCCACTCCTGCCTTTTGATGTATTGATGTAGGTTGCCATTGCCTCTCAAGCATGCTTTCATCTGGGACACTGACATTGGCTACCTTTTCCCCCATGAACGTATTAGCAGGCAGGCCCTATATTCTTTTATTCCTTTCTAGTCCATGATTAGCATCCCTAATGGCGCATACCCAAAATTACAGCCTTGGCATGTTGTGGAAATGTGTAATGGTTAGAAGGAAACTCATGATGTAATGTTACATAAAAGAAGAGGGACTTAAGATGAAACTATTTCCATGTGTGGCACTAATTATGATTTTTTAATAGCTGTGACTGGAAACATAGTAATTTGAATTGGTAACAGTGCTTCTCACCTTCTGGGGAAACAATATTATGAAACAAATATTTGTCTTTTACTCATATAAATTTGCCTTTATTCCACAATTCATCATATAACAGAGAAAGGATGTTTTTAAAATAATACAATGGTGTTAGTCATCCCTTTGCCTTTAGGAGTGCAGAGTCCACTAGGTTCTAGAGGTGCTCCAGCAAGATCATTTAGTATGTGGATTTTAGATCAGTGACAAACCCCTCCAGCTTTCTTTATTTACATGCGGAAAGAGACTTTGAGAGACATTTTCAAGGCCTCTCTACAGTGAGTTCAGTGGCTCCACAAGAGAAGTGAGAATCGAGGTCATCTTTGGTTATCCAGAAAACTCCTCATCAGGGACTTTCAGGATGTCTTAAATTTGTCAAGCTTTGCATTAACCAGTTCACAGTGAACCCAAGGAAATATGGAGGCTTGTGCATCACTGGAATTGATGGCTGGTTCTGGGCCCATCTCATATTTCTTCTTAATATTGTAAACATGGGTTGTATTATCTAATCCAGACATAAAACAACCAGTTAAGTATTGTGGATGATCTCTGAGTAACTTGATCTGCTAATGTCTCCCCATGAGATTTCTTGTCTCTTCAGTGGCGGCCAAAATAATTTAGTGAAAAGAACATGACTTTTCAAGTCAGGTTGTCCTGGGCTTGAATATTCAATCTACCGCTTAATAGCTTTATGTCTCTGGACAACAGCTTTTTTTTTTTTTTCTCTTTCTCTTGTGACTCTGTTTGCCTAGAATAATCACAACTTCTCATTGATTATTGGGAACATTTTAAAAGTTTCTTCTATGATGCCTGATTTGTAACAGGTACTTAGTCATTGTTAGCCATGTGGTCTGCTCTAGCAGCTGGAAACAAAAAGGTTGACAAGTGTCTTGATTTTCAATTAATTTTCCATGAATGCAGAGGTGTACTCAGTTTAGCGGGTGTCGGTCTTACTTCCAAGCCAGGTGGAGACTGAGGACTGGCAGTTTGAGTCAATCCACTGGCGCTACTGCTTTTTGTGTCTTATTGCTATGGTAAAGCTTGTTCTGCTCAGCTTGCGGTTGAGAAAACGCTGTGGATGGTCTGGATTCCTGCCAGCACTGCAATGGTTCCTGGTTGGTCTACCAGATGTTCTATTCAGGTCATTGTCCTTCTAATACTATGCCAGAGTGGCTAAGTCTGCAGGGCTTCCTATCTCAGTCTTTCCCCCTTAAAATTAGGCTTGCCTTGAGTTTGTGGCACCTACATAAGAAAAGCCAATTATCATTATTATTTTTTCAATTTCTCTTTGGTGTGCTTACTATCATTTTCTTTCAGCATCTCTTGCCCTGTAGTTCCCTAACCTTGGATTTTGAGGGAATAGGGTCTGGATTATTCATTCTTTCCTCTTTGAAAAACCTGAGCTTCTTATGCAGGGTGATACATTCTCTTCATAAAGCTTTGCAGAGGAGGGGCAACCTTTCTTCTAGGTGAAAAGTGACTACTGCTTTTATATTTGCATAATCAAGAGGAACCACACAGGTGAACTTTCACAGAACAGAGATCAGCTCCTAGGTGACTTTCTTTTTAGGTTTCTTCTTAAATTGAGAGGTCACTCCAGAATAAAAACCAAATAAAGCAAAACAAAGCAAATAAAACCCATCTGCCTCATCAGTCACCATCATTAGAGCTATCATATTTCATAAATTCTAGGGCAACATTGATAGTGAATGCAGCATTATTTTATGTTCCAATAAGGAAAATACAAAAATAGCAGATGAAGAATAAAACAAGAAAGCTTTGCCAATTAAACTATAATGCATGCTTGATTGTAAGACCCATCGAAATTTCAGAGATTAAAATATGAAAATAAAACAAAAACAGAAAGCCAAACCTGAGTCTTAGAGTTGATGAAAAAATGATAAATGACTTCCTCATCAGTAAGAATTAAAGAACCTCCTTCAGTTAGTGATCAGGAGACTAACCAGACCAGATGGCATCCTGTCGATTCGGAGGGAGGTTAAAAGGTTTGGGGTAAGGAAGCGAGGAGGAGGGAATAATGAGGTGGCCGTGTTTGGTCTGCATTAAATCCAAGCATGTTAAATTCATGAGTGAGAAACCCCCTGCTTTAAATCCTACACACACACACACACTCACGCACACACGCACACACACACACACACGTTTCTCCCTCAATTCCATCTGGACTTTGTTGAAAACCTCAGGTCAAGCCAGCCTGGAAAAAAAAAAAATACAGTGGAGCAACCTTCTACAGTATGACATCATGTCTCCCCTGTTTCTCATTATAGAGTTGAGTTTCAGATGTTAAAATCATATCCTCCTTACCCCTCACTGCTTTCTTCTTGCCTTCCCCCACACAATCCCAACTTGATGGAGTTCCATTGTTTTTACAGTTAAACCACAGTGCCAGACACACAAAATTATTAACCTGACATTGGGAAAACACATCTTATGAGTCAGACTTCAGCTTCTATAATTTTTTAACTCGGCAGAGTTTCTAGTGTATTTCTTCACCAGCTGCCGGTCTATAACTTTTTTAACTTTTTAGTTTTGCCCTACATATAAGAGGTTATATTTCATAAAATAAAAAAAACTTTGTGTTTGTTAAACAGCATTGCTTAATTTACATAATTTCTTAGGCACAGATGTGAAATTGTGACAGGAGTTACAGAACAATTTGTACAATTTTAAAAATTTACAAAATAGTAACATAATTTTAAATTTATAAAAGTGACAATTTTGAAAATTTATAAAATAGTGACATAATTTTTAAAAATTAAAAATAGTGACAATATGCCACAAAAATGGAATAAGGCTTGTCCTTCCCACTAGAAAATATAGAAAGGCTGTTTAAGAATTTTGGCTACAATATACAGTAATTTCTAAAATCTTAATCCAAAAATATCCAAATTATGTGAAAACGTAGTTAAAAATTTTAAAGACTAATTTATAGTGAAACTACAATTTGAAATATATTACATTATTTTTAATATTATTTTAATAACTATAGTCCCTAATTCTTTATCAAAGAGGTACATTTGTGCAAGGTACTTAATATCAGTGGAAAATAGAAAACTAGCCATTTCTAAAATAAGTTACATTTCTACAGAATGGTGACAATAAGATATGTGAAGCTGTCATTGTCTACCCCTTTGCCAGATGTAAGCGTCTATTCATAGAAGAGTTGTAGAAAACTGGAAAATGAGTAAAAGGAAAATAGGATGGTTCATCCTGGAAGTGTAACTGACAGATAAAGTGCTTTAGGTATGAATAGACAGGGAGAAGCCAGATGGAAAAGCAGAGTTATAAATACATATGAAACTTACAACTCCACAAAATAAACATATTCTTTCTTAATATCTAAGGATATTTTCAAAATATATAATCATTGGTCAGGCACGGTGGCTCATGCCTATAATCCTAGCACTTTGGGAGGCTGAGGTGGGCAGATCACTTGAGGTCAGGAGTTCAAGACCAGCCTGGCCAAAATGGTGAAAGCCCATCTCTACTAAAAATAAAAAATTAGCTGAGCATAATGGCGTGTGTCTGTAATCCCAGCTACTCAGGAGGCTGAGGCAGGAGAATTGCTTGAACCTGGGAGGCGGAGGTTGCAGTGAGCTGAGATCCCGCCATTGCACTCCAGCCTGGGGGACAAGAGCGAAACTCCGTCTCAAAAACAACAAAAAACAAAATATATAATCGCTTATTAAGCTATAAAAATAGTTAATAAATTTAAAAATAGAAATAATTCAGATTCCATTGTTTTACTGGAAAAAATATTAGAAATTTAAAAAAATTTAGGCCAGGTGCAGTGGCTCATGCCTGTAATCCCAGCACTTTGGGAGACTGAGGCAGGCAGATCACTTGAGGTTGGGAGTTTGAGACCAGCCTGGCCAATATGGTGAAACCCTGTCTCTACTAAAAATACAGAAATTAGCCAGGTGTGGTGGTGGGCACCTGTAGTCCCAGCTGAGGCAGGAGAATTGCTTAAACTCAGCAGGCAGAGGTTGCAGTAAGCCGTGATCACGCCATTGCACTCCAGTCTGGTCGTTGCAGCGAGGTTCCCTCTCAAAACAAAAACAAAAAAATGAGCTGGACGTGGTGGCATGTGCCTGTAGTCCTAGTTACTCAGGAGGCTGAGGCGTGAAGATTGATTGAGCACAGGAATTTGAGGCTGCAGAGAGCCAAGATCATGCCACTATGCTCCAGTCTAGGCAACAGAGCAAATCCCTGTCTCTAAGAAAAAACAAACAAAACAAAAATTTAAAATAAAACAGCTAATGGAAAATATTTTTAAAACTCTCTGTGCAGATACTGATAGTTCTCTGCTTATCTGTGCTGTCATTTTATATAATAATAGAATTTTTAATTGGGCCCATGGTCAACCAGTGAAAGAGTACATTTCCCAGGATCCCTTGATTCTGGATTCTAGATGTGGACATGCAATCAAATTCTGGTCAACATGGTGGGTCGCAGTGATGTTTGCAACTTACACTTTGCAAATCCTTTTCTTCCTCCTTATGCTTCTTCTGTGGGATAGAATGTGGTTATGATGCTAGGACCTACAAGAGTGATCTGAAATCGTGGTGGGAAACTGCATATTGTGGAAACTAGGAGTATAGCAAAGAAGAAAAAGACCAAGCACCCTCAGCCCTAGACTGTCTGCATGGACATACATATACCTCATTTTAGCCGCTATTGTTTAGGATCTCTCATTTATAGCAGCCAAACAGGATTTCTAACAAATATGCCTCTTTTCTTGAGTTAAGTAGGAAAAAACTCAAATTTGAGATTATTGAAAAATGATGAGGATATTGGATCTCAGATCTTATATGCTGGAAACTAAATATCCAGAATGTATTCTGTTGGTGCATTTTTTATTAAATAAGGAAGAATGAAAATAAGCTAACGCTCATCAAGGGGTTAGAAAATATTCAAATTAAACTAAGGAAAGCAAGAGAAAAAAATTAAAGATAGAAACAGAAATTAAGACAAAACAGAGAAACTGCCAATAAAGTTAAATATATAGGGTGAAAACAAAACATTGCAAAATAATTTTCTCCAAGATGGATACCTGAGTCAATTTTATGAGTTTTCTTCAAACCTTCTGATAACTGGCATTTGCCATGGCACATGAAATATTCCAGAGTCTACAAGAGGAAAGAAAGTTTCCTAATTTATTATACAATGCTAGCATAACACTGATAGCCAAATCTGACAAAACAGACAAAATTAAAACTCTACATTTATGATCACTGAGGCAAAACTTGCTAAAATGCTTACTATAGGAAAAAAATTCCATGGTTCCAATGACTTGGCAAAAAAACTACCTAAAATGTTTATGAAAGACAAGAATAAAACTATGTGTTTACTATATAAAGGCAAAAAACTACTTCAATATTTTACAAATCAAATGTAGAACTATGTTAAAAGAAAAATGATATTTAAGAATATGAAATAATAGTAGAAACACTATTAGCACAATGTATCATGGCATCACTAGATCAAAGGAAAAAAATATTTGAACATTTTTATAAATTCTGGAGATGCATTTTCTATACTTTTTTTTTTTTCTGAGACAGAGTGTTGCTGTTGCCCAGGCTGGTGTGCAGTGGCACAATCTCTGCTCACTGCAACCTCTGCCTCCCAGGCTCAAGCAATTCTCATGCCTCAGCCTGTAGCTGGGACTACAGGCAAGTGCCACCACGCCCAGCCAATTTTTGTATTTAGTATTTAGGAGAGACGGTGTTTTGCCATGTTGGTCAGGCTAGTCTCGAACTCCTGGCCTCAAGTGATCCACCTACCTTGGCCTCCCAAAATGCTGGTATTACAGGTATAAGCTCTATAAGTATTTTTTAATACTTAGAGATGCAAATTTGTATATCCAAACATGACAAAACAAGGAAAACTAATATGGTAGCAAACAGTGCTGTCTCATAACACTAACATCATATGTAATGGTAAATGCTAAAGGCATGTTTATCAAGCGCATAAAGAGGACAGGAACATTGGTTTTCGTTACTTTTTAAAGGTAGTTTTTTTGACAGTTCTAGCCAAGAACAAGGTAATAGTATTACCATTTCTCAGTGATATTTTGAATGTAAGCAAAAATGACAACACAAAATCCTAGAAGGAAAATAATAGAAATAACAATATTATTTTCCTCTATATGAAAACAACATTGGTAAGTATAATGGAAAAATATATAATTAAAATGTCTGCAATACCAATTCTAGATTAGCTAAGGAAAAAAAAACAATGAGAGACAGACTCAAATAAAAATGAATAAATGGAGACATAGTATATGTTTCTAATAGGATGATCCAATATGTTATCAATCCTCGGGTTAATTTATATATTTAGTGCAACTTCAAGCAAAACCCCAACATGAATATTTTGGGCCTATCAAAATTTTTTTGGAAGTACAGGAAGTCAAGAATATAGAATAATACGTACAATAAAGATTTTTAGCATTGTTTACATTGAGGTAATTGATAGAGTAAAATGTACAAATCTTGATTTTACAGCTCAGTGAATTTTTATGAATGTATATATCCCTTGTGATTACCACACAAGATATAAAACATTTTCACACTCCTAGAAAGTTCCCTTGTGTTCCCTCCTAATCAACAGCCCCAACACAGAGATCATTATGACTTTTATCACCATAAATTAGTTTTGCCTGGTATTGAATTGCATAAAAATGGAAGCCTATAATAATACTCTTTCATGTCTCTTTTTGACAATCACCCATGTAGCTGTGTGTATCAATCATTTGCTCTTTCTTATCGCTATATAGCAGTGCATGGTATGACTCCATAACTTGCTGATTCATTTTTCTCTTGATGTACATTGTGTTATTTCCAATTTTGGACTTTTGGAAATAAAGCTGCCATAAACATTCTTGAGTACGTCTTTTTGTGGCTATATACTTTCATGTCTCTTAGGTATATACGTAGGAGTGAAATTTCTGGGTCGTAGGATAGATGAATGTTTACTTGATCAGAAACTGGCAAACATCTTTCCAAAGTGATTTTACCATTTTTCTTTCCGCTCTCCCATCATTGGATATGAAACCCAGTTGCTCTATATCCTCATCAGCACTTCCATTGCTGGTCTTTTAACTTTAGTCTTTTTGGTTGTGTGAAGTTGTATCTCATCATTTTAATTTTCATTTTCCTGGTGAATAATGACATTGAATATCTTTTTATTTGTTTACTTTCTATTCAAACATTTTGCCTTGTGAAGTGACAGATGGAGTCTTTTGCTTGTTTTAGTTGTCTTGTCTTCTCCTTATTGATTCGTAGGTATTTAAAAATATGTATGTTGGGCACAGATCTTTTTTTGTTAGGCATATGTATTGTAAATATTTTACCCCAGTGTGTGACTTGCCTGTTGGCTTTATTGATGAGAAGTGGCTTTCTGATGAGCAGTATCATTTTTGATTCAGTCTATTTTCTTTTAAAGTTAGTCCTTTTTGTATATTGCCCAATAAATCATCCGTCATCCCCAGGGTTGCAAAGATATTCTCATGTTTTCCTACCGACGCTTTACAATTTTAGTCTTCACATTTAAATCTCTGATACTTCCTTGAATTAATTTTTGTGTATGATGTAAAAAATGGATAAAGATTAACTTTGGTGGGGGAAAGATGTCTGGTTGTTCCAGCACCATATATTAAAAATTAAGTTCCAGTTTATAAACATGATAATCTCTCCATTTGTTTAGCTCTTAATTTTATTCAGTCATGTTTTATAGTTTACAGTGCTTTTGTCAGAAATCAAAGGCTCATATTTGTGTGGGTCTATTTCTCTAGTCTGTTCCATTGATCTATTTGTCTAGCTTTAACAACAATATAGCAATTGCCTTGTTTTTTGTAATTTTGTAGTAACTACTGAAACCTGGTACTGTAAGTTCTCCAGCATTGCTGTTCTTGAATTTCTTGGTTATATCAGGTCATTTGTATCTCCATATCAACCTTATAATCATCTTGTATATCTTTCCTAATAAAAACCTGCTGATATTTAGACTGGGAATATGTCGAATTTTTAGAGCAATATGGAGAGGACTGGCAAATTAACAATATTGAGTCTTCCAGTTCATGAGCATGATAATAAATTACAATAATATAATTTATTATTATAAATAAGATAAAATTAAATCTTATTTAATTTTGATAAAATTAAATAAGATTTATTTAGATCTTATTTAATTTTATTAAGTGATGTTTTATCATTTTTAGTTAAGAGGTTTTGCATAATTTTCACTAGATTTCCCCCTTGATGCTCTTGTACGTAATGTTTAAAAAAATTTATTCCCAATTGCTGCAGCTAGTGTTCAGAAATACTCTTGATTTTTGTTTGTTAACCTTATAACCAGCAGTGTTGCTAAAATTCACATGTTATTTCTTGTCAATAAATCTGTCAGTTTATTTATAGATTTCTTTGGAATTTCCATGCACATAACTGTGTGAAATACAGAGTGTTACTTCTTCCTTTCCAATGCTTAGAACTGTTATTTATTTTTCTTGCCTTATTTCAATGGGTAGAACCATCAGTACAACAGTCAATAGAAACAATAATAGTGAATATTTACATTGAATTTCCTATTAGCTGTACTACTGTTTTAGTAGATAACCTTTATAGATTAAGTTCTTCCTTATACCTACCATGTTAAGAGTATCCTTTTAAGTAAAACAGTGTTGAATTTTATGAAATAATTTTTCTCTATCCAATGATAACATTTTGTGGTTTATTTTTCTGAATCATTTGACATGAATTAAACTGACTGATTTTAAATGTTATGCCAACTTTGCATTCATTGAATGGCTAGACTTGTTTAGGATATATTATCCTTCAAATATATTACTGGGTTCAATTATTTTGCATAGGATTTTTATATCTGTGTTAATGAGGAATATTGGTCTATAATTTTTCTTTTTTAAAAATAGCCTTGTCATAGTTTGGTATGATGGTTATGTGAGCCATATAGAATGAGTCGAAATGTGTTCTTCCTATTTTCTGAAAGTTTGTGTAGAACTGGTATTTCTTAAATGCTTGGCAGAATTTTTTATTTGTTTTGTTTTGGCTTGTGTGTCTCTTTGAAGATTGTTAATTACAGGTCTTATCTCATAACTCTCTCCCTCTCAGTTATTTTTAATGTTCTTTTTCCTCTGTTCTAATTTCTATTTCTATTGATCTGTCTTTAAGTTCACTCAGCGTTTCTTCTGCTGTCCTTCTAGCCTGGTATTGTCCATTTAATGAATGTCTAATTTTAAATATTACTTAAAATTATTTTTATTTGACAAATGTTGTGTATATTTATGGTGCACAAACATGATATTTTGATACATATATACATTGTGGAATGGTTAAATCATGCTAATTAACATATGCATTAATTTAAAATATTTTAGAATACCTATCTCATTAGTACTTCCATGTCTCTGTTGAAATTATCAAGTTTTTCATCCTTTAGATCTATTTTTTGCTCTGATTTTAAGAGACACTTTTTGAAATTATCAAGTTTTTCATCCATTAGATCTATTTTTTGCTCTAATTTTAAGAGACACTTTTAGTAGTGATTTTACAGTCATTTTTGGGTTATCTGTAATTCTCATCATATAGATTTTATTTTTCTTTTGCACAAAAGTTACATTTTCCTTATTTTTGCCTTGAGTTGTAACTTTTTATTGTGTTTAAAAACCAAGGAGACTCGTGCTCGCTTTGGCAGAACATATCCTAAGAAGATTAGCATGGCGTCTGTGCAAGAATGATGCAAGTTTGCGAAGCATTCCATTTTCAAAAAAGAAAAAAATAATAAAAATAAATAAAAACCATAGAGACTGAAGTAAATATTATTTCTTCCAGAAAGGGCATATCTTTTCTTCTAATCAGGCAGCTAGAATGAAAATGGGAGGCTTTTTGCTTTGATCCAATAAGGAATTTAACAGGATTGGGGCTGATTTGGAGATCTAGTTTCAAATTGCCTTTGTTTTCAAGATTTCTTGAGTGTGAAATCTTATCTATGTATATAATAGGCCTTTCCTTCTTGTAGACTTTGGCTCTCTAATCACTTTTCAGTCTTGCCGCCAGCTTCCCAAATGCTTCTGCAAGACACTGAGCAAAAGTCTATGAGAATTGGTGGCAGGAAGACTCTGCTATCTCTGCATTTGGGGTTTCTAAGGTTCTATTTCATTGTGCCAGCTCACATGGCTGTTAAAAGTTTAACTGTTTTTTTTCATACCCCCAGCAGATTCTTTCTGCCTGAATTCAGCAAATGCTCCCAGAAGGAAAGCAGTTCATGGTCTCTGTTCACCCAAGAAGGGCCTGCACCTCTTTGGAAGTCTTTAATTCCTTGCATTCATAGTCCTTCAGTGTGTTAAAAATATTAATTTTACTTCATTTTTTCTATTGTTTTGGTGAGAGCAATAGTCTGTCAACATTCTACGTCTGACTTTACTTGAAGTAAAACTCTGCAATTAACTTGTCGGGGAGAAAAGGAATTGCAAGGTGATGTTTGCATCACAGAATTTTAGAGCATACTATAATTTCACACTGTAGTATTGCACGGAGTAGACCAATGTAGTTTGGTAAAATAGAATAGAAACTCAAAAAATAGGTTTTGGCTTGTGATAAAGATGATTTCCTCCCAAAATTTGTAGAGTAATGTGTATTTAAGAGATATAAAATACCTATTTATTTAAAAAAAGTTAGAGCCTTTCCTCACCCAATATGCCAAAAAGAGATCGTATAGGAGTTAATTTGAAAAATGAAGCTGCAAGAGAAAGTATTTTAAAAATACAAGAGAACATACCAAGAGATGCAAAAAATAAAAAACAGAAACCAACTCTGCTTACAGCATTAGTAAAATATTTCTAAGCATAAAATTAAGAAAAAAATGATAAAGGAGACTAAAAATAGAATTTTTCTGTCTCAAAATTGTTAGAAACAAATTTAAAAGTCCAACTTCAAAGTAGGTATATTTGCAAAATAAATGATACACAAGTGTTATCACCCTGAATATATAAAAAGCTCTTATCAATCAACAAGAAAAAAGCAAATAGAAAAATGCTTTAACAGGTAATTCACAAAGACATATCAATGGCTTACATATATTTTTAAATTTACATCATTAGTAATCAAAGCTGCCTCTTATACCATTTTTTTTTTGTTCTCCTCCTGAGGTGAGAGGGAACTCCTTAATATTCTCATAGGCTCTTTTTTATTCTGTATATTTTAGGTGTACAAAACAATGTTTTGATATATACAGTGAAATCGTTGCTACGGTCAACCCACTGAACATCTCCATCATCTCAGTTACTCTTTTTCTGTGCTAAGAGTATCTAAAATCTACTCTCTTAACAAATTTCCAAGATACAACACAACATTATTAATATGCAATACAATATTGTATTAATAATGCAATATATCTCTAGACTTAGACGCATTCTTCTATGTCTTTGTATCCTTTGACCTACATATAACAACTTACCTTCAATGGATAAAAAAATTTTACATTTTTGCTCCATCCCCATTTTATGTTTTTAATATCACAATTAACATATTTTTTCCATTAAGGAAATAGTGTATCATTATTTGTAATACTTTTGTCTTTTGACCTTTATACAAAGTTATAAGTGATTTAAACACCACCATTATTGTATTATAGTATTCTGCATTTATACGTTTACTTTTATGAGTGAATTTTATACTTTTATGTCTTTTTATGTTAGTAATTAGTGTCCTTTCATTTTTTTTTTTTTGAGATGGAGTCTTGCTCTGTTGCCCAGGCTGGAGTGCAATGGTGTAATCTCAGCTCACTGAAACCTCTGCATCCCAGGTTCAAGTAATTCTCCGGCCTCAACCTCCCGAGTAGCTGGGATTACAAACATGTACCACCACGCCTGGCTAATTTTTGTGTTTTAGTAGAGATGAGGTTTTCCCATGATGACTGGGCTGGTCTTGAACTCCTGACCTCAAGTGATCTGCCCACCTCAGCCTCCCAAAGTGTGCCGCTCCTGGCCTTCTTTCATTTTCACTTGAAGAACTCTCTAGCATTTTTTCTAAGGCAAGTCAATGGTGATGAACTTCCTCAGCATTTGCTTTTCTGGGAAAGTCTTTATTCCTCCTTCATTTCTGAAAGACAGCTTTGGCAGATATAGTTCTTGACATTCCCTTGTATGTGACATGTTGCTTGTCTTGCTGCTTTCAAAATTCTCTCTTTGACATGGGCTTTGGAAAAGTTTATTATAATGTGTCTTGGTGAAGATCTTTTTGGACTGAATCTATTTAGGGATTTTGGGGCTTCATAGATAGGGATTTTGGGGCTTCATAGATCGGGATTTTCATATCTCTCCCAACATTTGGGCAATTTTCAGCCATTGTTTCTTTTTTTCTTTTTAAATTTATTATACTTTAAGTTCAGGGATACATGTGCAGAATGTGCAGGTTTGTTACATAGGTATGCATGTGCCATGATGGGTTGCTGCACCCATCAACCCGTCATCTACATTAGGTATTTCTCCTAGTGTTATCCCTTCCCTAGCCCTCCACTCCATGACAGGCCCCAGTGTGTGATGTTGCCCTCCCTTTGTCCATGTTTTCTCATTATTCAACTCCCACCTTTGAGTGAGAACATGCGGTGTTTGGTTTTCTGTTCTTGTGTTAGTTTGCTGAGAATGTTGGTTTCCAGCTTCATCCATGTCCCTGCAAAGGATATGAACTTATCCTTTTTTATGGCTGCATAGTATTCCATGGTGTATATGTGCCACATTTTCTTTATCCAGTCTATCATTGATGGGCATTTGGGTTGGTTCCAAGTCTTTGCTGTTGTGAACAGTGCTGCAATAAACGTACGTGTGCATGTGTCTTTATAGTAGAATGATTTATAATCCTTTGGTTATATACCCAGTAATGGGATTGCTGGGTCAAATGGAATTTCTGGTTCTAGATTACTGAGGAATTGCCACACTGTCTTCCATAATGGTTGAACTAATTTACACTCCCACCAACAGTGTAAAAGTGTTCCTATTTCTTCACATCCTCTCCAGCATCTGTTGTTTCCTGACTTTTTAACGATTGCCATTCTAACTCAGCCATCGTTTCTTCAAGCTTTCTCTTCTTCTCTCTCTCTTCTATATTTTAGAATCTCATAATGCATGTATTGATTTGTTTAATAGTGTCCCATAAGTCCCATAGGCTTTCTTCATTTCTTTTCATCTTTTTCATTCTTTTATCTCCTCTGACTGGATAATCTCAAAATATCTGTCTTCAAGTTCCCAGTTTCTTCTGCTTGCTTTAGTCTGCGGTTGAAGTTCTCTATTGCATTTCTGATTACATTCATTGTATTCTTCAGCTCCAGGATTTCTGCCTGGCAACTTTTTAAATGATTTCTATCTCTTTGTTGAATTTTTAGTTTTGTTTACGTATTTTTTTCCTGACTTCATTGAGTTATCTATTTGAGTTCTCTTATATCTTGCTGAACTTCTTCAAAATAGTTATTTAAATTTCTTTCAGGCAATTTGTAGATCTTGATTTCTTGGGGGTTGTTACTGTGTTCCTTTGGTGACATTTTCTTCCTTCCTTCCTTCCTTCCTTTCTTCTTTCTTTCTTTCTTTCTTCCTTTCTTCCTTTCTTTCTTTCTTTTTTCCTCCTTTCTTTCTTTCTTTTCTTTCTTTCTTTCTTTCTTTCTTTCTTTCTTTCTTTCTTTCTTTCTTTCTTTCTTTCAAGTGTTTCTTATAGCCTTGCATTGGTGTCTGCATATTTGATAGAGCAGTCGCCTCTTCCAAACTTTACAGACTGGCTTTGGTGGGAATAGATTTTCATCTGCAGCTAAGTGCAAGACTGCAAGCTGGGTGGGGGTGTGGCAGCTTTGTTTCCAGAGGGTGTGCAGGTGTAGTCTCCATGTATCTCTCCCCGTTGAGGTCAGCATTGACAAAGACTATGAGGGCCTCGATGGCCAAGGCTGCAGGTGTTTGTAATGGCAGCAATAACAGTGTAGGCTGTTGGAGTCCCCAAGGGGAAGGTTGTTGTGGTCCTTCTCTTTTCCCATTCCTCACAGGAGGGAGTCCTATCTGAGGGATTCCCTCTTGATGCTGGGTCTGGTGTGGGCTTCAGGAAGCTGCAGTGGTTTCAGGCCAGGGAACAGGTGCTCAGAACAGGTGTGGCACCTGGGTCTTGGGATAATGGTGCACTCACAGAGGCATGAGCTTATGCAGATCACCTACAGAGCTGGGGTCTAGGACTTTGGGGTGTGCATCTCAAGCCCAGAGAGAGGGGATATAGCAATAAGCTTAGACTGTGGGGGCAGGGTGCAGCAGTGGTATGGCCCCAGGGATAAAGTGCTGCTGTGATGACTTAGGTCCCAGGGCATGGGGTAGTACAGCAAAGACTCTAGTTCCTGGGAAAGCAGGGTATTTTAGTATCTCAGGCCCTGGGAGTGGGCGTGGGTTGGGGGGCTGTGGCAGTAAGACCCCAGAATGGTGGGGCACAGCAGTAATGCAGGTCCCATGGGGTGGGGTCCAGCAGTGACTTGAGTCCAGAGAGATGGAGTTGCTCTCCAGCAACTTGGGCCCAGGGATAGTGGGGTGCTGGGTGTCCCAGGCTTTAGGTGGTAAGGTGAAATAACAGCAAGACCCCAGAAATGGAGAGGTACTATGGCTACCCAGGCAATCAGGGGCGGGGCACAGCATTGGCTCCCTTAGTTGGGCTCAGCACTGGCAAAAACTGCAGGGTGTTGAAGCGTGCAGGTGTCTGCGTGGTGATGAGGGCCACTGGGATCCTCCTGCTTACCTTTTCCCCTTGGAAGAAATCCCTTCTGGCTCTGAGCTGATCCCAACTGAAGAATGGAGTAGTGCAAGCAAGGTGTTTTCTACACAGCCATCTTTGGTGTTTGTGCTTCACTGAGTTTCTGCTACCTCTTTGCTGTACTCCCGAGCTCTCTCCACAATTTCATTGGTATATGGTTATTAGTTGTTTTTGTGGGGGAGATGAAGATTGGCACCTTCTAGTCTGCCATTCTGCTGGTGCTACTCTCTAATAGGCTTTTAAGTGATAAATTTAACATGAATTAAAACTTAGTCAAGGAATGAATTGCCTACAATGAAGTATTTTTGAATCTTTCAAATAACCAAGTCATCTTTGGTTGTTTGGTGTCTTTTCTTTAGCTCACATTCTTCCATCCTGCCTACCCTTCTGAAAGTCTGACATTGATGAAGTCTCCTGAGCATCAGTGCACCTGGTATCTACCATGACAACACTGATGACAATGCTAAAAGATTTTCCAAATCCGCAGACCCTCAGGTTGCCTGAGAGATACTGCAATTCCATCAGTTTTCACCAAATCAAAGCTGTGCTGTGTTGTCGGCACAAAGGAGGAGCCTGTACTCTCCCTTCTCCGTATCACACCTTATCACCTGGGTAATACCATTCGCCTTTGTTTCCTTGGGGAAACAGCTTCTTTACCTCTTTCCTAAAATCCCATCTATTCCAAGGTACAAGGCCAGGAACCAAGACAAAGTTATACCTTATTCCAATTAACCCAATTATAGTTATACCCAATGATCCCATTTAAAGAGCACCCTGGCAAGCAATGTTCATCTGAACTATTTCTTGTTCCACATACAATGAATGTAGAAAAATGGATACCTAAGCTATTAGTCCATTCCTTATCTTCCATGCCCAGATATAAAGGAATCTCTTTAATGATCATCTGCAATACCCACCAACAAATTCATAGGCTGAGTTAGGAATTAATGATGCTCCATTCCCTTGTATCTTTCTGAAAATCTTCTTCAAAGATGGTGAGAACTCTCTACTTCAACACTTACTGTACTGCTACTACTTGTTTGATCATAGCAAAACCATTTTGCTCATAGCCCTCATTTTCTTTCTCCACGCAAGTCACTATCTTTACCTATATTCCAGAGACACAGTGAAGCACAACTAATTGACTCTAGTCAATCTATAGTGAAACAAGTGGCAAGAGAAGCCCAAAAATAAGCATTATGAAAATCTTAAGACTCTAAGCCAGTGAATTAAATAAAGAGGTAAAAGCCTGCATAAGAAAGAGAACTGACCTTCTGAGCTTTTGTCCCTCGGGGAATATTAGTTTTACCTTTTCTGCTAAAATGATGGCAGCTAGGCTGGGAACTTAGGCTAGATTATTTATTTAATGTGACAGCCCCTCCTCTCCTTTCTCTCTCTCCAACCCTTTCCCCATGACCTTTCCAGATTCTTCAAGTTTTTTTTTTTTTATTAAACTTCATCGAAAAATCAGAATTAGGTGAACAGGTATTGAAAACTTGAGTTACCTTTTGTTGCTCTTTGTTTCAAAAAAACGTTTAAATATTTCCCAGATGATCTTTACCTATGGAAATTAACGGCAGCAATTGCAGCCTTTAAAAAATGTTAAATCATCTCACTGATGTTCAGAAAAAACAAAAGTTCTGTAGTTCCAACTGCCTGTGTGGCAGGAGGAAAACTGAATTCTTGAAAAAGTCCTGTTGATTACAGCTTTCTCTTGCTAAAAGACTGATTGCTCAATGGGAAGTGGAAGATCACAAATCTTCCGCTTTTGGAACTAAATGATAATAGAGTTTTAATACCCTAACAAAAATAAAACCTCCTCCTGAGTGAGCTACTCAAACCCTGCATTGCTTGACTAATGTGTTGAGTTAAGTAGGGAGGCCTGCAATGTAGTAATTTCTCCAAGGAGGCTGCAGGGAGAGGAAAGTACATTCCAGACACCTAATCATTTACAATTGAGTTTAATGAGGTAGTAATTTACAGCTTTGGGGGTGGAAGTTTGGAAAGGTCCCTGCCAGAAACTGGACAGACTCTAAAATCCTGGAGTTTAACGAAGGCATTAGAGGGTGGTTTCATACAGCCGAACTTGTGTAATTCCATCTGCTCAGTGCTTGGACAGGAAGTAAATGACAGGGCACTTGGGACCTACATCTGCAAACAACAAGTTTCAGAGATTTTATAAATCCTGCAGTAAAAGGAGAAGAAGAAAAAAGAAAAAAAACGGAGGTGAAAGGGCATAATTATGGAGGATGAGGAAGTACAACAAAGAACGGGCTTTGCAGGTTCTTTTTGGTTTGAAAAATAACATTTTCTAATGTCAAGGCCAGCCTTTGATTATAATTGACAAAACACACTTATCAAGCCTGATATGAAAACAGAAGGTACTGAAGCTTCCTTTTTGGACAGGATTTGGATGAAGGCTACAGAGTAGTTCAGGATCCACTGAACTTACCTGAAGATGCCTTTCCAGTCTTCCAGCAGTATAGCTGTTACCTTCTTGTCATCATTTCTTGGTTTGTAATATACTGGGTTAATTTTGCTTTCTGTTCACTGCTGCTTTTTAAGTACAGCTAGCACATGAAAGGAGTCTGCCTTAAAGAGATGGAAAAAGCTCAAGGCACAATGACATGTTGTAAGGGTAAAAAGTAGCTGCTAGACTGGCCTTAATATTATATGCCAATGATTGACATAAATCGGGATTTGTTTCTTCTCACTTAGGCTGAATGTTCTTCATATGGCACTTTATGTTACCCCTATTTCAACTCTCCCAAGAGGAAGTCTCATACTCCCCAGTTTCCAAATCGTCAAAAACATTCTCCTGTTCATGACCAAGGGTTCTCATTCTTTCCTCCTCTTGTTGATTCTGAATATTGGAAAGAAATGAGGTTAGATCAAAGAGAATAGAGAGGAACCATTACATTTCTGGTCATTAAAGAACATCGATCTAGGTTAAAATTCATCCTTTTGTCAGGATGTTATAAAATATTTTAGAAGGAAATACTGTGTGACTATGTGCTAGGCGGGTAAGTGGTGCTAGCAAGAGAAATCAGATGCATTCATAGTGAGCTATGTTACTTCCTGGGATCTCAATCACAGTCACACTCCTAATCATTGATAACAATGTTTGAACATTTACTCTATGCTAGGTGGTTTACGTGCATTATCTCATTTAATTCTTTCAGTAATCCTATGAAAGAGATTACACTTTTACCTCATTTTACAGATGAGCAGACAGGTGCATAGCAGTTAACAGCTCAAGGTCACTAGGATAGTAGGTACAAGGGAGAATTCAAACTCATCTTTTTGCTCATATATAACTCATAGATCAGAAGAATTAAGCCTACAGTCTTACCTCTTTTGATATATTGCCTTGAGTTTCATATGTTTGGATGTCATAGGAACTTTTAAAAGATTTAGCCAGAGTGATGGTCCTGATGACATCAGAGAAACACTTTTGATTCCTCCGAAAAGCAAAAATGTCTATGATACTTAGACTACTGAGTACAGAAAAAAAGGATTTTTTTTGTATCATACTTTTTAAAACCATAGACCTTAATATAGCTCAAAGAAAAAATGAAATTGGTTTTCAAATGCTTTTCTTGTTTTCCAGAGAAGGAGCTGTTTTCCATGTCTTAAGTGTGAATACATTCTTTTGCTGATTAAAAATCATAAACAAGTTTTTTAGTGTCTCAAGATCTATAGTCTATCTTTTGAAAGTCTGGGAAAAATCTCTACACTGGAATAATAATTATTCTTTGCAAAGCTGTGTATGCCTGTCCACAATGAGAAACACGTGACAAGGTGTTTAGTTATGGTTCCAATCCACGTGAGCTGGGAAGGACTTTCAAGTTAAATAAATCCTCACGTGTGTGACAAAAACAAGATCCAATATATTATACTATTGGTAATGCCAGCAAGGAAATCTGAGAAGAGAAGTGCTAATAAGGGTGGAAAAAATTTGAAATTTTTAATATTAAGCTCTCATTTCTTTCTCTTTCTGGTCTGCAGAATTAATAGCCTGATTATTGTAATTTCATTGGGTACTGCTAGTTTATTTCCAGTTTTGAGAATATTACACTGCTAATCTTAGAAAAACCAGTCTCTAACACGGAAAAAGCAAATTTAGTTACTCACAAAACTGTTTTCTTTCTTTAAAAGATCACAGAACTAATAAAGTAAGCGATCTCCCATCTTCCGGACCAGTGAATACAAGCTTGCATTAGATTGCTGACATCAGATGTTACTTTCATGATGCTGGAGTTGTAGTATGTATTACCTCTCAAATACATTTGGCATGAGTCAAGCATTTAAAAATTAAGTCCATTATTGATTCTTTTTTATCTTTTAGAGAAGCACACTAGTGTCCCATTTATCCAGCATGATTGGGGATTGAGATATTTTATTTAACAGATATTTACCCAGAAATTTTACCTTCTCAAATGCCAGTTTTAAATACTTGTGGCCAGATTTTATGGATATCTTTCTAGACTATATGAGTTATCTGTCTGCCTTCTTAAAAAGAAGATGCTGAATATAACTTCTTCTTATCTTCACAACCTCAGATCTTTGTTCTGAATGAAATTGACTGGTGCTACTCTGTATTCTGTTGCATTGTAGAGTCACTGCTGATGTGTAAAAAGCTACTGAGGTGTGAAGAGCTGTGCTAAGGCTGACTAGACCAGGTCATTTGAGTTCTTGCAAAGGCCTTTGGAAATTGTGTGCGTATATGTGTGGGGGTGTGCTCTCTCTAGTACCATCCTCATAGTTGGTTGCTTCTACTCTCTGTTGCTGGAATACCTCACCCTAAACATGTGGCTCTGAGAGAAGCTGCTAAACTCTGCCTCGGTAAGCTGGGGCTTTGTGACATCTGTTTAGGTCATTTGGAGACTGTGGTTGTTCCATTTCTCATTCTGGATTGTGTAGTAGATATCCGAGACTGCCAGATTACTCACCTCTGAGTAAGCAGGCAATTTCTAATGTTATGCTTATTTTGCAAAATATTAAACAATTTCATACTCTCCATCCCAAATCTTTTTTTTTTAATCTGTTGTAGGCCTTACTTTACTGATGATACTACTATCTCTTTCAATCACACCCATCAGAGGCCCAGGTCATAGCATGGACTTTGGGGCACGTTATTTTAAAGCCCAGTATCTGAGTTTGTATTTCTTTTCCCCAACTTGATAGTTGCATGATCAGAATTAAGTGAACAGATATTGAAAACTTGAGTTACCTTTTGTTGCTCTTTGTTTCAAAAAAAATGTTTAAATATTTCCCAGATGATCTTTACCTATGGAAATTAATGGCAGCAATTGCAGCCTTTAAAAAATGTTAAATCATATATACATTGTTTCTGATAGGATGATCCAATATGTTATCAGTCCTCATCGGGTTAATTTATATATTTAATGTAACTTCAAGCAAAACCCCAACATGAATATTTTGGGCCTATCAAAATTTTTTTTTGGAAGTACAGGAAGTCAAGAATATAGAATAATATGTACGATAAAGATTTTTAGCATTGTTTACACAGAGGTAATTGATACAGTAAATGATCACAAGCTAAAACCCATTTAAAAAATATTTATTGGGTACCTGTTGTGTACCGAAGAGCATTCTGGGCTCTCGGGATAGAGTGCATGGAGTGTACAGCCTAGTTAGTTGACAACAAACGAGCAAGTAAATGTACAGGTGTCAAATGGTGGTAGTGCAGGAGGTGTGTGGGATAGAGTGTAAGTGGTTGAGATGAACTGAAGATGTTTATGAAAGCTGCTTCAGCAGAGTGGTTGGGAGGAAAGCCTGGTAGGAATGCATCCAAGAGAGGGTGGGAAGAGCAGAATTGGCGCCACCATGGATAGGCAAGCTTTTATAGAAGTTTTGTAGTAAAGAAAGGCAGAGATGTGTTATGGTATCTGGGGTAAATGAGGGTTTTGTTTGACCTTCTAGCATTTTTGTATGCTGGTATGAATGACTGAGCAGAGACAGGGAATTGAAGATGCAGGAGAGAGAGGGAACAATTGTTGAAGCAGTGTTGTTGTTGAGTTGGCAAGATGGATGAGATTGACTGCACAAGTGAAGGGTGTGGCCTCAGCTCAGAGGCTAACAGGTCATTCATAGCCCCAGACTGCTAAGAACAAGGCACACATACCAATATATCAGTAGATGTGGTAGCTGGTGTATGTCAATGCCTATTCTGATTGCTTCTGTTTTCTCAGTGAAAAAGGAAGCGGGATTATCATCTGAAAGAGAACACAGGGCGGATGCATGGGATATTTTTTCTTTATTTTTGTTTTTTAGGAGACAATGTCTTGCTCTGTTGGTCAGGCTGGAGAGCAGTGGCCCAATCATTGCACTGCAGCCTCGAACTCCTCAGCTCAAGTGATCCTCTTGCCCTCAGCCCCCCAAGTAGCTCGGACTACAGGTATGCACCACTATACTTGGCTAATTTTTAATTTTTTTTGTAGAGACAGGGTTTTGCTATGTTGCTCAGGCTGGTCTCAAACTCCTAGCCTCAAGTGATCCTTCCACTTCAGCCTCCCAAAGTGCTGGGATTATAGAGACGAGCTACTGTGCCAGGCCAACATAGGCTAGGTGAGGAGAGAAAAAAGGCACAAACTGGTCATCTTAGACATTGAGTGAATGAACTGAAAAAATACAGTTGAATTGCCAGGAGGCTCTAAGGGCCCATTTGAGATGCGTGATCATCAATGTAAAACTTGATCAGTTTCTTTTTATGGAACATACTTACCCTATTTTTCTGCCTTTTATGAAGGATTATCATATCGTCATTGCCTCTGGGAAGCACTGGATATTTCTGCCTCCATCCCCTCCTCCCATTCATGCTTCTCAGTTTCTTTCCCCTGTTCCTTCATTCCTGGGAAAGAAATTACTGGATTTCCCTTTTGACTTTCTGGAACATCTTACACACATCTTTATCATAACACTCTTAAATAAACTAATTATTTCTTTACATTTCTGCTTTTATACTTACCCTCATTGTGCATGAGTTTCTATTTCAGGTCCCTAGTATAATATCTTCATATTATAGATTTTTAGGTAAATGTTTACCGAATGAAAGAAGGAAGGAAAAATATAAGTTCTACCTGTTATTTCTGTATATACAGTTCTTATAGATGGCCTCTTTCTGGTATTCAAAGATTAAAAATCAAATCACCCTTCACTTTGTATCTCTAGAGACTGGCTAGCAGTGATTTTTCTTTGACTTTATTTTGGAGATTCCATTTATTTGTTATTTGTTATTTTTCTTCTGGTGTCTAAATGATGGAGAATATTTCTTGGCACCACTTTAATAAGACAAAGTTTAAAAAAGATTTATTTTCTAACACATGTTTCCCTTTCACATAAGGGCAAATTACATAAAACATTTCTAGGTCAATCAAGGCAACTGAGAAGTTTCTATTTTGACCACAGATGAGGCAGTTTGCTGTGGGGATGGCTGGAGGCACACAGAGGTTCCTGAAGCCAGTTGGGGCGGCTGTAATTGATTTCAGATGTGCCTGAATAATGCTGAAGATAAATGTCCCAGAGGTAGATTATTGGAGAGCATTTTAGCTGTTTCTAATAAAATTTTCTTTAAAATTCCAAGATTTTTTTTTCTACAGATGCATATAATAATTCTATCCTGATCTAATGGGCCTGAGTGGAAACTACATGTTTGTTTGTGATTTCCCATTTCCCCCTAATTATGAAGAGAATACATAGTCTTAGTAGAAAAATACAGATGACTATAAAGACCCAAACAAAAAGAGTCACTGGATATTTACATACATATATTTATCTAGTTGGAATCATACAGAATGTAATTTTGTATATTAATTTTTATGTGATATCTTGAACTTTTTCTCTCAAGATTACAAATTTTCAGGATATGATTTCAATAGTTTTATAATATTATATAGCTGTGTTTTTTTCAGTTTCCCATGTTGTCTTGAGGATTCATAGAGATGAGAGTCTTGGGGGCTACCAAAGGCTTTGGGGAAGCAGGAACTGGGAGTGCAGTAATTGAGTCAACTGGCTCCAGGATCCCCTTGGACTTTTCAGAGTCCACATTTGACTAATTTTTATACTGGGCTTCTGCGCAAAATTCTCCCTGAAGAAGAATTCCCAAACATGTTAAAATTTGAAATCATTATTGGTAAGTTATAATTTCACATTTGTTGCACATCTAGTGTTTCTATAGTTTAGTGTCATGGAGCACTTTGTACAAACATACACACATACGCACACACGCACACACACACTTATTTCTTCAGGATATATAAATAGATATAGAATTACTGGGTCAAGTAATATATACTGTTAAATTGTGCTAAATATTGTCTGGAGAGTGGTTATGCAACTTCAACTTCTAACAGCAGTGTATAAAAGGACCCATCTCATAACACACAAATCACCTTTTCTTGGTTGTCATTTTCTATTTTGAAAAGTAACATATCACTGCTATTTTAATAAGCAATTGTTTTATGGTGAGGCTAAATTTTATTTACATGTTTATTAGTAATATTTTCTTGCCTGAATTTACTTGCTCATATTTCTTTGCTAACATTTCTATTGGAGCATTAGTGTTTTCCAGTGGATTTTAAGATTTACAGTTGACCTTTGAACAACACAGATTTAAACTTCAAGGGTCTACTTATATGCAAATTTTTTTCAACAAATGTACAGATCAAAAATATAGCATTCACAGATGCAAAACCTGAGTATGGAGTGCTGACTTTTTATACATGCAGGTTCCACAGGCTGACTGTGGGACTTGAGTATGCATGGGCTTGGGTGTGGGGCAGTCCTGGAACCAATCCCCCCCGCATATACCAGGGATGACCATATAACTGTGCTTTGTATATTAAAGGTATTAACCTTTTGTCTTATTTATGGCTATTTTTCTAGTTTGTCACTTAAGTGTTAATGATTTTTTAGTATCATTTAACATATTTTAAGCAATCTGATTTGTCGATCATCTGCTTTATGACTCCTTCTATGGCTTTTACACTTAGAAAATCTCTTTCCATTCACCTATAATTTCTAGTTTCATTAAAAATATTAATAGCACTTTGGGAGGCCAAGGCGGGTGGATCACGAGGTCAGGAGATCGAGACCATCCTGGCTAACATGGTGAAACCCCGTCTCTACTAAAAATACAGAAAAATTAGCCAGGTGTGGTGGCGGGCACCTGTAGTCCCAGCTACTCGGGAGGCTGAGGCAGGAGGATGGCTTGAACCCGGGAGGGAGAGCTTGCAGTGAGTCGAGATCACACCACTGCACTCCAGCCTGGGCGACAGAGCAAAACTCCGTCTCAAAAAAAAAAAAAAATTAATATTAATTCATAAGAATGTATTAGGGACTAAGATGTGTTTTATTTGTAATTCGTAATAGCTAACTTTTATGTTATTTTTTGAATGATCCATACCAATTTCATTGAATTATTAATGTATGGGAATGTAATTAACTTTATATAGTGACCTTTTATCCAACTATCTTCCTAAACTGTATTGTTTTCTCTGATCATTTATTTGAAGAGTTTCTTGGAGTTTCTAGATGGAAAAAAACTATCAGAAAATAATTATTGTTTTGTTTCTTTCTCTACAACCTGCATGCCAGTTATCTTTTCTTCTTTCCTTACCCTTCTGGCTGGGGTCAGTACAGTGTTGAATTGAATTACTGATAGTGGGTATCTTTGTCACGTTCCTGTCTTCAAAGGGAATGATCTAACTTCTTGCCATTTGGGGTGATTGTTGTAAGTTTTCATTAGATTCTGCTTATCAGGTTAAGAAAGTTCATTTTAATTTTTATTTGCTAAGAGTTCTTTAAAATTGTGAATTATTTTTGAATAATAAAAAATAAATTTTCCCCATCCATTGAAATATTCATTTCTTTTCTTTTGCTAAAGTAGTCGGATTATACTAATTAGGTTTTCTGGTGTGAACCCATCTGAAATTGGACTCAATGCATTATTTATTTTATACGTTGCTGGTTCAATTTAATCATAATTGATGTAGGTACTTTTAAATTTATGTTTTAAAATAAATCTGGCTTATTTTTCTCACAGTACTTGAGTATGTTTTTGGAATCAATGTTATATAAGCATCATAAAACAAGTTGGAGGCTGGGCGCTGTGGCTCACACCCGTAATCCCAGCACTTTGGGAGGCTGAGGCAGAAGGACCACTTGAAGGCAAAAGTTTGAGGCTGCAGTGAGCTATGATAGCAACACTACACTCCAGGCTGGGTAACAGAGCAAGACCCTGTCCAAAAAAAAAAAAGCCATCTGGAAACTTCCAGCCACAGTTGCACTGCTGTAGTCAACACAATGTAAGGTAGAAATAAACTGTCTATTCTGAGCCCTACCAAAATTTTGGAATCATGAGAAGCAGTAAATGATTGTTTTGTATTAAATTCTAATGTGTCCTTGGGTCTGTTTCTGTCTCATCATTTAGTATGATTGTATCATCTGCCTTCTCTGTTTATATCTCATATGGTTCTTAATATTGTTTCATTATATTTTAGAATCTGTTAATGCAATTCTCCCTGCTTATTCTTGTTGTTCAAGATATTAGAGCAGGAGTCTCTGAGCCTACTCTGGCTCAAGAGATTACCTGATCAAAAAGAAAAAAAAAATTATCGCTATTACTGTCTGTTTTGCTTTCAGGTGAATTTCAGAATGGTTTTGTCAGTTTCCTAAACCCTTTGGAATTTTTATTAGAATTGCATTAAATGTGTAGATTATTTTGGGAAGAATATTTGCAAGATTTTCTTTACAACATGGATTGGTCTTTTCAATATCTTCAAATATTGTTACATTCCTCAATAATCTTTGTAGTCATTACATATTTCATGCAATCACGCATTTATTCATTCATTACTAATCCAGAGGGCACAATTCTTTTTTTCTTTCTTTTTGTGAGATCAAGTCTTGCTCTGTCGCCCAGGCTAGAGTGCAGTGGCACAATCTCAACTCACTGCAACCTCTGCCTCCCAGGTTCAAGCAATTCTCCTGCCTCTGACTCCTGAGTAGCTGGGACTACAGGCTTGCACCATCACGCCTGGCTAGTTTTTGTATTTTTAGTAGAGATGGGGTTTCATCATGTTGGCGAGGCTGGTCTTGAACTCCTGACGTGAAGTGATTCACTCACCTCAGCCTCCCAAAGTGCTGGGATTGCAGACGTGAGCCACCATGCCTGGCCACAACTCTTATTAAGCTCAAATTTGTAGCCTACTGCTATCTAGTGTACAGGATTTTATAGAATGTGCTTCATGTATTAATTCTGTCACCTGGTAGTAGTTAATCTCTACTTTTATTTCTCAACTTCATACATTTTTCTATGTTTTATTTTATTGTGATACCCGGAATGATACTGTGTACACTAATGGCTGAGCCTTTATACTCCCCTCTTCCTTGGTCATTGAATGGCCAATCTGAGGTTTCCCTGAGAAGGGTAAGACCTTGGGCAAAGCAACTCTAGGCAGCTGAGGCTGACCCTGAAGGAGGTGTCAGCTGGAGGCTCACCAATGACCACATTCCCCATAGCTGGGCAGCAAGTCCTTTCTTGAAAGGTGACCTGGGTCATGCATTGCTGTGTTCACCACAGCCTGGTTCTGAGAAACTTGGGAAAGTCACATCCCTGGCCCTGTCATGTGGGATGGATGAGGTGGTTCTCTGTAATATCTGCCCCTTCTCATTGTTCCAAACACTGCATTTTTCTCAACCACAGCTTTTCCTCTTTCCCCTGATGGGTGTTTATTTAAATTGCTTTAAAGTCACTGGAGTAGCTTGACTTAAAGCTTTGATGTAAAGTGTGCCTGCAAGACCCTCAGCATGTAGCTGTTCACACATAAGCCACAGCAAGACACAGCTGTGACAGGGGAAGAGGCCTCATTGCTGGCCCTGGAAGGAAATCCCAATTAAATTGCACTCATGGTTTTATATTTAATGAAAACCGCTTGGTGTGCTGCTGTCATTGTTTCATTTTTCTGTGGTGTTTTTGGTGGCTTGCAGTTTTGCATGCAGTTCCCAACCTCTGAGCTTTCTGTAGGTAAATAAACCTGAAATTGTATTAATGCATTGTTGGCTGCCATTTCCATTTGTCTACACCCAGAAGCCATCTCTGCTGTTTTCAATGAACTTTTTGTCCTTGAAGCAAATTAATCAAACTCAGCTGGTGTCATCATTTTAAACCCACAAGAAAAACAAAATTATTTTTCTCTTTTTACATTACCTGCTTCTCCAATCATCTCAATTAAGTTCTCCTTGGGACCATCTGTCTAGTGGAAGACAAATGGAGAAATGAATATGAGTAGCAGAACTGCAAACAGGTTTTTATGAAAAGAAATTATATAATTAAACAAAGTGATATGCTTTGAATTTTCAAAGAAATATAAAAACCTATTTACAATCAGATACTCTCAGCAACTAATTTAGAGCAGTAATCTGAGGTCAAAATGTTTTAAACACTCCCAGATCATGGCAACTGTTTATTTTAACAATGCTTACTTAGAGTTGGTGCTACCAAATTTGCTTTTAAAACTCAGTGTGTGATATATCCTTTCCTAGTATTCCATTGGAGTTTTAATGGTATAGAAAACTAGATAAGGACCCTAAAACCAGATAAAACTAAATTAATAAATATCATGCAAACTATGGATAATAGGAGAGCATGTTTCAGAAAATAGAACTAACTTCTACCAGATGCAATGACACAGAGGCTGGATTGAAACTAAAAGATTATAACCTATACAGACTTCCTTACTAATGCCATTGAGTACTGCAAGCTGGAAAATAAAGCAGAGAGATATTTTGATTTTCCACTATCTGGCCTTAACTCTGAAAAACAAAAGATTTACTGGCCAGAAAAAGGTCAGTTTCCCTCCTGACCTCATATATGTGAATTCTTTTGTAAGAGTGTCAAATATGCTTTCCTCCCTCTCAAACTTTTATTCCCCATCAGATACTCAGATTTCTTTCTCTCTTTCCTTTTTCCTTTCCTTTCCTTCTTCCTCCTCCTTCCTCCTCCTCCTCCTTCCTCCTCCTCCTTCCTCCTCCTCCTTCCTCCTCCTCCTCCTTCCTCCTCCTCCTGCTTCCTCCTCCTTCCTCCTCCTCCTCCTTCCTCCTCCTCCTCCCTCCTCCTCCACCTCCACCTCCTTCTTTCTCTTCCTACTTCCTCCTCCTCCTCCTTCCTCTTCCTCCTCCTCCCTCCTCCTCCGCCTCCTTCCTCCTCCTCTGCCTCCTTCTTCCTCCTCTACCTCCTCCTTTCTCCTCCTCCTCTTACTACTACAGTTGCATAGTGTTTGCTTCAGGTAAAGAAGTTACATGTCAGGAAAGAAAAAGAATATTGAGGGTACAGGGAAGGCTTCCATGGTAGTATATCTGAACAAAATAAATCTTTAGACTGCACCGAATTTTCTATTATAGTCTGAGGCCTGGAGTTACACTAAAAGTCTCTGTGCATTAGTCTTTCTGAGATAGAGATTTAATCAGGATGGAAATAAATGGAAGAAGAATGAAAATAAGCTACATATTCTGATTGTAGGCAAAAATAAAGTCTGAATGAACATCTTGTTTAAGCATGAGAAAACAGAATAACATGAGGTCCATGAAATATTCTTAAATGTGCATTTTAATACATTATAACACAAACATTTTTAATGTTATCATTTACTTTAAGTATATTTTAATTATTATATTACACAGAATGGACAGTTTTTTTAGTTATTCCCCTGTTGTCAGATATTTAAATTATTTTTCTCACTAACAGAAGATATAATAACCAATTATTATGAAAATTATAAATTTTTAATTTTTAATAAAAAATTCTATAATTTAAATTTTGTTAGAAAATAGTCATAGAGACTGGGCATGGTGGCTCCCAAAGTGTAATCCCAGCACTTTGGGAGGCCAAGGTAGGTGGATTGCTTGAGCCCAGGAGTTTGAGACCAGCCTGGGCAACATGGTAAAACCCTGTCTCTACAAAGAATACAAAAATTAGCTGGGCATGGTTGCATGCACTTGTGGTCCCAGCTACTCAGGAGGCTGAGGTGGGAGGGTCACTTGAGCCCAGGAGATTGAGGCTGCAGTGAGCTGAGATCGTGCCACTGCACTCTAACCTGGGTAATGGAGTGAGACCCTGTCTCTAGGTAAGTAAATAAGAAAATAGTCTTAACATGGAAATTATTGGTAAATAACTATGAGTTTTTAAGGAATCTTGCTACATACTATCAAGTTTCTTCCTAAAATACTATTGTACTTTTGGCCACCATCCCTTGTGGATGAAGAGTGCTCATTCTGATGGACAGTTGCCAGTAGAGGGCCTCTTGTGTTTGTTTTCCTTTAATAAAACAGCTGAAAATTTACATATTATCACTGTCATGATAATTTATCATAATTCGTTATAATTTATAAATTATGATAATTTGTATATATCTGTTTAATATACTGATGCATTATGTATGGATATAATATATCTATTATACATAATATATAGATATATCCATATATTATATCAATATATAATATAATTATACATATATATTATCGATGTAATATATAATGATATATATAATATATGACATATGATATATAATGATATATATGTGATATATATCATGGATATATATTTATAATTATATAAATTATGTAAATATTTAAATATAAATTTATATATTTGTAAAAATTTATGTTTATAGATTTTTATATAATTATAAATATATTATAAATATATGTAAATATTTAATATAATGCATAATATGATTATATAAAAATATGATATAATACATATTGACATATAGATATATATCACATATATCATATATCAATGTCATATATCATATATTGACATATATATCATATATACTGACTTATATATCAATATATATCATATATATAAAACCTTGAAAACCATAGCATCTTCAGTATTTTTGAAGGCCTATTTTTTATTATTTAAATATTTATGATCTAATATTAATAATGTATTTTTTTTTCTTTTATTTTGAGACAAGGTCTCACTCTGTTGCCCAGGCTGGAGTATAGTGGTGTGATCACAGCTCACTGGAGCCTTGACCTTCTGGACTCAAGTGAACCTCCCATTTCAGCCTCCTGAGTAGCTGGAACTACAGGCATGCATCACCACACCCAGCTAACTTTTGTATTTTTTGCAGAGATGGGGTTTTGCCATGTTGACCAGGCTGGTCTTGAACTCCTAGACTCAAAGGATCTTCTCATCTTGGCCTCCCAAAGTGCTGGGATTACAGGTGTGAGCTACTGTGACTGACTGTATGTAATAATATTTTAAGATAGGTACTACTTATTATTTTTCCCTATGTGTAAGTATTTTAAATGTTAAAAAAATTTTAGGATAAGAACTATATTTTGTTTTGCTAATAAGCAGAAAAACAGAGACTTAGAGAAGCAGAGCTAGGATTCGAATCAAGTATATATGACTCCAAAGCCCAGACTCCTATTCATTAGAGCACAGTACTTTAATAAGTTCACATCTGTGAGTCCTTTTCAGAGTCATTAAACTCTGTTTAGCTCTCAGCATTTTGTATATTTTGGCTTGTTTTCTTTTAAATACCATATGGCTTTTTAAGAATGGAGATATAATCTTACAACTAATCACTATCCTAAGAAAATTAATAAATTTTGCTGAGCTGATAGTAAGAGTAACTGATAGTAAAAGTGACAGTAATTGGAAACATTTGTAAGATATTTCACATTTCGCAAACTGTTTTTCACATGTCCACATTTGCAACATATTGTGAAACAAAAATATAGTTTACGAAACAACATGTATTGCTGATGCTAATAAGTTTTCCAAAATTCATACAATGGTGAGGTTATAGGTAATTTTTAATTTTTATAATTTTTCTTTATTTAAAAACTGTAGACTTACGTATCCTTTTAATAATAATTACATTTAATCTTTTATAAATTTTTACGGCATCCTAAAGAGATTGAAGGTAAACACCAGACTTAACATTTTTAAAAAGTTAAATATATTTTTATGTATAGAACTTCTGTGATTTTATCAGGAACACATTAGATGCCTGTAGTTGAATGGCCAAAATTTATGACATTCATTTCTCATAGCAATCTGAAGTAGATACGATAGTTATTTTTTTTTTTTTTACGAATGAAGAAACTACAATTTAGAGATGTTTGAATGATTTTTCCCAAACTCAGACAATTAATAATTTATGAAGCCAGAACTAGAAGAAACATTTTCTAAATATGAACAAGCAGCTGTAGACTCTTAACCCCATTATTATTCCATATTGAGGGCCAAACATAACCAAATAAAGCAGCTACGGTCCCCTGCAACCAGGAAAATGAGGAGAAAATGCCCTGGAGAAAATGAAGTCAGAACTTGGAAAATCAAGTGGTGATGGGATCCCCGTAGGTTGCTATCTGCTGATGGGTGTGCCCTTTCACAGTGGAGCCAGGGGTGTCAGGACACCCTGAAAATCCAGGGGTGTGGTACTCATGGAAAGAACAACTCTAGCTGGCCTCTGGCCTCCCATGCCGCAGGGCCAATTCTTGCTGGGTGTGCTCCAAATTACCCCAAAAGGTGACAGCAACAACTGTGCTAGTGTGTCAGCCTTGGAGCCAGGCTTTCTCCTGACTCACATAAACATGGCCCAAATGTGCAGCTCTAGAGCCAAGCCTCTGTTCCCTACTCAAAAATTCTGGATAAACTAGTTAGTTCTTTCAAATCCAGTTGCTTAAAATGACTTACCTTGCTTTACATATGTTCATTTCTCTCCTGCGTCTAGGTAACAGCTCTCCTATGAAGCAGTCATTCTAGAGCACTTGTTAAAAACTCCTGTTCTAGAGTGGCACTAGGGGGAGTCAGGCTGGTTCCTGAGCTTGCTCAGGTTCTGCTGTGATGTGTTGGACAACCAGATGGGCCTAGGTCTCATCTTCACTAATATCCAGAGAACTTTGCAATTGGAAAATAAATCCAAATACCCCAAGTGATGTAGGTTGAGATGTACCAGTGTGGGATCCGGGATGTGAACTAGGGAAGTATTAAATTCTAAGTCAGTGCTGGTAGTGGATATGGAGAGGTTAAGCTTCCTTGTGAAATACTAGATTCTGGGGATGAGAAGGGGAGCAGATAGAACCCAGGAAATTTTGGTTGAAATATTAAGATGGTCACAAGACAGAGTTGGAATTACAAAACAAGAGAGGCAGAAGGAAGTGAAAAACTGAGTGGTATTTAGCAAGTAAATGGTATTTAGTGTCTTGTTAAGTGTGCAGAAAAATGTGAGTATGCTTGTAGTGTTTGTTTGTTTAATTTTTTGCTTTGATTTTAGGCCGTTTAGCATCCATTCCAGTTTCTTTTGGTAATAGCATCTGAATTTCCATTTGGAAATGATCTTTCTCCATCGTATACAGTCTAATGGGCAAGGAAGGCCAGTTGGAAATTATCTGTCTGAAATTTAGATTATGAGCAGAATGATGAAAGTCTGTTAATTATTGGCGTTCTTTCATGACCGCATCACTCCCTGGGGCAATGCTACACTTCCTGCCACTACACTCTCTGGAGCAGTCTAGTTTCTGTATGTTCTGTGCCTCGTTTCCTTCAATCCTGTGAGTCCTGTGAGCTCCCCTACATCTTTCCCATAAATTCCCCATTTGCTTAAGTTAGAGTCAGTTTCTGATCACAACCAAAGAATCTTCACGAATACTCTCATACTCCAGATTAGGTAAAGTAATTGAAGGTGAACCTTGTGATGTTCACAGTGTTAGCAGTATACCGAAACAACATAGCCTGTTCTGTTTTTGAGAGAATGAAGCTGTAACGCCAAATATTTAAAACGGTCAGGAGTGGAGGAGGTCACTGGAGGCTAATATAGCAATGTAATATAGTTACTGCCTAATTTATTTAGAGTTCGGCCTGAGGATGTGAGTTGATTTCTTTTTCCCTCCAGCATTTTATTATCCAAAATTTTCAAACATATGACTAAGTTGAACAAATACTATGATGACCACCCCCTATGCCCATTATCTACATTGTATTATTAAAATTTTACTATGCTTGTGTTGTCACATATCTATCCATCTAACAGTCTTTCTATCCACCTAACAGTCTTACTAGCCATCCTCTTTTTGTTTATGCAATTCAAAGAAAATTGCAGACCTTAATATACTAACGTTACTATTTTGTATCATGAGTATCATCAAGAGTTAAATATTCGTTTATAATTTTTTTCTTTTGATGTAAAATGTACATACAAAGAAATGCACGAATCTTCATGTTAATTTCCTCAGTTTTAACAAATGCATCCATTGGTGTAGCCCAAACCCCTATTAAGATATAGAACATGGCTGAGTGCAATGGCTCATGCCTGTAATCCCAGCACTTTGGGAGGCTAAGGTGGGCGGGTCACAGGGTCAGGAGATCAAGACTATCCTGGCTAACATGGTGAAACCCCGCCTCTACTAAAAATACAAAAAATTAGCCGAGTGTGGTGGCCCGTGCCTGTAGTTCCAGCTACCTGGGAGGCTGAGGCAGGAGAATCGCTTGAACCCGGGAGGCGGAGGTTGCAGTGAGCCGAGATTGCACCACTGCACTCCAGCCTGGGCAACAGAGCAAGACTCTGCTTCTAAAGAGATAAATAAATAAATTAATTAAAATAAAATAAAATAAAAATAATAAATAAGATATAGAACATGACTTTTGCCCAGAAAGTTTCTTTTGCTCTTTCCTAGACAATGTTTCTTCCTCCCCCAAGGTTAACCACTGTGATTTTTTTCCAAGGGAGCTTACTTCCTGTAATGGGGAAACAAGTGAGCCGACACGACAGCTGCCTGGGCCTCTAGTCATGGGGGTGCTGAAGCATTATTGGGATTGTAACTGATGGACAAAATCTTAATTAGCACTACTGTCAGGGAGAGTTCTGTAGGTGGCTGGAGGGTGTTTGCTTAGATAAGCACTCTGGATGGATGGAATTGTCTTCTAGGAAGCGTGCTTGAGTCATAGTTGATGGGTCTCTGGTCCAGGGACAGTGCAGAAGAGGCTGAAAATTGTGACCCTGGTCCTCCCGGTACAGCAGCACTTAGCCTCGTTTTTAAGTAAAGGTCACACACAGACCTAATAATCTCTATTTGAAGGGACACAAATGATTAGCCTACCTTTAGTATCAAATTACTGGCCCATAAAGATCCCCAGATGTCTCTGGGCATGAAGTGAAATCAAAACGTGGCAATTTTGTTCATGTCACTTTAATTACTAACAGGGAGACAACACACCAGGTCTTAACTCATCCATTTGCTACAGAAGGCTTAACTGAGAAGACTGGAAATGGGGAGGAAGAAAGGGTGGAGTTATAAATTCACAGATGGTAGACTCTGGACATTGGAAAGGGATGGGCTGGAATCTGAGGAAGACAGAATATTCTCCCCTTTCTCTGTTCCTTTTTTCCCAGGGAAGGTCCAGGAGGGTCTGTGGTTATCATGAATTGGTGAAATTTCAGATTCTGATATTTTCTCTCGCTTTCTTTGCTACTATTTTCTGCCACAGGTCACAGGATGACCAGACCACTTCACATAATTCTATTTTAAGCTTGCCCTGTATGGACAGGCAGGCTCCTTAGTTTTTTCAAAGGGTGATCTTTACCTGGAAATAAAAATGTATGCAGTTGCTCAGTATTAGGGCACTGCCCTTTTTCTTCTGGAGGTTTATCATTCATGTATCCCACAAGACTATTCTCTTTTTGGTATTCCTCCTTAAAAACATTCACATGGCTGAATCAACATGATATGTAGGTCTCGGGATTCTGAGCTCTTTAGAAACACCTGTTGGGAGGGCTGAAAATGGGACTCTGTGGCTACCTGGCTGCCACATATCCCTAATTACCTTGAGGATTTTAGTTTATGGCCCAAAAAACCGTGGGTGCAAATAAGAGACTTCATCTATATTTTCACACATAATTTTTCTTATGAAAGTAAATTCACCCTACCAAAAAAAGTAGAAAAATTCATAACCTGTCACCGTAACAACTGTCATTAGCATTTTATGTTAGCTCTCCATATGTTTTATAAATTTGACATAAGCTTATTACCTCTGTATATTTTACATTGTTTTTACATCTATTCAATCAAGAATTTTCCCAGGTTGCATCTTTAAAATCATGATTTTTCTAAGAGTTCCGAAATATGTCGCTCAGCTAACATGTGATGGGATGTTTAACTGTTTCCTATTCCTGGGCATTTTAGGTTATCTGCATTTTCTGCTGGTATAAATTGCACTGTGATGGACACTTTTTTTTCACATAACATTTCCATGTGTTGGCACTTGTGTACAAGTATGAAAGGCAACTGCTGCTAGGAGCTATTACTGTTTGCTAAGGAAGATGTAAGCCCTACCCTCAACCTACATAAGAATAATAGTGAAGAGTGCATAGTAAAGAACAATTAATGAAGGCTAAGTAATAAATAGATAGTGAAGATAGTAGAATGTCCCACTGGTGCAGTGGTGGGCTCCTCTCCATTCTATCAGGAACCCTGAGCCATGGGAGTGTGTTTTGCAGAGAACATACTATTGTCCTCATGCTTTTTAATATTGTAAATTATTAAATACTTTTAATTGCTTAGAACATTATTGGCTATTTTGCACTCATGTTGCTGCCTGTTTTGCTCATCTCTTCAAGTTTTTATGTGATTCCAAAACTTTTATACTGTGTTAATGGTTTAAATAACATGTTTTTCCTTATCACTATTAATCAGTGTTATTCCTATTAATATATTTTTGTTTATTATTCCAAAGTTTTAAGGCATTTTTGTTAACCCATATTTACTTTTACTTTTTTCATGCTTTCCTCTATATTTTTTATTAATTTAAAATGTTCCCATTAAGTAGAATTAGAAGAGTTACACAAATATTTTGTGGCTCTCTGTATATATTACTATGTAGAAAGTTGCCACATTTGTTGTAGCTTCATCTATATTTAGCATTTTCAAAAAAGAAGTTATTAATATCATGCATTTAGAAATAGAGCTTTAAAACAGTAATCGTAGGCGGTGCAGCAGGAAGACACAAAAGCATCTGGAAAAGTAGATTCTGTCTCCTTGAGTGCCTGTGACAAGAATTTATTGGTTTGTAATCCAAAGGTTCCTGGCCTCTACAGTTGTCAGAAGTAGCACTTCCCTTTAACTCTAAATGAAAGGATCCATGCCCTCATTATGTCTGACCACAGTCCCAAGGTCTCTGAGACTCCCTGGAGAATATACCCATGTCACCAGGTCAGTCCTGGTTTTTACTGTGTGCTTCGGCCAGCAGCCCCACTCTGGCCTGCATCTCTGATCTTTGGATAACAATGTATTATTTCTTCACTGGCTTCCTTAGGCCATGATTACTCTCCCTATACAATTTCATTCCAAATATGCACATGGGCCTATCAATTAATACTCAGAGCTCAGCTAAGATCAGGCTATAACAATTAAACGAACTCTACTAACAATACAAGAGAACAAAAGGAGATTTGCCATATAAAAGAAAATCCTGGATACTAAATATGAACATTTCCAGAGTTCACAAGCCAAAACCGATTCCTCATTCCTAGGATCCTCCAGAGAATCTATCTTTTTACTCTCTGTTTGCAAGTTGCAGGAACTGGTTCACATCTCCTAATAGTGGGTCTTTGACCTTGCACCCTTCAAGGGAGTCCAGGCCCCTCTGTTCTTCCAGGACCCAGCCAAGGGAAAGATCCATTGTCCCCTCACTACCTTTTAGCCCAATATCCTAACTTGAAAACAAATAAACATCCTGCAACGTCTGTTTCTATAAAAATAAAAAAGAAAACAAACAAAAATATGTAGGTAACATCAATTATCTATAACAAAGCCTCCGTAAATTTGAAAGAGTAGACACTAAAATACATAAAAAGATTGATTTTTAAGAATATATTAAGCAAAACACTTATCCTAAGGAAATTCTAAAAAATATGAAATTTCTTGATTCAAAGTACTATATTGAGTCAAGTATTCAAAATTGAAATATAACTACTAAAAGTGAAAATGAGAATAATATGTGATCAAATAGGTATCATAAGTCACACATTGTGGTTGTGTAACCAGAAAACTCTAAAGAATAAATCAAAAAATTATCAGAATTAATAAAATAGTTAAGTAAAAGGCCTGAATTAAGGAAAACCTGTGCAGAATTAAGTGGTTTTTAATTATTTACCATTATAGATAATTAGGAGGCATAAGGAGGAAATGGGAGTTTATAAAAAGAAAATAATAATAATCTGGAAATCCAGTGAACAAAGTTATCAAATATACTAAATTATTTAAAAATTAACATAAAGGTGGAATCCTATTTATGCATTTATCCTTTAATTCCACAATTATCTTTGCCGTGTCTATGTTGCAGAGACATTTACCACTGAGTGTATATCAGTGAACAAGACAGATATAGTCCCTGCCTTTAAAACTCCCACCTACGTGAGGAGGCATGCATTTTTAAAATTGGCATTTTAAATAATTATATGACAAATTAAAACTGTGATCATTGCGATATATAATGTAGGGGGCTACCTACACATATGGAAAACATGAGGTGAGAGACAGTGGCACATTTGAGGAATTCAAAGGCAGCTATGGTGGCTCAGTGTCAAGAAGAAATGGGAAAAAATGAAGTGGAGGGGTAGAGAGAGGGAGGTCTTAAAAGATGTGGGGTCTTGTTGACTGTGTTAAAAATTTTGACCTTATTCTAAGAGTAATAGGAAGGCACAGAAAGTTTTTATGAGGGTTTGGAAAAATGTGAATGGCAGGAAACAATCTATACATCCAACAGAAGGGGGAAAACTGTAGAAATTATAGCCAGAGCTAGAATATTTGTCATTACTAAAAGTGTTTCCTCAGAATTGTTAATGATATGGACAAAATGAAGGTAACTAAGATCTAATATGGAGTGTGGCATCAACTGTGTTAATATATAATTTGTGTATAACATATTTTCTACGTGTGTATATATGTATATATTTTCTATGTATGTGTATATATATGTGTATATGTAAGTATATATACATATATACATACACAAACATGCATAGAAAAAGTTAACAGTGGTAATCTATGATTTGGGGCTTCCAGTGAATCTTATTTCTTTGATATTTTTCTGGGTTTTCCACATTTTCTATAATGAATGTGCATTAATTTGACAAGTCTAGGAGAACATGGTAATTTTATTTGTGATCTCTTCTGAATTGGTAGCTTATCAACCGATTTATTTCTGGGCTACAAAAGGTAAATGGCCGGGTACAGTGGCTCACACCTGTAATCCCAGCTCTTGGGGAAGCAGAGGTGAGAGGATCACTTGAGCCCAGGAATTTAAAGCCAGCCTGGGCAACATAGTGAGACCCTGCCTCTATTTACAAAAGAAAAAAATACAAAAAATAGCCACGTATGGTGATAAGCTCCTGTAGTCCAAGCTACTCTAGAGGCTGCGGTGAGAGGATCACCTGAATCAAGGAGGTCGAAGCTGCGGTGAGCCGTGATTGTGCCACTGCGCTCCAGCCTGGGTGACAGAGCAAGACGCTGTCTCAAAAAAAAAAAAAAAAAAAAAAAAAATTAAAGTTTCAGTTAAACTTTATTCATTTACTTTTTTGTTATTGTTGTTTAACTGAGTATGGATGAATCTAACACATTTGTGTACATGATTCCCACATCTGGTAATTTGGTAACTGTACCTTAAGAGGGAACAGGTATGTACAGAAAGGAACACAACAGTTCTGAGACTGCTATCATTAGAAAGACCTGCTCGCAAGGTAGGGCCTTGACTGGTGTCTGGAAACTTGAATTTTTGGAAGGTTCCCACCATTTGCAGAACTGGTAAGAGTGGCTTGCTGTGTCTAGACGGTTTATACAACCTACGTGGTGTATGCTGAACACATGCTTTTCTTCTGGAAGTCTGGAGTTTTGGAACATGCTAGGCAGAAGGTAACCACTGTGACCAGCCCCCAGTAAAAATCTTGGGTGCTGAGTTTAATGAGCCCCCTTCATAGATAACATTTCACACATATTGTCACTACTCGCTGCTGGAGGAACTAAGTACACCAGGTGTGACTCTAATGGGAGATAATTCTTGAAAGCTTGGGCATGATTTCCTCTGGGTTTAGCCTTGATTTTGCTTTGATATTTTTGCTATAATAAATTGTGCCATGAGTATAGGTTTATGCTGAGTCCTATGAGTCCTCCTAGCAAACCATTAAACCTTGGGGGTAGTCTTGGGGACACCCCCAACACAATAGCCACCTAAATTTTCATGTTGTTGGAGCTTTTATTCCAGAATTACATTTTAGTTGACTATTAATAAACATTTAAATGTGGCTGGGTGTGGTGGTTCACACCTATAATCCCAACATTTTGGAAGGGTGAGGCAAGAGGATTGCTTGTGTCCAGGAATTTGAGATCACCCTGGCAATAAAGCAAGGCTATATCTCTACTAAGTAATAATAACAATAAGTCATTTAAATATAAGAGTTTAAGGAAACATGCTGAATCCATCATTTCAGTAAAAGATGGTATTTATATAGTTTTTATTTTATATTTTAAATATTGATGGATTGAGACAGGGTCTTGCTGTCGCTCAAGCTGGAGTGCAGTGGCATGATCATGGCTCATTGTAGCCTTGACCTCCTGGGCTCAAGTGCTCCTCCTGCCTCAGCCTCCTGAGTAGCTGGGACTGCAGGTATGCACTGCCATGTCTGGCTGAATTCCTAATTTTTGTAGAGTCAGGGTCTTGCTATATTACTCAGGCTGGTCTCAAACTCCTGGCCTCAAGAAATCCTCCTGCTTTGGCCTCTCGAAGTGTTGGGATTACAGGTGTGAGCCATTGTGCCCAGCCATATTTGTATTTGCATATAATACAGAAGTAGTAGTTAAACCTGTGCTTATAAGTAGCTATATTACTCACTTGGCTGGGCATTGATGATTCACGATCATAGTCCTGTTGTGTTTGAAAATGAAAAATGTCTAAATAACTTCCAAATATTATGCAGTTCATCTAAAACCAAGTAATTCCCACTTTATACTTTACCATATTTTTCTATTTTGCTTCAAGTTATTAGAATTCAACATAGTATATAGCTTTAGCTTTTTGTGTGTTTTGTTGCTAAAACATGTTTATTGTCAAAAGTAAGCAACATATGAAAACATGCATTACCCCACTATACAGTAACAAACACTGCTAACATTTCTGCATACATCACAGCCATCCTGTCTCGTATCCTGTTCAGTTTTTTGTCTTTTATGCACATACATACAATATTTTTAACAGAATTGGAATGTGTGTATGTATTTCTGCTTTGTTTCACTTAACATTAAATTGTGAATATCTACATGTCAGAAAATATCCTTTTAGGGCAAAATCTCATTTGCCGCATAGAATTCTATCTTATGGATATTCTGTATAATTTACCAGTCTCATCTCATGATACATATAAGCAATTCCTCAATTGTTAGTATTTCAACAATTAACATACTTGATTCAGATTTTCCAAAAATTATATTTTAAAAGCATTCTAGAGGTATATAAAATTCAAAAAATATAAAGATATCAAAGATATAAAACTACAGAAGGTTGTATTCTAAAGAAAATGTTATTGAATATTTACATAATCCCAGAGAAAGAGTTTTTAGGCATGACTTCAAATAATGACAAATTATAAAAATTGTTAGATTTTTTGCAGAAGAAATAGAAACATACTTGCTATAGAAAAAGACAATATGTAAAAAGGTTAAAATACAAATGACAAACTGAGAACAGAGAAACAAAGAAATTGAGAAAAACATTTGTAATCCTTATAACACATGAAAACTATCAGCCATAGCTTACATATTTACCAGGAAAGAAATAAAAGCAATTGATAAATAGAAAAAAAGAATCAGTAGGGAATTTGCAATGGCCAAGAAAAATATAAGAATGTCTTCAATTTCATTCTAGAAGATAATAAAATGTAAATTAAGATAGCACAAATACATTTATCCTGTCAAACTGTCAGTAAAAAATTATAAGACCCAATATGAATATGAACGTCTACACCTTCAGCAAGGTTTGTGACATGACTTCTCTGTCACGCTTATGACCAATGCAAACAAACAGTCTTACGCAAATCTAAAAGTGGGTGTTAGTTTTAACTGCCGATTGTTGGACACTATTCTAGACTATCGAATTTGAATCTCTAGAGGTGAGTCTAGGGAATTTACAAGCTGCCCAGGAGACCCTTAAATGCATTGAGGTCTGCGCACCTTTGGGCTAGATGCCAGAAACGTGAAGGAAACTAACAATGTAGATGGTGATTTTCATATTATGCTGTAGTCTGTGTTCCCCAAGATATCCCAATAATCATTTTCATCAGTGACTTAAATGATGATCTAAAGATCGTCCCTTTCAAATTTTCAGATATCACAGAGCTGGCAGAGTTAATGAGTATCTTGGACAATTGCACCAAATGCAATGGATTGGGATCACTAAATCAAGACGTAATTTGATAGAAATAAAGGTAAGGCCACTTTATTCCAGATACCAACTGCAAAAGAGACAAGATAATAGAGAAAGTTTGGGCTTTAGCAGCACTAATGATTGAAAAAGTCACAGGGCTTTAGTTAGTATCAGTCAACTTTATGAATCAGCTACCCAGAAAGGCTAATATGATTTTAGGATGCACTACTATAAATGAAGTAACTAGAATGACAAGAAAATTGACCTTTATTTTATGCCAATCATTCCACATCAAATGTGCCTCAGGTTAGGTGCCAAACTCTAGGAGGCTATTCATAAATTAACCTATATTCGGAGAAACCAACAAGTCTGAAAAAGGGACTTGAAATCATGTATACGATGATACATTGAAACAAGAGATTTTCAGCCTGAAAGAGAGTAAAGTAGCATTGGAAAAGAAGAAGCATAGTTGGAGTATTTATTTCTTAATTTGCTTTTTCATGATTTATTGCTTTATAATTATAAAAGTCACATGGTTGTCCCTGGGTATCCGGGGTGGGGGGCGGATTGGTTCTAGGACCCTCATGAATATGAAAATCCATGGATACTCAAGTACCTGATAGAAAATGGTGTAGTATTTGCATAAAACCTTTGCACATCCTCTTGTATACGCCAAGTCATGTTTAGATTACTTATAATACTTAATATATTAGGAGATATACCTAATGTTAAATGATGAGTTAATGGGTGCAGCACACCAACATGGCACATGTATACATATGTAACAAACCTGCACGTTGTGCACATGTATCCTAAAACTTAAAGTATAATTTAAAAAAATAATATAAATGCTATGTAAATAGTTGCTAATATTATATTGTTTAGGGAATAATGACAAGGAAAATAGGCTTGAATATGGTCAGTTCAAATGCAACCATCTTTTTTCCCCCTAATATTTGTTTATCTGTGGCTGGTTGGAATCTATGGATGTGGAACTAATGGATGTAGAGGGCCAACTGTATACTTGAATTATTTTAAAAATTAAAAATTGAAAAAAACCTCACTGAATGTGATTTTAAACATGTTTCAAACATTTCAAAATACACATATAATATCCAGGAGAGCTAAGTCTATAACCTTACCACCCTAAATTTTATATTTTCCAGACTTTAAAACGATTCTTTCACATTTATTTTTCCAGTGAAATTTAGAATCATTTTGTTAAGCCAAAAAAAGTTCTATTAAGATTTTGATTAGATCTACATGGAATTTATGGGCTAATTTGGGGAAGGTTGACATCTTTTCAATACTGAATTTTTCTATCCCAAATAAGAGCCCTTATGTCCTTCCATAGAGTTCTTCAGAAATTTAAAAATTGAGATATAATTCAAATACCATTAAATTCACCCTTTTAAAGTGTAGGATTGGATGGATTTTAATAAGTCTGAAGAGTTGTATGGTCATCATCATTATCAAATTAGTACTTTAATTTCTACAAAGAAACCCCCACCCATTAGCAATCACTCCTCATTCCTGCTTTTCCAAGCCCCTGTCAAATACTAACTGACCTTCTGTCTATATGGATTTGCCTATTCTGGACATTTCATATAAAGGGAAGCACACAATATGTGGCCTTTTGTGTTTGGCTTCTCTCACTTAGCATTATGTTTTTAAACCATGTTAAAGCATGTTATCAGTGCTTCAGTCCTTTCTATTGTGGAATAATATTCCATTGTTTGGGCATATCACATTTTGTTTATCCATTCATCAGTTGATGGACTTTGGATAGTATCCACTTTTGGGCTATATGAAAATTCTGCATGAACATTGTGTACAGGTTTTTTTTTTTCTAACAAAAATGCCATTCAGAATGTGTACAAATTTTTATGTGAACCTATGTTTTCAGTTTTCTTGGTGTATATACCTAGGAGCAGAATTGCTGGATCATATGATTACTCTGTGTTTAGAGAAGAACTGCCAAACTATTTTCTAAAGTAGCTGCACCATTTTACAATCCTACCAGCAATGTACAAGGGTTCCAATTTTTCCACATCCTTATCAACACTTATTGTCTATTTTAAAAACTTTAGCTATTCTGTTGGGTACGAAGTGGTATCTCATTTGTGTTTCCTGATAGCTAATGATTTTCTTTTTCTGGAGTACGGTAGCATGATCTCGACTCACTGCAACTTCCACCTCCCACCTCCCAGGGTCAAGCAATTCTTGTTCATCGGCCACCTGAGTTGCTGGGACTACAGGCATGCACCATCACACCCAGCTAATTTTTTTTGTATTTTTAGTGGACACAGGGTTTCAGCATGTTGGCCAGGCTGGTCTTGAACACCTGACCTCAAGTGACCTGCCTGCCTTAGCCTCCCAAAGTGCTGGGATTACAGGCCTGAGCCCCATTGCACCTGGACAAGTGTTGAACATGTTTTCATGTGCTCATTGCACATGAAAGCACATTAATGTGTTTTCTCTGGAGAAATATCTGTTCAAATCCTTTGCCCATTTTCAGTTGAGTTACTTGTTGACTTTTAAGAATTCTCTATATATTCTGGATGCAAATCCTTTATCAGATAAATGATTTGCCAATATTTTCTCCCATTCTGTGGGTTGTCTTTTCACTTTCTTATAGTATTCTTTAAAGCACATGAGTTAATTGTGAAGAAGTCCAATTTATCTTTTTTTTCTTTTGTTATTTGAGCTTTTGGTGTCATATCTAAGAAACCACTGCTTAATCCAAGCTGTAAAGATTTATACTATGCTTTCTCCTAAGTTTTACAGTGTTAGCTCTTATATTTAGGTCATTATAGTTAATCATTTTGAGTTAATTTTTGACATGGTGTGAGGTAAGGGTCCCATTTCTTTCTTTTCATGTGAATATACAGTTGTCTCAGCACTATTTGTTGAAAAGCCTATTCTTTTATATCAAATTGTCTTGGTGTTTTTGCCAGAAATCAATTGACCATAAGTGTATGCATTTATTTCTAGATTCTCAATTATATTTCATTGATTTGTATGTCTATCTGTATGAAAGTATCATCCTGTCTTGATTACTGTAGTTTTATAGAAAGTGTTAAAATTGATGTGTGTGTCCTTTAACTTTGTACTTTGTTTGTTCATTTTTTTAGGGATGGGTTCTTGCTCTGTTACCCAGGCTGGAGCACAGTTGTGCAATCATAGCTCACTGCAACTTTGAACTCCTGCGGGGGCTCAAATGATCCTCCCACCTCAGCCGCCTGAGTAGCTGGGACTACAGGCATCTGTCATCATGCCCAACTTGTACTTCTTTTGTAAAATTGTTTCAGTTATTCTGGGTTCTTTAAATCACATGAATTTTATGATCAGCATGGTAATTTTGGGGGAAAAAGGCACCTGAGAGTTTGATAGGAATTACATTAAATGTATAGATTAATTTATGGAGAATTTCTCTCTTAAAAATATATATATATTTAATTTTTATTTTTAGTAGAGATGAGGTCTTGCTATGTTGCCCAGGCCTCTTAACAATATTAAGTCTTCCAATCCATGAATACAGAATGTCTTTCCATTTATTCTATTTACTTAGGTCTTTTACTTTTTCAATGATATACTATAGTTTTCAGTTGTTAAATTTTGAACTTTCTTTTTTTTCTTTTTTTTCAGACAGAGTTTCACTCTTGTTGCCCAGGCTGGAGTGCAATGGCATGATCTCGGCTCACTGCAACCACTGCCTCTGCCTCCCAAAGCCATTCTCCTGCCTCAGCCTCCCGAGTAGCTGGGATTACAGGCGCCAGCCACCACGTCCGGCTAATTTTTTGTGTTTTTAGTATAGAAGGTGTTTCACTATGTTGGCCAGGCTGGTCTCGAACTCCTGACCTCAGTCAGTTCACCTGCCTCGGCTTCCCAAAGTGCTGGGATTACAGGCGTGAGCTACCACAACCTGCCTGAACTTTCTTTGTTAAATTTATTCCTGGGCCAGGCGCGGTGGCTCACGCCTGTAATCCCAGCACTTTGGGAGGCTGAGGCAGGTGGATCACGGGGTCAGGAGATCGAGACCATCCTGGCTAACACGGTGAAACCCCGTCTCTACTAAAAATACAAAAAAATAGCAGGGCGTGGTGGTGGGCGCCTATAGTACCAGCTACTTGGGAGGCTGAGGCAGGAGAATGGCATGAACCCAGTAGGTGGAGCTTGCAGTGAGCCCAGATCGCGCCACTGCACTCCAGCCTGGGCGACACAGCGAGATTCCGTCTCAAAAAAAAAAAAAAAAAAAAAAAATTATTCCTGAGTATTGTATTTATTTTTTATACTATTATAAGTGGAGTTGTTTCGTGAAATAATTTCATTTACCTTCATTCTTTGTGTTACTGTCATAAATTCTACATATGATATAAACCCTACAACACATTGCCATGATTTTTGCTTTAAATTGTCAGTTGTCTTTTACGAAAATTAAGAACAAAAAATGCAGCTGGGCGCGGTGACTCACGCTTGTAATCCCAGCACTTTGGGAGGCCGAGGCGGGCGGATCACGAGGTCAGGAGATCGAGACCACGGTGAAACCCTATCTCTACTAAAAATATAAAAAATTAGCTGGGCGTGGTGGCGGGCGCCTGTAATATCACAGCTACTTGGAGAGGCTGAGGCAGGAGAATGGCATGAACCCGGGAGGCGGAGCTTGCAGAGAGCTGAGATCGCGCCACTGCACTCCAGCCTGGGTGACAGTCTCAAAAAAAAAAAAAAAAAAAAAAAAAAAATGCTAGCCTTTTACATTTACTCAAATATTTACCATTTCCAGTGCTTTTTATTCCTTTGTATCAACACAACTTTTCCTCTGATATATCATTTTCTTCAGCCTAAATAACTTCCTTTAGCATTTCTTATATTGCAAGTCGGCTGGATACAAATTCTCCTAGCTATTCTTTATCTGAAAATATCTGTATATCATTCTCATTTTTAGAGAATAGAGTCACTAGCTAAATAATTTTCAGGTAGTTTTTTTTTCTTTTAAAGAAAATGCTGAAATTTTTTTTATCATTTTAAAGATGACATTCCCTTGTCTCTTAATCTCCACTGTTTATGATAGATCAGCCATCTTTTGTATCCTTGTTTTCCTGTTTTTTGGGACAGAGTCTCTGTCGCCCAGGCTGGAGTGCAGTGGAACAATCTCAGCTCACTGCAGCCTCTGCCTCGCCGGTTCAAGTGATTCTCCTGCCTCAGCTTCCCAAGTAGCTGGGATTTCAGGCCACGTTACCACGCCCGGCTAATTTTTGTATTTTTCAGTAGAGACAAGATTTCACCATGTTGGCCAGGCTGATCTTGAACATCTGACCTCAAACGATCCACCCGCCTTGGCCTCCCAAAGTGCTGGGATACAGGCATGAGCTACCACGCCCGGCCTCCTATATTTAATGTCTTTTTTTCCTATAGCTCCTTTAAAAATTTCTCTTTACTTTGACTGCAATATACCTAGGCTTGATTTTGATTTTCTTTTAATTTATGCTATGTGAGTTCTCTAGGCTTTTTGAAGCTGTAGGTTTGGTTTATCACCGATTTTAGGAATTTTCAGCCGTTGTAGCAAACCAAAAAAAATTTTTTTGATGCTTCCTCCCCTTATTCTTAGGGTGTGGCTTTTACTTACAGTAATGGTCCTTATTCCCTAGGGCATTTCTGGAATCTCAATGTCCAGGATTCTCAACAGGGCCTCTCAACACTGTCTCGACTAGAAACCCAACATCTCTTAACCCTATGTGACTCTCTTATCTCCAGTCAGTTCAGTCTTGCATCAGCTATAGTTTGCTGGACCTGTGAAGATGCACCCTGTGTATATACAGCTCAGTCTTTAGCTAATAACCCACTGGATGCCTCCATGCAGACTTCTTGACCCCTCCTTCTTTGTGCAGCTACATCATCTCCCAAGCCATAATCCAGCTGCTTCAGCAGCTCCAATCTCTGACTCCTACCTCATTAGCTCAGTGAGGCTGCTATGTTCTGCTTGGGCTTCACTTTTCTACCCAGTCATCTGGAAATTGCCCCCAGGCAGCAATCCAGGGAAAATGTGAAGTTCATACTATGTATGTTCCCTCTCTTGAGGATTATGATCCTGCATTTCTTGTGGTCCAGTACCTGATAGCAATTGCCTTATATATTTTGTTAAGTTTTAGAGTTGTTTAGGGTGGTTACACTGTCATGGCAGAGATGAAACCTGACTTTTCTCGTTAAATGGTTGATTTAGAATATGCAAAATATGCAACCAGATATATCTAGCTTAAATGAGGCTAGCAAATTTAGATGTTCACAGGAATAATCCGGAGACATTAAAAACTAATAAGATGGTTTAGCTGTAACTCTTCTAACTGCTGAGTTATATGTATGTCCTTTGAAAACATGTTGGTCAAACAAAACTCGTGAGTATTATAGCTCAAAATCCCTGGTGGCAACCTCTGGCTTCGTAAACTTAGTCTCTCTAAGTCTCAGTTTTCTCATTTGTAAAATTAGAATAATTATACTTACAAGGTTATTGTGAGGTTTAAATAAATACTTAGCAGGGAATATTCATTCAATAAATAGCTAAGAGCTAGTTTCATCTACAGATCTTGGATTCTCCATCAGCTCAGTCAAGGAAGCTGATTCTACTAGCTACTAGGACCCATGACTACCTTCCTCAAAAAGATCACTGAGGGCTGGGCGTGGTGGTTCACACCTGTAACTCCAGCATTTTGGGAGGACGAGGCAGTGGATCACTTGAATTCAAAAGTTTGAGACCAGCCTGGCCAACAAGGTGAAACCCCATCTCTACTAAAAAGACAAAAATTAGCCAGGTGTGGTGGAGCATGCCTATGATTTCAGCTACTCGGGAAGCTGAGGCATGAGAATCACTTGAACCTGGGAGGCAGAGGTTGCAGTGAGCCGAGATTGCACCACTGCCTGGGTGACAGAGGGAGACTCTGTCTCAAAACAAACAAACAAACAAACAAACAAAGGGGGGCTTCTCGTTGCCTTTAAACCAGTCAAAGCATAGGTGAAGTCCCCATCACGCTTGCTGCTTCCTTACTCTTGAACTAGCCACTCTATAGTCCTTCACATGTCAAACTACCATTCCCTCTAGAATTACTGTTCTATAGCCAGTGACAACTATCCCTTTATTTTCAACTATTGCCTGCATGTTCTCTCTCTCTCTACTTTCTTGCCTTTAAATCTGGCTTTTCCTAAGAAAACTAGAAGCAGCTGTGGCTGTTTACTTTATTTATTTTTATTTTTTTCTTTTGTTTTTTGAATCAGAGTTTTGCTCTGTTGCTCAGGCTGGAGTGCAGCGGTGTGACCATGGCTCACTGTAGCCTCTGCCTCCTGGGCTTAAGTGATCCCCTCACCCCAGCCTCCCAAAATGCAGGGATTATAGGCGTGACCCACCCTGCCTAGCCCATATACTTTCACTAATCCTATTTGCCATAGGACCAGCAAGTAGAGCCAATATCCTTTTGTAGCTCACCATTTCCACTTCATTTCTCCACCATCTCATAAAAACCTTCTCCACTGAGGCTTATTCCATTAAACTTTATTCTGCCCTATTGCTTGCTATTTCATATCAACATTCCTAATTATTTCCCTAGGATTCATTCTAAAATCTTGGTACCTGTCTAATCTCCACCTCAATTCCTGTCTTCTTTCCACATTAGCTATGGGTGAAGATGACATTGATGACCCATTCTGTGCCATTAGCTCTGAGCTCCTTGATCTCCTAATCAGTCGTGGCCTCCTCCTCTCCACTTCTGCTGTGTACTCGCATGCTAATCACTAGCACTTCTAATCGATCCACTTATAAAATTACTAATTCATATATAGGTATCCGTAACCACAGGCTCCTTTCCTTACGGTAGCTTGTTCAACACTCCCATCAGAGTTTTTAGCAACCTCTTTATAACAGTAACCTAATAACTCTTTTAGCATCTCTTTTCTTCATTTCCTTCTTTGTCTCCAGATTAATGTCTAGAGCTCAGGATTTCAAAAACACTCCTTCCTGTAGTCAGAATTCTCTTTAACCTCTGTTTTGTTCATCACCTTGGTTTGGTCTGTCAAATCCCTGATTCCAAATGAATTCATTCATCTGTTCCTTCCCTATCTGTCCACACCAAGTGCTGCTGGCGGAAGCCACACAATAGGTCACAGGAGTTCAGCTATAAAATAGTCATTGACTCAGCCATTCTCCACAATGGCTATTTCAAACTTCCTACTTCCCTTCTTCCTACTATGAAGTTTTGGTCAACTGGAGTAATGCAATCTGAGCCCCACATTATGTGAGGTATAGATAGAGGCTCTGGTCTAAAGCCAGGGACAAATGCTTAACTTTTATTCATAAACTTGGGCAAATATGTGGAGATTCTCAGTTCATCCACGAATAACACCTTCCCAGTGTTCGCTTTTATAGAGTGAACCCAGTTCTGACTCAGTACAGCATTTGAGTCTCATGGTTTCAGCTTCCTTCAACACAGGGCACTAAAATCCTTGTCCCAAGGACTTGTGTCTCATCTGGGTCCTCTATGGGCTTCGTACCTTAGCTCCCACTAAACACATTCCTTCTATTTCTCATATCTTGAGATGTCTTACTCTGTCTCTTTCTCTCTCTCTCTCAAGTTCTATATTTTAAAATATTTTAATATAATTTTATATAACATTTATATTCATTTGAAATGAGAGGGAATTATTTTCACTGTGTGCATTTTTTTCCATCCCAACCTAGAAATCTAAACCTCTTGTTTGCAGCAGATATAATTTTAGTTGTAGCTGATGTAATTTTATATTTGTGTGATTATTTGATTAACGTAAATATCCTCTACTGGACTCAAAACTTCATTAAGGGCAGAGACCATGTCTACTTTTTGCCCACCATGTGTCTTCGGCACAGAGCATAATTCCCATGTTTTATAGGTATTCAATAGTTGATTAAGTGAACAAATTTTTATTTTAATTATTACATATGTAGCAATGGCTCTTAGTATCCTGGACTATTGCTATTCCTTGATCATTCCTCTTACCTCACCAATCCAAACTTCCTTCTCTTAAGACTCATGCTGTTTGGATCAGGTAATTCTCATCCTCTGCTTGTCATCTTCAGATTTTACTCCATACTGGTTACAGTTATAGGAATATCCTCTCATTATCTGAACCATCCTTGAGTCATTTAGGATGACTTTGGCTGCAGACAAAAGTTTAATTTGCCTTAAAAGATAAGGGAGGCCAGGGGCAGTGGATCATCACCTGTAATCCTTGCACTTTGGAAGGCTGAGGCAGGAGAATTGCTTAAGCCCAGGAGTTTGAGACCAGTCTGGGCAACATGGCAAAACCCTGTCTCTACAAAAAATACAAAAATTAGCCAGGCATGGTTGTGTGCACCTGTAGTCTCAGCTATTCAGGAGGTTTAGGGAGAGGATCACTTGAGCCCAAGAGGTTGAGGCTACAGTGGGCCATGATTGTACCACTGCACAATCTGCTTGGATGACACAGTGAGAGCCTGTCTCAAACAAACAAACAAAAAAACAAGGTTCATTGTGGCACTGTTCACAATGGCAAAGACTTGGAACCAACCCAAATGACCATCAATGATAGACTGGATAAAGAAAATGTGGCACATATACACCGTGGAATATTATTCAGCCATAAAAAAGGATGAGTTCATGTCCTTTGCAGGGACATGGATGAAGCTGGAAACCATCATTCTCAGCAAACTAACACCAGAACAGAAAACCAAACACAGCATGTTCTCACTCATAAGGGGGAGGTGATCAATGAGAACACATGGACACAGGGAGGGGAACATCACACACTGGGGCCTGTCAAGGGGTGGGATAGCATTAGGAAAAATACCTAAAATGTAGATGATGGGTTGATGGGTGCAGCAAACCACCATGGCATGTGTACACCTATGTAACAAACCTCCACATTCTGTACATGTACCCCAGAACTTAAAGTATAACTATAAAAAGGAGTTTATAACTCACATAATAAGAAATTCAGACATAAAGCAGCTTCAGGTATATCCATGAGGGTTCTGATTTTGTTTTTCTAGTACTCCCTTGGGCTCTGTCTTCCTCTCTGCAGTGGCTTTATCTTTCAATTGGTAGTAAGATAGCTGCAATAGTTTCAGGCAAAGCAACAAGACACTATATCATCCAAATGAAGAATTGGAGCTGATTTTTTCCAATGTTTCCTTTCTATAGTTAAGAAAACATTTCCCAGAAGCTCCTCGAAATTTCCCTCATAACACCAAGACTTACAGATTATTGGCCTAGTCCTAAATCAGCCCGTAGTAGTGAGACTGGGATTACCATGCTTAGCTTAGTGTAATCATTTGGGATGAGTTGAAAGTTGTGGGAGTCAACCATTTTAACTTCCTTAACTCTACATTTAAAATCTAATTTGGGGGGCCCATGTTCTCAGGACCTCCTAAGACTGTGTCATGGAATAAAAAAAATTTTAGTCTAATTTGAACAACACAATTACACAACACAAGAATAGCAGTTGTTATTCTTTCATCTTTTTCACTTCCTGACCTCTGTTCAATCTCGCTTTTGTCTTTGTTGAATCCTATAGCCTATCAATCCAGCTCAATTTTTCTAATAAATCAGAACTCAGCTGGTGGCACTATCTCCTCTTCCTAATCTAATATTCATTTTCACAGGACTCTTCAGCACATGCAATTCTTTTGCTACCATGGCACTTTAGCCACAACCACCAGGCCAGCCCAATCGATCTCAGATGAATGCAACAATGAGCTGTCTTCATTCTTTTTTTTGTGTGTGTGTGTTGCTAAGTCTTGCTAGAAAAATTGGTGTAGTTCTGCAGATTTGTGTTACTGTAAATTCATAGATGTTAAACTGAGTATAATTCATAGTGCCATGCAGCAATTCTTTACTGCTTTCTAGTCAACTGCTTTTACAGACACGATTCACTAGGCTTGTGTGACCTTGGCAAACCCTTTAAACTCTCTGAACCTCAGTTTCTTAATCTCTAAAATGAGAACAATAGTACTTACATTAAAAGATTGTTTTATGAATTAAAAAGGCAATTTATGTGGAGCAATTTTTCTACTCCCTGGCACATAGTACTCAATTAATGCTCGCCTTTATTTTAATTGCAAATCCTAAACTTTGTTCTTTTTCTTAAGCCTTTCCTTTAACTTGAGTCTGCTTTTCTTCGCCACTGCCTTCTACTCTGAACACTGTCTTGACTTCATGAAAAAGAGAGGCCAACATTTATGGATCCCCTAGTTTCCTTTCATCTCCAAATATACCATGAACTACATGCATTTTTGCACCCTAAATGACTAGCACAGGGTCTAGCCCATGAAAATATTCAGTGTTTATTCCACTGAATTTAAAATCTCCTTATTTTTAATGTCGATTCTACGATATTAGGGAATGATAAGGGGACAACAATCACAAAGTGATAGTTTGGAAATTAGGTTAAGTATTTGCTCATGGTGGTTAGTGAAAAATAAATTCTCTGGTATTTAAAATCTACCTGAAGGGAACTTGGGACTCAGGAAATGTCTAAAGGAAAAGATTCATTTAGCTCTGATAATTAGCAACATAAACAAAACACAGATGAATAAACTGGCTTTATTTGTAAATAACCATTTACGGTTCAAATAATTTCTGTGACAGAGACGTCCCTACTTAATATTGCAACATCTCTCAACTATAAACAGCAAAACCAAATGGCTACAGACAATGATCAGTGTGTTTTATGATAGCAATATAGAAGAAGAGCAAACATTCTCCCACTAACTAAACACAACCAACCAAGCAAAATCATTTTAACCTTTCTTGGGGCAGGATCAGAATGTAATAAATATGTTTCTTGGCATATATCCAAACTGAATTTATATGGCCAATTATTAAATTAAGTTTATTTTCTTGCACTAAGCTTAGATTTAGGAGAGAACATTAGAATGATGTTATTTTCTTGAGGATATTCATTCTAATAAATAAGTGTCTCTTTTTTCTTTTTCTTTTTTTTTTTGAGATGGAGTCTAACTCTGTCAGCCAGGCTGGAGTATAGTGGCAGGATCTTGGCTCACTGCAACCTCCATCTCTTGGGTTCAAGCGATTCTCCCACCTGCCACCTGCCTGCCACCATGCCCGGCTAATTTTTGCAGTTTTAATAGAGATGGGGGTTTCACCACGTTGGCCAGGCTGGTGTTAAATTCCTGACCTCAAGTGATCCACCCACCTTGTCCTCCCAAAGTGCTGGGATTATAGGCGTGAGCCACTGTGCCTGGCCTCCCCAAGAATATGCATTTTAATTTCAGTTCCACCAGTGGTAAATATATAGATTTTTTTAAGGTCACTGGTCTTTGTGGAGTTTTGAGAAGAAAAGAGGCCTCCATTAATTTCTGGTGTGTGAATACATTGGCAAAGCAAAATCAAACGGGTTGTGAGTCAAACACTCTACCATTTTAAAAATCTACAAGAAATTATCTACCTCCCATAGAGAATTTCATGTATATATTGCAGTTGGTGTATTCCTAGAACTGCCTACGCAGATGTAATGGGTTATTCTGTTATAGTAGAAAACTGTGCCCCCTTGGTTTCTAACTTTTTTTTTTTTTGGCTCTTCTCTTCTTTGGCTCTTCTCTATTCAATATATGTCATGTTTCTTTTAGTTTTCATTAGCTTCTCACATTTTCCAAAAAGAACCACCTAAAATTAAGAAAGGACACATTGGTACAAATTTGAATTGACGAGATATATCAACGAATAAAGTTGTGTTGACCCTAACTATGCATTTATAATGAAGATCTATTAGGATTCTAAAGAACAGATCCTAAACTAATTAAGCTTAAGAAAATGGGATGGATTTGTTTGAAGGATTTTAGGAAATCTCATTCTAGGAATGCGAGAGCAATATGACGCTGTGTTTCTGGGGTAGCCTAAGAAGCAACTGCTCTATCCATGTGCTTCCCCCATTTTTTCCCACATGCTCACTGCACATCTGCTTTTATTCTTTATCTTGCCTTTTACCGACTTAGTTCTTCAGACTGCATAGATGGATGGGTAAAGGAGGATGGAATTCTCAGAAAAGGTATTGGGTTGTGTTGACCAAATAGTAGTTGTCTATTACAAATCATCGTAGAAAATCATTTGCAGTCTAAAATGCCAAAAGCAATGGCAACAAAAGCCAAAATTGACAAATGGGATCTAATTAAAGAGCTTCTGCACAGCAAAAGAAACTACCATCAGAGTGAACAGGCAACCTACAGAATGGGAGAAAATTTTTGCAATCTACTCATCTGACAAAGGGCTGCTATCCGGAATCTACAAAGAACTCAAACAAATTGACTAGAGAAAAACAAACAACCCCATCAAAAAGTAGGCAAAGGATATGAACAGACAGTTCTCAAAAGAAGACATTTATGCAGCCAACAGACACATGAAAAAATGCTCATCATCACTGGCCATCAGAGAAACGCAAATCAAAACCACAGTGAGATACCATCTCACACCAGTAAGAATGGCGATCATTAAAAAGTTAGGAAACAACAGGTGCTGGAGAGGATGTGGAGAAATAGGAACACTTTTACACTGTTGGTGGGACTGTAAACTAGTTCAACCATTGTGGAAGACAGGATCTAGAACTAGAAATACCATTTGACCCAGCCATCCCATTACTGGGTATATACCAAAAGGATTATAAATCATGCCGCTATAAAGACACATGCACACGTATGTTTATTGCAGAATTATTCACAATAGCAAAGACTTGGAACCAACCCAAATGTCCGACAATGATAGACTGGATTAAGAAAGTGTGGCACATATACACCATGGAATACTATGCAGCCATAAAAAAGGATGAGTTCATATCCTTTGTAGGGACATGGATGAAGCTGGAAACCATAATTCTCAGCAAACTATCGCAAGGACAAAAAACCAAACACCGCATGTTCTCACTCATAGGTGGGAATTGAACAATGAGAACACTTGGACACAGGAAGGGGAGCATCACACACTGGGGCCTGTTGTGGGGTGGGGGGAGGGGGGAGGGATAGCATTAGGAGATATACCTAATGTAAATGACGAGTTACTGGGTGCAGCACACCAACATGGCACATGTATACATATGTAACAAACCTGCACGTTGTGCACATGTACCCTAGAAATTAAAGTATAAAAAAAAAAAACAGTACCTAACACATAGCAAAAAAAAAAAAAAAAAAAAAAAAAAATCATTTGCAGGCTGGGCGCAGTGGCTCATGCCTATAACCCCAGCACTTTGGGAGGCCAAGGCGGGTGGGTTACCTGAGGTCAGGAATTTGAGACCAGCCTGGCCAACATGGTGAAACCCTGTGTATACTAAAAATACAAAAATTAGCTGGACGTGCTGGCGGGCGCCTGCAGTCCCAGCTACTCGGGAGGCTGAGGCAAGAGAATTTCTTGAACCCGGGAGGCGGAGGTTGCAGTGAGCCGAGATCGTGCCATTGTACTCCAGCGTGAGTGACAGAGACTCCATCTCAAAAAAAAAAAAAAAAAAAAAGAAAATCATTTGTAGAAATTTCTTCATGAAGACCATATTTGGATAGATCATCTGTTTTAGTTCTTGCTATCTAAAAGCAGGGCCACATAAACCTTATTTCTACATGCATTTTTGTTCTAATTATAATGTGTTTGCTTCCTCACCCTCATATTCATTATTTACCCTTCTCTGCACTGTTACTTACCTTGGAAAAGTGACCTCTTCCTGATGTATCTCCAAGGCTCCCTTGCTACCAACTTCGCACTAGGTTTGGCTGATGGAGATAAGAAGGTGAGATGAGAGAAAGCTCAGAATATTTATTCCTTGATCCTTTCCACTTCAGTGCTACATTTCTAGCAACAGCTGTGACTGTCCATAAATACAGCTCCCCACTGGCAACTCTCTTCTCACTGGGCTCCAGTAACACTATTTCCGCCCTTTGTCTCTCAGACCTAATGGCTCCCTGTTAATGCTAACTCTGGGTACCTCAAAATCTATTAACACTGCCCATATATTTATAAGTAGTGTTTTAATTGAAATTCTTAATTTTAGCTACTGAGATGGATTCTATTTATTATCAGAACTCTGACTGATACCAGGAACCAAAACTGGTCCCATAATCAAACCCTGTGGATAAGAATTCTTGGACAAGATTATTCTCTTATTTGATGAAAATAACCTCCCAGCTTGGGGTTATGGTGGAGGATGAAAATATGGTAACTGCTGCATGCAGTGGCATCATGATTACTGAAGTTATTGCCAGCAGTATTTCTGACTGCAGTTGCTGTCAGAGAGCAAATGTGATAGTTCTACTGGAGCAAATTAACACATTTCCTGGCATTTTTAGATGAAACTATTGACCTGGAAAATGGATTTTGTTCAATTCTAATTCTAATGCGTAATTACAATTATTAGCAAATTTATTTATTTTTTATTTTTTTATTTTTTAGACTGAGTATTGCTCTGTCACCCAGGCTGGAGTGCAATGGCGCCATCTTAGCTCACTGCAACCTGCGTTTCCCGGGTTCAAGTGATTCTCCTTTCTCAGCCTCCTGAGTAACTGGTGGTATCTGCCACCATGCCCGGCTAATTTTTTTTGTGTGTTTTTAGTAGAGGTGGGGTTTCCCCATGTTGGCCAGGCTGGATTTGAACTCCTGACCTCAAGTGATCCACCTGCCTTAGCCTCCCAATGGTAGGGAGAATAGTATCCCTTCACTGCCTTGACTTTGTGCTATGCTGACTCTCCTGATATCTATTATCTTACAGTCTGGCAGAGCTTGGGGATCTTGATATATCACAGAACATCATGCTGGTTTGTTATATACGTGACCTTATGCTAATTTGATTTGGTAAGCAGGATGTAAAAAGTGGCCTACATGCCTTAGTAAGATATATGCATGCCAAATGATGGGAAATAAACTCTGACTGTTCAGCCAGCATATATGAGACATGAAAAGTCCAGAACTGATGACATGAGATATGTGGATGGACCTTACAGAATGGCCAAAATGGGCGAAGATATCTGTGTCTTATCACATGGTACCTACTATAGAGGGAGATCTCAGAATTTAGGTTGACAAGATGATCCATTCTGTGGAAATCAGCTAGCCTCTTTCCTTCAATGACTTGTTTGATGAATTTATGCACAAAGTGACCATGTTGGCAGGGTTGAAAATTATACGTGGGCTTAGAGTGTGGATTTCCCCTTACCAACGCTAATTTTGCTTACTCTGATGATTGTCTACCCTACCAATAAATGAGACCAGTGCTAAGGTCCTGATATGGCACCATTTCCCAAGGTGACCTGCCGTCGTCATTCTAGAAGGGGTAACAATTTATCCTCAAGTACATGCATACAAATTCCTGTGGCTTTATAGACTGCTCTATTTATTGTCATGGTACTCCATACAACATTTCTGACCAAGAAATGGTGAAAGAATTATGTTAAAGGGCATGTGCCTAAGAAATTCACTAGTAGTACCATGTACCATAGAAGCAGTGAGTGACTTGTTAAAGGGAGCTGGGAGAAAAAATCCTGCACAATTAGGATATTTTCCTATAGGATGCAGCATATGCTTTAGATCAGCACAACTATTTATGATATCACATAATTCTTTAGGCTTTTAAAATATCTGGTCACTGTTTATCTCAGAACTCTTAAGAGTTGGCTTGTTCTAGGCCACCCCTTCCACTGATCTGAGCATTCTTCAGGAACTTTCATTCACATATACACGAAAATTATGTCTCTAAAGTACCTCAAACACCATATATTGTCTACAATCAATAGTAATAGCTTGTTAAAAGCTTTTAGTAGTTCAACCAAAACAATGCAAATATTTCTTAATAGGGTTGTGCTATTGTCAGTGTCTATTTCTTTCTATGTTTCATTAAAATGTATATAAATACTCATGAATATTATTCTTTCATTTTGTAATAGATCTTTTGTTAATATGAATTTTCTTCTTAGGCCCAATTCATGTTGTTTGCATTTAGTTCAAATTTATCTGATATTAATATTACTCTTGCTTTATTTTTTCATATTAGCTTGTATCTTTGCTCATAGTCTTATTTTAGCCATTTTAATACATTTCTTGCTTCAAAATTTTTTCATAGAAATGGAGCTTTGTTTTCTGATACATCAGAAGGATTTTTCAATTTCCTAAGGAAGGTGATTCAATTTACATTTCTTATGGTAGATTTATTTATTTGTTTATTTATTTGCTTCTGAGATTTTCTATGTTTTCCTGTTTGGCCATTTTCCTCTCTCTGTTTTCTATCTTTTGCTGTATAGACTATGTTTGTTTGCTTTTACCTTTGTAACATTTTGGAATTTTAGTATGTGCTTTGAAAATTTTCAAAAGTATCCCTTAAACCTATTTCTTTGATTACCAGAGAGTTGGATATGCAACAGGATGTTCCCCTGCCATTATTTTACTTCTTTTCTACCTCTCATTAGCTGTTTGCATAAAAATAAAATGGAGATATTAATCCATTTTTTTTCCAGAAAGAATATATGGATAGTACATCTTCTAAGCATTTGTATCTCTTGAAGTATGAAGTTCTTGCCTCCATTTCTGACAGGCAATTTGGCTGGAATTATTTGAAATAATCCCTGTTTGATTATCTGCTGGCATTTTAGTGGGAGGTGAGTATATATAAATATCAGATAAGGCCAGGCACTTTGGGAGGCCTAGGTATGAGGATCAGTGAGCTCAGGAGTTGTAGCTTGTTGTCCCAGCTACACGGGAGGCTGAGGTGGGAGGATCACTTGAACTCGGCAGTTCAAGATTGCAGTCAGCCATGATTGCACTACTGTACTCCAGCATTGGCAACAGAGTGAGACCCTGATACAGTTTGGCTGTGTCCTCAGCTAAGTCTCATCCTGAATTGTAGCTCCCATAATCCCCATGTGTCATGGGAGGGACTTGGTGGGAGGTAATTGAATCATGGGGGCAGGTTTTTTTTCCTGTGCTGTTCTCTCATGATAGTGAATAAGTCCATGAGGTCTGATGGTTTTATAAAGGGCAGGTCCCCTACACACACAATTTTGCCTGCTGCCATGTAGGATATGTCTTTGCTCCTCCTTCACCTTCTGCCATGATTGTGAAGCTTCCCCAGCCATGTGGAAATGTGAGCCCATTAAACCTCTTTTTCTGTATAAATTACTCAGTCTTGGGTATTTCTTCATAGCAGTATGAAAATGGACTAATACAGAAATTGGTATTAGGAGTGGGCTGCTGCTGTAAAGATACCTGAAAATGTGGAAGCAACTTTGGAACTGGGTAACAGACAGAGGTTAGAACAGTTTGGAGTACTGAGAAGAAGATAGGAAAATCTGGGAAAGTTTGGAACTTCCTAGAGACTCGGAGGGCTCAGAAAGCAGGAAGATGTGGGGAAGTTTGGAACTTCCTAGAGACTTGTTGAATGGCTTTGACCAAAATGCTGATAGTGACATGGACAATAAAGTCCAGGCTGTGGTGGTCTTAGATGGACAAGAGGAACTTTCTGGGAACTGGAATAAAGGTCTCTCTTGCTATGCAAAGAGAGTGGTGGCATTTTGCCCCTACCCTAGAGATCTGTGGAAGTTTGAACTTGAGAGACATGATTTAGGGTATCTGGCAGAAGAAATTTCTAAGTGGCAAAGTGTTCAAGAGGAAGCAGAACATAAAAGTTTGAAAAATTTGTAGCCTGATGATACAGTAGAAAAGAGAAACCCATTTTCTGAGGAGAAATTCAAGCCAGCTGCAGAAATTTGCATAAGTTACAAGGAGCCAAATGTTAAACACCAAGACAATCAGGAAAATATCTCCAGGGCACGTCAGAGACATTTGTGGCAGCTGCTTCCATCACAGGCCTGGAGGCCTAGGGGGAAAAATGGTTTCCTGGGCTCAGTCCAGGGCCCCCCTGCTGTGTGCAGCCTCGGGACTTGGTGCCCAGCATCCCAGCCACTCCAGCTGTGGCTAAAAAGGGCCAAGGTACAGTTCGGGCTGTGGCTTCAGAGGGTGCAAACCCCAAGCCTTGGCAGCTTCCATGTCGTATTGAGCCTGTGGGTGCACAGAAGTCAAGAGTCGAGGTTTGGGAACCTCTGCCTAGATTTCAGAGGATGTATGGAAACACCTGGATGTCCAGGTAGAGGTGTGCTGCAGGAGGGGAGCCCTCATGGAGAACCTCTGCTAGGGAAGCGTAGAAGGGAAATGTGGGGTGGGAGCTCCCACACAGAGTTCCCACTGGGGCACTGCCTAGTGGAGCTGTGAGAAGAGGGCTACTTTCTCCAGATCCCAGAATGGTAAAGCCACTGACAACTTGCACCCAGCACCTGGAAAAGCCACAGACACTCAATGCCAGCCTGTGAAAGCAGCCAGGACTGGGGCTGTACCCTGTAAAGCCACAGGGGTGGAAATGATCAAGACCATGAGAACCCACCTCTTTCATCAGCGTGACATGGATGTGAGACATGGAGTCAAAGAAGATTATTTTGGAGCTTTAAGATTTGACTGCCCTGCTAGATTTCAGACTTGCATGGGGCCTTTAGCCCCTTTGTTTTGGCCAATTTCTCCCATTTGGAATGGGTGTATTTACTCAGTGCCTGTGCCCCCATTATATCTAGGAAGTAACTAACTTGCTTTTGATTTTACAGGCTGATAGGAAAAAGGGACTTTTGAGATAATGCTAAAATGAATTAAGATTTTGGGGGAACTGTTGAGAAGGCATGATTGGTTTTGAAATGTGAGGACATGAGATTCAGGAGGAGGCAGGGGCAGAATTATATGTTTTGGCTGTGTCCCCACCCAAATCTCATCTTGAATTGTAGCTCCCATAATCCTCACATGTTGTGGGAGGTACCCAGTGGGAGGTAATTGAACCATGGGGGGAGGTTTTTCTCATGCTGTTTTCATGATAGTGATTAAGTCTCAGGAGATCTGATGGTTTTATAAAGGGCAGTTCCCCAGCACATGCTCTCTTGCCTGCCACCATGTAAGATGTGCCTTTGCTCCTCCTTCACCTTCTGCCATGATTGTGAGGCCTCCCCAGCCATGTGGAACTGTGAGTCCATTAAACCTCTTTTTCTTTGTAAATTACCCAGTCTCAAGTGTTTTTTCATAGCAGTATGAAAACGGACTAATACAGACCTTGTCTCAAAAAAAAAGTAGCAGATAAAAATGGCTACAAGGAATCTAAAACATGGTAATTAAAATTCACATTTGAGGAGAAAATTCAGACTGTGGGAAATCTCATCAATAAAGTAGAATACAAAATGGATATGTTCTTGTAAAATGCTGAAGAAAAGGTTAATGATTAAAGAGAAAATGATAGCTGTAGAAGAGACTCACAGACTCTTCTGGTTTTATTGTAAACCAGTTATCCTACAGAAGAGACCCAGAACAAGTAGAAAAATCGAAACAATTAAAGCTGCAAGGTAGGAAAATATTCCTGAGCAAAATTAATGAAAAGAAATCCATAATTAAATATATCTTGGAAACATTTTTAATTGTAGGGTTGAAGACAAAAATGCATATTTCTAGGCAAATAAAACAGATCATTTAAATTAGAAGATACTTATTTGATTTAGTTTGTGATTAATTTTTGTCTTTTGTTTTCTTTGTCTTCATAGTCTTTTTAGTAAGAAGTAGACAAGCTAAATGGGAAACTGCTAGCCAGATGTCATTATAATATAAAATCATTTTACAGAAATACTTTAGAAAAGCTAGGATAAAGTTTAGTTATTGTGAACTATGTTAACTGTCCAATATATAGCTATTACTCCTTGCAATTGGAGGTTACTGACCAACAAATGACACTGGTGCCCTTTTGCTGTCTGAGTCTGTCCTGTGGCATGTATTTGTTTTATTACAGAGATTTCAATTCAAATTAGAAGTTTATGGCACTACATTCCAATTGAATGAGATGCAAACTCCATTTACAACATAGAACAATCAGCTATGAACAAGAATGGGTGGGTGGGAAAGCATTTTCTTCCATAATTTTTACATAATTTCTTAAATTCTTATTTGCCCTTGAATACACTGGCCTGAATTGGTGTCATTCATATTGGCCCTCTGAAGTCAAATTGTTGCCACAAGGATTTAATATGCAGCTTGGCATACTAGTCATAGATGATTAGTTTTAAAATCTTGGTCTTTACAGGGTCTAGATACTGAGTGTCTCATGGAATAGTCATGTTCTCCAGGAATTTGAAATGTTTTTCACTGGATAGAGACTGTTGACCAGCAGAGTCTGGTTTGCAGTGATTCAGCTGAAGTAGTTGCTCTCTATCATCAGGGACTCAGAGGAGACAACCTGTGCTATGATTTTACTGTGTTCTCCATGGTTCGTGTGTTGGAAACTTGATTCCTGATGTGGTATTGCTGGGAAATGGGGCCTAATAGGAGGTGTTTGGGTCATGGGAGTACCACCTCATGAATGGATTAGTGTCTTTCTCTTGGGAGTGGGTTCATTATCAAGGGAGTGAGTTCCTTATAAAAGAACAAATTCAGCCATCTCCTTCTTTCACCCTATTTTGCCCTTCCATCTTCCACCATGGGATGATGGAGAGCAAAGGCCCTCATCAGACAACAGCCCCTCAATTTTGGACTTCCTTTCCGCCAGAACTGTGAGCCAAATAAATTTATGTTCATTGTAAATTACCCATCTGTAGTCTTCCGTTACAGCAGCACAAAATGGACTAAGATAAACCCCTTCTAGCAAAAACAAGCAAATAAACAAAAGGCCATCTCGGCCTTCTGGACCACTTAATCTCTGTGTGCATTTTAGCTAACAAGTCATTGAGGGGCATGGAGAGCATAATGTTAGTAGGTGGAGATTCACGTATCATCTCTTCCTACAATGTTTTAATACTAGGAAATGCTTTGAAGTGTCAAACAGTATAATATAACCTAGAGTGACAGGAATCCCTTGCAAACCCTGCTGGGATGCTGCCCTAGGAAAGGAATTATGGCTCAAAGCTACTAAGTTATTGAATGTATTCTGTCCTCAGAGCACTTGGGTATAAATCTTCTCCCAAATAGCTGTATGTACTGATTGACTTCCTTTTTGACTTCTGTTTCCTCATCTCTAAAACAAAATGTCTGAGCTTGGTCGTTATAAGGAGTAATGCTAAGGGGCAAAACATATACAGTCACAGTCATATTGTGAGGGGATTGGTTCCAGGAATGCTGCAGATTCCAAAATCTATGGATGCTCAAGTCCTTGATATAAAATGGCATAGTATTTGCATATAACCTCTGTATATCCTCTTGTGTACTTTATTATTTATTTATTTTTATTTTTTGAGATAGAGGCTTGCTTTATCACCCAGGCTGGAGTGCAGTGGTGTGAACTCGGCTCCCTGCAACCTTTGCCTCCTGGGTTCAAATGATTCTCGTGCCTCAGCCTCCTGAACAGCTGAGACTACAGCTGTGTGCCACCACACCCAGCAAAATTTTTGTATTTTTAGTAGATATGTGGTTTCACCATGTTGGCCAGCCTGGTCTTGAACTCCTCCTGACCTCAGGTGATCCTCCTGCCTCTGCCTCCCAAAGTGCTGGGATTACGGGCCTGAGCCACAGCACCTGGCCCCTCTTGTGTGCCTTAAATGATCCCTAGATTACTTGTAATACCTAATAAAATGTAAACACTATGTTAATAGTTGTTATGCTATGTCGTTTTTTATTTGTATTATTTTTATTGTTGCACTATTATTTATTTTTTTAAAAAATCTTTTCTGTATATGGTCAGTTGAGTCCACAGATTCAAAATCTGTGACCATGGAGAGCCAATTGTGCACTATCTAGTTATAACAGATGCTCAATAAATGTTACTAGAGCTCCCTCGATTCAATCTCAAGAGAAATAGAATGTGGATCCTTCTAGGTATTTCTGGGAGCAGTTAGAAAATTGCTTTCTATGAGGCCGGGTGCGGTGGCTCACGCCTGTAGTCCCAGCACTTTGGGAGGCCAAGGTGGGTGGATCATGAGGTCAGGAGATTGAGACTATCCTGGCTAACATGATGAAACCCCGTCTCTGCTAAAAATACAAAAAATTAGCCGGGTGTGGTAGCACATGCCTGGAGTCCCAGCTACTCGGGAGGCTGAGGAAGAATCACTTGAACCCAGGAGGTGGAGGTTACAGTGAACCAAGGTTGCACCACTACACTCTAGCCTGGGTGACAGAGTAAAACTCTGTTTCCAAAAAAAAAAAAAAAAAAAAAAATTGCTTTCTATGAATTAGATTTGATGATTTTTTTTTTCTAAAAATGAATGTGGCTGTTTTGGTTCAACAGTTAATAGTTGGGCAATCTGAAGAAGAAAGATCTATGCCTGTAACTTACATTGTTGGGGTGACCTTGAATTGGGGAAGAATCCTTTGTATTGATCAGAATTAGGTCCAGAGAGGCAATATTTTTATAGAATAATGAAAAAGTACAGATTTAAGAATGAAATTAAACCTAGCTTTGAGGTTCTCCCGCTTGCTAGCTGTGTAACCTTAAATAACTTCTGTTTGAGCTTTAATAAGAGATATCACTTGGGAAAGCAATGATTAATTTTCCTTTTTTTCCTCCCCTCTGAGTTCCATTGACTACCACAGTTCCATTGATTTCCTGTTGTTTTTCCTTCATAAAATGAATAATAATTAAAGGAAAGTTTTCTCCAATTACCCCCTTTCAATATATAGCTTATTTCATTTTTCATCTTCTATTTGAACTCTTCTCTGTATTCAGACTCATTATTATATAATCTATTTTCACACTAGCACCTCACTGCTTTGATTACTGTTACAGTGTTTTGCTTATGAATATGTTTGTTGGAACTTTAAAAATGTTTATTTCAATAGATCTAGAAGTCAATGTAGAAGTGAATTTTATGTCTTTACCTATCTGTTGATAATCATTGATGATGAATCTGTATATAATGTTGACCCTCATTCTATGTAGATTATGCAAGGGCAAGATAATCATTTTACATTCTACATGTATAATACATAATACTCCCCGTAATCTGCAACATATGTGTTACTGAATTCCTTTTTACAAATGGGAAAATTGAGGGTCAGAGTGATTCAATAGCTTGTTCTAAGTCGTATCTAAAAGGTGACATAGCGGCCGGGCGCGGTGGCTCATGCCTGTAATCCCAGCACTTTGGGAGGCTGAGGCGGGCAGATCACGAGGTCATGAGATCGAGACCATCCTGGCTAACACGGTGAAACCCCGACTCTACTAAAAATACAAAAAAACAAAAAAAAAATTAGCAGGGCGTGGTGGTGGGTGCCTGTAGTCCCTGCTACTCGGGTGGCTGAGGCAAGAGAATGGCGTGAACCTGGGAGGCGGAGGGTGCAGTTAGCCAAGACCGCACCACTGCACTCCAGCCTGGGTGACAGAGCGAGACTCCGTCTTGGAAAAAAAAAAAAGTAACATAGCTAGGAATTTAAAGCTAGGTCTTTTCCCATTGTACCATGATATCTTTTGTTTTTGATCTTCATTTCTCTCATTTTTTATACTTTACAGTTCATACAAATTTAACACTGGCTTTATTCGTAAGGTTTTGGTGGCTGTTCTTGGGGCAGTTGCAAATGACCTCTACATCCTACACTAGATTTAATAGATGTTAATACCATGTCATAAGTGCTTTAGGTTTTTCTTTTTATTAAAGAAATAAAATGTTACTGATACAGCTGAAGTCCATCTTTTCTTTTTCCTCCTTCCCAGGAGCTAGCCAGTATCCTGAAGTTTTACCACAAAAGTATATACCTATAAATATAGTACTCTAAATATGAATAATATAATCATATATCATTTCCTCATATATTTTAATTTTAAAAAGAATCAGACATCATTTTATCTGGAATTCAAGATGAACCAATAAGCAGATGTATTACTTTACAACAATCAGGGAGGAAAATCTACCAAAAGCATTATATTTAAAACAGATGCTCTGGTGTTTGAAGTGATTCAAAGAAAAACAATTTTTTTGATCATAGAATGAAAGAGGAAAAATGGTCACTTTCAAAAAAACATTTTTGTGTTACTTTATATTTTAAGACGGATATATGTTAAAGTATTTTCTTTGTTAAAACTAATCAAGTATGGAAAAATTAATAGTCAAAAAGGAAATAGAATAAAAGGCAACCCAAGAAGGCTTTCATGCATTTTGCATCGTGAGGACTATAAAATGTCCTGGCATAGAGTTAAAGACTCTGTGATTAAAGAAATTGTTCATGAACTAGATTAGTGCAGAGCATTTCTCCTTTGTCTAATTAAGCTTCCTGAATCATGGAATGTAATCTGTCAAAATGGACTCCCCTGTTTCCTAAGCGATTGACAGTAACTGGATATTAGCCGTGGCCCACAGCATCTAGGAAACTTCCAATTTATTTTCAAGTTTAGACACATAAAACCAAATATCTTTAGTCTCCTAGATAGATTCCATATTTGCCCTTATTCAACATTTTGTTGAATTTTACTATGTTTCTAATATTGTGTCATAGACATACCAAAATAAAACTAAGATGGGAAAACATAATTTAAGCTTGTTTACAATTCTTCTCTATTCTTACCTGGGCCATATGTTTACCCTGGCCTCAGCTCTATGCTAAGGCATGGCATTTCACAGTTACTTCACGGGGGTTTAGGATTCTTTTGTGGAATGCAGCCTCCAAATTATAGCCCCTGGAAGTCAGGAAAGATAAGGATGGAACTCAGGAAGTGGAAACATCCCTGGGCTATTAGCCTTCTGAAGCTTCCCAAACCCCTGTGACTGTCTCCCCAAGATGGCGCCCAGCCCTGACTTCCTCTCTTCTTTTTAGTTTGTCAGTTCTTTTGAAGTGAAGTGGCAGCTATAACTACAATTCCAAGCTTTTAGGGATATTAAAATTTACAGGACTGTAAATGTCTTGATTTGTCTTTAAAAATACCTATAGAATTCATGCTAGATATAACCAACTCTCTATACATAAGCCATAAAGCACTAATTTTGTTTTGTTTTATTTTCTTTTGTTTTTAAGAGATGGGGTCTCTCTCTTCCCCAGGCCGGAGTGCTAGAGTGCACTGGCATGATTACAGCTCACTGCAGCCTCGACCTCCTGGGCTCAATTGATCCTCTAGCCTCAGCCTCGTAAGTAGTTGGGACTACAGGCGTGTACCACCACATTTGGCTTTTTTTTTTTTTTTTTGGTATTTTTTGTAGAGACAAGGTTTTGCTATGTTGCCCAGGCTAGTCTCGAACTCCCAGGCTCAAGTGATCCTCCCGCCTTGGCCTCCCAAAGTGCTGGGATTGCAGGTGTGAGCCACTGCACCTGGCCATGAAGCGCTAATTTTCAAATACCTGATTGTGTTTGAAACAGTTTAAAGCAATCTTATAACCATTTCAGAATACCTAAGCATAAAGGAAAGTAAATAGCTAAATTCTTAGTAGTTAAATTGAGATATGTACAACAGATGTTTGAAATTATTGTTGATAAAATATGATTTTAGGAATAGTTTCTAAAATGATTGCTTTTAAAAAAATTGTATTAAACAACAGAAGAATCATTTTTTAAAGCTTCTCCCTGTCCAATAACCCAAGTTTTGAAATCAAACATGAAAACTGAAAATATATTAGAAAAAGAATTACTGATTTTCAAGCTCCATGAAAGACAGAGAAAAACATCAGAAGAAAAAAATTGTCAACACAGTTGTAAAAACTCAAATTTTATATGTAATTTGTCTTTTTATACTGAATATTAATTAATCCCTAAAAGAATATTTGCATATTAGATGGATACAAATAGGTGTCCTCTACACAGATGAAATTTCCAGGGCCTCTCTCCAAAAATCATCTCCTTCATTGGTCTATCATTGCCCAAACCACTGTCCCCAGCGCTATTAAACTTCCTGCCTGAAATTATCATCATTTAAAACCTCCTTGGTGAATTAGTCATTTGATGAGAGTACATTAAATTTAAAATACCTCATATTCTACTGAGCTGTGAGTATTTTTAAAAATTTCACTGTAATCTCATGGTGATCTCTTGCCTCTCATTCTTAAAATCCCAATTTGAGGTTCTATATTTTCCAAAACAAGATTTTAATTGGGTATTACTTCATTTAAAAATAATTATACTAAACCTAGTATATCTTAACATGAATAACATTTTAATTTAAAATAACTATATTTTCCAAGACAAAAGAATTTGGAAAGAAGAAATGCATTGTGTTATGTTTTTGCAAATGTAATATCTGGCTTTATAGACAGCTAGATTCTCACATCTACTTATGTATTCAATCTGCTGTGATACATTGTTTAGGCTGAGATTTATAAAAGTAGTTGGAAAAGTGAGAGTGTTTTATAGCCATTTCAGAAAATTTTAGATATTCTTCTTTGACACTATACCAAATGACATGTGATAGTTTCTTAAAGGTTAGTCGCAAGGTGAAATCTGAAACTGTATCAAGGAGCTTTTATACTCAATTATGTGAACAACCTATTGGTCTATTTTGTACTTTGAATGGACCTTTTATCCATTCATGATGTTAGAGTATTGATTCACTGAGTTATGTAGATCTTTCAAATGTTGACACATTTTATTATGTAACATTGAAACATCAAAAAGATTTATATCAACACCAATCTCAGAAAAACAATTTAAGTAACTTAAAGGTAGAAATGTCTTTAAGTACAATGGTACAGGTACAATTTTTCCAAAGTTGTGATTTTTGCTTGAAAGCTCAAATATTGTAATTAGCAATAAACACTGTCAGTTGTTTTTCTTGAGGTGATAGTCTTGCTTTTTTAATTTTCAAGAAAGATGCCTGTCAAACAACCAAATCTGGATAAGAATATTTGTCTTTCAGTTGTTCTTTCAAGTTAAAAAAAATCATGTTCCATGAGAAAAAAAAAAGCTAGTTCAGCTCGCTACTCAAAATTACACAAGTGTTTTTCTTCAATGAATATGTTACTTTGGTATGCTTTTTAACGCATGCTGCCAAGTTCATTATACAGAATATTAAAAAGTAATAAGATTTAATAAAATTAATACTTTTTGCTGCTTCATCACGGACATCTGAAAGTGAAACTGGCTTTCCCCTTGTGAATGTGTGGCAGTAAAGAATACAATGACTGCTAGTCTCTTAGTACATTTTGGTGTCCTGCCTTGATTTATGCCAGCAGTTTTGCCCAATATTGCTTTTGTACCATTAGTTCAAAAGTCAATGCAGTGAAAAAGGCATGATATCTTAGTATTCTTATGAAAATCATTTTTTACCTATGGACCTTCCGAAAAATCAGGTCTCAGGGATTCTAATTGGTATATAGACCATGCAATGGATTCTCGTCGACTCTGCCTCAACTAAGGTATTGGGGAAAGTAAAGGTCTTCACTTCTCCACTTCACTTCTTGAAAATTTCTCCAGTACTGATACGGAGCTGCAACAAGCTGTTAAGTTCAACGCCATGACAGGGGCTGCCCACAGAACCTGGAGTTACAACCTGCTGTTCTGGATATTCTTTATTCCTAGATAAGCTAAATTATCAGGAATAGGAAAATGAGATCCTTATAAAACCTTTCTTTCAGGTGCTAGGAGGATGGGAGGAGGAACAGCAGGAGGCATGGACTGATGTTTTGCCAAGTTCCTGCAGCCACAGGCTTCCTGGGAAGTATAATGGGCTTGTTGATCCAACACTTCTGAAAACCTGGATACCAAGGGATGCCAGAGGTTACTTTGCCTTGGAACTCTTCCACGCCAAAATTTGTAGCTTCTTCAGCCCCATTTACAGTTTTCAAACCCATATCCTTCTTCTAGTCCTATGAAACCACCCTTACTCCATCCTACCTCTGCCCAAGGTATTAAAGGGAGCTAAATGCGGGACGGGCTCCCTATACCATCATAGTCAGCTCTAACAGCCACAGAAATGGCTAGCAGAGTCCCTTCCAGGCTTCCGTTGGCCTTACTTGGAGAACAATGCAATTATGCTCATAGATGAAGCTTGCTTCCAAATAAAGAACATCCTAGAGAAATGGGACAGGCTGCATCTGAGCATGATATAATTCATGGTATAATTCTGGTGGCATTTTGGCTTTTCCCTGTTGCTGGCTTAAGATTCACCTTTCTTGAGTCTGCTAAGTTGGTTACCATTCATCTTTCTGTGATTTTAGTTTCCCCAAATTTGTTGTTGTTATTTTGCTCTGGGATGGGCTGGCTCTGGGATGATGACAATAGAGCTTTCTTTTTCCCCAGTGTCATGATGCCCTACTGTAGCCACGGTCTATACATGGAAAATTTGTCAGAATCACTACATGAGGACTGAGGGCTGCTTTACATGGTTGTAAAGTTTGTCCATTTGACAAAAGGTGTCTGGCCCAGGGAATGAACGGTGGTTAGCATTCCGCTCTGCTCTGCTCACTAAGCCATGCCCCCACAGTCTGGGTCTGTGCAGAGGGAGCATCTTTTTTATTGTCTCTACAGAGGGAGTACCTTTTACAAAGGGACTACATTTTTCTAGCTCATACAATGATGCTACTGTAGAAGGCAGCAGCTGCCCTATCAGGACTGGGCTTGGCCCATCCTGGGACCTGTGAGTGAGTGATATTTTCCTTCAAGGACTGCCAATGTGTGTCCTACTTAGCAGGATTACCTTTAAGGCCTTCCACTTGTCTGTTTACTTCTTGCCAAACAGACACCTGCACAGGGCCCTGGAAAAGTGGGCCAAGAGCTGTAGTTCCTCCCTGTTGGCTAACTGAACTATTTCCTCCCACCAAGTTCCAGCAACTAAGTTATCTCACCTTCCTGTAACCACATCAAACATTTATCCCATTCTGTACAGCAAACCATCATGGCACATGTATACCTACGTAAGAAAACTGCACGTTCTGCACATGTACCCCAGAACTTAAAGTATAATAAAAGAAGAAGAAAGAAATGGCAAGAATGAGCCAGGCGAGGTGGCTCACACCTGTAATCCCAGCACTTTGGGAGGCTGAGGTGGGTGGATCACCTAGGTCAGGAGTTCGAGATCAGCCTGGCCAACATGGTGAAACCCTGTCTCTACTAAAAATACAAAAATTATCTGGGCATGGTGGCGGGAGCCTATAATCCCAGCTACTCGGGAGGCTGAGGCAGGAGAATTGCTTGAACCTTGGAAGCAGAGGTTGCAGTCAGCTGAGATCATGCCATTGCACTCCAGCCTGGACAACAAGAGTGAAACTCCGTCTCAAAAAAACAAAAACAAAAAACAAAAACGCATACCCTGTCCCTCAGCACAAAAAAAAAAAAAAAAAAAAAAAAAAAAAAAAAAAAAAAAAAATTTATTCTGTGAGAATCTAGGGAAGAGGATCTGATAAGCCAGAGACCAATACACAGCTGGCAAGCACCAAGTTCTCACTGGAGAAGATCACGTAAGTGAGGACATAAATATGATTTTGCTCTCACCACAACCACCACAACCAGATGATGCAGGCTATGACAAAGTTGTGCACAGTCCTGGCAAGGAGAACTGCTGCTGCTCAGTTCCTGTTGGGCAATCCATGATCCAGAGCAGCAGCTCACAACCAGAATCTGATATTTCTTTCCTCCGCACCTTCAGGTCAAAGGGTGCTGCTAGCTTCCTTTGGGTTCCTTTCATCGTGGTCTGTGTACATAGTTCCTTCATTAAAAAGTCTCCAGAAATTCCATCTAAGAGTATGGTTGGTTCCCTGTCAGGCCCTTGGCTGGTACATCATTATGAAATTACAAAACCCTGGAGACAGACAGAAAAATCCTATAAGCTTGGAGGTAGAGGTGGATGGTGGGGAGATGTTAGCAGAGAACGATTTTGGATTTCTCAACAGCAAGAGAGGAGACTAGAAATCTATGGATCTTTTTTTTAAATACTAAAAAAAAAAAAAATGTTCCACCTAGAATTCTATTCCCAGTCAGAATATCGTTAGTATGCAATGGACTGAAGATGTTTTCAGACATTTGGAGTCTCTAGGAATTTACCATCCAAACATCCTTTGTCAGGAAGCTACGAGAGGAGATGTTCCACCACAATGAGAGAGTAAACAAAACAGAAGACATGTGACCCATGAAACAGGAGATCCCCCGGAAGGCAGAGGCAAAGGGAATCCTCAGGGTGAGGCCAAGGAAGATCCCAGGGTGGCAGCCGCTTAGCAGGTGTAGGGAGCCACCGAACAAGTGAAGACAGGTCAGCAAGCTCCAGGAGACAGCTCCAAAAGAAGGAATTATTAGGGTGAAAGAATATATTGAAAGGAGATTTAGGCAATGGAGAAGAACTTGGTGCATTTGTGATGAATGTATAGAAAACAAAGCAAATAAAAATGTAATTAGTAATACCATAGAAAACAAAAGTGCTGGCCCAACTGGGTTCAATGTAAATATTGACTATTGAGCTAAACAAAATTAATATCTAAACATGCCAGGAATATCAGGGGATAGGATGTGTGTGTGCATGTATATGTGTATGTGCATATATGTGTGTGAGTATATATGTGTATGTATATACATGTATATGAATGTGTTTGTATGTGTGAGTGAGCACACATATGCATGTGTGTATGGGTATGTGTGAGTGTACATGGGAATGTGTGTGTGCATACATGCATGTATGTGTTTGGGGATGGTGGAAGTGGGGAAGAGGTAAAGAAGTAGTCTACGCAGAGGAGCAAGCCAGCCAATACATAATGTCTAAAACTGACAAATCAAGAAATATCGCTATAAACATGCTACTGAGATATATGGAAATAAATAAAATAATTCACTGAAATAAGTAGTTGTCTTTGGGTAGCAAGAAATGGGAGCGAGCTATGGTACAAAAGATTGTCGTTTTGTTTTTTGTTTTGTAATTTACTTTTCTTTTTGTCACAAGCCTTATTAACTTTAAGTTATGTGCAGGTATAATTTTGAAAAATGTAAAGACTACATTTAATATGTGTTAAGATAACATATTTAAAGTGAGCATATTAATACAAAGGAAATAATTTTGAGTTTGTAAGAGAGAAGCAGGATACAAATTGTATATCCAGTGTAAGTTCACCCACTAAAACAACAAAAAAACCCAACAAATCTAACCTAAATATGGGAAGAAAGATGTGAGAGTAATGAGATTGATGTGATTATTTATTCTTTTCTATAATTTGCCTTAATAACAAATCTTTCATGGGACAAAAACCAACAAAAAACATTGCTGAGCGAATCTGAAACAAGAAAGCTGGCAGAAAACTTTGCTCCCCATGATACCCTGGGCTGGCTCAACGGCTGTTACCAGGTGTCACGTTCAGCACCCACAAAGCTTTGATCTCTGAACTGTATCAAAGGATAACAGCAAACCCATTTCACAGCCAGGCACAGTGACTCACGCCTGTAATTCCATCACTTTGGGAGGCCGAGGAGGGTAGATCATTTGTGCTCAGGACTTTGAGACCAGCCTGGGCAACATGGCGAAAACCCGACTCTACGAGAAATACAAAAATTAGCCGGGCCTGGTACACACCTGAAGTCCCAACTACTCAGGTGGCTGAGGTGGGAGAATCGCTTGAACCTGGGAGGTTGAAGCTGTAGTGAGCTGTGATCACGCCATTACAGTCCGGCCTGGGTGACAGAGTGATACTCTGTCTCAAAAACAAAAACAAAAAAACAACTATTTCAGGTGTAGCAGGTTGAATTGTGTTCCCCCAGAAGATACATCCGAGTCTTAACCCCAGGTACCTGTGGATATAACTTTATTTGGAAATAGAGACTTTGCAGGTATAATTAAGGATCTTAAGATGAGATCATCTTGGTTTAGGGCAGGTCCTAAGTCCAATGGCTGGTGTCCTTATTATAAGGAAAAAAGAAAGGGAAATTTGAGGTACACGGACACAGAAGAAACACAGGGAATGAGTCCAGGTGAAGCTGGAGGCAGAGATTGGAGCTTTGCAGCCACAAGCCAAGGAACACCAGGAGCCACCAGGGAGCTGGAAGCAGCAAGGAAGGATTCTTCGCTAGAACTTTTGGAAGGAGCAAGGCCAACACTTTGATTTCAGATTTCTGGGCCCAGGTCTCTGAGAGAATTAATTTCTGTTGTTTTCACCATCGAAAATGTGTGGTTCTTTGTTACAGTGGTCCTAGGAAAACTAACACAGCAGGCTTATGCTGATGGAGCAGATGCAAGCCTGTGAGCCAGCACGGATTTCCCAGGAACGTTGCTGTTCGCTAGGCCACGTGCTGGCCTCACAGCTGGTGATGAGAAGGCGAAGACAGAGTCAGCTTAACCAAGGCACTGTGGGCTCTGTGAAAGCCTTTGGCTTCATCTTATGCACCAGAACAGGCCACTGAAGGGCTGTTAAGGTGAGTTCTGTGCTTTAGAAAAAGAACTTGAGAGTGTGGGGGTAGTAGGAAGAATGGGTTGTAATAGGGGAACTGGAGAAATGTCAGTTAGGACAGAGTTTCAACTGGGAAGTGTTTGGCCCCCGTACTGAATACCTTAAAATCTTGGCCAGAACCCTGTGATGTCTGAAGAAGAAAATCCAACATGTCTATTGCTTTCATGATATAAATTATAAGAAAGGGAAGCAAGAGAAAATCTTTGCTGGTAGAATTATGCAAAAGAGAGCATGGTAAAACATGGTAGAGTGATGGATTTTAAAATGTTAATAACAATGCACCTTGGCTGGCACAGTGGCTGATGTCTATAATCCCAGAACTTTGGGAGGCTGACGCTGGTGGATTGCTTGAGCCCAGGAGTTTTAGACCAGCCTGGGTAACATAGGGAAACCCAATCTCTACTAAATAAATAAATAAATAAATAGATAGATAAATAAAATTAGCCGGGTGTCATGGTGCACACCTGTAGTCCCAGCTACTCAGGAGGCTGAAGTGGGAGGATTGCTTGAGCCTAGGAGGTTGAAGCTGCACTGAACCGTGGTGGTGCCACTGTACCGTAGCCTGGGTAATAGAGCAAGACCTTGTCTCAAAACAAAACAAAACAAAATGCACCTAATATTTTCTGAATGTTTTACTATGTATTATGCCAAGTACTGTTTGTTATTTCATTTAATTCTTCAATGGCACTATGAGGGGCTGTTATTAATTTTATTCATGAGGATTTTGAGGCTTAGGCTTGGGTGAGGTCACACAATTAGAAGTGGCAGAGCTGGAACCCTAATTCAAGCAACTGTGTTCCTTAACTATTACATGGTACTGCATTCCCTCTGAGAGGTTTTTTACGTGGATCATAGAATGGGCCAGAAATTATAACGGTTTGAATGGGGGCAGTGACAATCAGTATTGGTGGAGGGAAACAGATGGGGGGCTATTTTAAAAGTCATATCTATGGGACTTGGTGACAAATTGATTGAGATAAGCAGAGTTTAAAATGACACAAGCAGAGATATTACAATTTTTTTCTTTCTGCTTTTGAAATAGATGATATTTAGAATTTTGTGTTTCAAATATTAAAAATTCTACAGAGTCAACTCAATACAATCTGCCTAAAGCAGTCCGCTGTATCTTGAGATACAATGGGAAAGGGCCAAATCTCATCTGAGCCACAGAATGAATATAATTCCATGGAACCCTATTCACCAGTGAATTCTGTAGCAAAGATGATATAAAATCAATTAACCACTCACCAGTTTCTCTCATGGATAGCTGGATACCTAGAGAACTTGTAAATAAGTGAATCCATTTTACATGACACAATTGTGCATCATCCAATACCCTTCATTGCAAAACAAGACTGATTTTTTTTTTTTTTTTTTTTTTGGCCAGGTGTGGTGTCTCACAGTAATCTCAGCACTTTGGGAGGTCAAAGTGGGAGGATTGCTTAAGGCCAGGAGTTTGAGACCACCCTGGGTAACATAGTGAGACCCCCATCCCTACAAAACAATGCACATGAAGACTGATTTTGTTTTCATTTAACTTCATCTTGGGGAATTATTGTTGCATATTTTTATACCACTTTAAGAATTACCTATACAAGGTCGGGTGTGGTAGCTCACGCCTGAAATCCCAGCACTTTGGGAGGCTGAGGTTGGCAGATCACTTGAGGTCAGGAGTTCGAGACCAGCCCGGTCAACATGGTGAAACCCCATCTCTGCTGAAAATACCAAAATTAGCCAAGTGTGGCGGCGCATGCCTCCAATACCAGCTACTCAGGTGGCTGAGGCATAAGAACTGCTTGAACTAGGAGGCAGAGGTTTTAGTGAGCTGAGATTGTGCCACTGTACTCCAGCCTGGGCAACAGAGCGAGACTCTGTCTCTGGGGGGCGGAAAAAAGCCTGGGTAACATAGTAAGACCCCATCTCTACAAAAATTTTAAAAAAATTAGCCAGGCATGGTGGTACATGCCTGTGGTCCTAGCTTTTCAGGAGGCTGAGGTGGGAGGATTGCTTGAGCCTGGGAGCTCGAGGCTACAGTGAGATGTGATAGTGCCACTGCACTCCAGCCTAGGTGATAGTGAAACCCTATCTCAAAAAACAAACAAACAAACAAACAAAAAAAACACAGTGGCTCAGGCAAGTAATCCCAGCACTTTGGGAGGCCAAGGCGGGTGGATCACTTGAGGTCAGGAGTTCAAGACCAGCCTGGCCAATATGGTGAAACCCTATCTCTACTAAAAATACAAAAATCAGCCAGGTGTAGTGGCAGGCATCTTTAATCCCAGCTACTTGGGAGACTGAGGCAGCAGAATTGCTTGAATCTGGGAGCCAGAGGTTGCAGTGAGCCGAGACTGAGCCACTGCATTCCAGCCTGGATGATAGAGCACACTCTGTCTCAAAAAAAAAAAAAAAAAAAAAAAAAAAAAAAAAAAAAAAGAATTGCTTGTATTGGTTTGTTAGGGTTGCCAAAACAAAGTATCATACCCTGGATAGCTAAAACAACAGAAATTTATTTTTTCATGGTTCTGGATGCCGGAGGTCCAAGATCAAGGTGTCATTAGGTTTGATTTCTTCTGAGCCCTCCCTTCTTGGCTTGAACATGGCCACCTTCCAGCTGTGTTCTCCCATGATCTTTCCTCTGGGCATGCATGTCTGTGTCCAAATCTCCTTTTATAAATAAATGGATTAGGGCCCACCCTAAAGAACTCATTTTAACTCAATTACCTCTTTAAAGATGTTATTTCCCATGATAATTACATGCTGAGCTCCTGGGGGTTGGGACTTCAACATAGGAATTTTGGGAGTGAGGGGAACACAATTCAACCCTTAACATTGCCCAGGGTCACAAAGGTCAGAAGAAGGGATGATAAGATCCAGTCACTCAGGCCATTTATATCATCAGAACCAAGCCAAAAGTGACTTCACTGTGGGACACTTAAGAAAGTTACCTCCCTCTTCCTTATTACGTGGCCTGTTTCCCAGGGCTAAATAGAGATTTCAGTCATTCTTTGGCTTTATTGAGAGCCATGGGGACATCTACATCTGATATTGGATGAGAATATGGGTGGGTGGAAGTTGAAACGATCGTTTGTTTAGATACCAGTAATGGAGAGGCTGAATGAAATGGTATGATCTCAGAGGGTGGGTTGGAACTGGCAGGATACTTTGAAGGTCAGTCTTATGGGGCTGCTGGAATTATGCCACCTGTCCCCTAGTGCAGCCCTTCCTATTAAAAGTCTTCACACATTCATCAGCTTCACATCACAGAAGAAAGGCTTCCTCTAACCCTACATATGACTCAGTCTATTTCTTAAGGGAAAAAATGTTGGAGGGATGTGTGTATTTCCCAATAAAACCAAGTGAGGGAAAAGTTTTTTGCTACATTTTATTTGATCAAAATACGTATTTGCAACAAATTTGCTTTCTAATAAAAGAAAAACCACTATAATAACCTTCTATTGTTTGGAATCTTTTTCCTCTCCCTCCCCAGTCTGCTCCCCTGTTTGATGAATGGCCTTCTTTTTCTGCATCACCTGAGGCCTACATATGAATGGTTCCCAAACCTATCTACTGCTAGAATTTTCTCCTAAGCTTCAGGTGCTTATTGCCAGTTCCCTGTAGGTTTTGCCACCTGACTACTCTGCCATGTTGGTCAGGCTGGTTTTGAACTCCTGGCTTCAAGCAATCCTCCCACCTCAGCCTCTCAAACGCTGGGATTATAGGCATGAGGCACCACACCTGGTTGGTTCATGAAACTCTTAATCACCCAGTTACTCAAATGAAAAATTTGGAGTTGTACCTGCTTTCTTCCCACCTCTCATCTCCCCAATCCAGACACCAAATCCTGCTGACTCTGTGTCTTACACATTTTCTAGCTGTGCTTTCGTCTTCGTTCTATTCAGTTTAGATCCCAACCATCTTTCACTGAGCCTTCTCCATTTGCTTCTGCATTTGCTTCTCCAGATGGCTCTGTCTATGCCACCCACTGCTGCTTTCGTTGGCACCCCAAACCTACAGGATAAATTCAACCTCCTTAGCCCAAAAGTCCAGCCTCCCATCCTAGGCCCCACTCCTTATCCTGCATCTTATCCTAAAACACATCCTTTGCTACAACTATTCGGAAGCAACTTGCTGTTGCTTTAATGTAGCCTGATGTTTCCTGACTCAAGGTAATGAGCTCATCTGCAGTTTGTCCTTCTGGCAAACTCCTGTTTCTTTTGCAAGCATCATGTCCTTGGGATGCCTTCTTTGGTCCACACAGCCTGAACTTGATGCTTTTCTGTGGCTTGTGGCATATTGTGTGTGTCCTTCACTTCCATTATCAACTCAACTAGACTGATTTCCTTGTCTGTCTCATACACTAGATTTTGGGTTCCTTATACCTAGGAATAGTTTTATTCACCTTTTTACCACCAGCATCTAGTCTGTGGATGTCATATAGTGGTCTCTGTAGGTGTATTGAATAAGTAAATGTGAAAATGCTTTGAAAAGTTTTAAATTTGATGGAAGTATTGGGGGTTATTTTTACTTTACAAATATTCCTTAAACATCTACAACAAGCTATTGTTTTACTGCAAGAAGAACAACAGAATCAGAGTTAGAAGCTTCAAATGCAGGCCGGGCATGGTGGCTCACGATTGTAATTCCAGCACTGTGGGAGGCCGAGGCGAGCAGATCATCTGAGGTCAGGAGTTCAAGATGAGCCTGGCCAACATGGCGAAACCCCGTCTCTACTAAAAATACAAAAATGAGCGGGGCGTGGTGGTGTGCACCTGTAATCCCACTTTCTCAGGAGCTGAGGCAGGAGAATTGCTTGAACCTGGGAGGTGGAGGTTGCAGTGGCCAAGATCGCACCACTCCACGCCAGCCTGGGCAATAGAGCAAGACTCTGTCTCAACAACAACAACGACAAAAAGAAGCTTCAAGTGCCTGTTTATTGTCTAGCTGGTCTAGCTGCAGTAAGTTTTCTCTACTGTAAAATAAGGATAGTAGAACTACTTAAGCCAGCTGTAAGAATCAATTATGGTAATGTGGGCAGAATTTATTTCTAAACTATAAATACTGTTCTATGAATACATGAGTTAACCAGTATGTTCCATTCTTTCTAAAACTGGGGATACACACACACACACACACACACACACACACACACGACTTTTTTGTACTTCATCTTGCTTGACTATCTTGTGTAATGTTCCCTTGAATGGTAAGAGGATAGTTTTGTCATTTTCAAGGGAGAGCAATTTTTTTTATTAAGATTAGGCCTCGTTATTCTAGTCATCATATATCAATGCAACTGAATATAAAAGTGCTGCTCAAAAATTCAACCTGTTCTCAAAAAAATATGAAGATGAAACTGGATCCTATTTAGAGAGAATTGTTGTAAGCCACAAAAGTCAGTGATTGACCTGAGCACATATCTTTATTTCACCTGAAAGAACCAGTAGGCTCACAAAGCCTTTTGCTCTTTTGAGAGCAGGTGGGAGTTAAACACTGATTTTGGACCTAGAAATGAAGAACAGCTTCTCTTGCCAACCCCACAGGCATTTTCTGTTTTTACACAAGGCAGTATACTTCCTGGTATATAGAAAGTGCTCAATAATAAGGTGGCCATACGTCTCGTTTTGTTCAGAGACGTCCTGTTATGAGTCTGTTGTCTTGGTGGAATGAATACAGCACCCCTTATACTCTTTAAATTGTCTCTGGATAATAAATTGTATGTTCATCTCAACCCCTGTACATATTGAATAAACAAATGAATGAATTCTTAGCCTCATCCAACCTGAATAAAACAAACATCTTAGTGATAGCACTGCGTTTCATGTCTAACAGAAATTTGACTAGCAGTGTTTTACCCACAAGCGTAATTCGACTATAGAAATAAAGATTCAGGTTTCCTAATAGAGAAGTCAAAAGATTCTTCTCTCTCCCCACTTCTCTCTTAACTTTCCGCATTTTCTTCTTTAAAAAAATTAACACAGTGATCAGACCTGCCAGAGCCATCAAGCCATTCATGATGTTAAGTTCAAGGGAGCAAAAGGCTGTTGTGATGGAAACATCGAGATCTTATAATCACCAGATTTCGGTGTTATTTTCTTATGTGGGATTTTAAACTTGAACCTGGTGGTGAGATTTGTAACATTTATCTCCAAATTTAACATTGGCTCCATTCGATCAGGACTTCGAGTTGCCTAAATCCGAGTTTCAACAATGGGATTAATATTGTTGTGGGTTTATTTGGTTTGCCCTTTGACCCCTCCATTTCAGAACACCTAGAGATCATGGGACAACAAGTCCTTTCACATGTGTAAAACAAACTACTGCTGGTCCTCTGGGAGACTTGCTAAGAATAAATGCACATTTATAGAGGTTCTTTGAATACTCTAAAGGCAGGAGCCCCAGGCAGGCAGAGCAGCACTGCTAAAATCCTCTCCTCTAGGCAGAAAGTGTGACACAAGCGCTCCAATTAGGATTAACAGAAGCTGGCAGGCCGGGGGCCCTGTAGTGGACTACAAAAAAAAAAAAAAAAAAAAAAAAAGCCCTGTGAAGCTATGGGTAATTGCTCCCACGTATTTACTTAACACCTGTGAGCTGGGGCAAAGGAAAGTTTATGGGGTAGGATCCTGCTAAGGAAACAAATGCCTAAGGGAATGGAGGAGGCTAATTAAGAAGGAAAATCGGAAGCCTGCGGGGATTTCATTTCCTTAAGTGCTCCAGACAATAGTGGGCTGATTTACCAGGCTCTGCTGATGTCATCTTGCGTTCCTACTTTGCGTACAAATTCCTTGCTAAATGTTAGCCCCCAGGCATTTGAAAACATCTGCTGCCCCTGGGACAGAGTATATAATCGGGCCTCCAATCTGAAGCCAGAAACTGTAGAGAATACAGATAGAGCACTAGGCTAAGCATGAAGGGAAAAAGTCCTATCTCAGATTGGCAGCTAGATCAGATAACCTAAGCAGATGTGAACATAGGATAGCACACAGGGAGGTGTCGCAGGGTGTCAAAGAGCATGCAGTAAAATGTAGAGCCAAGAAGTACTACTAAATAGTATCTGAATGTCTCAGAAGTCATTACCTGGGTGGGGGTGGAACTGGGACAGTCAGGATCAGAGTTAGATGAGGAACAATAGGGCACCTGTCCTGTGTGCCCTTCATAAAGGAAACATGGGGGCAAGGTCTGCAGGGTCCTGGTCAGCAGACAGGTGCACTGGGATAAGAGTGGAGAGAAAGGCAAGGTTCAAGCATGAGTTCAAGTTGGTCGAACAGATTCTTAATGGTTGGTGCAGATTCTTAATGGAGGCCTCCAGTTGGGAAGCAACTTATCTGGCTCTGCCTGACATCCTGAATTATCATTAAAAATGGTACTTCTTAAACGAAGAGATAAATCAGACTCATGTGAACTGAGAAGTCACCTGAGCTCTTGAGTGAATTTCCAATGGCTTCTCAACTTCTTGTTTGTAATTTGTCTCTTAAGAGAAGGAGCTTCACATTCTGTAATCCAAGATTGTTTCAAGAGTTTGAAGCCTTATTCTAACATGCCTGAGTGTCACCTTACAAATGACTTGTCTTTGCTTATTTTGATAAGGAGTTCAAGAGAACATTTGTTGGGGTAACAATTACTGAGGAGGGGGAACATATAAAGTGGTTACAACCTGGGCTTTGGATATAGATGCAAACAGATTTAAGGAACTGCTTGAGACACTTTCTAGACCTTTTCTCATCGATAAAGTGAAGCTAATAATGTCGAGGGGTTAAATGAGATTGAAGCTTGTGTCTTTATATAGTAAGCCCTCATTGAATGAGACCAGATGCTTTGTAAATGGATTTATTAGGAAAAAAAATTACTGCCGCTCCTTGCCAGTACTGGAGACTGAAATCTGGATTTCCCTGCTTTCTTTACTCCAGTCATCTTTAGGGGGTTATCATTTGGTCAATCGTTGTTGATAGTCTCTGGCTTTGCCTGACAATGTTCCCCTCTGCCTGCAAGCTCTTTCATAATAGAGAGAAATCTCATTAAGTGTCCCAGAGCTGGTCTTGACCTCTGAGATGGCTAGGTAGAGATATATAACCCTCCGTATCTTACGTTTAGGCTGCACAAATTCTATTATCATAGTAAAAATAATATTGGAGCACAGGGGATTCAAGGGGCAGTGAAAACACCCTGTATGTTACTGTAAGGGTAGATACATGCCATTACACATTTGTCTGAATGCACAGAATGAACACCACCAACAGTAAACCCTAATGTAAACTATGGACATTGGGTAATTATGATGTGTCAACACAGGTTTATCAATTACAACAAATCTACCACTCTGCTGGGGATTTTAATAATCAGGGAGGCTATGCATGTGTAGGGGGCAGGGAGTATATGGGCAATCTCTGTACCTGCCTCTCAATTTTGCTGTGAACCTAAAGCTACTCTTTAAAAAATGTCTTTTAAAAAATCTAACTTTTTTGAATATTTACTGCATGCCAGGGACTATCTTAATGCTTTAAATTCATTTTCTTGTTTAATCCAATAATGACTCCATGAATGGTCAATATTAAATGTGTATTCTTTGTTAAGAAAAATCAGATATAGAGAGAAATAAAAAATAAAACCTCAAAAAATAAAGAAAGATTTTTTCAGAGGGTTGTCAGAGGATTATTTTAAATTGCAAGCTCCTTTCCTATTCTGTAGTCATTAAAAATATCATTTGATTTACCAAAATTTTATAGACAATTTTTCTGCATACATCTTTTCTATAAGGCAAGGTGCAGTTAAAGATTTTAGGTTTTGGACAGTGTTCTTTCAAGTCAAGTTCTTCTAATTCTTTAATCTGATGGGTGAAGAAGGGAAAGGAGGCTGGTCCGATGGGTTATCAGAACTTATTAACATTAGTGTCACTAAAGTTGGAAGACAATCCCCCACTGCTAAATTTGACTGGCTTAAGAAGAAGGAAGGAAAGAAAAAAAAAAAAAACTTCAGGAGCCTTGAGAAGAAGCAATTAAAAACCCAAAAGTTCTTTCTCTTGGGGCTTCCAAGACAGTGCTCACTGAGGCACATTGCTGTTCCCTGGGCAACTTGGAGTTGATCAAACAAGAAGTAGCCTGGTTTGTACAGAGCTTGAGCTTTACTGCTCATTCCTAAGAATTGTGCCATGCAGTTTCTCCTTTCTCTCTTTCATCAACCTTTGGAGCTCCATGTTGTGTGCCACCTGCATCACTTCTTTCTGCTCCCTAACCCTTACTCTGAGACCTTACCCACTCTCCTTTTTCTCCCTGTGCCCATTAAAGTCTACTCTCCTATTCTTTTGTCATGCTAAGGCAGTGCTTTTTAAAATGTGGTACAAGAATCATGCATGTTGGAATTCCAAATGGGACTTAAAAAAATGCAGATTCTGGGCCCCATTCCAAACTTACCAAAGAAAACTCTCTGAAGGGAAGGCACTCCGTTGTTGGTTTGCAAATTTTGATAACCAATGCAGAAAATTAGAATAGAGGGTTCTCTCCCAGGGAACTTAATGATTTAGCAGATATGGTCACTTTATACCAAAGACTATTAAAGTAAAAGAAGAAAAAACATCTTTTTATAGCAGTGATTCTCAGCCTGGAGTTTATATTAAAACCCCCTGGAAAGATTTAAAAAATTGTTTGAAAAACTGCCCAGGCCATACTCAAGACCAATTATATTAGAATTTCTGGAGAGAGAATCCACGCTCAAGACCAATCATAATTAGAATCTCTGGAGAGAGGATCCAGGCATCAATATTTCTGAAAGCCTTTCTAGGTGATTTTAATGTACAACCACTGTTAAGAGCTACATTCTCTTCTGCAGAGCAGAAGGAGGCTATGGAAAAATAGAGTAATGCTTCTCAAACTTAATGTGCATGTGAGTCACCTGGGGATCTTATTAAAATGGAGATCATGATTCTGTGGGTCCGGATGCTGCCTGAGAATCTGTATTTCTAACAAGCTCCCAGGTCCTCAGACCACACTTTGAGTAACAAAGCACCGAGCCCTTGTTCTCAAACCTTAGATTAGAATCAGCAGGGGGGCTTCACAATAGGTTGGTGCCCCAGCTGCACTCTAGACCAATTAAATCAGAATTTCTAGGAGTGGGATGTCGGCATCAGTAGTTTTTTAAGCTTCTCAGGTGATTCCAATGTACAGCAAGGTCTGGGAACCAGTGCAGAAGAGGGGTGGTCAATTTTTACTAAGTCCCACAGAAAATAGGAGATTTTAAATATACTGAAACCCAAAAGAGCAGAGGAGGTTGATCCTCTGATAATTGCTGATGTCAAAATCTGCCATCATGGAATTTTTAAAATCTTAATTTGTTTCACTCGGTTTATGAAAAAATTATTGTGTTCCCCCTTAGGATTTCCACCTTCCCCACCCCTCCCTTGTTACACCCTCACGGTGGGTGAGTACTCGTGTTTCTTCAATTTTCTGGTCCCAAGCATGCCTGGGATGAACTTCATGCCCAGTTAGCTTGTCATATCACATTACTTTGCTCAGACATGGGCTAAGCTGGCTTTCTAAATAAGACATCAAGTCCAGAAAATTTAAACACATGTGGGGGTCATAGGAAATCTGTTTAAAACAAACACTTTGGTGCACATGGAAACAAGAAGTTTAATGACATTGTCTAACAAAGCCGTCTGGAAGGACTCCTCAGAGCTCTCAAATGGCTCTTGGTTATCAGTTGCTGGGAACGTCCCAACTGGCAGGAAGCACATCAGTTTTATGGCATGTAGGGGCTGTTAGACGGAAGGATTTTAGAATTTCACTCCGTGTTTAACTCCATAGGGATAGATACTTCATGCTTCTCTCTGTGATATAACAGAATCTTGTTTTTCAAAAAAGCAGTCCTAATAATAAATTCATACCAGGGCTATTTGATTTGACCTTTATCTTTTCCCAGTTTGTGCTAACATGGGTCTTGTCTAAGTTCTGTAAGTGAACCCCATTGCTCTTCTCCTAAAGTTGTTCCAGCAAATGATATAACCAGGCAAGCCTTACCTCATGATTTTTATGCCTCCTGTAGGATATGACATGCAAGTTTCCTGACTCCCTTGCCTGTCTAAATCCTCTGGGTTCTTTCTTGTGATAAAGGTCTCAGCACAGTATTCCACACATTTCATGCTCTCCTCTTCACAGAAACAGGTTGAAAAAGACAGCATGCTTTCAGGAGAGTCTCATTGAGAGAAGATGGACAGGGGGTAGTACATAAAATGCTAATTGAAAGAATAATGGTACTATTCTTGAAAGCTATAAGCAATTTTCTTCATGCTGAGAAGTGACAAGGGAAGATTTACAAATTCAAAGAATCTGACTTTGTTGACTTTAGAAAATCTCACTGTATCCCTTTTGCTAAGACGCCAGAGAAAAGGGCCTTTTGCCATGATTCCAATAAGTGTGTCCTGCTCTAGTTATAATAGTCCCACCTCCCGGTCCATGCTGAGTCACTGCTAAAGTTTTTAGTCATGGACAGTCAGAAGCAAGTCTGTGTAAACTCTCCTGGCCCCTCCTGGCTTCACCATCTCTTCCTCTTTCTCTAACTCTACTTCTCAGAAGACAATGCTCTTTGGTTTCTAATTTTCTAGAATCCAGAATACTCCCTCCCCTTTAGGGAAGTGAAATAGGGACTCTGGGGATATTCCACCCCCTGACCATCAAAGACACAGGGAAGGGGTCATCCTGTGGCTAAAAGCCAGGGGAGATCAGAACCAAGGCCAAGGTTGAATTTCTCTCTGAACTAACCCTCAACTCTGACCTAGAAAGTCCCCCTTTTGAGGTTCTTTGTCATAGATACAGCAACAGCAATGCAGAATCCCACAGAGAGGTCACAATGTTCTTGTTCTTCCCATTAATACAGGCCAGGATCAGGGGCTTTAATTTTGAGATGAACCTCTCACACTTATCTTAGTAAATCTTGTTGCTGAAGTAGGTCCCCGATAAATAAACTCTTGAGTTTAATCAAATATTAAAATGAGGCTGGGTACAATGGCTTACACCTATAATCCCAGCACTACGTGAGATGAAGATAGGAGGATTGCTTGAGCCCAGGAGTTCAAAACCAGCCCAGGCAACATAGTGAAATCCTGTCTCTACCAAAAAAACAAAAACAAAAACAAAAACAAAACAAAACATTAAAATGGCAATTATTCCTTTGTATCTTTCAGAACTAATCTCAGAAGCGTCACTGAGTGTGGAGTAACATGCCCTTTAACTCTGTGTGGCTGAATATTAAGACAATGTTCTCTATTTTTCTATGCAACCTACAAGTATTGTTAAATGTTGATTATATGAGAGCTTACAGAGGGAGCTCTAAACAAGAAATGCCTGCCCTTAAGTATAGACAACACCTTTTGGGAAAGAAGGCACACATATTTGAAAAGATGAGAGAGAGCAAAAAGTATAAGCGAGGGAGTCACCCCCGTGGGCTAAAGTGGTCATGGACAGCTTTGGAGAGAGGTTTTGGAGAAACCTCTGGGGACTTGGTGTTCAGGGGCACCCTTATAGGGGTGTGGAAGGGTGATATATGCAATCCTGATACCATCTCTGTAGATGCAGAAGTGGATTATATATGACATGTATGATCATGTATGTGTGTATGTACACACATGTATGTATGTGTCACAGATGTTGGACTCTATAAAGGCTAAACAATGACTTACATCAGATTTTTAATTAGGAATTTAACTTTAATAGTTATTCAGATTTTCATTTTTTTGCATCAGTTTTGGGAATTCATTTATTTCAGCTAAATTGTCAAAGTTATTGACATAAGCGATTTCTAATGATTTCTTCTTCTTCTTCTCCTTCTCCTTCTCCTCCTCCTCCTCTTCCTCCTTTTTCTTCTTCATCATCAATTTTTGAGACAGAGTCTCACTCTGTCATCCAGAGTGCAGTGGCACAATCATGGCTCACTGCAGACTTGACTTGCTGGGCTCAAGTGATCCTCCCACCTCAGTCCCCCAAGTAGCTGGGACTACAAGTGCTTGCCACCATGCCTGGAAAATTTTTTAAATTTTTCATAGAGACGGGGTTCACACTGTGTTGTGCAGGCTGGTCTTGAACTCCTGGGCTCAATTGATCCCCAAATCTCTAGTCTCCTAAAGTGCTGTGATTACAGGCATGAGCCATCATGCCTGGCCCTGAGGATTTCTTACTATTTTTAATGTCAGTAGGATTCATAGTGATATCCTTTTTTTAGTTCCTCTGATACTGGTTATTTGTATTTTCTCTTATTCTTGATCAGCCTGATGAAGCTTCTTAATTTTACTAAACTTTACAAAAAGTCAACTCTTAATTTCACTGATTTTCTCTATTTTTTTTGTTTTCTCTTTCATTGATTTTCATTGTTTTATATATTTTTCTTCTACTTACTTTGGGCTTAATTTTGCTCTTCTTTTTCTGATTTCTTAAGGTGGTCACTCATGATCAATTTTAGTCTTTTTTTTTTTCTAATATAGGCATTTAAAGCTATATATTTTCTTCCAAGTACTGCTTTATCTTATCCCATAAATTTTGGTATCTTGTATTTTCATTATCATTCAATTCAAATTATTTTATAATATAATTCCTTTGTGATTTCTTCTTTCACTGATTGCTTTTTTTTTTTTTTTCCCAGAGACAGGATCTTGCTTGCCCAGGCTTGACTGCAATGTTATGGTCATAGTTCACTATAAGCTCGATCTCCTGGGTTCAAGCCATCCTCCTGCGTTAGCCTCCTGAGTGGCTAGGACTATAGGGATGCTCCACCATGGCCAGCTAATTAAAGAATTTTTTTTTTTTCCCCATAGAGATGGTGATATGGTTTGGCTGTGTCCTCACCCAAATCTCAACTTGAATTGTATCTCCCAGAATTCCCATGTGTTATGGGAGGGACCTAAGGGGAGGTAATTGAATCATGGGGGTCAGTCTTCCCCATGCTAGTCTCATGATAGTGAATAAGTCTTATGAGATCTGATGGGTTTATCAGGGATTTCCACTTTTGCTTCTTCCTCATTTTTCTCTTGCTGCCACCATGTAAGAAGTGCCTTTCACCTCCTGCCATGATTCTGAGGCCTCCCTAGCCATGTGGAACTGTAAGTCCAATTAAACCTCTTTTTCTTCTCATTCTTGTGTAAGTCTTTATCAGCAGCCTGAAAATGGACTAATACAGTAAATTGGTACCAGAAGTGGGAAGTTGGGGGTGGCACCTGAGGAGAATCAATATAATTTTGCCTGGCAACTGCCTCAGGGGAGGCCATCACCATTGCCTCTGGCAGAGCAGGGTTCATCTCCTCAGACAAAGGTGGAAAGGCTGATGGCAGCACGAGTTGGGGAGGGGATGTTGCCACTACTGGAGATGGGGAAGCTGTTTCTTTTGGCAAAAAAGTTTCATCAGAGTTTATAAACTCAGCGTCCCCAGCTTCATCAAGGTCCTCCCACATATCCCCGTCCCAAGTTGCAGGGTCCCATTCTTTTCTAATCAATGCCCTCACTTTAACTGTAGATACCTGGCGAGGCTGGGATGCACCTTTCATTGCAGGTCAGCCACTTGCATGATAAGAGCTGTGTCTGTTTTTCCAATTTCAGCTCTTTCTCTACAGGAGATAAGATTCTCACTCAGGGCAATCTTGGCAGATTTGAGGCTCAGTATCTGCTTCTGAAGCCAGGAGACAGAATCCCTGAGTTCATCATTTTCTTTTATCACTTTGTCCACTGAACTTAGGAGCAACCAACCAGCTTCATTACGTACCTTGGCTCTCCACATATGATCAAAGGTATTAAGCATAGAGTCACTAAACTCCTTGTCTCTCATGAGTGCTGAATCAGGAGAGTCAAATGCATTTATTTTGCATAATTCTAAACAGTTTATGCCAAGGACTATCAGGGTTTTCCATACTATTAGAAGTAGAATCCTTAACATTTTTGGGTCTAATTGTATTAAGCAGCCAACTCCAGAAATCCCAAAACCAACGAAAGAACTCCATCCTTAATATTCTGTTCCTCTAAAACCATTCCTGGTACCAAAGTCTGTATTAGTCAAGGTTCTCTAGAGGGACAGAACTAATAGGAGATGTATATATATATATATGCACATATACATATATACACATATATATACATATATACATACATAGAGAGAATATCTATTTTTTTATATATATATATATGACTTTATTAAGTATTAACCTACACAATCACAAGTTCCCAAAATAGGCTGTCAGCAAGCTTGAGGAGCAAGGAGAGCCAGCCCAAGTCTCAAAACTGAAGAACTTGGAGTCTGATGTTCTGGGGGCAGGAAGCATTCAGCGTGGGAGAAAGATGTAGGTTGGGAGGCTAAGCCAGTGTCACCTTTTCATGTTTTTCTGCCTGCTTATGTTTGCTGGCAGCGCTGATTAGATAGTGCCCAACAGATTAAGGGTGCCTCTGCTTTCCCCCGCCCACTGACTCAGATGTTAATCTCCTTTGGCAACACCCTCACAGACACACCAAGGATCAATACTTTGCATCCTTCAATCCAATCAAATTGACATTCAGTATTAACCATCACAGATGTGTTCTTGCTATGTTGCCCATACTGGTCTTGAACTCCTGAGCTCAAATGATCCTCCCATCTTGGCCTCTCAAAGTGTTGGGATTACAGGCGTGAGCCACCATGCATGGCCAGCTCATTGATTACTTATTGTGTATTTTAAAATTTTCACCTAGTTGGATGTCTTAGATATCTAATTCTTTTTTATTCTTTTATTTAATTTAATGCCATTATGGTCAGAGAAATCCTCCTTGTGCTTTTAATATTGTTAAATGTATCAAAATTCCTTTTTTTTGAGATGGAGTCACCCAGGCTGGAGTGCAGTGGCGGGATCTCGGCTCACTGCAAGCTCCACCTCCCGGGTTCACGCCATTCTCCTGCCTCAGCCTCCTGAGTAGCTGGGACTACAGGTGCCTGCCACCATGCCCGGCTAATTTTTTTGTATTTTTAGTAGAGACGGGGTTTCACCGTGTTAACCAGGATGGTCTCGATCTCCTGACCTTGTGATCCGCCCACCTCCGCCTCCCAAAATTCTGGGATTACAGGCGTGAGCCACCGCGCCTGGCCTAAATGTATCAAAATTCTTTTCATGGCTCTAAGTATAGTCTATTCTAATAATTATGTACACTAAAAAGAATGTATATCCTACTGGTATTGATTGTATTGTTTTAGAAATATCAGTTGGTAATGTTGATCAAATAATCTATGTCTTTGCTGATATTATGTCTAGTTCTATCAATCGCTGAGACAGGTATGTCAGCAATTAAAATCTCTAACAATATCTGTAGCAATTAAAATCCATAATTGTGAAACTGTCTATTCATTCTTTATGTATTTTGAAGCCCTATTACTGGCTGCATACACGTGCATAGCTCTTACGCTTTTCTGATGAATCAACTCTTTTATCATTATGAAATGTTCTTCTATATCCCAGGTAATACATTTAGTCATGAAACCTATTTTATTGGATGTTAATGTAGACACTCCAGCCTTCTAATGTTTACTGTTTGTGTGATACATTCTTTTCTATCTGCTTACTTTCAACCTATATATGTTTTTATGTTTAAAGTGTTTTTTTTTTGTGGACATCAAATAGCTGGGTCTTGTTTTTGGATTAATTCATTCTCACAATTTTTACATTTCAATTGGAATGTTTATGTTTCAATATTTAATGTATTGATATGATTGGCTTGGGTCTACCATTGTATTTTCTGTTTTCTACATGACTTCTCTGGTTTTGTTTCTCTGTTTTTTCTTTTCTGCATTTTTTGTTTGGATCATGCTTATTTTAATTTTTTTTTTTTTAGAATTCCATTTTATTTTCATGGTTAAATAGCTATACTTTGTGTCATTTTTAAGTGGTTACTATAGGGATTCCAATATACCTCTTCACCCTTTTACAATCCACTTATGGTTAATAATGTATTAACTCATGTAAAATATAGAAATATTGCAAGCTTTTAAAGTCTATGTACTTCCTATCATTTATGCTATAACAGTTAAATATATTATATCTGATTATATTATAAAACTGATAAGACAGTTTTATAATCTGTATCTTAAATAGTTTTGTGGTTAATAAAGAAATTGGCTGGCATGGTGGTTCATATCTGTAATCCCAGCAGTTTAGGAGGCTGAGGCAGGAGGATTGCTTGAGCCCAGGAGTTCAAGACCAGCCTGGGCAACATGGTGAGACTCCATCTCTACAAAACATACAAAAACTAGCCAGGTGTGATGGTGCACACCTGTATTCCCAGCTACTTGGGAGGCTGAGGTGGGAGGATCATTTGAGCCTGGGAGGTCAAGGCTGAATGAGCTGCGATTGTGCCACTGTACTCCAACCTTGGCAACAAAATGAGACCTTGTCAAAAAAAAAAAAAAAAAAAAAAGAAAGAAAGAAAGAAAAAAAGGAAGGAGGGAAGGAACGAACTAAGAGGAAATAGTAAAAAAGAAAAAAGGTCTTTTGCATTTGTCCAGATGATATTTACGGTTTCTGATGCTCTCCATTCTTTTCTGAGGATGCAGATTTCAATGTAGTATCATTCTCCTTCAAAAGAAACTGCCCAGTCAATTTCTTTATTAATCACAAAGCTATTTAAGATACAGATTATAACACTAGACAAATGCGAAAGACCTGTTTTTCTTTAGATACATGGAGAATTTCCTTTAGCATTTCTTGTAGCACAGATCTGCTGGGGATGAATTTTCTTAGTTTTCTTTTATCTGAACTTATCTTTATTCTACCATAATTTTTTGAAAGATACTTTTCATAGATATAAAATTCTAGGTTGACAGGCTCCTCTGTTCTCTCCAATATTCTAAAGACATGGTTCCACTCTCTTCTAGTCTCCACAATTTCTAATGAGAAGTCATCTAATGTTTGGATTTTTTATTCCTCTGTGTGTAGTATGACATTTTTCTCTTGTTAATTTAAATATTTACTCCTTATCTTGGGCTTTCAACAGTTTAACTCTGATATGCCTCAGTGCTACTTTATGTTTATCATGCTTGGTGTCTATTGAGTGTGTGGTATCTGCAAATTTTTGTCTTTCTTCAAATTTGGGAAATTTCTGGCCACTGTACCACTTTCTTTCTCTCTCTCTCCCCACTCCCTTTCTTCCCTCCTTTTCTCTCTCTCTTTCTCTCTTTTTCTCACCTCCCTCTCCATATTACGATAACATATACAACCATGTATCATCTAACAGGTCCATGAGTCTGTTCATTTTTAATTAATTTTTTTCTCTTTGTTCCTCACTGTGGATAATTTCTACTGCTCTACCTTCAAATTTGCTTACTTTCTACTGTCATCTCCACTCATCTGTTAAGCCTACCAAGTGAACATTTTATTTTATCCACTGTATTTTTTAGTTCTAAAATTTCCATTTGTTTCTTCTTGCTTCCATTGCTTTACTGATATTTTCTATTTCTCTGCTGAGATTTTTATCCATTGTAAACATATGTATATATATATACATATATGTTTATATATATATGTCTATGTTACCTCATGAAGATAGTTATAATAGCCATTTTAAAATCCATGTATTAGTTACAACATCTAACTCATTTTGGGATCTGATTTGTTTTTTTTTTTCCTCGTATTCTACAGGTTCCACTTTCTTGGTTCTTTGTTTTATGGGTAATTTTGGATTGGATTTTAGATATGATTAATGTTGACTTTTGGAAGCTTGTGGAAGTCTTGGATTCTGTTATTTTTCTCTGATGATTGGCTTTTTTCCTTTGTGTTTGCAAGTCTTTTTTTTTTTTTTTTTTTTTTTTTGCTGGGTGCAAACTGCAGACTGTTTCATGAATAGCAGCTCTAGTCTTTGGTTCAGATCTTTCAAATTTATCTGAGCTATGTTGTTATTGTTGTTGTTTTATAATTTCAACCTTTATTTTTAGATTCGGGGGTGCAAGTTTGTTACCTGTATATATTGTGTGATGCTGAGATTTGGGGTACAATTAATCCCATCACCCAGGTACTGAGCAAAGTACCCAATAGTTTGTTTTTCAGTCCTTGCCATCCTACCTCCCCACCTCTAGTAGTCCCCAAGCTGAGCTACTTTGAATCTGTTCTGCATATGCATAGTTTAGGAGTCAGTAAATGATTTGAGTAGAAAAACATTCTAGAATCCCTTCTCTAGCTCTTTCCCTCCCAAGATTCCTCCACTCTTCTCAGTGAACACAGTTTCCTGGCTTTACTCTTATGGTTCCCAGGCTAGAAAGATAGCAGTTTTTTCATGGTTACCCTCAGTGTCACTTAGCACATTATATAGACTGCACTTAACCTAGGCTAAAAGCCATGGCGATGCAAATATAATATATAGTCGTGTGACACATGATGACGTTTCAGTCAATGACAGACTGCATGTACGACAGTGGTTCCATGAGATTATAATACCATATTTTTACTATACCTTTTCTATGCTTAGATACACAAATACTTACCATTGTGCTAAAATTGCCTATAGTACTCAGTACAATAACATGTGGTATAGGTTTGCAGCCTACTAGCAATAGGCTATATCATATAGGTTAGGTGTGTAATAGGTTATACCATCTGGGTTTATGTAAGTATACTCTATAATGTTCACACATTGATGAAATCACCTAACGATGCATTTCTCAGAAGGTATCTCCATCATTAAATGATGCATGACTGCGCTCATGAGGCTCGTCATCTCCCCTCCTCCAAGTAAATGTGCCCTCATCACCAAAATCTTTCTCTGTACACTTCCCAGTGGTTTACTTTTGTATTTTTACAAGTTTTATAGCTTGTTTTCTTCGGGAAGAAGGGTCATTCAGTGGGAACTATTTGTTACAACTGGAAGAATTCTCCCAATTATTTTAAAAAGAAATGTAAAAACCAAAAAAATCTTTTACAGTTAATACCACATTTGGCGTATTTATCAAGTTTACTTTTATGGCCCTTTATATTTTGCTGTCTTTTAAATTTGCTGCCAAGTTTATCATATTACATTATTAAAATGATTAAGTTCTGAGCCAGAACCACCAGCTAATATATTCTTGGATTCTTGATGCTCAGAAAATATAAAGTAATAAATGCTTACTATTTGCACTGTTAAATTTTGGGCTAATTTGTTACACAGCAACATATTACTAATATGGTCATTTAACATAGTTAGTTATAATTGCTGTTTTTATGTCCTTGTCTGCTCATTCTATAATCTCTTTCATTCCTGGGTCTGTTTTGTCTTTTTTTTTTTCTATCCGGGCTGCTGTAACACTGGGTCTGTTTCTATTTTCTAATTTTTTTAAACTTGTTTTGTAATAAAAGTTCCACATAAGAAGAAGAACAACAAGAATTTCCATACTTCTTGACACATATAATAATACTTTTTAAAAAGTGTGATAATAGAAATCAGTTGCCTGTCTATACATTAACAATGAACTACTGGAAAGAACTTAGGAAGACAATCCCATTTATGATAGCACCGAAAAGAAGAAAATACTTAAGAATAAACTTAACTAAGGAGGTGAAAGATTTATATACTGAAAATTACAAAACAGAGATGAAAGAAATTAAGCAAGACACAAACAAATGGAAAGACTTTCCATGTTCATGGATTAGAAGACTTAATATCGTTAAAATGTCCACGTTACCCAAAGTGATCTGCAGATTCAATGCAGTCCCTATCCAATTCCAAAATACATATTTTACAGAAACAGAAAAAAATTATATAATTCATATGAAACCATAAAAGAAGATGAATGGCCAAATCAATCATAAGGGTGAAGAATAAAGCTGGAGGTATCACACGTTATGATTTCATAATATATTCTGAAATGATAGTCTCTTCAATAAATGATGCTGGGAAAACTGGATATCCGTATGCAGATGAACAAAACTAGACCCCCATCTCTCATTCTATAAAAAAATCAACTCAAAATGGATTGAATACCTAAAGATAAAACCCCAAACTATGAAACTATTAGAAGAAAACAGGGGAAATGCTTCAGGACGCTGGTCTGGGAAAAGATTTTATGAGTAAGATCTCAAAATCACGGGCAACAAAAGCAAAATGAAAGCCATACCCATTAAGCAGTCACTCTTGATTCTCTCCTCTCCATATTCCCTGGCCACCACTAATCTGCTTTCTTTCTCTATGGATTTGCCTATTCTTAATATTTCATATACAGTATATTGAATTCTGTACTATTGTAACTTTTTGTGTCTGTCTTCTTTCCCTTACCATAATGTTTTCAAGTTTTCATGTTGTAGCGCGTATCAGTACTTCATTCCTTTTTATGGCTGAATAATAGTTCATTGTGTTCATATACCATATTCTGTTTATGCATGTATCAATTGATGGACATTTGGGTTGTTTCTACCTTTTGGCTATTGTGAATAATGTTGCTATGAACATTGATGTACAATTTTTGTTTGAACACCTATTTTTAGTTCTTTTGATTATATACCTAGGAGTAGAATTGATAGGTCATGCAGCAATTCTATGCTTAACTTATGAGGAGCAAACAAAATGTTTTTCATATTGGCTGTATCATTTTACATTCTACTGGCAATGATTTCTCCACATCCTTGCCAATACTTGTTATTTTTCATATATTTTTATTAGGGCTATTCCACTGAGTATGAAATACTCTCTCATTGCTGTTTTGATTTGTAATTACCTAATGACTAATGACATTGAGCACATACAGTAATTTTTTATTGGATGCTGGACATTGTGATTATTACCTTGTTGAGTGTCTGGATCTTGCTGCCCTCCTTTAGTCAATGCTGGATTTTATTCTGGAAGGTAACAAATATTTCTAGATCTTCTTGATCTTTTCAAGGCATTGATCTTTTCAAAACCCTGTTGGAGCATGTTTAGGTAGCATTTACTCTAGAAACTAACCCCATTTCTAGCGGGTACTGATTATAAGGTGCAGATTCTGATAAATGTTCTGAGTGTTCAGTGATGTGTCTCCATTTGGGTTGGTCAGAACTGAAATGTCCCTTGATACTGAAAGTTCTGGTGGTTTAACTTACAGCTGCACATTAGTTTTATTTCTCTAGTAGCTGCTCCTGTTTAGTCTCATCCTATACATATACAGCTTATTATTTGGTCAAACATTCTAAGGTTTATGGAGCAATTTCTCTATGAAACTTATTCTTTTCTGCTACTCCATACAAATTTTAGCCATTTTGGCCTCCTTGAAATCTGATATCTGTGTCCTCAACTTACTAAGACTTCTGGCCGGGTACAGTGGCTCACACCTATAATCCCAGCACTTTGAGAAGCTGAGGTGGGTGGATCACTTGTGGCCAGGAGTTTGAGACCAGTCTGGCCAACACGATGAAACCCCATCTCTACAAAAATAAAATACAATAAAATAAAATAAATAAAATAAAATAAAATAAAATAAAAATTAAATTAAATAAAAAAGACTTCTGTGTTGTGCTTAGATTCCCCCTCCTTGAGTCTTCATGAGGAAAGCTGGGGTAATCACTGGACTCCACTCATTTGTTTCTCTTCTTTCAGGTATCATAGTCTTGTGCTGCCTATCATATAATATCTAAAAATAGTTGTTTTATATATTTTGTCCAGTTTTCTAGTTGTTTACAGTGGGAGGGCTAGTCTGGTACCAGTTACCCCATCATGGCCAAGGATGAAAATATAGTTTACTTTTAGGTACCAAATCACAAGAGCTAGAAATCTTCTTTTCTAAAGCTCCCATTCATCTGAAAACCTCCATCGCCTTTCATTGGTCAGAGTGGGGTAATTAATATGCTTATATCCGAACCAATCTCTCTGGTGTTCAGACTACTAATTGTAAACCAATCACTCTGGCAAGGTGAACTATATTCCCTAATTTGTTTAATCCTATCAAGGCCTGCTCTTGAAACTGGAGGTGGAGTCAGGTGACCTAAAGTATTTGAACCCCATGATGGAAGAGTGGATACCTGAACTAAAATTATGAATAATGTTTAGTTGAAAGAAGGATGGATTGTATTTTGAACATAGGTAACAAATATTCACTACACTCATTTTATAAATGAAACCAGAAGGACAGAGAGGTTAAGTGAGCTGCCCAATATCTCAGAGTTGATAATGACTGAATTAGGGCTTAAACTCTCACCTATTTGACTCCAAAGACAATGAGGATGATGGAACAATATTTGAATAGAACTTTGCAAATTGTAAAACCTTTACAGAACCTTCTCTTTATTTTACGGAACCTTCTCTTATTTTAATTCTTTCATGAACCCAGTGGTTTAAACAAGCCAGACATTGGCTCCATTTTATAGTTGAGGAAACTGTGTCTTAGAGAAGTAAAGAGACTGATTCAAAAATACAAGGCTTGTGTAGAACTGGGACTAGAACCCAAACCCTAGTTTTCTTTCCATTGAATATGATCATTCCAACATTCTTTTAGTTGTTTAGCCCAGTTTTTGATCTTTGTCCTTTTTCTTACCTGTTAAAAAGAATAGATTCCAGAACTTCCTTGCAATCCACTTTTTTGGTTGTTTTTTAATTTTACAGCTGAGTTTCTTTCACTGGGAGTTGCAAACCACATAATGAAAGATAAAATAATGTGTTTATTTTATCCCTTTTCTTGGGGAAAGGTCTTGGTTAATGGGATAAGTTAGCTTCTCTTGGCAATTTGAGATAATCAGAAATGGATTACTTGAATCATTTTAATCTCTATCATTTTAATCTTTTCATGCAGAATTAAAGATGGTCATAAGTCATGAACTACAGATAAGAAGAGTTGCAATACATTTTTTTTTTTTTTCTAAAAGAAAAAAAATTACAAGACAGTATCTTAGAAAGAAGGGTTTTGGAGTCTGAGAGATCTCAATTAAACCTCAGCCCAGCTACTCAGTCACTTAACTGTTTTAAGCCTTAATTTTCTCCATTGTAAAATGAAGACAAGAATAAGCTCTTGGCAGGGTTATTGTAAAAATGAAATGAAATAAAGTTCCTGGTGTAGCACCATTAAGTAGTTGATGTTCAATAGTGATAATAATTATTTTCTTAATTCTGTGAAGAATTTTGGTGCCTTGGAGCTAGGGCAGTAACTCTTATCTCTGCCATGTCCTTTTTCCCGGCCTCCTTAACACGCACCAGGAAGAACCTCAGTGTCCTCAAGTCTTAGAAAAGCTGGTTAGGTTCCATATGAACTTTAAAGTAGTTTTTTCCAATTCTGTGAAGAAAGTCGTTGGTAGCTTGATGGGGATGGCATTGAATCTATAAATTACCTTGGGCAGTATGGCCATTTTCGCGATACTGATTCTTCCTACCCATGAGCATGGAATGTTCTTCCATTTGTTTGTATCCTCTTTTATTTCATTGAGGAGTGGTTTGTAGTTCTCCTTGAAGAGGTCCTTCACATCCCTCGTAAGTTGGATTCCTAGGTATTTTATTCTCTTTGAAGCAATTGTGAATGGAAGTTCACTCATGATTTGGCTCTCTGTTTCTCTGTTGTTGGTGTATAGGAATGCTTGTGATTTTTGCACATTGATTTTGTATCCTGAGACTTTGCTGAAGTTGCTTATCAGCTTAAGGAGATTTTGGGCTGAGACAATGGGGTTTTCTAGATATACAGTCATGTCATCTGCAAACAGGGACAATTTGACTTCGTCTTTTCCTAATTGAATACCCTTTATTTCCTTCTCCTGCCTAATTGCCCTGGCCAGAACTTCCAACACTATGTTCAATAGGAGTGGTGAGAGAGGACATCCCTGTCTTGTGCCAGTTTTCAAAGGGAATGCTTTCAGTTTTCGCCCATTCAGTATGATATTGGCTGTGGGTTTATCATAGATAGCTCTTATTATTTTGAGATACATCCCATCAATACCTAATTTATTGAGAGTTTTTAGCATGAAGTGTTGTTGAATTTTGTCAAAGGCCTTTTCTGCATCTATTGAGATAATCATGTGGTTTTTGTCTTTGGTTCTGTTTATATGCTGGATTACATTTATTGATTTGTGTATGTTGAACCAGCCTTGCATCCCAGGGATGAAGCCCACTTGATCATGGTGGATAAGCTTTTTGATGTGCTGCTGGATTCGGTTTGCCAGTATTTTTTTGAGGATTTTTGCATCAATGTTCATCAAGGATATTGGTCTAAAATTTTCTATTTTGGTTGTGTCTCTGCCCGGCTTTGGTATCAGGATGATGCTGGCCTCATAAAATGAGTTAGGGAGGATTCCCTCTTTTTCTATTGATTGGAATAGTTTCAGAAGGAATGGTACCAGTTCCTCCTTGTACCTCTGGTAGAATTCAGCTGTGAATCCATCTGGAACCAAAAAAGAGCCCACATCGCCAAGTCAATCCTAAGCCAAAAGAATAAAGCTGGAGGCATCATGCTACCTGACTTCAAACTATACTACAAGGCTACAGTAACCAAAACAGCATGGTACTGGTACCAAAACAGAGATATAGACCAATGGAACAGAACAGAACCCTCAGAAATAACGCCACATATCTACAACTATCTGATCTTTGACAAACCAGAGAAAAACAAGCAATGGGGAAAGGATTCCCTATTTAATAAGTGGTGCTGGGAAAACTGGCTAGCCATATGTAGAAAGCTGAAACTGGATCCCTTCCTTACACCTTATACAAAAATTAATTCAAGATGGATTAAAGACTTAAACGTTAGACCTAAAACCATAAAGACCCTAGAAGAAAACCTAGGCATTACCATTTAGGACATAGGCATGGGCAAGGACTTCATGTCTAAAACACCAAAAGCAATGACAACAAAAGCCAAAATTGACAAATGGGATCTAATTAAACTCAAGAGCTTCTGCACAGCAAAATAAACTACCATCAGAGTGAACAGGCAACGTACAAAATGGGAGAAAATTTTCGCAACCTACTCATCTGACAAAAGGCTAATATCCAGAATCTACAATGAACTCAAACAAATTTACAAGAAAAAAACAACCCCATCAAAAAGTGGGAGAAGGATATGAACAGATACTTCTCAAAAGAAGACATTTATGCAGCCAAAAGACACATGAAAAAATGCTCATCATCACTGGCCATCAGAGAAATGCAAATCAAAACCACAATGAGATACCATCTCACACCAGTTAGAATGGCGATCATTAAAAAGTCAGGAAACAACAGGTGCTGGAGAGGATGTGGAGAAATAGGAACACTTTTACACTGTTGGTGGGACTGGAAACTAGTTCAACCATTGTGGAAGTCAGTGTGGCGATTCCTCAGGGATCTAGAACTAGAAATACCATTTGACCCAGCCATCCCATTACTGGGTATATACCCAAAGGACTATAAATCATGCTGCTATAAAGACACATGCACACGTATATTTATTGTGGCACTATTCACAATAGCAAAGACTTGGAACCAACCCAAATGTCCAACAATGATAGACTGGATTAAGAGAATGTGGCACATATATACCATGGACTACTATGCAGCCATGAAAAAGGATGAGTTCATGTCCTTTGTAGGGACATGGATGAAAGTGGAAATCATCATTCTCAGTAAACTGTTGCAAGGACAAAGAACCAAACACCGCATATTCTCACTCATAGGTGGGAATTGAATAGTGAGAACACATGGACACAGGAAGGGGAACATCACACTCTGGGGCCTGTTGTGGGGTGGGGGGAGGGGGGAGGGATAGCATTAGGAGATATACCTAATGCTAAATGATGAGTTAATGGGTGCAGTGCACCAGCATGGCACATGTATACATATGTAACTAACCTGCACGTTGTGCACATGTACCCTAAAACTTAAAGTATAATAATAAAATAAAAATTAAAAAAAAAAAAAGAAAAGCTGGTTAGGTAAGGCTGGGCGCGGTGGCTCACGCCTGTAATCCCAGCACTTTGGGAGGCCGAAGCGGGCGGATCCCGAGGTCAGGAGATCCAGACTATCCTGGCTGACACGGTGAAACCCCGTCTCTACTAAAAATACAAAAAATTAGCGGGGCATGGTGGCACGTGCCTGTAGTCCCAGCTACTCGGGAGGCTGAGGCAGGAGAATGGCGTGAATCCGGGAGGCGGAGCTTGCAGTGAGTCGAGATCGCGCCACTGCACTCCAGCCTGGGCGACAGAGCGAGACTCCGCCTCAAAAAAAAAAGAAAAAAGAAAAAAAGAAAAGCTGGTTAGGTAAGATGATTACCTTCTTTTAGCCTGGAAGCTGTAGTTAACCCTGACCTTTGAGAGTAGAGCAGAGGGTAGTTAACAGGTGCTAGAGCCAGATTGTCAGTCCCTGGCTGTGTGACCTTGAGCATCTTTCTAAGCTTCAATTTCAACATCTGTAAAATAAGGATGTGATAATAAATGTTTCTATTTCTAGAATTAGTTAAAAAGGAAATGAGATAATCTGTGTGAAATACTCAGTGGCTCACACATAGTAAGAACTCAAAAAGTCCTGCCATATATTGCTGAAATTGGAGAAGAACTTGGAGTGGAGAATGAAGATGATTTCTTGGTTCTCCATGAACACTGCACTTAACTCCCAATATAGGGTTTCCCAACTAGATTGAGCTACTTGTTAGCTTCCCCTAATTGCCTACATTATCTTTTTTCTTTGTTCTTTTTTGTTTCCCTAAGGGCCACATTTCCCCCACCTCCTCTCTGGAAATTGAACTGCAGAAGTTGTAATAGGTATGTGCAATAGGAAATGCTATGTAGGGCAGATTGACTGTGGCTAAAGCCCGGAATTCCCCCAAAAGAGGATGAGAAAGGTTACTGAGTTAGAAAATGTGGCAAGCAGAAGATGTTGAGGGGCATGGAGTAGTGGCCACAGGGAACTTGTGGAAATGATGTTAACACAGTGGTGACAGCAAAAGTTTGAAGACACTGGGAGGGTAACTATGGGCTTGAGGGGCAGAGTAAAAATACATTTCTAGGTCTGAGAATGAATAAATGAGTCATGAGATTTAAGGAGGTCAGATAATAAATTCAACTAGTGGCAGCCCAGTGGGATGCCCAGTGGGAAACAGAGGAGTCACAAAAGGTTTCACCACCCAAAGATCTTGAAAAGAAACTTTATTTATTTTATTTTATTATTATTATTTTTTTGAGATGGTGTCTCGTTTTGTTGCCCAGGCTGGAGTGCAGTGATGTAATCTCAGCTCACTGTAACCTCCACCTCCCAGGTTCAAGCAATTCTCCCACCTCAGCCTACCGAGTAGCTGGGATTACAGGTGCCCACCACCACGCTTGGCTAATTTTTGTATTTTTAGTAGAGACAGGCTTTCACCATGTTGGCCAGGCTGGTCTCAAACTCCTGAACTCAGGTGATTCACCTGCCTTGGCCTCCCAAAATGCTGAGTAGGAAACTATATTTATTGGGCAGCTGTTATATGCTAGTTAGTGTCACATATATGTCACCTCACATAATCCTCACAGCAACACTGTGGGGTAGGTACTCTTATCCCATCCATTTTGAATGAATAGAAGTGCATTTTGAATAATAACTTTTCAAGGTCACATAACTAGTCAATGTTAGAATTAGCCATGTTATTTCATTCACTTTAAGATAGTTACTTGCCTTCTGAAAAATCTGTAAAAGAATTCATTTTATTTTATTTTATTTTATTTTATTGATACACAATGTACATATTTTCAGGGTGTATGTAATATTTTGATATGTTCATATAATATAAAACAATCAAATCAGGGTAATTGTGATATCCTTCACCTAAAACATTTCTCTTTTCCTAATGTTGGGAACATTTTAATTATTTTCTACTGGCTATTTTGAAATACACAATTAATTATTTTTTACTATAGTCACTCTACTGCTTCATCAAACAGTAGGCTTATTTCTTCTATCTAACTGTATTTTTGTACCCAATAATCAATCTGTCTTTATCTCACCCTCTCCCATCCCCTTCCTAGCTTGTGAAATAATTCTATTAGAGATGACAACAATTTTATATAAACAAGAATTAAGTAGATACATTATTGCTAAAAACCGGTCACTAAGAGAAACAGCAGTAAGTGGAAAGTAAATTTGTCATAGTGAGGACAATGATTGATAAGCTAGGAATTACATGCACTGTAAATGCCAATTTAGAAATAATCTAAACTTATTTGAGTGTTCAAATGAGGACTATGTGCATTAGAATAGTTTTTAATATAAAATTTACTCTCTTCCCACAACACAAGAGTACTCCCTACTAAATCTGGTATCTGAAACTGCAAGTATCCAGAGAATTCGCTGCCCCACCAAAGTTTCCTAGTAGTGAGATTTTGATGTGTCCTGATTTTCTACCCTAGAGCAAAGGAGGACTGTCTTTAATATTTCCCCATGATCTGCCTCTGAGAGAATAAGATTGGGGATGAGAAAGTTAGATTCTTACTCTCTGCAGTAACAGAGCTTTGTAGAAGCAAGTTGAGGATTATTTGTTTGTTTGTTTGCTTGTTTGAGATGGGTCTCACTATGTTGCCCAGGCTGCTCTCAAATTCTTGTACTCAAGTGATCCTCCTGCCCCAGCCCCGACAGTGCTGGGATTACAAGAATGAGCCACCACTGCACTCGGCCTGGGGAAGTATGTAGGACTGGGTTCACTCTCAGGTATGATTTAGCATTTTTTGTTTTCAGGAAATAGAGAGATGCCTTTACACTAAGAAGAGGAACTCACTCTAAAAATCTAATGATTCTTTTTTTTTTTTTGAGACAGTCTCACTCTTGTTGCCCAGGCTGGAGTGCAGTGGTGTGATCTCGGCTCACTGCAACCTCCAGCTCCAGGGTTCAAGCAATTCTCCTGCCTCAGCCTCCTGAGTAGCTGGGATTACAGTTTCCCACCACCACCACGCCTGGCTAATTTTTGTACTTTATGTAGTAGAGACGGGGTTTTGCCATGTTGACAAGGCTGGTCTCAAACTCCTGACCCACCCACCTCGGGTTCCCAAAGTGCTGGAATGACAGCCGCTGTCGTGAGCCCCTATGCCCTGCCACATCTAATGATTCTTTGGTGTTGTAACGATGAATGTGCATAGTGCAGGGCTGTCTCTTGTAGTCAAGGACCAGTCCCCGTGAGCAGGGCTTGGATTATAATCCCCAGTAAGCAAGAAGAGGAAGTGAGTAAGAGAAAAATTTGATGAAGAAAGAAAAATACTAACAGGTTCCAGGTTTCCTTTGTTTTTCTTTCTTTTCCTTTCTTCAGCTTAGGGTGGGAGCTAAATCACAACTTTCAAAAGGTCAATATAAATGTTATTCCCTTAGGGCAACAGAGATGGAATCCTTAAAAATAAGTAAAAATAACCAAAAGTAGACATCTTTTGGAGAATTTTCAGTTCATGGACAGTCCAGAGAGAGTTGTAGGATTTCCTTTCCATCCTACCAGAAGCATACTTTTACTGTCTTCCCCACTAACAAATTCTAATAACTGCTAGGTAAAATGGTGGAAGTACAAAAACAAGAATATCATAGCAGCACAGGTCAAATTTGAGAAAGTTACTTTTCTTACACATTCTATGGCCGTGGGAGGAAATAGGGATATAGACCTGTGGGGAAATAAATGTCTTGGTATAAGAATACACTTAACAGGGGGGAAAGAAGTGACAACCTGTGAGATTTGCTACGTAAGGAGAAAAAAAATCATCTGCTGTCTTCATATCAGGCTTTCGCTCTCCTTTCCAGGCCAAGAGTACGGCTAAAAGTTATTTCTTGCTGAAAGGCTGCTGAGGGAAGGGGAATCCCATAGTTCCAGGGCTTGATTCCTGACTAAAACATTGTCAGTTCAAAACTTCCAGCAGTTCTTTGGTTTTGTGTGTGTGTGTATGGTGGGAATTAGGCAAACATTTTTTTGTTATGGGAAGACCACCACAAATACCCTATTCTGGATTGGAGAGGAGAGAGACCATGTAGTTTCAAGGAACTAAAATACTCTGCTATTCCTTTTTTTTTTTTTTTTTTTTTAAGACAGAGTCTCGTTCTGTTGCCCAGGCTGGAGTGCAGTGTTTCTATCTTGGCTCATTGCAACCTCCACCTCCTGGGTTCAAGTGATTCTCGTGCCTCAGTCTCCCAAGTAGCTGGGATTACAGGTGTGTGCAACCATGCCCAGGTAATTTTTGTTATTTTTAGTAGAGACAGGGTTTTGTCATGTTGGCCAGAATGGTCTGGAACTCCTGGCCTCAAGTGATCCACCTGCCTCGGCCTCCCAAAGTGCTTGGATTACAGGCGTGAGACACCATGCCTGGCCAGTACTCTGCTATTCCTTTTGACATCATTGAGGATAGAGTTGGATCTTTGCAGATTTTGTAACCTTTAAGAAAATGTTGCTTTTCTAAATATGATTTAGACTGTACTGTTTCTTAAATTTATTTATTATTCTTAGGAAGTGTGTGTATGTGTGCTTTCATAGTTATCCACAGGCCACTCACTGGGAGTGGGGTATAGGACTAGGAAAGACCAAAAGCAATGATACGATCAAAGTCTCTCAGAGATCATACTTGGAAACTCATGGTGCTAATTCAGTCAGAATAACCTAGACTTTTGGAAGTATCTTTAAGTCTGACTATTTTATCCTGAAGCTGATAGGCTTTAAATATGTGTTTCCTCTGAATCTCACGTTGAAATGCAATCCCCAGTGTTGGAGATAGGGGCTGGGTGGGAGGTGATTGGAGCATGAGGGTGGATTTCTCATAAATGATTTAGCACCATCCTCTTGGTGCTGCTCTTGCAATAGTGAGTTCTTGTGGGATCTAGTTGTTGTAAAGTGTGTGGCAACTTCCTCTCACTCTCTCTTTTGCTTCTGCTGCCGCCATGTGAGATGCCTGTTCCCTCTTCACCTTCTGCTATGATTAGAAGTTTCCTGAGGCCTCCCCAAAAGCTAAAATTGGCACTATGCTTCCTACACAGCCCGCAGAACCATGAGTCAATTAAACTTCTTATAAATTACCCAGTCTCAGGTATTTCTTTATGGCAATTCAAGAATGACATAATACAGATTCTTTTGTTATAGAAGTGAAGTTTCTATTGAAGAGACTCTCTGCCATCAAACAAGAAAATAATCTAGACAGTTTTAAGTTGATCATATCAGGAGATGTGATTTTTACATGTTAACAATTTCTAGAAAATGTAGGTTACATGAACTAGTTGTTAGATATTGAAATTAGAAAATATTAAATGAATTCATATTATAATGTTACACTCTTTTGAACTTTACTCAAAAAGAATCTGAATTCTAGAAATGCTTCTTTTTTATTAGGTAGAAGAGTAACTCTGAACTTGTTTTTTTCTTTCTTTTCCTTTTGTAATAATTTGTTTTACAATATCATAGCAGATGTTTGTAATTTTTTGGCTGCCCAATTTGAACCCTCAACCTATATTTGGAAACTGCTTTATATCTGAGTCTTGGTAGCAGGTTGAACCTGAGAATGTTTCCCAGCAGAAGAGGAAATTCTTGCCACCTATACTGACGGTGCATGTGTGTTTTAAATGAAAATGGAGCATTTTATTGGTTTGTGGCCATTGAGAAAAGAATTATTAGTCAAAAAGTCCCTTTCCAGATTTTTATATTCATCAAATAAAGTCACTGAATATACATTTTGTGGGTTAGTTAAAATCTAGAACATATGCAATTAGAAGATGATCCTTCAACTTTCCTTTACTAGTGAGCTAAAAAATATTTAGAATAATGATTCTCCCTGCCTACATATTGGAATCACTTGGAGAGTTATAGAAAATGCTGATGTCTAAATACTACCCTAGAACAAATTAAATCAGTATCTCTGTGGTTGGGATCTAGGAGCTGGTATTATTCCAAAGCTTCTCAAGGGATTTTAATGCACAATCAGGTTTGTGAATAATTGATCTAGAGCAGAGGTTAGCAAACTTTTTGTAAAGACCAGACAGTAAATATTTTAGGCTTTGCAGGCCTTATAGTCTATGTTGCAACTACTCAACTCTGCCATTGTAGTGCAAAAACGGCCACAGACAATATATAAATAAGTGAGAGTGGCTGTGTTTTGGTAAAACTGTTTACAAAAACAATCCACAGGCCAGAATTAGCCTACCAGCCATGGCTTGTCAACCCTTGACTTAGACTAGAGAGAAGAACAAGAGGATTTTTTAAAGAAAGAGAAACATTTTAGCAATGCTGCAGTAGTACCTTCTGTCTTTTATACTACCCTAAAGATGTTGTTGGTTCATACCCAGAATGCTTTGAAATAAATATGACCTAAATAACAGCAGAAATTACCCATGTCGGAACTTAAACATATGAAAAAAAGTTCAACATCACTGATAATTAGAGAGATGCATATCAAAACCACAATGAGATACCATCTCATGCTAGTCAGAATGGTGGTTATTAAAAAGTCAAGAAACAACAGATGCTGGCGAGGCTGTGGAGAAATAGGAACACTTTTACACTGTTGGTGGGAATGTAAATTAGTTCAACCATTGTGGAAGACAGTGGGGTGATTCCTCAAGGATCTAGAACCAGAAATACCATTTGACCCAGCAATCCCATTACTGGTTATATACCCAAAGGAATATAAATCATTCTATTATAAGGACACATGCACGCATATGTTTATTGCAGCACTATTCACAATAGCAAAGACATGGAATCAGCCTAATGCCCATCAATAACAGACTAGATAAAGAAAATGTAGTACATATATACCATGGAATACTAAGCAGCTATGAAAAGGAATGAGATCATGTCCTTTGTAGGGACATGGATGGAGCTGGAAGCCATATCCTCAGCAAACTAATGCAGGAACAGAAAACCAAACACCACATGTTCTTATTCATAAGTGGGAGCTGAACAATGAGAACACATGGACACAAGGAGAGGAACAACACACGCTGAGGCCTGCTGGTGGGGGTGGAGGTAGGGAGAGCATCAGGATAAATAGCTAATGCATGTGGGGCTTAACACCTTGGTGCTGTGTTGATCTGTGCAGCAAACCACCATGGCACACGTTTACCTATGTAACAAACCTGCATATCCTGTGCACGTATCCTGGAACTTAAAATAAAAAAAGGAATTACCCCGTCCCCTTGTCCTTGAAAACTTACATAAAATCTAAGAATCTTAACTCATGGCCCATATCCCAAGGACTTGGGAAATACAGATTTTAGCCCATGGTTTCACTTATATTCTCAAGATTACTTCTTGTTCCAAAATTGACTGCATCACTTTTCCTATGAGTGATCTCTTCTCTCTCTTCCATGACAACCTTGCTTTCTCCCCTTAATATGTGCATAGCAGGCTCTCCTGAAGTTGTGAGGCAAAGAAAGATATTTATCTTACAGCAATACAAACAACTTAAGTTTGATTATTAATATGTCTCTTCTAAAAAGCCTATTGGCCACCTAAGGAGTTTCCCCAAATATTGACATTAAATTATTATAATCAAACTATCTCTCATATTAAAATGATAATTTTTATTCTATGGCATGTAGAAGAATATAGTGCTGTATTATGACAACGTATGTCCAAACCAGGATACTATTTCAGTTTTAACAGTAACTGTTTAGATTCATAAACATTCATGAACCATCAGCCTGGGAGAACAGCGTTATCATAGACACCCACAAACACAGAAATCCAAACAAAGTAGCTCACAAGGTATATATATATTTTATATATATCTTAATCAAATTATATAGTGTATACGTCTTATACAAATTATATTTAAATAAAATAGAATATTCCATATTCTATATAGAATAATATACTATGATAGTATATATTATAATATTAATGGTATATATTACACTACATATATGGTATATACACATACATCATAGTATATATAGCATATCACATTATTTCATTTGAATATAATTTTTTTTTTTTTTTGGAGACAGAGTCTCACTGTGTCGCCCAGGCTGGAGTACAGTAGTGCCATCTCAGCTCACTGCAACTTCTGCCTCCCCAGTTCAAGAAATTTTTGTGCCTCAGCCTCCCAGGTAGCTGTGATTACAGGCGTGCATTACCATGCCCAGCTAATTTTTGTATTTTCAGTAGAGATGGGGTTTCGCCATGATGGCCAGGCTGGTCTCGAACACCTCGGCCTCCCAAAGTGCTCGGATTACATGCGTGAGCCACCACTCCCAGCCTGAATATAATTTGCTTAATGAAAATAAGTTGTTAACTAGGTGGTAAGGCATCAAGGAATTACTATCCTTATTTTAACTTTTTCAGAAAATACCTCTAACAAAAGCTGAAATTTCAAGAGCTCTTAGCATACAAAAAATGGGTCAGAACCTTGCAAATGGTATTAAAGGGTAGAGCATAACCTTACTAAAGCCAAAGATGGAAATGTGGGAACAATGGAATATGAGGGTAACAAGAAATTTAGTCTGAGAGAAATGATGATGTTGAAAGAGGGAGTAGCATGGTGAGAATTAAAAGTGGAATTCAGCAGATAGTGCCAAGCTATATGTGCACAGTGAACTTCATGATTTGCATTAATGAATAGGTCTGAAACTTAGAATTTATCATAGAATCTGTATTTCAAAGCTCAAAGGGACTTTGGAAGGAAAAAGCACATTTACCAAGCATGAACTATGCACCGAGCATAACATTTTTGTACAGGTATTTTCAGGGAGGCAACACCTTTGAAGCCAGTTCATATAGATGCAAATCTTGGCCCTGCCACCTTTAGTGGCCCTGGAGAAATTAATTAACCTATTTAGTCATTTGGTTCCTTTCTTCCTTTCTCCCTTCCCTTTTTCTTTTCTTAGAACTTAATGGAGTACACTGGGCTCACTTTCTTGGAGTTTCTTTTCCTCTCTTCTTTCTTATCTCCTTCTCCCTCTCTTCCTCTTCCTCTCTTTGTCCCCCTACTCCAGTTTCCTCATGCATATATGGAGAGAGAAAGTCTTCTTCTTTTCTTTTTTTGAGATAGAGTCTCGCTCTGTTGCCCAGGCTGGAGTGCAGTGGCGTGATCTTGGCTCACTGCAAGCTCTGCCTCCCAGGTTCATGTCATTCTCCCGCCTTAGCTTCCCGAGTAGCTGGGACTACAGGCGCCCGCCACCACGCCCAGCTAATTTTTTTGTATTTTCAGTAGATATGGGGTTTCACCGTGTTAGCCAGGATGGTCTTGATCTCCTGACCTCGTGATCCACCTGCCTCGGCCTCCCAAAGTGTTGTGATTACAGGCGTGAGCCACCACACCCGGCCCAGAAAGTCTTTTGCAAGAATTTTGTGTGAATAAAATTGAAGCAATTCTCTGAAGTGTATGGAACATTGTAGCTACTCAGTGGATGTTAATTTTCTGCTATCCTTTTAATAGTTTAGAACACTGAGGCTTACAGGTTAGGTGTCATCTTCGATGAAGAGATTTGGCCAAATTTAGGGGTTTTATTTATTTCCCTGGTTTGATACTTGCCTCCCCCCACCTCAATTACACTTCGTCACCACTCAAGTTTGAATGATGTCTACTAGGTAACCTGAATAGATCTGGTGATGCCACATCACTAGGCAGTTTCTAAAAAGGCAACTATTCCTTTCTGTTTCCTAGAAATGTGTAAAAAGTAGCCCTATCATGGAGACAGCAAGGCAGATGACCAATCAACTGTCCCTGAAGGTACATAATTTAATCCGGTGGTCGAATTAGATAGAAAAAAACCGTAAGATATTGTATAATAGGAAAGGACAGGCACTTAGATGATCTGAGTAGAACAGTGTAAGTATTTATTAATGAAAAAGTGTTTCTTGATGGGCCACTGGGATGGTGGAGCTAAGCTTTTGGAATCTTGTGGCTATAATAAGAAAGCTATTTTTTCCAACTTTGAGATAATATTTCATCTGTCATTTTCTGGCATAATTGGACATTAACAAGACATTAAACATTGAGCTCACTGATTCAGATTCACACAGAATAGAAGCTTCAAAAAGTCTCTTTTCTTGGGAGAGGTCAAGCTTATCTAAGCACTCTGAGACTCGTGTGGTGTTATTCACGCTGGACAGATGCAAAAGGGCACTGGCTCAAACTCCTTCTCTTTCTCCATTTGTTTTTTATAGGAAAATATACAAGGATGACCATGCCTGTGTATTGTACAAGTCAAGAGCCATGTGACTTGTGGTTTTATGAACTTAACTGGTAGCTCTTTCCAATGGGTAATATCCACCCCGCTCCTAGGAATATACCCTAGGGGCAGATATGTAAATTTGTTGATGGCAGACATGAGACATAGTACCTTTACTGAGGCTGTGGTCCCAGTGGTCAGACAAGAAACAGACATGCTGAGTGGTGTGCTCTCAAACAGTAAATGGAGGGATTGATGTCACTTGATAGTCCATATTTCACAATAAGGCACGAAGTCTAGCTCTCTACCCTTCAGAACTGAATCATGCGCACAAGCCTAAAAAAGGAAAACTAAAAGCAGAACATGAAGAATATGTTCCATTATAAGCTCAGGAGGGAGGTGAAAAGTTTAAGCAAATGAAAAACAGAATCATTGTCAACGGTTGGATATTGTGATTCACATACAAACGCACCAACTCATTAACCAACTGCCAATTGTCTTTTGGGGGCAGAAGAAAATATTACAAGATATAAGACGGATATTTAGCTAGTTTTCCTTAGCATAATAAAACGCAGGCTTTCGATCTTTTCCAACTCTTATGTGCTGTGGAGAAAGGGTTTTAGTAGAGAGTGAGAGAATAGATCCCTGCCACAGGGACACAAGCTGGTATAATCAGAGGAGGGAAAAGACCGTATTATTTAGGATAAACAAGAACGGGAGAGCAATTTAATTGGTTCCTGATGTTCCACATAACACAGGCCAGGGCTTTTAAAACCCAGTGGCTTATTTTTATTTGTGAATATATTTGAGTTTTTAAAAAATGGGTTTTCTGGCCGGGCACGGTGGGTCATGCCTGTAATCCCAGCACTTTGGGAGGCGGAGGCAGGCGGATCATGAGGTCAGGAGTTTGGGACCAGCCCGACCAACATGGTGAAACCCGGTCTCTACTAAAAGTACAAAAATTAGCTGGGCGTGGTGGCATGTGCCTGTAATCCCAGCTACTCAGGAGGCTGAGGCAGGGGAATTGCTCTGACCCAGAAGGCGGAGGTTGCAGTGAGCCGAGATTGCGCCACTGCACTCCAGCCTGGGTGACAGAGTGAGACTTCATCTCAAAAACAAAAAACAAAAAACAAAACACAAAAAGTCCCACAACAACGGGTTTTCCATCTGTGTTGGTGGAATTCCAGTCAAGGAACTTCGATGCTGGCTGCTTTCATCTTGTGATCACCTTTCAAAACCATAAAAAGGTCTTCTCTTTTCCTTTATGTAAAAGTACTTCCAGCCAATATTTAATATGAAAGGGATGTTTATCAGACTTGGGATGGGCATATTGAAGCTATTCAGAAGTTGATGCTTTCTTTCCCTGTCTCTTCTTTTTCTCATATACACACTTTTTTTTCCCTACTAGTCTCAGTGCCTTAACTATATTTCCTGTTGTGGATTTGTACAGCTGAGAGAGGTATAGGCAGAAATAAAATTCTTTTAAAAGCGAGTGAGAAGACTAAGAATTAAAGGGGAATTGCTGCGTAAGAGAGAAATGTGCATTAATTCAATTGCAAAACCTCTGACTGACAGTGAGCTGTGATTATTTCAGAGAGCTGACAATTTCAGTACTGTGTGTTTGCCAGATCTTGATCTGAAGTCCAGACTTAGAGGCGGTATTTGGAAGATAATTCTCAGTGGGTGCTGTTGTTACATTTTTTTCCTTCCTATCTCTAGGAAAGCTATGTCTATAAATTATTTAAATTCAGTAAATCAAATGGGTTTCTTTGTGAACTTTTGCAAATAAAAATGGAATTCGTTATTTTAAAAACCAACTGAGGATGATTAAACAGTTTTTTCACATGAAAGAAGTATCTAGTTTCTGGATCACGAAGCCTCATGACCTGAGACAACTCTAAAGCAAACTAACATTTTTCAATCCACTTTCCCCATAATGTTTTTTATAAGCTGTGATACTCATGAGTTAACTTACATATAATTAACATGTTTCTGATGCAACGTAAACATACTTGCAGCATTTGTGTTTATCTCAACCTTTAAAACAAAACACTCAGTGAAAGACATGCCTCTATTTTAAGAAAAATAAATTTTTGTCAACCTTAATTTACAAAATAAGACACAATAGGATGGATATTTTCATGTCAAAAAGAATTAATTACTTGACCAAAAAATTACTACACAATTTCTTTAAATTACAGACTCTGGCAATACTATTTAAGTATACTTTTACTAACCATAATTTCATCAACATGTAACTTTTCAGTAACAGATTGCAATAAAGGACCACAACCTTCTAATTAGTTGAGTTTTAACTATTTTTAATAAAACAACCACAGTCTTTGCCTGTATTACACTTCTGCAGCTGACAGTTTTTAAAAAGATTTTTTTCCATACTCTTCTAACACAGAACTCTAGTATCACATGGAATATTTAAGCCTTTTTTCATAAGGTCTATAGGATGGAAGCTTTCTTGAAAGATAATGAGCTAGTAAAATTATGGTGAAGGATAAAGGTGCCAGGACAATGTCAGCTTTTAAATATCTATTTATCATACATTCCAGATGATAGAAAAGAAATGCTGGAGCAAGAGGTCAGCTGTTTTAATGTTTCTCTCTGAATCAAAGAGGGGAGGGGACTTTATGGATCCCAGCTGTGCTTACTTTCGGGTTTCCTGGCTCGTTACCATTCTGTATTCTGTAGTCTACATGTCCAAAGCTCAAGGGAGATTTTGATCCAGCAGCTCTTGCACAAGTTAGTTTTCTTTTCTTTTTTAAAATAAAGAATATCAGATACTTGTAATGCTTAGCATACTGCCATGATGCGCTTAAATGCCAGGCCAAGGCAGGGCAGGGGTGGTGGTGCAGGGATTTGGGGGAGACCAGGAAAGGAGGAGATGGGGAGAGGCTGAGAAAAGAGAGATGAAGAAAGGGGAAAAGAGGAAGAAAGACTCCCAGAAAGTGAGCCCAGTGTGTTCCATTAGGTTCCAAGGATAGAAAAAAGGAAGGGAGAAAAGAAGGAAGGAACCAAATAACCAAGAATTGAGAGGACAAAAGGACCTTATGTATTTTTTTTTTAGCCTCTTTTCTGGGTCAGTAGTTCTTTTTGTAAAAATTTTTTTTTGAAACAGTCTTGCTCTGTTGCTCAGGCTGGAGTGCAGAGGAGTGATTTTGGCTCACTGCAGCCTCGACCTCCCAGGCTCAAGCGATCCTCCCACCTTAGCCTCTCTAGTAGCTGGGACTACAGATGTGTACCACCATGTCTGGCTAATTTTTCTTTTTAAAAATTTCCTGTGGAGACAGGGTTTCACCATGATGCCCAGGCTTGTAGGTCAGTTGTTCTTGAGTGTTAGTATTTATCATAATCATCTGGAAAACTTACGAAACACAGACTCCCAGGACCTGCCCAGAGTTTCTGATTTGTTGGGATGGGGCTGGGGTCTGGGAATCTGCATTTGAACAAGGACATATTTAATAGTAATACTAGTGTTGAAAAGCAGTTCATACAGGTATTGGAGCCTTGGAGAGGTTGCTTGAAGACAGGCTATATGCAGTGGATGAAGTCACATACACAGAAAGAATGAACATTTCAGATGGAACTAGAGGACACGGGGAGAGAAGTGTCTAATGAGCAAAACAAAAGTAACAATAATGAGATGTGGGAGAAGGGGGGTTGAAAGAGGAAGTGAGTAGCTACAGAGATCCATTTTAGATTATAACGTGTAGATTTGCCTACCAAAATGAAATAGAAGACGACCATGTTGCTGTTAAGGCATTCATTAAGTTAGAACTTACGGCTAAATTTCTTGATCATGTGGTCACATATTCCAACATTTCTCTTTGAGATACTTACTGCACAACAGAGAAATCATAAGAAAGTACCATCAGAAGTAAATGACTGATTGAAATAAGTGCCCTTATTCCTAGAGAGGAAGATGGTATTTCAAAGTAGCTGAAGCAAACCTGTTGCAGAAGAGATAGGATCAAAAAATTCACCAACAGAAGGATGGAAGCCTGTTATTCTCTGCCTCAAAAAAGAAAACTTCAAAGCTCAAGTGCCTGTTCTAAGGGTTTAGAGATGAAAATGGTACTTGGTTAGCCACTGATGATTACAAAATTTTTATGTATAAAAAACCTGGAGGCAGCAATAGTGTTGGAAGGAAGCCTAAAGTTGGATTCACACAGCACTTTACCTAAGTTTGAGAAAGTCAGCTGTTTCTCTCAAAGAATAAGGGGTGATGGAGATTACTGGTATTGGAGTAAGGGTGGGTAAAGCTATCCTAGTCTCTTTTTTTTTTTGGTGTGCCAACAAGGATACTCTTCCCTGAAGCAGATTCACATGTCTCACTAAAATGTCCATAAAACCACAGAAAAAAAATGAAAACATGAGTCTTCGAAAAGACAACCTATTGTCTGCATTCTGGAGGGAACTCTACTTAGACTATCAAGATCTTGGAATAACCTATACACATCTCATCACTGCAGCCTCTTTGTTTCAACAGCATTCACGTGCACTGGTCTGCCAGTCTCCTCAGTGTCCTTATGTCCTCCACGGGAAGGCATGTGCTAATGTCAGGTGCCCCTGTATGGCTCACACAAATGTGGGAAGCCATCTATCCAGCCACTCTCTCGGCCAGTGCTGTGTTACAGCTCTCATACGTTGTTGGACATCACATTGCTCAAGTGTAGTTGGGGGTTCCCCTAGTCCCAAGAAAGCACTCCATGAGCTCCAGGGTTCTCAGTTTCCCTGACACCTTTTCTTTTCTGGGTGTTTTCCTCTTCTCTAAGAGGAGGAAAGTGAGGACACTGGTGTCTGATTTCATCCTTTCCTTTCTCTCAAAACTCTGCTAGAAAAAGAAAGGATGGACTTTCACTCTTTCCTATGTGGCAGGGGCTTTGTTGAGTGCTGTCTACTTTATACTTGTAATGAAACTCTATGATCAAACTAGTGATTATGTAAGTGAGAACTCCGATAATTTAGGAAATCCCCTTCCTGCCAGTCAAAGCCATTTGACAGTCAGAAGCTGAACATTGACTCCTTTCTTTCTCTTGTGCTCCTGCTGTTAACAGTCCTAATCATCCCTGACTATCGCCCAAATTAGATGGATCCTCAAAAAAGGAAAACCACGTTAAAATAGTTCAAAAAATAATTTTCATATTGCATATTTTCCCCAGTTTATAATTTTTAAAACACATTCCTTGTTTTCATTTATAGGCATTTTAAATTGTTGTTTAATTTAAATCTATCAGTCTTTTTCTTTAGGCTTTCTTCCAGTGGTGTCATGCCAAGCCATCCCCAAATCAAAAGATTTTTTTAAAAAATCAATCATATAGTTTTCTAATGCCTTTGTATGTAATGTAGGTATTTATTTCATGAATGACCACTGCAGTACCCCGTCTTAGTAAATAATACTTCCTTTCTTCCTGTTGTTCAGGGCAAAACTTTGGCATCGTCTTTACTCTGTCTTCCTCTTATGTTAACATATTCAATCCTTCAGCAAACCCTCTTAGCTTTGCCTTTGAAATATATTCAGAATCCAACCATCTCTTGTCTGGTCAATTGCGGTAGCCTCCTAAATGGTCTCCTTTTCCCTGCCCCCTGGTAGTCTCTTCTCAACATGGCAGGCAGATTGTTCTTTTAATACATGTTATTTTTCTGCCTAAAACCTACCAGATTACCATCTCATTTAGAGGAAAATCCAAAGTCCTTCCCACGGGCTGCGAGGCCATCTGTGGTCTCTACCACAACACACACACCAACTCCCACCACATCCAACCTTCTCTGACTTCCTCTCCCAGCCTTCTTTCCCTTACTCCTTTCTCTTCAGCTATGACCTTGACATCATTGCTGTTCATTGAATAAGGGAAGCAAACTGCCATCTCAGGACTATTGCACTTGCCTTCCCTTCTACCTGGAATGTGCACTCCTGTCCCTTCCTGACCTCTTTATCTGCTTTCCTCAGGTCTCTCTTCAAAGGCCATCATTACAAAAGCTTGTTTCTGATCACTTTATCTAAAATAAGCACTCACAACACTTATTGCTACCTGACATATTGCTTATTAGTAAATTTTCTGTCTCCTCCCATTAAAACAGAAGCTTGAGGGAGAGCTGTGTTTTGTATACTGTCATATCCCCAAGGTCTAAAATGGGACTCTACTACCTTTATTAAGATGTCTTTTTAAAAATATACCACATTTTGGTATGATTTATGAATAAAATTACAAGTCACTTTTAAACACCTAAAATTAATTTTATGTACTTATTTTTAAATTTCATAATAATGGAGTCTACTCTATAATGTTGCCTTTAAAACATTTTAATCTATATTTAACGTCAGATTGGTTTGCACTTTGTTTTACTGTATTAAAATCTCCTTGTATTTCTAATAATTTTTGCTTTAGATAATTTAAGGCAATATTGCTTGAAGCTCAAAGGTTCACTCCTATACCTTTTTGATAAATTATGTTGTGTATTCCTATGAACTGTCCAGGTTTACCTCATTTAATTTTTTCCTTGAATATTACTTAATCTGATCTTAATAATGCCACCCATGAGTCTTTAAATTAGCATTGGCTTAATACTTTCCCATCCTGTTTATTCTCAAACTTATGTTTTCTTTTCATTCTAGGCATGCTTCTTAAAAACAGCAGACTTTTAAAATTCACTCAACCTTTAAAAAAATGTTCAAACTTGTTTTTATTGCTACCATCCATGTGTCCTTCAATTATTTAGAAAGAAATCTCAGACATATCATTTTACATTTAAATATTTCAGTTAATATCTCAAAAAGATTTCTTTTAAAACATAACTATAATAGTGTTATCACACCTAAAAATTAATAATAGTTTCTAATATCATGAAGTACTCAATTACAATTCGAATATTCCAATTGTCTGTCTTTTTTCTTTTACTTTTTTTGAGGTAGGGTCTTGCTCTGTTGCCCAGGCTGGAATGCAATGTCATGATCTGAGTTCACTGCAACCTGCGTCTCCTGAGCTCAAGCCAACCTCCCACTTCAGTCTCCTGAGTAGCTGGGACTACAGGTGCATGCCACCATGCCCAGCTAATTTTTGTATTTTTTATAGAGATGGGGTTTCATCATGTTTCCCAGGGTAGTCTCAAATTCCTGAGCTCAAGCAGTCCACCAGCCTCGGCCTCCCAAAGTGCTAAGATTACAGGTGGGAGCCATCATGTCTGGCTCATTTTTCAAAATATAATTTATTTGTATCATAATCCAACTAATGTCTAAGCATTGAAATTGGCCAATATGTCCCTTAAATTCTGTTTAATCTAAAGGTCCACCTCTATCTCTGATTTTGTTTTTCTTACTCCACCCTTTAAATTCCTCACCTAAAACTGTCCCAGAGTGAGTTGTCAAGAGAGAGCCCTTGGACTTAACAATGAATGGTGCATTTCACTGGTAGCCTCTCATTTATTTTACATTTTTCAGGTTTCATCAACATCTTGGACCAGAGTCAGGTGGATTAGATACAAACATCATCTTTCCCTGCTATGTCTGCTATGTCCATGGCTTAGTAGTGATTTCACAAGGTAGTATGTATAATCAGTGAGAAGCATGTGTAGTCATTTACATGAACTTTCTGAAAACTCTTACCTTTCTACTTTCTATTATTATATACTGAGGTTGGGGGAAAAAGTGTTGTTAATAGCTAGGACATATTATGCCATCTCTTATTACAGCTTGTAAGTCTGCCCCCACTTTTTAGCATCTCTCTTTAGAAAGTGCACACTTGGAAGCTCTTTATTTTCAGCTGTCAACCTTAATTACCCACTTTTGAAAAATGAGAAAACTTATACTCAGCACCATATCAGTTGCTGTAAAGCAGTTGATCTCCCATATCTTTGCTTTATATTAATAACAATAGCTAACATTTGTTAAGTATTTTATGTCAGACCTTCAGAATTTTGCATAAATTACCTCATTTAATCCTCATGGCAATTCAGTAACAGGGGCACTACTAGCTCAATATAATAGGTGAGAAAATTGACACCTAGAAAGGTTAACTAAAGCAGTATGAGGCTAAATAGCTAAACAGGAGTGGAGCTATGATTTGAACTCAAGTCTTCTAACTAAATGTTCATGATGCCATCACAATGCTGCCATGGTCATACTCTGTTCTAGAAGACGAACAGTGTATACCCGTGGCTCAAACTCATTAATTTGATTTCCAGACTTCTGCTACTTAATTGGTTTTGCTTTTCTTTGTTGGCAGTCATGTTTTTAAATCTATTAGAATTCATTCTTCTTTTCCAATTACTACTTTCTAATACATTCTAATGGAAGCATGTTTTTTATTGTATTTATGCATTATCCAATAGATTTTATTGGAAATGCCACTTCAAAATTTTTAGAGGCCTTATTTACGGTTCTTCATTACCATTGTTTCCACTGAGGCCATTTTTTTCTGATCTTAAAAAAATTTCCTTTTCTCTTCTAGTGACTGATTGTTTTCTTTCATCTGGTGATTTTTCACTGACCACTTACTTATGAATGAGGATTAGAATGATCAGCACCAGTGGGCTTCCCTAACAATCTGGTTGGATTGTGTTTAATATTCTTTGGTGGGGCCCTTCCCTCCTTTCCCTTCTTCCCTTCTCTGCCTTCTTCTCCCCTCCTTTCTTCCCTTCTCTTGCCTTCCCTTCATGGGCTTCCCTAACAATCTGGTAGGATTGTGTTTAATATTCTTTGGTGGGGCCTTTCCCTCCTTTCTTTCCTTCCCTTCCCTCCCTTCTTCTCCCCTCTTTCTTCCCTCTCTTGCCTTCTCTTCGTGGGCTTCCTTAACAATCTGGTTGGACTGTGTTTAATATTCTTTGGTGGGGCCCTTCCCTCCATTTCTTCCTTCCCTTCCCTTCCTTCCTCTCCCGCCCTTTCTTCCCTTCTCTTCCCTTCCCTTCATGGGCTTCCTTAACAATCTGGTTGGATTATGTTTAATACTCTTTGGTGGGACTCTTCCCTTCTTTCATCCCCTTTTTATGAGAAAGGAGAGAAGGCTGTGGTGAAAGATTCAGAAAATGGGAGTATTAGAATAGGTGTTAAGCTGCTGTAAAAAAAGAACCTCAAAATACCGGGACTTAAATAATATACCGATTTATTTCTCTGTCAAGTAACAGTCTAGTAGTGAGTAGTCCAGGTTGGTGGGGCAGCTCTCCTATCTTCAGTTAGTCATTTGAGGACATTGTTTCTTCCATCTTGTTGCTTCTTCAATCCCTATGGTGCTATTTTAACTGGCTGAAATTAGATCAAGCTAGAAGGAGAAAGTACAGTGATGAAGGGCAAGCAATTTCCTTTCATGAAAATGATACAGAAGCTGCTGCAGACATCTCTTCCACTCACATTCTTTCACATACCTCTTCCATTTCCATTGATGAGAACTAATCACATGACCATAACTGGTTGCAAAGTAGGCTGGGAAGTGGAGGCTAAAACTGAATATCCATATGCCTAGCTAAAATTCCACTACTAGGGAAGAGGAGAAGAAAAGATTTCTGGTGACCACTAGCAGTCTGCCACACCAAGCTGATAGGTAACAGATCTCTTTAAAAGTATGTAAAGCCAGGTCATAATGTTTCTCTAAGAGCCCAAAGTCATCTATGTGGCTCACAAGCCAAAAGGTGAGTCTCTGAAGTCTGGTGCAGGCGCACAAATGGAATCTCTTTTTTACCACCATAAAACTTAATTGGTTTTTAAATTGTTGAAATAATTTTCTTTTCCCTTCATCCCCAAAGATTCTGTGCAAAAGTGCAGAATACTTTTTCTGATGTTCTAAAAGGTAGCAATCTAGGCTATTTATTTAAATACCCTAAATGAAGAAAGTCTATTCAGGGATATCCTCAAATCCCAACTCTTGTTCTCTCCAGAGCCTTCTTCAAGTGCTCCATTGTTTCCCTTAACAAAGGAAGATGGAGAAATTCTCCCCAAAGGGGCCAGGGACTCTTGGTTCTCTTCCTTCTGTTGGAACTCCTTGGATAGCAAGGGAAAATTTTAAACTCTGAAATAAAAATGGGAATGTATTGGCTTATGCAATGTAAAAGTTCACAGAACAGACAAGAGATACACCTTGATCCAGGGTTTCAAAATAGGTCATCAGGATATGTCTCCTAATGTTACTTTTCTGAGTGTTGGCTTACCCCTTTGGCAAGTTCTCATTCATGGCGGTCTCCAACATTTCAAGTTTTTGTTTCACAGTGCCAATTCTATCTTATTTTATCATTATTTTTTGAGACAGGGTCTCACTCTGTTGCCCAGGCTAGAAAACCGTGGCATGATCATGGCTCACTGCAGCTTCAACCTCCCAGGCTCAAGTGATCTTCCCACTTCAGCCTCCTGAGTAGCTGGGACTACAGGCACATGCCACCACACCTGGCTATTTTTTTTTTTTTTTTTTTGCCTCATCCTCCCAAAGTGCTGGGATTACAGGCATGAGCCACTGCACCTGAACTCAACAGCCCTAATTCTAGCAAGAAAAGAGAATATACCACTTTCTCATCAGGTCAAGTGAAAGTACCCAAGATCATTAACATTGGCTCTGACTGGATCACTGGTACATCTTAGAATTTTTCAATTCCATGATCACATTGAATGTTCTGAATGACCCGTACCACATCATCCACATCATAGACACCCATAAAGAGCAAAAGGTTAACATCACACAAAGTAGTAGAAAGGAAAATCAAGGTTCTGTTAGCAGAAGGGAGCTTGGATGGTAGGCAACAAAATAACAACAAATGTCCACCACTCATCCATTTGCCTATGGAGTTAACGAATCTGGCTAATCTTAGGATGACTCTTAAATACTTGCCTTTGAATAAGGATGTTCTCTAGAGCCCTTTAAACTACTGAGTTTCCCTGAGTCGTCTTCTTGCAGTGTCTTATTCCAAGTGTTTGTGGTTATCATGTCCCCATGTTCTTTCACTTTCAGGTCAGGCATATGTCTTTCCCCTAGGACCTACTGATCCTGAGTAATATCACAATAATGACCATGTTGTAAAACTCCTTGTAGTGTTGATTTTATAGGTCACTTCCATTTTCTGTAACTTCATGCCACACTTCGTTTCTCCTGCAGATGGATATTTTTTTAAATTTCATGTTTCACTTTAAGAAAATGGGGGTACACAAAGATTCATAGCAAGGTAGTTTGTAAAGAATTTTAGGGGTAAGAAACCTTTATTTAATGAACAGAATAATGGATCTCTCCAAGAATTTTTTTTTTTTTTGAGACGGAGTCTCACTCTGTCGCCCAGGCTGGAATGCAGTGGCGCGATCTCGGCTCACTGCAAGCTCTGCCTCCTGGGTTCATGCCATTCTCCTGCCTCAGCCTCCCGAGTACCTGGGACTACAGGCACCTGCCACCACGCCTGGCTAATTTTTTGTATTTTTAGTAGAGATGGGGTTTCACCGTGTTAGCCAGGATGGTCTCGATCTCCTGACCTCGTGATCTGCCCTCCTTGGCCTCCCAAAGTGCTGGGATTACAGGCGTGAGTCACCACGCCCAGCTGGCTCTCCAAGATTCTTTAAAGACTGGACCTATTGATAGGTGGTTGTATACCGTGGGGTTTTCTCTAAGGCTTGGAATAGACAAGCCATTTGTTACACTAATGCCAAGGCTCTGTTCATATTGATGAGGAATAAGTGGGGAGCAGAGAATTTTGTTTTACCATTGTTCTTTTGAATAAGATAGATTAGTTGGGACTTCCACAATGTGCTGTGTGGCGAGGTGGCTAAGAACACAGACTGTATCAACATCCTAGTTCTGCCACTTACTGCCTACTTGATCTTAGGTAAGTTACTTGACTTCAGTATTCCTTATTCTTCAATAAAATGGAAATAATAACAGTATTCATGTCACAGAGTTGTGATGCTCATAGGAGTTAATGTGTATAAAATGTTTAGAGTAGTGTAAGAACCTGAAAGTAATATAAGAGCCAGGTAAGGACATACTAAGAACTTTGTTAGTGATTATTATATTATTTTTCATGAGAATTGCTACATAAATATTCCATGAACAAAGTGAAAGAAGTGGCTGGGTGAAGTGTAATCTCAATCTCATGCGTGTAATCTCAACACTTTGGGAGGCTGAGGCAGGAGGCTTGCTTGAAGCCAGGAATTTGCGGCCAGGAGTTCGAGACCACTCTAGACAACATAGAGAGAATCTGTTTCTACAAAACAATAACAATAAAAGAAAAGAAAAGAAATAAAAAGTTTAAAGTGAGAGAAATATGCAGTAGTAAGTTCCTTGAAGAAACAACCAAAGCATAAAACCCAGATTTTCTTTTTATGAATTCTGCCTAAATTATCCACTTCTGAGTAAGAAGGTGGAAGTAGCATACTAACGGAAAAACAGGCTAATGAGCCTACCCTAGTTTCACATTCAAGAGGTGGAATAATTTATGGGAAAGCTTTCAAAGCTTCCAAATACTGCAATCAAATCACTATATGGAGAAAGCTACAAAATCAAATTCCAAACAATGAAGACATCAGTTTCTTAATGGAACAGTTCCAACCATCTGGCATTCGTATGTTGTTTGTAGGGGTGGTTATTGTACAGATATAATGACCCAGTTCCACCTCTAGGCAAGAAGCTTTCATGAAGGAAGTTTACGCTGGCCACTTGTGGCTGGTTAAAATGACCAAAAGAGTTTTCTTTCCTTTTTTTTTTTTTTTTTTAAACTGTGCTATTGTTAATATTTCAAATTTGGACCTTTTCCCAGCAAAACACAAAAAGAAGAAGCTTCAAATACATTCATAGAGTGCAAGAAAGTGAGCAGAAGGAGGTTTCAATGTTTCAGAAAGAAATTTTTTCTTCAAGGCAATTTTTTTTAAAAGAAGTGCCTTATTACATAGGCTGGATCCAGTATTAATGATAATCAGTTATTTTTATTAAACAGGTTTAAATTTTGGATACTTTTTTTAAACTACACCTTAAAAACGGACTTTGGATAAAACTGGAACACAAAAAGCAAAGACATTTTGTTTTCTTTTGGATGCACTGCCAATTTTGTTAGCATAGTATCTTTTCCATTTACTATGGAACTTGACCTACAGTCTAAGGTTCAATTGTTCATTTAAAATTAATTAATTCCACAAATATTTACTGTATAACTAGAAAGTGCTAGATACTGAGGTAGGTATATTTAATGGAGTGCAAAAAAGTGGTTTTAAAGAAATTGGAACAGGCAGGTTGTGAAAAGGGTAGGTTGGTACAAAATGTTAACAGCATGAGAGATTTTTTTAAAAAAGATAACCAGATAAGATGAAAAAGAAAATGGAAGACAAAAGGGAGACATGCAAGAAAAATTAAAATGCATTCTAAATAAAATCTATATTGGAGTAATTGAAGAGAAAAATGTTCTGGATAATAGCAATGTGGATTTTACAGTTTATAAGCTCTCCTAGGATGCAGTGGGGAAAGGCAAAGAGATAAAAATGACAAGTGACTGACTGAATGGAGAACAGAGATCTCAATATATGGATAAGGCTGTTCTTGAAGGAGACTGAAATGAACAAAAGCCACAATTAAATATATGGTAGAGGAAAACTTTCCTGAACCTATTTTATGAAGGTTTATATACTTATTTATAATCCTATTACACAAAGACCTATTTGTGTAGATTTGAAGGGTTTCTTAGTTCCAACATAGCTTTTTAAGAGAAAAAAACATTTAAAGATGTGCTGAGACTAAAATATAGATCATTGCTGGAGTGCATTTGGGCTGCTATAGTAAAATACACTAAAATGGGTAGCTTTTAAACAAAAGAAATTTATTTAAAACAGTTCTGGAGGTTGGGAAGTTCAAGATGAAGGCACCAGCAGATTTGGTGTCTGATGAGGGCCCATTTCCTGGTTCACAGATGGTACCTTCTTGCTGTGTCTTCACATGTGAAAGGGGTCAGGGCATCTCTTTGAGGCCTCTTTTCCAAAGGCACTAATCCCATTCCTAAGCGCAGAGACCTCATGACTTAATTATCTTTCAAAGGCTATACCTTCTGATATCATCACCCTGGTGATTAGAATTCAACATATAAATTTGTGGGTGACACAAATGTTCAGACCATAGCAACCACCCAGCAGGCCGTGTTGAAAAATGTGAAGATTAGTCCAAGCAACTGAGTTGTGTACTAAGTTGAGAGCATTTAAAAAGTAGTATTAAGGGCTGGGTGCGGCAGCTCATGTCTGTAATTCCAGTGCTTTGTGAGGCCCAGGAGGAAGAATCGCTTCAAGGCTGGAGTTTAAGACCAGCTTCAGCAATGTAGTGAGACCCCATCTCTACAAAAAATTAAAAAGTAAATTTAGCCAGGTGTGGTGACACGTGCCTGTAGTCCTAGCTACTCATGAGGCTGAGATGGAAGGATTGCTTGAGTCTAGTTCGAGGTTACAGTAAGCTATGATTGTGCCACTGCACTCCAGCTTGGGTAACAGGGTAAGACTCTGTCCCAGTAAATAAATAATAAAGATAATTATTAAAAAGGAAGAAAAAAATAAACTGAGCGTTCAGCACCAGAAAGGAAAGAGGATAACAACATAAACCCAAGGAAGTCAGTAGTTAAACCCAAGGATTTGACTGTAAGCAAAATAATTAATGAGATACACAACAGTAAAATGAACAGCATTGATAAATACATCCTGGATCTGATTTTGCAAATTATTTTTTTAAAAAGTATCTACAGTACTAGGGTAAACAAATGGGTAAAATACAGTAAGCAAATACCATTAACAATTTCAGTTCAGGCAATTTGAAATCTCAACAAAAAGATTATTACATAAAAATTATTTAAAGATAAATAGAATAGTAGCTATGGAAAAGACTTGTTGTAGGGTGAGTTCTCAGGAAGTAGATGGGGGAGATTTAGGAGTGCAAACGGTTCACTGGGGAGTAACATCTGTGAAAGGAAAAGGTTGAGAAGCAGGATAGGGCAGGGGATGCCAACAGATCATGATGCAGACCCTACAAAGTCTTTGCTATCCCGACGTGGATCTTGGGAAAAAGGTGGCCCATTAGAGAAGCTACTTATTAGGCCCTTGCTCAGTCATTGGGCATGGTACACCATGAGAAGAGCATAATCTCAGCTATCACCTCTTTGCTCATTCATTGGCTGAAAGGATGCCCCGAGAGGAATATGAACCCACTTCCAAAGCTACACAGGACCCTGAAGGCGCTAAATACCATGGGCTATTAGCTAACTACATTCTTTGCAGCTGGTCAGTGTGTTTTCTTGAAAGGGATCTGAATGGCACATTTCCATGTCTTCAATAGTCCACCCCTTGCTCCGTGTGGAGCTATTTCCCCAAACTTGTTGAGGTAGCAGCACCTCCAAGTGTCTGATGGGCCTCTTTGCCTGCAGGAAAACTTAGAAGAGGAAGACTAGCAGGATGAATGTCAGGCTTCATCACAATAGTTGGTCTCAGGACCAAAAATAGTACTCACCCTCTTATTCCCTTATTATACAGGCTAATTCTCTAAACCCTCAGTGAACACCTCTGCCAGTCTTGCTAATGTACCTCATAGTGTGTCCCAAACCCTCATTCCTCACAGATCTGTGTTTTTGTAACCGTACTCTTCTTTAGTTGTGATGTTTGTCCATTCATAGCCATAGTTGGACAAGGAAGTACCAAGAGGCACCAAGTGGGTCCTGTGAGTTTCATAAATCTTCCTTCCTGCCCCCATTTAATTACAGCAGCCCTATCTCCTCCTGTTAATTATCAGGGTGGATTATTCCTGAAAGGATGGTGATTGCACTTCTTGTCTGCTGATTTCTAGGCGTAAGGACCACAGTTTTCCCAGACAACAACCATGGCTTGTAGTTCAATGGAAACTTTGCAAGAGTGCAGAACCTCTAACCCTGAAGAGCTTAAAGTTGTGTGAAGGGGGGCACAAAGTGCCACAGGGAGTCACTGACAGTGATGATAAGTGGGGTCACTTCTGCTTCCATCTTCTTGGTCCATGGACCCATGTATTTTTCGTGTTAGTGGCAAAGCACTGCATAAACATCCCTGATCCAATGCATATACTGCATCCTGAATAACAGTTCCGTATTCTTGCAAGGCACTGTCCCAAGTTGGTGCCTTAGCTGCGTCTTCATTGAAACATTCCATACTTTAGTAGGAAACTTCTGGATGGTGCAGTATGTGATATGCCCATATGCACCTTCTTCACTGTAAACTAAATGCCCTGGTTGAATGTTGCATGGTATTCCATGCCTATGAATCAGGCATTCCATAAGCCCTGGATAGCCATACTGGCTGAGGCCCCAAGGGCAGGAAAGGAAATGACATATACAGACTAGATGTCTATTCCTAAGGAAATGAACTACTCATCCGTCCAGAAAGAAGAGGCCCAACCTAACAATCTTGCTACCAAGTTGCTAGTTGGTCTCATCAAGGAATCCAGGGGCTGAACTGGTCTCTGTTTTAGCAGTTTGAACGCTCAGAAATAACACTAGCTAGATCAGCTTTGGTAAGTGGAAATTCCATGCTCTTGGGTCCGTGCAGCCTCCCTCTTTGCCATGGTGGCCACTTCATTCATTTGTTCATTGTGTTAGCACTGGTAGCGCTGCTAACAAAGGCTGACTCAGTGTTCCTGCTTGAGAAGATAAGCAGCAATTCTACCTCTTTCCTCTCCTTTGCCTGTTGGAAGAATTATGGAAGCGGGGGCCAGGCTCCCGCCTGTAATCCCAGCACTGTAGGAGACTGAGGCAGGTGGATCACTTGAGGCCAGGAGTTCGAGGCTAGCCTGGCCAACATGGTGAAAACCTGTCTCTACTAAAAACACAAAAATTAGCCAGACATGGTGGCACACACCTATAGTCCCAGCTACTCAGGAGGCTGAGGCAGGAGAATCACTTGAAGCTGGGAGGCGGAGGTTGTAGTGAACCTAGATTGTGCTACTGCACTCCAGCCTAGCCAACAAAGCGAGACTTCGTCCTAAAAAAAAAAAAAAAAAAATTACAGACAGGGAGGATCGTGTTCATTCAGGTTCATCTTGGGATTGATTATGGTACTCAATTTAATACACTTGCCAAAACTTGTCCCTAATGGTCAGATCCATGCTCTCTCAATCTAAATTTCTACAAGTCAGTGCAGATCTCTCTCTGGGAAGAAGTCTAGTAATTTCTATTGTTAATCTTTCAGAAACCTAAAGTCTCAGAAAAAGGTTTTAAAGATAACTTTTCATACTCCTTCCTTTCTAGATATTTTCTTAGAAATTGGAAATAAATTATCCTCATCAGCAAATCCTAGTAACGTTCAAGTGCTATCACTTTCTTTCTTCTGATCATATTGCATCTTCCCAAGGGGTTTAAAGTGTGCTCTGTTACTGTTTCAAACTCATTACAGTCAATTTGTATTCTGCAAATTAGCAGTGATTTTGCAAGGTCACCTCTTGTGTGCATAGTAATCCTCTCCAGGTTGTAACTGTCTTATACCAAAGTGGTTCTTACTCTAGGATTTGTAATCTTTCCATGGTGCAGACATGAGGTGCCCAAGGGTTCCTGGCAATCATGGATGAGGACTCCACACTTCGTGGGTATTATAGGCTGAAACATTTCCCTCTCTAAATTCCTATTTTGAAATTCTAAACCCCAGTACCTTAGAATGTGTCTGTGTTTGGAGATAAGTCCTTAAAACAGTAATTAAGGTAAATGAGGTCATACGGATGGGTCCTAATTCAATATGACTCATATCCTTATAAAAAGAGGAGATTAGGACATAGATATACACAGATCAAGGGAAGATGAAGGGAAGATACGAGGAGAAGACAAGCCAAGGAGAATGGTCTGAGAAGAAACAACCCTGCCAACACCAGGAACTTGGACTGCCAGACTCCAGAACTTTGAGCAAATAAATTTCTGTTGCTTAAGCCAGCCAGTCTGCAATATTTCATTATACTAGCCTTATCAAACTAATACAGTGGGTTTATTCCTTTTTTATTTATTTAAATTATTTTAAAAAATAGAGACGAAGCTGGTCTTGAACTCCCGGGCTCAAGCAATCCTCCTGCCTCGGCCTCCCAAAGTGCCAGGATTATAGGTGTGAGCCACTGAACCTGGCCAGTACAGTAGATTTGAATCACCATCAATAAACTTAGATATACAAGAGTATTTTTCTTTATTTCAGATTAAATTCCTGCTCTGGTACCCTTATTCTTCAGAGTTAGTGGGAAAACAGGAGCTCAGCTCTTTTGGAGTTTTCTTTCATTTTTAGGGAACAGTTACACATACCTACCCAGGTCAGTCAGCATTCCAGAGTTTTCTGTAGTTGCAACATGTTGGAGAAGGTCCAGCTAGTTTTGGTCCTTAGAGGTTAACTTTGCTACTTCATTTGCCCAAGTCCATTGCCACTATGCCATTCATGGGACATGAGCATCTGTGACTAAGCTATTCTAGGGCACATCTACCTAAGAGTTCCTATCCCTTGAAGTCTTTTATTCTCCAGGGTCTTTCTGTCTCCCCAGCTTCACTGCTGGGAAGCAGGGCAGATGAGCTGTCTGCTCTCCAGGATACACAGACCTCTGTTTATCACTCTTTCACTTGTAGAATATCTGTTTTTAGTCTGGGGAACTAAGGTCTATTCATGCCACTTTTTAAATCCCTTTCTCCTAATCTTTCTGTAAAGATTTTTGGCTCTTCTGTTCTCTGTCCTGTCATGTACTTTCCTGAGCAATAAGCACAGAGCATATTACTATTCGACAATGAGAGAGGGAAAAGTGGAAATACAGGGAGAAGACAATATGGAATAAGAATCTCAAAATAGAGTCCTGTCAATTAATTTTTCTATCCCACTACAGACAGAAAAACTATACACACTGATTATCAAAGTATATTTTATGGTTACATGGAATTAGGATACTATCTATGAGAAACCAGAAGCTTTATGCATAGGAACAAACTACTAACTTGTTTCTTATAATTTGTCTTAGGACATGTTTATCGTGTGTCTTGGTTTTACCTAGGAGTACAATCACTTTCTGCTGTTAGGTGTTATAGTGATAATATGTGGTTAATCACAACAGTAGCCCCCAAAGGATCTAATGGCTGAACATTATTCCATAATAGTTTGTTTTAGAAATATTATTGTATGGATAGACCCCAATAATTTCATTTACCTTTTTTTTTTTTTTTTTTTGAGACATAGTCTTGCTCTGTCACCCAGGCTGGAGTGCAGTGGCGTGATCTTGGCCCACTGCAACCTCCACCTCCCGGGCTCCAGCGATGCTGCCTCAGCCTCCTGAGTAGCTGGGACTGCAGGTGGTGCCACCACACCCAGCTAATTTTTTGTATTTCTAGTAGAGACATCATTTTGCTATGTTGGCCAGGCTGGTCTCGAGCGTCTGGCCTAAAGTGATCTGCTGCCTTGGCCTCCCGAAGTGCTGGGATTACAGGCATGAGCCATCACAACCTGCCTCATTTGCATTTAAAATATATTATTGAGGTGTAATTTATGAACGTTAAATTCTACCAATCTTAAATGTTCAGTGCAATGTCCTGCATCTTGCTTTGTGTGGTGGTTACATATACCCATGTTAGTGGAATACATATACCCATGCAATCACCACACAAAGCAAGATATACAGGATATTTCCCTGACTGCAGTTTCCTTGTGTGCCTTTTCAGTCAATCCCCACCCCCAAGGCAATCAATGCTCTATTTCTTTCATCATAGATTAGTTTTTTTCTATTCTAGAGCTTTATAAACATGAAATCATGTAGTATGTACTGTTTTGTGTCATTTTTTGCTCAGCGTGTTTTGAGATTCACCCATATTGTGTATATCAGTAGTCCATTCCTGATAGTGCTAACTGGTCTTCCATTTGTGTCTTTAAAAAAAAAAATCACTGGAATGTACTCTGTTTCTGTATCTGGCAGAGTATATGTTGGCCTCTGAGAAATGCAGGGGTTTGGCAGAGCCATTCAGTTAAATATAATCAGTGCCTAATCCAGCAGTTTCTGCAAAGGTGTCACTTCTTTAACTTGTCCACTTATAGTGAGTACTCACTCTAGGGGCAGTACATTTGAGTCTCTCCTTTTCTCTGATCCATCCATGATCTAGGCTACAGGGTGTCATTGAACCCCTGAGATTACGTTCAGAAGGTGGGTGAATATATGCATTAGTTAAGCTAAAATTCTCACAATTTAATGGATCAAGGAAATTTCTTTTTTCATACAAGAATCCATAGTGGGTATCCATGTTAGCAGAGAGGTGCTACTCTACATGGATGCTTAGGTGTCAGGACTATGGCTGCTTATTATCTTGGCTTCCAAAGTTGGTGTGGGCATCACCATCTTAGCCAGAAGGGACTCACAGCACAGAGGAGCACCCATGGGAGAATTTTACAGGTAGTCTCAGAACTGGCAGAAGTCACTTATGCTCACATTCGACTGGAGAGAACTGTTACATGTCCTCAACTATCTCCAAAAGAAGCTGATGTCCAAGAGGGCAAGAATGGATATTGTCACTAGAGGCCTCTCCTACAATATGTATATTCTACATTTATCTACAGCTTTGATTAGGTTCTCAAAGGGCCGGGTCTATACCCAGAAATGTTTCAGAGCCTGCTGTAAGGGCATGTGGGCACTGCTGCTTCCACCTTGCCCTAGAAGGTATACTGGGCCATCAAGGCAAGACACAAAAATGACATAAAATACACATAATGTAGGAAAATCCTGCTGTTGCACAGGATGACATAATACTGTTCATATTCCTTGGAATACTCATTGCAGAACTTGAGGTCGACATCCTATGAGCTACTAGATCTCACAAAAATCCAGCATATTAGAACAAGCCATATTTTATGTGAAAGAAAGGAGCAATTTTTTGTGGTATTTTTGTGTCTTTTGTAAGAGATTCTTCTCTACCCTGAAGTGATGAAGATATTCCAAAAATCTGGAAGTTTCACTTTGCAAATTTAGGTTTTTAATTCATTAAGAACTTTTTGTTTTTAAAAAAACTTATTTAATACTCATATATAACAAAGTAACTTTTTAATTAATTAATTGATTAATTTTTAAAAATTATACTTTAAGTTCTGGGATACATGTACAGAATGTGCAGGTTTGTTACATAGGTATACATGTGCCATGATGCTAAGATAATTGGCACTTTATGTAGAGGAAAAAATATCAGATCCCTACATCACACTATTTTTTAAAAGGTTCTTACAGAGGAAAAAATATCAGATCCCTACATCACACTACTTTTTAAAAGGTTCTTATAGAGGAAAAAATATCAGATCCCTATGTCACACTATTTTTTAAAGGTTCTTAAAGAGGAAGAAATATCGGATCCCTATGTCAAAACCTATGTTTAAAAGGTTAACAACCTTTTAAAAAATAGCGTGATGTAGAGAACTGATTTTTTTCCTGTATATAAAGTGCCAATTATCTCAGCATCATTTATTAAGCAACAACACATGTTTTTTTTTTAGCTTTTATTTTAAGTTCAGGGGTACATGTGCAGGTTTGTTACATAGGTAAAGTTGTGTCATGGGGGTTTGTTGTACAGACTATTTCATCACCCAGGTATTAAGCCCAGTACCTATTAGTTATTTTTCCTGATCCTCTCCCTCCTCCCACCCTCCACACTCCAATAGGCCCCAGTGTGTTTTGTTCCCCTCTATGTGTCCATGTGTTGTCATCATTTAGCTCTCACTTATAAGTGAGAATATGCGGTGTTTGGTTTTCTATTCCTGCATTAATTTGCTAAGGATAATGGCCTCTAGCTCCATCCATGTCCCTGCAAAGGACAAGATCTCATTCCTTGTTATGGCTGCATAGTATTCCATGGCGTATATGTACCACATTTTCTTTATCCACATTTTCTTTAGCCCATCTGTCACTGATGGGCATTTAGGTTGACTGCATGTCTTTGCTATTGTGAATAGTGCTTCAATGAACATATGTGTGCATGTGTCCTTATAATGGAATGATTTCTGTATTCCTTTGGGTATATTCCCAGTAATGGGATTGCTGGGTTGAATGGCATTTCTGTCTTTGGGTCTTTGAGGACTTGCCACCCTGTCTTCCAGAATGGTTGAACTAATTTACACTCCCACCAACAGTGTATACACTGTTTTTTTTTTTCCTCCACAACCTCACCAGCATCTGTTATTCTTTGAATTTTTAATAATAACCATTCTGACCGGTGTAAGATGGTATGGTACCTCATTGTGGTTTTGATTTGCATTTTTCCAATGATCAGAGATGTTGAGCTTTTTTTTCATATGATTGTTGGCTGCATGTATGTCTTCTTTTGAAAAATGTCTGTGTTCTTTGCCCACTTTTCAATGGGGTTGCTTGTTTTTTTCTTGTAAATTTGTTTAAGTTCCTTATAGAGGCTGGATATTACACCTTTGTCAGATGCAAAGTTTGCAAAAATGTTCTCTCATTCGGTAGGTTGTTTACTGTGTTGATAGTTTCTTTTGCTCTGCAGAAGCGCTTTAGTTTGATTAGATCCCATTTGCCAATTTTTGCATTTGGTGTCTTCATCATGAAATCTTTACCTGTGCCTATGTCCTGAGTGATATTGTCTAGGCAGTCTTCAAGGGGTTTTTATAGTTTGGGGTTTTACATTTAAGTCTTTAATCCATATTGAGTTAATTTTGGTATATAGTGTAAGGAAAGGGTCCAGTTTCAATCTTCTGCATATGGCTAGCCGGTTATCCCAGCACCATTTATTGAAAAGGGAATCCTTTCCCCATTGCTTGTTTTTGTCAGGTTAGTCAAAGATCAGATAGTTGTAGGTGTGCAGTCTTATTTCTCAGTTCTTTATTCTGTTCCATTGGTCTATGTGTCTGTTTTTGTACCAGTATCATGCTGTTTTGGTTACCGTAGCCCTGTTGTATAGTTGGAAGTTGGGTAGGGTGGCCTTCAGCTTTGTTGTTTTAAGCAAATCATCTTTGATGTATGAATTTACATGGACTTGGACATTTACATGTAGTTGTTTCTGAATTCTCTTTCGCTACGTTATCAGCCACTGCACCAATACCACATTATTATTATTTTTTTTAATTTGAGAAAGAAGCCTTAGATTATCTTGATAGCTGGATGGAAAATTTTCCCTCCTTAAGCTTCTCCAGAATTCTCTTGATTATTCTTGGCTTATTAGGCTTACCCTTGAATTTTAGAATCAAGTTGTCAGGGGCTGTGAAAAACCCTATTGCAATTTTGAGTAGATTGCATTACATATATTGGAGGTTTTGCATCCACAAACACGGTGCATATTCAGGCCTTTTTATGTATTTTAATAAAGTTTTATAATTTTCCATATAGGCACTGTACTTTCCTGTTAGTTTCCATTAAAGTTATAATAAAGACTTGTTGCTAATATGGGCCAGGCACAGTGGCTCATGCCTGTAATCCCAGCACTCTGTGAGGCCAAGGTGGGCAGATCACTGGAGCCCAGGAGTTCAAAACCAGCCTGGCCAAAATGGTAAAACCCCGTCTCTACTAAACATACAAAATTAGCTGGGCGTGGTGGTGCATGCCTGTAATCCCAGCTACTCAGGAGGCTGAGGCAGGAGAATGACTTGAACCTGGAAGGCAGAAGTTGCAGTGAGCCGAGATAGTGCCACTGCACTCCAGTCTGGGCAACATAGCTAGACTCCATCTCAAAAAAAAATAAAAAAATTAAAAAAATTTGTTGCTAATATTGAGATGGTATTTGTTCCCTTGACCTTGACCCCCTTCATGGACAGGAATGGAGTGGCTCATTTCACTCAGCCTGCAGTCCATGGATGGCTAAGTGTTAACAGCTCAGTGAAGGGTCAGGGTGACAGCCTCCTGCACCTGCCCTTTTTGACCCTGAGTTCTTGTTTGGTGTCCAGGGAGAATCAGGTCAAATGAACTGTTTAAAAGATGAATGCAGAAGACTTTATTGAGCAGTGGAAGTGGCTCTTGGTGAAAGGGGAGCTGGAAAGGGGATGGTGTGGGAAAAAGGTGATCTTTCCCTGAAGCCCAGCTGTCTCTTGCTGGGCACCCTTCTGAAACTGCACCCTCTGAAGTTAGCCACATTTATCCATAGCCTCTGATGCTTAGTTGCCTCTCTGCTTGCTGCTTGGCTGCTTGTATCCCCGCCAGTCAGCTGCTTGTGCTTCTCTTTTCCTTTTTTTTTTCTGCCAGCTGGTCTGGTTTTTATGGGCACAGGATAGGGGGCAGGGTGGGCCAAAAGGCAATTATTTGGGACGAAAAATGGGGTCAGCTGTTTTCACTTAGGGCCAAGGTTCCAGGCTTGAGGGTGAGGTTTAGCCAGAAGCCCAGCCCTTCAGGATCGGCTGTTTTCACTTAGGTTAGGGGTTCTAGGCTTGAGGGTGGGGTTTAGCCAGGAGCTCAGCCATTCTGTATCAATATGTGTGAGAGGCCTTTCAAAAATTATTTTTTCTAAGGGGGTGTGGCTTTTTTGCATATTGATCTCATATTCAACAATGTTGCTAAGCTCTCTTTATTAGATACTTTATTGGATTTGCTTGGATTTCTTAAGCAGACAACTATATAACCTATAAATCATATTTTTCTTGTTTTCTAACTTTCATACCTTCTAATTTGTTTTTCTTGTCTTATTATATTGACAAGTGGCTTCAGTACAATGTTGAATGGAGATGGCAAAAGCTATCTTTGTTTTGTTGTCAATTTTGAAAGAAAAATATTGAATGAATTAACATTAAAAATAATGCTTCTGGAGTTGGGTTATTGGTAGCAACTCTATCATGTTCAGGAAATTCCTCCCTATTCCTACTTTGCTAAGATAAAAAAATGAGTTGTGAATTACTTTACATTTTCATATATATACATACGTATATATGTACATACATATATACGTATATATTACACATATACATATATACATATATGTACACTTACGTATATGTGTACATGTATATACATATATATATATGAAAATGTAAAGTAATTCACAACTCATTTTTTTATCTTAGCAAAGTAGTAATAGGGAGGAATTTCCTGAACATGAAACATGTACGTATATATATATACACCTATATACGTATATATGTACATATATATACGTATATAGGTGTATATATATATATGTGTGTGTATATATATATATATATATATATTTTTTTTTTTTTTTTCCCCTGGAGTCTCACACAGGCTGGAGTGCAGGGGTGCGATCTTGGCTCACTGCAACCTCCACCTCCCAGGTTCAAGTGATTCTTTTGCCTCAGCCTCCTGAGTAGCTGGGACTACAGGCGTGCGCCACCACGCCTGGCTAATTTTTGTATTTTTAGTAGAGATGGGGTTTCACTATGTTGGTCAGGCTGGTCTTGAACTCCTGACCTCGTGATCTGCCCACCTCAGCCTCCCAAAGTGCTGGGATTACAGGCGTGAGCCACTGCATCCCGCCACATTTTCTAATATTAAGCCATCTTTACATTTATGGTATCAACCCAATATGTTTATTATGCATATTGTGAAAACACATTGAAATTGGTTTAATAATACTATATGTAGAATTTATCATTTTTTATTCCTTATTAGATTGGTCTAGTATTTTCTTTTCTATGGCTTTGTCAGGTTTTGGTATCAAAATTTTATTAGCTTATAATGGACTGGGGTGCTTTTTTTCTTTTTCTATGCTTTGCAACCATTTGAATAGAGGTTATTTGTCCATGAAGATTTGGTAAGTCTTACCAACCAAAACTTTGAACTTTTTTGCATATTTATTTAGAAATAAGAATTTAAATTATTTAATGGTTTTAAATACATTTGTATTATTTTTGAATTAATGCAATTTTACAATTTATTAAAAAGTATTTCAGCTCTGTAATTTTGCTGTTTTTCAAGTTTTAAAAATACTGAGCTTTGTATTATTTAAAAATTTTGCACATAAAGTAAAATTTTCTTGATGTGTTTATCATACATTTAAATGTACTTTGGCCAGGTGCCGTGGCTCATGCCTGTAATCCCAGCATTTTGGGAGGCCGAGGTGGGCAGATCACCTGAGATCGGGAGTTCGAGACCAGCCTGACCAACATGGAGAAACCCCGTTTCTACTAAAAATACAAAATTAGCTGGGCATGGTAGCGCACGCCTGTAATGCCAGCTACTCGGGAGGCTGAGGCAGGAGAATCACTTGAACCCAGGAGGTGGAGGTTGTGGTGAGCCAAGATTGTGCCATTGCAGCCTGGACAACAAGAGTGAAACTCCGTCTTAAATAAATGTACTTCAATTAAAATCATACAAAATGTAACTGTACTGTTTTGCTAAATTACATTACAGAGAGTTTGCATGAGTTTACACCTATTTTTCAAGTATCATTATTTAAAAGAAATCTTTGTCAACAAAGGAAAATGTAAAATCATGTATTATTTTAATTTTCATCTTTTATTGAATTAAAAATTAATTTATTGAAGAAAGTATTTCAGCCAAGTTTTTTAATGTTCATAGTATTCTTAGGATTTAAAAAATTCTACTGAAACTGTAATTATAATCTCCATATTCATAGCCTTCTTTTCTCTTTTTTCATTGTCAATTTTACCAGAAATTTATCTATCTTGCTATTGTTCTATAGAACTAGGTTTTTGTTTTGTTGACCCTTTCTATGATTTCTTTGTATCCAGATCCATTTTTAGCTTTATAGTTGTATATATAACACACATATATTTTTTTCCTTTTCCTTGTCTTTCTTCACTCTGTTTTAGATCTAAGCCTTTTTTATTTTGGATGAGGGAGACTACAGAGAAAGGATCTGCTAGCCTTGACCTACTTCTGATGTTACCCAGAGTATTCATGCAGATGTATGTGATAAGAAAAAGGTGAACACAGAGTTACTCTGTTTGGGGCTTTCATTGCAGCCTAGTCCTTGCAGGAGGCTGCTGCATGCAAACCCAAATTCTCTCCATTCTTGGAATCTCCTTATGCCACCTGCACTCTGAAGAGTGTTATTATTATTACTTTTTACTAAATTGGGCTGCCCCACCCACCTTTGCCGCTGGACTTTTAAAATAGAAAGGTTTCCTAAGGAGAATGCTTTTTTTTCCCCCCTAGCCAAGGGGAAAAACACTGGAGAGGCACAAATACCCCATTTCAAGGAGGAAGAAAACTATGCCTGGAGGCATCATCTGCAAAACTTTCCGGAAAAGGCTGAGTTCTCTCAGGGTATTGTTTCACCAAAATACTGTCTTTGAATCAGTCTCTACCTTAATAGACTGGAGGGAAAGTTTCCAACAGATCGTTTTGCTGATAGTTTTGATTACTCTCGAACAGAAAATTTCAAAAGCTTTTTGCCAGAGGGAAGCGAACAGAGGGAGGAAGAGAGAACTCTTCCATGAGTGTGCCATGACTGGGGAACCTTTTGAACAAATAATAGTGCCAAAGGCAGTGACAGCCAATTTTTCCACCCGAAATGCTTCTCAAATTATAGTCCTTGGATCACTAGCTTATATCAATAGTCTGACAAAGTCTATGGTGTCCTTCCAGATATTAATGTAAAACCTGAACTTGAAATATCCATCACAATGTTTCATTTTGCTGAACTTTTTCTGAGACACAGTCTTGTTCTGTTGCCCAGGCTGGAGTGCAGTGGTGCAATCTTGGCTCACTGCAACCTCTCTCTCCCAAGTTCAAGAGATTCTTATGCCTCAGCCTCCCAACAGCTGGGACTACAGGCATGCACCACCATGCCGGCTAATTTTTATATTTTTAGTAGAGACAGGGTTTTAGTAGAGACAGACATGTTGGCCAGGCTGGTCTCAAACTCTTGGCCTCAAGCGATCTGCCCACCTTGGCCTCCCAAGGTGCTGGGATTACAGGTGTGAGCCACCATGCCTGGCTTCATTTTGCTGAACATACATATATATTTAAAAATTTTAAAACTTTTTAAGAGACAGGGCCTGGCTGTTGCCCAGGCTGGAGTGCAGTGGCACAATGGCAGCTCACTGCAGCTTCGAACTCCTGGGCTCAAGCGCTCCTCTCGCCTCAGCCTCCCAAAATGCTGGGATTACAAGCATGAGCCACTGTGGCTAAGAATATTTTTTGTCATGTTTGACAGCGCCAGCTGTCTTTGGGTCTTTACCTCTGCTGAAGTCATTTGAAGAAACAAATCTAAAGAAATACTGCTTGGCAGAGGGGAGGAGAGAAAGGTTAGGACAGAAAGCATCAGGATGACTCTCCAAGAAAGGGAATGTCTGAATGACAAGAGGACTACAGACAGGAGAAAACATTCAAGAAAATTTATCAAGGTATTCTTTGTTCCTGTTGAAACCTCATCATCAATGTTAGTGTCTTCAGAAGCCCACCCAAATATATTATTTTACTTTGATAAAAGACAACTTGGAACCATATAAAAGACTGCACTGGTACCATTATTCCATTTTACAGATGAGAAAAGTAGCTCATTTGGAACATAATGAGCTAGGTTTTATGGATTAATCTAGATGCTGAACTGAATTCTGTATTGTATTTCATTTTCTCTGTCCTTTTCTACTGGATGTACATACCTACATTTAATTTTAGAGTTATCGATCTAAAGCTGGCTGCAGAAGCTGTCTCATTTAGACAGGTCCACGCTTGTCAGGAAGACAGGTCTGTCCAGGCAGACCTTTCAGTTTGTTCTATATTTCATTTCAGGCCACAGCAGACCAAATAAAGAGGAAATGAAGTGTTTTATAGCAAATAACTTACTGTTGAATACACATGTCTTGTACGGACAGGCCTCCCAATTTGATGTTAGAAGGGGCCACAGAGTAGTTAAGATAGTCAAAACAGAAGCAACTGTATTCCTTAAGAAGGTAAGAGACAAAATCAACATATTAAAAATATTCAAGTTGAGTGGTAGGTAAGAAACTCCTTTTACTTTACCTTTGATTTATGGGGAAAGGCTAAACATGGAAATAATTAATTTTAAAATGTCTTTATATTAGATATAGAAGTATTGGTGTTAAGAAATCTGATAGTAAGTACAGTGTATAGGAAGAAAGAGACGGGAAAATTAGCTAATAAGTGATTTTTTGACTTGAGTAGAGCTATGGTTAAAAATATATGGAAACCTCTTTCGAGTATATTTTTTTCTTACCAATATATACTTTTTATGATACTGAGATTTTATAGTGAACATTTGCCTATTCATCCCAATATAATATTTCTTATAGTTTGGTATCAACCCCTATGATTATTTGTGAGATAAGGGAGTGGTTTGTATTCATGGGTATACATATCTATACACATTTCTGCATGCCGTACACAAACATAAGTAGCATTGTGCATGAACATATTAGCACTGTGCATGTACTAAAATTTCAATTTTTTCACATAGTAGGTTATAAAATAAATCATATATTCGTAGGAAAGGTATAGAAAGCAAAGTTATTTAAAGTGGATTTTTAAAAAAGATTTGAATGATTTTTTTTAAAAAAAAGATTAGAACCATTGTTTTTAAAAGGAAACAGCTTTAGATAGTAAATTATTTACAGCCAGGACTCAGCCCTGAGCATCCTGTGAAAACCACACGAGCTTGGTCAAGGTTCTAAGCAGTCACCGGTGGGAGATGGTCATGGTCCCGTCACAGCATAACTCACTTGAGGCTTGAAAAGTTTCCGTCCAGCTACGGTTTGCAGTGACCTTTCTCTTCTGCAAAGCCCACGGTTACCTGGTGGCCACCACCAACATAGCCCCGCCTCGCTGTCCTGCGTTTCTCTCAATCAGATCAGTCCTGCCGAGTCCCCATGCCTTACTGCTGGTGTGCTGTGTCCTCTGTGCCATTTCAAGGCGAGGGCTCATGAAACTTTTACTCACACGCTGCTATTTTTGATATGCGGTGGCCTTAGCTGTGGAGCGAGAGGCCGATAATTGTGATCACTCCGGAAATCCTGGGAAGCCAGAAGTGGGAGATGGGTGTTGTGAGGTGGCGTGGCTAGGGAGACCCCATCGAGTGGGTGTGTTATAAGACCTGGGCGAATCCCTGTGGCTGCCACTCTCCTGAGAATGTTCCCTAGGCCTTAGTCCCGCGCCGCTCCCACCCACACCTCCAGGTGTGCAGTCCCCGCCCTTAATTACTCTCACTAAAATTGATAGTTTACACTTGCAAAGCTACACTGGGAAAGCGGAAGAGAAATTTATAATCGTGGATATGGAGAACTAGGGGAGCAGACACACTTGCTTTCGTTTACAGATCCAGTGAAGTGAAAAATCAGAACTAGAAACGTATGCACCTTCCTAGCAGCAAAGCCGCTTCTGCGTTCTTCGCAGCCTCCAGTGCAGGGCGGCGCTGGGAGAAACTTTGCGCCTTCTGGAAAGTTTAGAAAGTGAGCCACGAAAGAGAGGCCACATTTCCGGGGTTTTGCGGGCCCCGCGATGTTTTCCAGAGCTTTTCGAGTGGGAAGAGGAGAGCGACAACGTGAAAATGCCCCGTGCCGGGGCGTCCACCGGAGTCCTGCCAGCTGTCCGGCGCTGGGGTAAGCGCAGGAGGGGCGGGGGTGGGACCCGAGCTGGCGGCCACGGGTCTCCCGCTGCGGGTGTGTCGACTCGGGGGCGGGGCGGGGGAGGCTGCTGAGATAATGAATGGGAGGCTAAGGCCACCCCCCAGCCCCGGCCCTGCCACCACCGTGGGCTGTCGAGCCAATGAATGGAGGAGGGGGCGCAGAGGTCAGGGGCGCTGGGGGCGCCACACCAGGTAAGGGGTCCAGCTTGGGAGCGGGGAGGGCGGACTCTGGGGGTTCGGGTGTTGCTGACTTGTGCTACGTGGAACAAGCAGAAAAGAAGGAAGGCGGAGGAAGAGAGGAGGCTGGCGTCGGCGCTGCTCCTCTGGCCCTCCCTCTGCGCCCCCTCCTCCTGCCAGCGCGCCAAAGCCGGGCAGTAGGGGCCGACTGGCGGCTGACGCTCCCTGAGTGGCGACTCCGTCTCCAGCCCCGCTGCGGAGCGCGGGCCGGATCTGGGGCGGCCAGGGCCCGGAGCCGCGGAGCCCTCCCCGCCGCCCGGCCGAGCACGGGACCCCGGCGGGGTGGGCGCAGGGGGCGGCCCCGCTCTGGGCGACTGCCGAGGGGCGGGCGGAGGGCCGGGCTCGGCTGGCGGTGGGGCGGGGGCCGCCGGGACTGGGCGCGCGGCCTGAAGCCAGCCCGGGGGCGGCAGGAGAGGGACGCGCGGCGGCAGCGAGCGCAGGTAAGGGGGCCGGCGCGGCGTGTGGGGACGGCGCCCCCTGGGCGCGAAGCCAGAGGCCGCGGCGACTGCTCGGCCCGCCACACGGCGCGCTGGGCTCACACTGTCCCGCCGCGGACGGGCTTTGTGGTTGGGGGCGCGCGTGCGAGTGCCAGTGAGAGTGTGGGTGCGCGCTGTGGGCCGCGGCGCGGGTGGGTGGCCGTGCGTTCTTGCGAGCCGGCCTGCAGGAGGCGAGGCTCCCCTGGCCTCCCGCACCCAGCGGCGGACCGAGCCCCTGGAGGGAAGTTGCCGCAGCCGCCCGGGCCGCCGGCCCTCCTGTCCCGCGCCAGGTCAGTGCGCCCCGGGGCCCGCCCAGTGACACGTAGGTGGCCTCCGGTTACCTGGGTCGGGGTGGGTGCGCGGGAGGGCTTGCGAGGGGCCCTCGAAATTCTCCCAAAACCTCGTCCCGCTGGACTTGCACCTCCGAGGGGTCCCTGCGCCCCTGGGGCTCCGCACCTCTCGCTTCCCACTGACGACTCGGTTGTCCCCCACCACCGGGCTGAGGACTTTTAACTAAGTTTCTGTCCAGCCGCCTAACAAACGTGCTTAACAAGTAACAGGAGGTTGTAAGGCAAGGGAGGGACCTGGCTTTGAAAGTTGATGGTTTTGAAATCGACGGCTCCTTTGACTTGCGTAGGACTCCTTTGTGGTGAATGGATTTAAAGTTTATTCTTGTTTTTCTTTGCTGCCATTTGGTCTTTGCAATGTTAAGAGTGAAGGCATTCAGGACTTGCTGCTGCCTGCTGTCTGGGGCCTGAGGTTGTGGCTCTCCGCTTCTGCTCTCCTCTCTTCATTTTTGTTGAAATCCGTGGATTTTTTCATAAATGTGGGTGCTGGCTTGTTTCACTATGGACGCGTCGTTTCCTATGGGGTTAGATAGATATTGGTAAACATAAATATTGAAAATGTGATGATCACATATTGATGATCACAGCGAAATCCTCTATTCCTTCAGGCTCTAACAGTTTGTTTTTCACGTATTTGCATAAGTGTGTTTGCTCAGCTAAGCATAATTGGTAAGCCAGAGGTCTGTGATTCAGAGTCTGCAGTTCTGGTTAAGGGGAGACTGTACACTTGGAAAATGCGAAGTTTTTTAAGAAGTTATTCCCTTGCCGGATAGAAGAGTGGGTCCCAAGGAAAAAGGGTGTATTTTAGAGGTATGGTTATTTGAACCAAACTAAACATCATTAAAATACACAGGGAGGTAGAATGTCACCTAGTTCTTTCTGCCCTTGATTTCCATATCCCAGTAGGAGCGAGTATAATTGCCCCAAATGCAAAATTATGAATAATAATCAGCATTGTAAGTATATTAAGGTTGCATTTTTTTCTTGATACTTGTCTGATTTGAGGATAAAAACACCAAGTGGCAAGAGAAGGAGGTAGCTTGAGGCAGGAAGGCACGGGCGAGGAGCGAGGAGGGAAGGCTGGGTTGTCATCATCCGAGCCCGCAAGGTACACCACGTCCCCTAGCGGCGCGACCTCAGCCAGTCGGGTCAGCTCAGATCCTGGTCTCCGTCTCCCCATCCGGAAAATGGAAGGGGTTGGTGATCGTTGCTGTTCCTTCCAGCTTCCCAAATAGCGAGAAACCGGTGGGAGGTTATCTTATTGTGTTAGAGCAGTAGGAAAAGGTAGGAGGGGGAAGTGAGAGGTCCAGAGGGCCAGGAAGATGGAAGAAAACAAGCAACAGAGGATGCTTGGAGGAGAAAAATTCTTGAGCTGGGAGCTCATTTCCTCTTTTTTTTTTTTTTTTCCTTTCCTCAAGGGACTCAATAATACTTCCCCCACCTCAGATCAATCTCTTGTTACCTTTATTATTTAAAGCTTGTGAGTTTGCTTAGCTAATGCACTAGGGTGAGGTCAAGGTGATCCTTGCAGTCTGACTTCTACTAGGCATCACTTGACTCATTTGCATCATTGTCTCTCAAGGGAACAGCTCCTGCCCAGGTCTGTGGGCACTCAGCATGGATTTCAGTCTCCCTGTGAGTGATGGGAAAGAACTAACAGAGGTAAGAATGTAAGTGGCAGCCCTTTCGAAACTTCTATTTTTGTTCAAACCTAATATTTTCCAAAAAGTGATTTGATTTTTTTGTTGTTTCAAATTATACCGTAGGCTGCAAGGTTTTACTGAATCTATTCCATTAGTGACCTACTGGAACGTTCAAAGAATAAAAATCTCACTTGCTCAGTGTTTTTGATACACAGTGACATTCAGTCTGAAGTAAGTGATATTTAGGGCCAAGAATCATTTCAAATGCTTAGTATGGAAAGTTGCAATCTGGGCAGAATACACTGTATCATTTTCACTGGGAAGCTCCAAGTATTCAGCAGATAACAGAACTTTCAGAATTTAGTTTGAGGTCAAGATTTTAATGTCTGTGTTTGATGTGTGGCCTGTCTTCCTTTTCTTTGATGTTTTGGTATCAATATGCCTACACCCTTGAGGAACATTATTTATTGTAAAAGCTGAACTGTGATGTAATAAAAACTTAAACATAAGCTCTTGGTTTAAAGTCCAATAGTCTTCTCTGGCCTTAAGTCAGCATCATACTACTGTTTGGTTTCTTATTTTTACATATCATGTTACCCTCTTATTTAAATATCCCGGGCCAGGTGTGGTGGCTTATGCCTGTAATCTCAACACTTTGGGAGGCTGAGGCAGGACGATCGCTTGAAGCCAGGAGTTTGAGACCAACCTGGGCAACATAGTGAGACTCTGTCTCTATAAAAAAAATAGAAACATTAGCTGGGTATGGTGGCATGTGCGTGTAGTCTCAGCTACTTGGGAGGCGGAGGAGGGAGGATGGCTTCAGCCCAGGATTCAAGGCTGCAGTGAGCTGTGATTGTGCCATTGCACTACAGCCTGGGTGACAGAGAGACTCTGTCTCTTAAAAAAAAAAATCTTAGGGAAAACTATTATGGATGTCTTAGAAAGTTGAGAGAAAAGGAGGTAATTCTATTTCAGCAAACAATTATTGAATTCCTTCCATGTGGTAGATGCAAGGATGGTGAAAAGGAAGCTCCAGAAAGAACTGCAACACAGGGGGGAAAGATGCAGTGAGCCTCACGGTTCATACCGAATATGTATATGCAGTGTTGTGTAACTGGGTGGTAGCTGTAGAGTCCAAGAACTTTGGCATGCCAGGGAATGGAGAATTACGTTTTGATTCAGGGGACGAATTTATAAATGTGGCTTGAAGAATAACATATCTTTTAAAAGATGAATGGTGGGGGAATGAAGACAAAGTGAGAGTGTGGGGTGATGAAGGCTGGAAAGTTACGAAGGGACAAATTGTGGGGGACCTCTGATGTTATTTTAAGGAGTTATGCTACATGGGGATAGGGAGGCAAGGAGGAAGTATTACATAACCTCAAGATGTGGAAAGACACTGAGTAACACATATTGGGGCAGAGTGAGGGGTGCGATGATGGATGGAGGACTGGGCTTTTATTCCATTACAATCCGTGTAACTTATGGCTGCTACGTTTTAAGACACTATTGCCTGTTTACTCAAATTATATAAAGGTTGTAGAATAAACTAATAAGTAGTTTCTTCCTCCCTACTCTCCGCAAATTGATAGTGCTTTATACTTTTGAGAAATTTAATTTAGTAAAAATTAATGATGCTATTGTGTTATAGCTGGACCTTGTGGAGCCTTTTGAACATGTGGGGTTGAAGTCATTCTGCAGGCACAGAGCTGTCCAAGAAAACATTTTTTTTCCCCTCTCTTTTTTGTTTAGGGAAGGGCTTGCTGGTTAATGCTAATTTAAACATGACTCTTCTGGCAGCTGGCATTCTTGACCCTGTTTATGTTATACATGGTATTTAACCACAGTGATTGGGTATTTGCAGCACAGAAGAAAAAGAATTATTATTAGTTTGAAACCGGCATTAATGCCTCTGTAAATGATAGGGCAAGGCAGTAGATGGAAGGAGAGAGGGAAGCCAAGTAGCACACTCGGTACTGCAGTGAGAGATGACATAACCATGAGAATTCTTTAAGTTTAACTTCCAGTAGAAGTAACTTGCTTTCTATATATTTTAAATCCCTAGAGCTAAAGCATTTAACTCATTATCTTCACTCTGTGGGATCCATTTGGGAGAGGTATTCAGGAGCTTTATAGGTTCACACTTGCTCCCCAGTACCTCTGTGTCACAGGAGGATATACACTGGTTTTCAGTTGCATGTCAGAGGTGGAACTGACTTGGATGTCTTTGAATTGCTGTTGAATCTGGAGATGCTAGGGTACCCAGGAGACAGACAGGAAAAAGAAGAGGCTGGGCACGGCGGCTCATGCCTGTAATCCCAGCACTTTGGGAGGCTGAGGCGGGTGGATCACCTGAGGTCAAGAGTTTGAGACCAGCCTGGCTAACATGGTGAAACCCTGTCTCTACTAAAAATACAAAAAATTAGCCAGGTGTGATGCTGGGCGCCTGTAATCCCAGCTACTCAGGAGGCTGAGGCAGAAGAATCACTTGAACCCAGGAGGGAGAGGTTGCAGTGAGCCAAGATTGTGCCATTGCACTCCAGCCTGGGCAGACAGAGTGAGACTCCATCTCAAAAAACTTAAGAAAAAGAAAAAGAAAAAGAAGGTGGCTGAATTTCTTTCAATTACCTTGTGAATTCAATTTAATGAATGATCTTCCCAGCAGTTTGTTTTATCTTCTGCAAGGGAACTTATGTTTGGCATGTTTAATAAATTAAGTTAATTAAGTTGGAGAAGCCCAAGGTTAGTATACTTTATTTTAGGATACATTTTTGGTAGGAGAGGAGGAGGGGTGGCATGGTGGTGGTGATGATTTTATTTAAACTCTTTGGCATTTTTTAGCAGGTTAGTATGATTTCAAAGTAGTGTTGTTGTTGTATTATCAACTTGTGGGGCTGGGCCAAAGAATATTGTCTTAATACTTGCATGTCCCTGTCATCTAATCAGTGCTATAGAAACTTTAACCCTGAAGTCCATGTAAAATTGTAATTATTTTTTTCCAGAAATGAAAGAGAACTATTTTACTACATTCATGGATTTAGGTTATAATTTATTTTATTTTTGTGATACTGTTTTAAAAAAGTGATATAATGACAGGGCAGACCCTTAACTTTAGTCCAGTGCTAAAACAAACGTGCAATAAGCCTGCATGAGGCAGGGCAAGCTGTGTTTGTTGTATTATGAAAATAAAGGAAAATGTTTTCAAAACCAGCATTTTTCTCTAAAAGAAAAAATTTTGACTAATAATACCTGGCCATGGGTGGGATTTCCAGCTGTTGGTTGAAGGAAATTTTGTTCATTATGGCCATTATGTGTGCTATGTCTCTTAGAGTTTAGGATTTGCTATGCTGAGATTGCTACTGTGAACCATTCCTGTTATAGCAAGTTTCCCTATATTCATTAACTTATGTGTCTAAACAATGCTCTAGATTAGACTTTATATCGATCTGTTCTACTAAATTTTCTTCCCCTATGCCTAGGTGGTTCTCTTTGACCAACCCTTAACTGCCCTGATTCTGAAATTCTGCTCTAATTGAAGGATATTCCTGGGTCTTTGGAGGGAGAAATGGTTCAGGGGCAGAGGAAACTTTTTTTCCCCCCATCTCAGGAGCACTTAACTGACTGCCTGCTATATACCAGGCTTTGTGCTAGTTTTACTAGGGGTGAGTGTGAATAAGGCAGGATTCCCACCCTCCAGGAGGAGCTTACACACGATTAACAGATAATTACAATTCAGTGTAACAAGTGTTATGAGAGAGAAGACTTTGCGGGAGCACCAAGCGGGGGCACTTGACCCTCAGCGGTGAGGTGGTGGAGGTCAGGGAATGCTCCTGGAAGGTTAGGATCTGGAAGGATCCTGGGAGATAAACCAAGCCTAGAAGAGGTAAAAAAGGGATCAAGAGGCTTTCTATCTCCAGTTTCGCTACTCCTGGGTAGGTCAAAGTGCCTCTCTTTTTACATCTGGAAAATAAGAATAAGAACTGATATCTGGTTGGTAATTCTAGTTTTCATTTACTATGTGTTCCTTAATCCTTTATATTACTCTTTCTTCCATATTCAGTAGGCATTTGTACCCACCCTGTACTGGGAAGATAGCACTGCAGGAAACAAGATGTGGACAGACCCCTTCTCTCATGGAGCTTGCCCTCTATCATATGACATTAGTAAGAGAAGTTCTTTTAGAATGCCTTCAAACTCAGGCATATGTATCTTGTTATTCTTCCATTTTAGGAACATTTTCTCCAAGGTAGTCTCAATACTTTGAGGTGAGTTGGCCTTTCCCTTTTAAGGAAGGAGACCACAGAGCCCGGTAATCTCCTTTTCATTTTATATGCTTGAAATATTTTGCTAGGATTTATCTGTTTTAAAGTCTAGAGATAGACATAGCTGTGTTTTATCTGTAGCCCTGCCTTGCTTCCATCTCATTTTCCCTATTCTTACTTTTAACCCAACTTGTGTTTGAGATTCTTTGCTCAGTATATAGTTTGCTTTCTAGAATAATTCAAACCTAGTGCCTGTAGAAAGTCAGACTTATTTTTTATTTATTTGAGATAGGGTCTTGGAGTGCAGTGGCATAATCCTGGCTCACGGCAGCTTTGACCTCCTGGGCTCAAGCTATTCTCCCACTACAGCCTTCCAAGTAGCTGGGACCGCAGGTGTGTGCCGCTATGCCTGGCTATTTTTTTTCTTTTTCTTTCTTTCTTCTTCTTTCTTTTTCTTTTCTTTTTTTTTTTCTTTTTTTTTTTTTAAAGAAATGGGCTCTCACTACATTACCCAGGCTGTTCTCAAACTCCTGGGCTCAAGGGATCCTCTCACCTTGGCCTCCCAAAGTGTTGGGATGACAGCTGTGAGCCACCGCATCTGGCTAATACTTATTTTGAAGTCACCCTGTCATGGTGCTTTGCTTCACTAATGTATTTCACTTATGATCTTGAAGTCACTCAGGGATACAAACACAATAAAATGCATCCCAACCAGGAGAGGGTAGCTGCATTCATTTACAAAATTTTTTTTTGCAATGATTCAAACACTATAGATGTGTCTAAAGTAAATGTAAAAATCTCTCTCTGCCACTTTAACCTTACCCATCTGATATCAGTTTGTTCCATAGCCTTCCATAGTTGTCCTTTTACTTATACAAACCTACAAAAATTAATATTTATGTATATTTATGTGTGTGTGGGATAAGTGTGGATATGTTTATACATACTCATATGTATGTTTGTGTGTGTATCTGTCTGTGCCTGCCTCCATTTTCTTTTGCTTTAGAGAGGCTATACTTGAGGCTGCCATCAAGAGTGAGAAGTTTGAAGCTGGAAGAGCCTGCATGGGCCCTTCTTGAACTGGTGCAGCATGTGCAGCATGACATCACTCAAGAGTTCTTGTCAGAGTGATAATGAATGTCTGGCTATTGTAAACGGGAATAAGAAAACTATTTCCAGCTGTGTGACAACCAAGACGACAAAAAGCATTGCAGAGAATATTATTGCCACAAGGACCCTGCTTCATCTGGGTCTCAGACGACGGGAGGAGGGGCATTTTGGAGCACGTGTTTGGCATCTGTGAACCTTTTGTTAGGTAGAAAACAAGGCCTGAATGAAAGGCCTTTCAACCACTTCTGGAGCAGAGAAGATAGGTAGAGTTACTCATTATAGGCAGGTTTCATTGTAGGAGTATTCAGTGAGGACCCCCGCCTTGGAAGTCTGTAATCAGCAGATGATAAGGATGGTGTGTTCTTACTAAGAGAATAACACAACTGAAACAGAATTGCCTTTTGTTAAGGGGATGCTTTGCCTTCTTGGACTACGATTGTGGGGAGAAGGATTATTGTCAACTAAGTGAGGCATTCATTCTGTACCCACTATTTATTGTAGTTCCACAGAGAACTGCTTGCTTTACTTTCTGACTAGGCACAGAAAAGTAAAGGTTCAAAGGCTAGGGCAAGATGACTGACTTTTCCAGATTTAGCACAATCTGTTCTCTGGTCACTTTGAGACGCTGTCAGTTTAGTTTCATGCAGCTGATATCTTGGAGAACTTCTGTGTCCTTACGTTTGGCTGAGGACACTAAATTTTTTTTTTTTTTTTTTTTTTTTTGAGGCAGAGCCTCACTTTATTGCCCAGGCTGGAGTGCAATGGCACGATCTTGGCTCACTGCCTCCTGGGTTCAAGCAATTCTCTTGCCTCAGCCTTCCAAGTAGCTGGGACCACAGGCGTGCACCACCATGCCTGGCTAATTTTTTTTGTATTTTTTGGTAGAGATGGGGTTTCACTGTGTTGGCCAGGCTGGTCTTGAACTCCTGGCCTCAAGTGAACCACCCGCCTCGGCCTCTCAAAGTGCTGGGTTTACAGGCCCAAGCCACCGTGCCTGGCCTGAGGACACTAAAATTAAAAAAAAATTAAGAAAGTACGGTCCCCGCTCTTGAGTAGCTCATGAACATGGAGCGATATGGACTCAAATGATTAAGATCAGGTAGGTAGTGATGAATACGGTAAACCAAGTTTCAAACAAAGAGCTGTCTGCATATCTGAGGATGGAGAGGGTAAGTCAGCCTTAGAGGAGGGAAATGACTTGCAGCAGGATGCCAGCCTCAATGGTCTGTGGAGCTCATTCCATGCAGAAGAGTAATGAGGAAGACCCAGTGAGTGACAGGCTTGGGGAGGAGTGCCTGAAATTGACGGTTTGTGGCAGGAAGTGGTGGGACCAATCTCGAAGCTTGTGGAGGTAGAAGGGTACTGGAGACTACTGTGGACAAAAAAGGGCATGTTGATGCCATTACCAGACAGGACACGAGAGCATGATGATTGTTGCAGTGAGGCTTGTTAGTTTTAGACATGTCTAAAACCATGCAGGCAGAGATTTTCAGCTGGTGGCTGGCAATTTGAGTTTGAAGTTTAGCTGAGAAGTCAGTTGGCAGTATTCAGGCATAATTGCTAAATGTAGAAGTAAATGCCAGTAAAATGTGTGTGATAAGCTGGAGAGCACTTTTAGAGTGAAAAGATTGATATATTTTAACAAGGACAAGGCTTATTTCAATTCTTTAGGTTATTTTTCTTTAGCAGATTAAAGTAGTTTTATCGGTTATCAAGCATTTGTTGAGCGTTTACTATGGCTTCTCTTGATAGGTGGTCCTGGGGAGATAGGAAGGAAATGGTGCAAATTTCAACAATACCCACTGGGGTGAACAAAAAATCCCTGAAACACCCCATTCCAGCTATTGTTATCTGGAAAAAAATCCTTACAATAATTAGATGGTGATTTGACGTCTGGGGGAAGTTGCAGATATAGTTTTAATTTACTGTAGGACTAGTGGCAGTGAGTCTCATATTGCTGTCATATAAAAGGTAAACCTTCCAGAAGAACTTTGGAAATTTCAGTAGCCTAAAGACCACGCTTTGAGAAACTCGTAAAGGTTTGTCATAGAGGTTTTAAAAGTCTGATCAAATAATTTTAAGCTTTAGTTGCCTACTAAAAAGTAGGATGCAGTACAAGTTTGTCCTTTACTTGGTAAAAAAAAAAAAAAGTCTTTTTCTAATTAAGAATTTATTTTCACCTTAGATAATTTTATTGGCATGCCTTTTTGCATGCAAGATAGAAAAAAGACAAGTTTATTCTTAGTTTTCTTTTTTCTAAGCCATTATGATTCTTTTAAATTATACTCATTTCAATTTGATAGGAAAAAACAGTATATGCTCATTTTAAAATATGTGGAATGTACAGGGATTCATGTGTAGTTCCATCACTTAAGATTGACTTTCTTGCTAGGCATGGTGGCTCATGCTGGAAATCCCATCACTTTGGGAGGCCAAGGTGGGCAGATCACTTGAGGTCAGGAGTTCAAGACCAGCCTGGCCAACATGATAAAACCCTGTCTCTACTAAAAATACAAAAATTAGCTGGATGTGCTCTCTTGAACCCAGGAGGCTAAGGTTGCAGTGAGCAGAGTTTGTGCCACTGCACTCCAGCCTGGGTGACAGAGTGAGATTCTGCCTCAAAAAAAAAAAAAAAATTCTTATTCCATTTTGGGATAATTTCTTGCAGTTTTAAAAATATTTGCTTTTACGGAATATTTAACAGCATTCTCCTTTGTATCATAAGTATGTACACAGGCCATTAAAATCTTTCATTTTTAATTTCTAATGACTACATATTAGTCACACTATTTAATGTGTGTGTGACTGATTAAACATACCTAATTATGTTTAGTCATTCCCTTTCTCCGCTTGCTTCTTTTTTTTTTTTTTTTTTTTTTTTTTGAGGACTTGTGCTTCTCTGCCCATATTTCAGTGTTGATGTTCCCAGAGTTCTATCCTTACTCTAAATGATCTCCATTTTTGAGCTTATCCACACAGTGGACTGTGGTTTCCTGGTCTTTGTCCTTCTGCCTAGGATGTTCTTTCCTAGGTATCCACATGCCTGCTCTCATTATTTTCATGTCTTAACTCAAAGGTCAACTTTGAGTTAAGGCTTTCTATCACTACATTTAAAATTGTGTGACCTTTCCTGTCTACCCAGCTTGCCTGATATTTTCTTCTCCATTGCACTTTTCTTCTGACTTCTTAGATGAGGACAGGACTTAAAAAAAATTGTATTTTTATTTTCTGCTGTTTCCCCAAAATATTTTTCTTGTTTTGTTTCTTAAAGACCATGTCTTGTTCTGTCACCCAGGCTGGAGTTCAGTTGCTCAGTCATAGCTCACTGTGGCCTCAAACTCCTGGGCTCAAACCATCCTCTTGCTTCAGCTTCCTGAGTAGCTGGGACTGTGAGCACATGCCACCATGTTTGGTTATTTATTTATTTATTTATTTATTTTTTGGGTAGAGACAGGGTCTTGCTTTATTACCCAGGCTAGTCTTGAACTCTCACCTTGACTTCCCAAACTGTTGGGATTGCAGGCATGAACGCCGCACCTGGCCTGTTGATTTGGGGTGGAGCGTTCTGAAATTGAGGCAGTAATTAATAGCCTACCAACCAAAAAAAGCCCAGGACCAGACAGATTCACAACTGCATTCCACCAAAGTTACAAAGAGGAGCTGGTACCATTCCTTCTGAAACTATTCCAAATAATAGAAAAAGAGGGACTCCTCCCTAGTCCATTTTATGAGGCCAGCATCATCCTGATACTAAAACCTGGCAGAGACACAACAAAAAAAGAAAATTTCAGGCCAATATCCCTGATGAACATTGATGCGAAAATCCTCAATAAAATACTGGCAAACTGAATCCAGCAGCACATTAAAAAGCTTATCCACCACAATCAAGTTGGCTTCATCCCTGGGATGCAAAGCAGGTTCGGTGTATACAAATCAATAAACGTAATCCATCGCATAAACAGAACCAATGACAAAAACCACATGATTATCTCAATAGATGCAGAAAAGGCCTTCAATAAAATTCAACACCCTTTCATGCTAAAAACACTCAATAAACTAGGTATTGATGGAACATATCTCAAGATAATAAGAGCTATTTATGACAGACCCACAGCCAATATCATACTGAATGGGTAAAAGCTGGAAGCATTCCCTTTGAAAACTGGCACAAAACAAGGATGCCCTCTTTCACCACTCCTATTCGACATAGTATTGAAAGTTCTGGCCAGGGCAATCAGGCAAGAGATAAAAATAAAGGATATTCATACAGGAAGAGAGGAAGTCAAATTGTCTCTGTTTGCAAATGACATGATTGTATATTTAGAAAACCCTGTCGTCTCAGCCAAAATCTCCTTAAGCTGATAAGCAACTTCAGCAAAGCCTCAGGATACAAAATCAATGTGCAAAAATCACAAGCATTCCTATACATCATTAATAGACGAACAGAGAGCCAAATCATAAATGAACTCCCATTCACAATTGCTACAAAGAGAATAAAATACTTAGGAATACAACTTACAAGGGATGTGAAGGATGTCTTCAAGGAGAACTACAAACCAGTGCTCAAGGAAACAAGAGACGACACAAATGAATGGAAAAATATTCCATGTTATGGATAGGAAGAATCAATATCATGAAAATGGCCCTACTGCCCAAAGTAGTTTATAGATTCAATGCTATTCCCATCAAGCTACCATTGACTTTCTTCACAGAATTAGAAAAAACTACTTCAAATTTCATATGGAACTAAAAAAGAGCCCGTATAGCCAAGACAGTCCTGAGCAAAAAGAACAAAGCTGGAGGCATCACACTACCTGACTTCAAACTATACTACAAGGCTATTACTGGTACCAAAACAGATATAAAGACCAATGGAACATAACAGAGGCCTCAGAAATAATACCACACATATACAACCATCTGATTTTTGACAAACCTGACAAAAACAAGCAATGGGGAAAGGATTTCCTATTTAATAAATGGTGTTGGGAAAACTGGCTAGCCATATGTAGAAAAGTGAAACTGGACCCCTTCCTTACACCTTATACAAAAATTAACTGAAGGTGGATTAAAGATTTAAATGTAAGAACTAAAACCATAAAAACCCTAAAAGAAAACCCAAGCAATACCATTCAGGACACAGGCATGGGCAAAGACTTCATGACTAAAACACCAAAAGTGATTGCAACCAAAGCCAAAATTGACAAGTGGGATCTAATTAAACTAAAGAGCTTCTGCACAGCAAAAGAAACTATCATCAGAGTGAACAGGCAACCTACAGAGTGGGAGAAAATGTTTGCAATCTATTCATCTGACAAAGGGCTAATATCCAGAATCTACAAGGAGCTTAAAACAAATTTACAAGAAAAAAAGAACTCCATCAAAACGTGGGCGAAGGATATGAACAGACACTTTTCAAAAGAAGACATTTATGCAGCCAACAGACTTATGAAAAAAAGCTCATCATCACTGGTCATTAGAGAAATACAAATCAAACCACAATGAGCTACCATCTCACACCAGTTAGAATGGCAATCATTAAAAAGTCAGGAATCAACAGATGCTGGAGAGGATGTGGAGAAATAGGAATGCTTTTATACTGTTGGTGGGAGTGTAAATTAGTTCAACCATTGTGGAAGACAGTGTGGTGATTCTTCAAGGATCTAGAACCAGAAATACCATTTGACCCAGCCATCCCATTACTGGGTATATATCCAAAGGATTATAAATCATTCTACTATAAAGACACATGCACACGTATGTTTATTGCAGCACTATTTACAATAGCAAAGACTTGAAACCAACCCAAATGCCCATCAATGATAGACTGGATAAAGAAAATGTGGCACATATACACTGTGGAATACTATGCAGCCATAAAAAAGGTGAGTTCATGTCCTTTGTGGGGACTTGGATGAAGCTGGAAACCATCATTCTCAGCAAACTAACACAAGAACAGAAAACCTAACACTGCATGTTCTCACTCATAAGTGGGAGTTGAACAATGAGAACATATGGGCACAGGGAGGGGAACATCACCCACTGGGACCTGTTGGGGGGTGGGGGACAAGGGGAGGGATAACATTAGGAGAAATACCTAATGTAGATGGCGAGTTTATGGGTGCAGCAAACCACCATGGCACATTTATACCTGTGTAACAAACCTGCACATGTATCCCAGAACTTAAAGTGTGTGTGTATATATATGTGTGTGTATATATATACACACACACACACTCCCATATATATAAATATATATAATTATGTATATATAAATATATAAAAATATGTATGTATATATAATTATGTATATATAAAAATATATAAAAATTATATATGTATATATAAATATATATATAAATATGTGTGTGTGTATATATATAAAAATATGTATATATATGATGCCCAGCACACTGAATGTATTAGCTGCCATTTTCATTATCTTCATTGGTAAGTTGAATCATATGAGATTGCTGGTATTTGACTGCTCTTGACCTATAAAATGGTAGTTTTGTACGGTTCAGTCTAATATTACGCCCTTCAGATTTATCTGGCCAGTTGCATCTTCTGCATTTCCTGAGTTCAACTCAGGATTTTTTTCTACATTTGTTAGAGAATCTATCTTGTTGAAGTTCAAAAGGTGTGGTATGCATTGTGCATATGGTCCAAGAACATGCTTCTTACCCATTTTTTGTACTATGTAGTTAGTGGAAATAATGCCTTGACTTTGGCTGCTTTTTCCTCGTATATTTTTAGTGCTATTGCCAATTTTTGTCTTTGTGTGCACCTTCTTGAGCATTTTAACTGGAAATTGTGATGAGTTTTATTGGGACATTTAGTTCAGTGGCTTTCAAACTTTTTAGTCATGACCCATAGTTAGAAATGTTTGTCCATACATTTGAATGAGACATTAGTTGTATATAGTTTACTACACATAGTAAACTCTGACATTTTCTTTTCTATTTTTTCCTATGATAATTTGTTCATTTTCATTTTAAAAAGTACTGGTTATAACTCATACATTTTGAAAACACTTATCTAGTCATGAACTGCAGTTTGAAAGACACTGATCTAGTCTGTTGCTGTGCTGTCTAAAATCAGGTTCATTCATTTTTCAACATCCATTTGTTAAATACAGTATCGGTTATTTTGCTAGTAGCTGGGAATAGAGTGATGAGTAAAGCAGTCGTTATCACTGGTGGCATGAAGCATAGAGTCTAGTGGGATGGAGCATATGAACCAAAAAAAAAAACATCCAAATGTATAAATACTCTGCATGATAAATTCTGTGGGGGAAAAGAGCAAAAGCGATTAAATGGGGAACCTCATCTGACTTTGGGGGTGATTCAGGATTTCCCTGGGGAACTGACATTTGGTTAGGTCTGCAGATGAGAATGTGTTAACTCTGTGAAGGACTGAGCAGGGGTGTGTGCGTGGGATTGCAGAGTCATGGAAGAAATAGTAACAGAAGCAAAATAGAAAACCGGAAGGGAAAGACAGGTGGAAGGCAATCTTCTTTGATGAGTTGGCATTTTTTGTGATACTTAGTAGGCCTTCCTGTTTGTGGCTTTTTTTTCTTACTTGACAAAAGTCAAATAGGAATGTCAAGGATTTTTTGGGGGAGATGGGTGTTGGTGTTTGTTGAAGTAGTTTTGTATTAGAGCAATATAGTATATTGCTAAATAGCAGGGTTTTTTTTTTTTTTTTTTTTTTTTGTTGAGACGGAGTCTTGCTGTGTCACCCAGGCTGGAGTGCAGTGGCGCGATCTTGGCTCACTGCAAGCTCTGCTTGCCGGGCACGCCATTCTCCTGCCTCAGCCTCCTGAGTAGCTGGGACTACAGGCACCCGCCACCATGCCCGGCTAATTTTTTTTTGCATTTTTAGTAGAGACAGGGTTTTACCGTGTTAGCCAGGATGGTCTCGATCTCCTGACCTCGTAATCCGCCCGCCTTGGCCTCCCAAAGTGCTGGGATTACAGACTTGAGCCACCGCGCCCGGCAATAGCAGGGTTTTTTGAAGGCTTGCTCTGTATGAGGAGCTGTACAAAGTTGTGTTCGATATGCAGGAGAAATAGATTTGGTTGGATTAAAAAATACTTTTATATAATATAATTACCAATTTAGTAACTATGCATAATTTGTAAGAAATTATAACACTGAAGTTAAGTTTTTTGTAAGTGAAGATCAGATGGTTGGGTGAGTATTTCATTGCTTCTTGTTGATTTGAATATAATGGTAAGAATTATTACTGCACTAGGATTTTTGTTTTTTTTACCTTGGTAGGATTTTAGTGTTCATTCCCCCCACCCTCTTTTAAAACTGAAGAGTTTAAAAGAAAGATTTTAAATTAGAAGTCCATAAAGTAAGTTGGAGACCACGTGAGATGGGAGACCATGATTCAATTGCCAGTTCTTCCATTGCTGTGCATGATACCCTTGACAATACCCAACCTTTGAGGCCCTGGGAGCCTTGTCTTAAAATGGAGGACTTGAAATCAGTTTGCAAGAATCATTCTCCCAGTCCTATTATTAGTATTAAGTGCCTTTATGCTTTCTATTTTCAACTTTGCTCTGGCTGTTTAAAGACTTGGCACCCCACCATTTAACTAACCTAGTCCAACAAGCTCAGGCCAAACTTGGGAGAACTCCAGGTATTTGCATCTTTCTGTGTCTTTGTGGGGTCAGGCTCAGGTGGCACTAATTCCTTCACATTGGGCAACACTACTAATGCTTCTCATTACAACATGGAAGAATGGGTAAAGATTAGAATTCTCTTGAGACTTTTTTTTTTTTTTTTTTTTTTTTTTGTGACGGAGTCTCGCTCTGTCACCCAGGCTGGAGTGCGGTGGCGGGATCTCTGCTCACTGCAACCTCCACCTCCCGGGTGGTTCAAGCGATTCTCCTGCCTAAGCCTCTTGAGTAGCTGGGATTACAGGTGTCTGCCCCCACACTCAGCTAATTTTTGTATTTTTAGTAGAGACAGGGTTTCACCATGTTGGTCAGGCTGGTCTTGAACTCCTGACCTCAGGTGATCCACCCACCTGGGCCTCCCAAAGTGTTGGGATTACAGGCGTGAGCCACGGCAACTGGCCTAAATCTTTTAAGACTTTATATCATAGTTTGCAGTTTGACAACACTTGGAATTAATTTTTTTTATCCTTTCAGATTCAGCAAACATGGAAAAATATGATTATCTTATGTTTATATGCTGGATGCTTGCTTTGGAGAAATATGCAGCATCTAAGTTATATATATTCCACATTTTATAAAAACCCATTGGATGAGGGTGATATTATTTTAAAAAGATTTTAAAGGGCTAAGGAATCATATGGAAGATGAATTCAATTTTAATGACTACACCAAGTTTAAGGAATATTTTATAAGAAATGGGCTTATGTGAAAGAGAATTAAAGGTACTTGGCAATTCAGCTTATCTTTTCTTTTTCCTCCTAGCTTTATTGATGTATAATGACAAGCAAAACTGTATTTAAGTTCTACTTATGATGGTGATATACATATATACTGTGAAATGAGTACTATTAAGTATCGTCACCATGCTGTACGTTAGATCCCCAGAACTTACTCATAACTGGAAGTTTGTACCCTTTGACCAGCATCTTCCCTTTCCCCCATCAACTCAGCTTTTCTTACCAGTATATTAAATCATTTGATTCAAATACATTTCAACATTATTTTTTTGTAATTCAATATATTCAGTCTTTCAAGTTCATTTATTGTAACGTGAATATGTTATTACACTCGTTCTTATTTTTTGTTTAGAAATCGAGGGAAGAAAGATGAGATGCATGCTTTTTCTGTTTGTCTGAACTCTGCTGAATTCCTCATTCATAGTAAAATATTTACTCAGGAAGTCCAGGTAACTCTGGAGATTTTACTTAGTGTGTTTTGGTGCTGATTCATCAGTTGATTTTTTTAATTTGTTGTTAAATATCTTCTTAAGCTGATTATTATATGGAAACCAGCCAGGACTCCAGGCTCCTGATCTGAGACAAGGCAGGGGCAGGTCACACAGGCACAGGCAATGTTTGGCAATGTGTAGGTCCAAGTAGGTACTAGGCACAGGTGCTCAATGCTAGTACTAGAAACAGGTTGGGTGTGAAGGGGCTGGGGTCATGGGGTTAGGGTAGGTTCAAGGTAGACAAAGCCAGGAAGAGGCACAGAGCATGTAGATGCCTGGCCTAGAATTCCATAAAAGGCATTCTGGATAGCCCTAAGAGAGAAGTGGTGTAGACAAAAGTCTAAAGCTCCCAGGAGAAATTTATTTTCAGAGTTGGAAGCATCAGTTGAACTTCGCTGATTGTTCAAGGGAATCTCAACACTCAAGCAGGGGTTTAGTCACCATGACCTTGGGACAAAGTCCCAGCTTCTCTTCAAGTGTTTGGTCATCTTAAAGTAGAGGGCTTTGAAATCACAAATTCTCATCTGATTCAGGGATTAAGAACCTTGTTGAATACTATTTCTCTAGGAGCAGGAATTAGCTGAGGTCTCATGACTAAATGTATTCTTTCTACAAGAGATTTATTATAAAACATATTTAACATTTGCTATGGACTGGATTTTCTCCCTAATATTCATGTTGGAGCCCTAACCCCCAGTGTAGCTGTATTTGGAGATAAGGCTTTTAGGAGATAATTAGGATTAAATGAGATTATAAGTGTGGGGTCCTAATCTGATAGGATTGGTGGCCTTATGGGAAGAGGAAGAGAGAGATCTTTGTTTCTATACACATTCACCAAGGAAAGGCTGTGTGAGCAAACAGTGAAAAGACAGCTGTCTGCAAGCCAAAAGGAGAGCCCTCACCAGAAACCAACCATGCTGGCACCCTGTATTACATTTCTAGCCTCTAGAATTATGAGAAAATAAATTTTTTTCATTTAAGCCACCTAACGTATGGAACTTTTTTTTGAGACGGAGTCTCACTCTGTCGCCCAGGCTGATGTGCTGTGGCGTGATCTTGGCTCACTGCAATCTCCACCTCCCAGGTTCACGCCATTCTCCTGCCTCAGCCTCCTGAGTAGCTGGGACTACAGGTGCCCGCCACCAAGCCCGGCTAATTTTTTGTATGTTTTTTTTTTTAGTAGAGACGGGGTTTCACCATGTTAGCCAGGATGGTCTCGATCTCCTGTCCTTGTGATCTGCCCGCCTCGGCCTCCCAAGGAACTTTTTAATGGCAGCCTAAGCTAATACAACATTCCACTAATTTGGGTAGGGAATAAAAGTAACTCTGTCCAGTAGCCGTTCAGCAGAAAACACACACTATCATTTACCTGCCTAACTCTCTTCCTTTTTCCTTCTTCATCCCGTTTTAGTGGCAGAATGACTCAGTGAGTAAAAATGTTCCAGTGAACACATCTTAAAGTATTTAAAACTGTTCAACTTATTTAAAACCAATTGTTTTTATATGAAATACTGTTTATTATCTTTTAAAATATATCTCTATTATTATTATTTTTAATAGAGAAGGTGTCTTGCGATGTTGACCAGGCTGGTCTCGAACTCCTGGGCTCAAGCAATCTTCCCAAAGTGTTGGGATCAGAGGTGTGAGCCACCATACCTGGCCCTTAGTGTATTCTTAAAAACATTAAAAAAATTATTTTTGAAATCACATTATGGCAATATTTAAATAAACCCACTTGTATTTGCAGTTCCCTAATGAATGTATTTGTTATTTAGTCATGTTAGTTTTATGGCCTATTTCTATTATGTTCTATTTTATGGTCTACTTCTACCTAGAAGTAACAAATGTGTGTTTTTATTTCTACTGATTGTTTTTTAACACACTGTTATATAAGGCGATATAGTCTGAATCATATTTTTAATAGCCTGATAATAATCCATTAAGCTGTTAAACTGTTCATTCAACCATTGCCCTATTTTTACACAGTTTTATTTCCTTTGTACTTGCTGTTTTAAAAAGTATTGTACTCAACAACTTTTATGTAATTTCCGTAGACTGATTAAGAGTGAGATCACTGATTTGAAAGTAATATCATTTGGTTTCCAAGTAGATTTTAAAAGGTAGTTTAAAAACTTAACTTTCAAAAGTAACACCTGTTTGTGCTCATTTTAGAAAACAAAGAAAAATATAAAGAAGAAGAAGGAAAAAGTACCCATACTCCCCACCTAGAGATAGCCATTGTCAAGTTTATGGGATATTCCCTTTTAATATTTTCTCTGTAAATTTTATCTAGTTGGAATCCTACTGGGCATAATCAGTACTTTGTCCTTTCTCTTAATAGTATGCAGTAAATGGAAGTGATGTTAATTCCATTCAGCTACTGTTATAGTGAACTCACTTCAGTAAATATCTTTGCAAGCCTATTTTTGCATTTCAGGTAATTTCTTTAGAGTAGATTCCTGGTAATATAATTTGTTGCCTTAAAAGGCAGGGATGATTTTTATGGCTAGAGATAGAAATGATTAAATTGATTTCCAAAACAATGATAATGCTTCATACTCCTACCAGCAGAGTTTGAGAAAAACTTAAAGATGGAAATTAGTATAAGTGAAATGTGAAATGATTAGAGCAATGGGAAACTTTAATAATAATCTGTCCTGGATGACATTGACTAGACCTCATTGGTGGATGTTCTCTCCACTGTGGTCATGTCTTTCACTCATCCACAGTTTTGTCTTCTAACAGAGAACTTTATGTTTCAAGCTTCCCTTAGTTTTATGTCCTTTAATATGCTGTGAAAAAGTTTTTTTTTGTTTGTTTGTTTTGTTTTTTTTTAGACAGAGTCTTGCTCTGTCGCCAGGTTGGAGTGCAGTGGCGCCATCTCGGCTCACTGCAACCTCCACCTCCTGGGTTCAAGCAATTCTCCTGCCTCAGCCTCCCTAGTAGCTGGGACTACAGGCAGGCACCACCATGCCCAGTTGATTTTTGTATTTTTAGTAGAGATAGGTTTCACCATGTTGGCCAGGATGGTCTCAATCTCTTGATCTCGTGATCCGCCTGCCTCGGCCTCCCAAAGTGCTGAGATTATAGGCGTGAGCCACTGCGCCCAGCCAAGCTTTGTTTTTAACTGTATACACTGCATCAACTGATGGTAGGGTATTCCTGATGAGTATACTTCTGTGAAATAACTGGTTAACTACTAGAAAATGGAGCAAGTGCTCTAAAAATGAATAGCAAAGAATTAAAAACTAAATGGTAATTATACCTGTGCTGGTTTAGTGTGTATTTTGCATATTTACCCGCATAAGCTCAATTTTCTTCTAGATGCCATTGATATTACAGTCAGGGACCACTTTTGTGCCTTGGGGAAATAAAGTGAGCTTCCTTAGGAGGTAATAGATTTGCAATTTCACCCATTACTGGAAGTAGTCACATGTAATCCAATTAAATTTGATATCTCATTAGTGATGGAGGCCCACCTTCAAAAAACTCAGACTCGAGGGATGGGAACTGAATGAAGGTACCATGTGATAAATGCAATGTTATAAGTTAGTTGCATGTCTGTTTTCCTACTAAATATAGTGAAATTTAATAAGCATAGGAAGGAAATGGGGTAAGAGGAAGTGAGTGTGAATTTAAGCAGAGACCGAGACCAAGGGCCCACCTTAGGGTGCTATTCATGTATTAGAAAAGGGCCACGCATTTTGCTGTTCTTCCTCATAGTTGACATGAAGAGGGGACTCAATGAGCTGTGTTACCCAGAAAGCCCATGAAGATAAGGACTAACCAGGGGGGACAACTCTTCATGTGCTGGGAGGAGAACTCTTCATGTGCTGGGAGGAGAGAGGATTTTATCCATGGTTCTCCAAACGTTAGGTACTTTAATGTATTGAGTCGTGTCTCCAAATACAATCTTACAATGAATGTGACAATGGGGTTAAAAAAAACTGTATTGCTCAATATAGGTTAATGGCATAATGCCAATTGCTTATCTCAGAAAAGCCATTCTGTAAGAGCCAAAGCAAGACAGTTCAGACAAGCAGCTCACTGCTGGCTCTGTCCAAGCATAGACATTCCACATTCTTTGTGGAGTGCTGAATTAGATACTTTTCAGGATGTTTCCTATGAATATTACTTCATGCAAAAGGATATTTTTGATAAGAACTGAGTAGCAGTAAGTTCAAGGTTATTAAGCTCAATACTGCATCCTCTCTTTGTGGTCAGTTAAGTGTGGGTTCCTGTGCTTTAAGCATTGACTTGACTGAGAGTAGCATGAACAAAGATCAGCCTATGAGCACGGATTTTGTGGAGTCTTTTTACTTCAGGGAGTAGAAGGAAGAGAAATGAAGGCTCTGACAGTTGATGCCTTTGGCCAGAGTTTGCAAGACTGGAAGTCTATGTGCTAAATGAATTTGGCCCCACATACAGTTTATTTGTTCAGGTCAAGTTTCAAAAGTCAGCATAGACAGGTGGGCATTATGATTGTTCCTCGTGCAAGTGTAGTTTCTGTATCATGGAAGCTAAAGATCTGTTTTCATTGGCACTTCATGTATTTATGATACCTGGTTGGTCCCTGTGGGTATTTGTGCTTGTGACATTTGCTGGTATATGGTCACAGTGTAATGATGTATGTGTAAGTTCAGAAGCAGCATAGAGGAGGTGGTGATTAATCTGGGTGGGGAATAGGACCCATAAAAGGCTTCATTGAAAGGCTGTGACTGGAAAGATGAGTAGATATTTGCCAGGCATAGAATTTGGACAAGGGAGGGTATTCCAGGAAAAGCCAAGTGCATATGCAAAGACAGCTGTGTGGATTAGCATTATATGTTAGGGGATTTCTGAGTAGATCCAAAGTGCTGGGGCTTAACAAGCAAGGTGAATTATAGCCTAAGCCAGAAGTACCTGAAGGACTCAGTTTGCCGTGCATGAGGAGGCTGGCCTTGGGGCAATGGGGAACCATGGGAAGGTTTGAAACAGATCATTGCCATACTAGATTTCTGTTTTAGGAAGGTTATTCTCCAAACACCCAGGAGAAATAGTTGCAGGTAGAAGGGACTAGAATAGCTTTTTAAAAAAAGTTATTTATGAAAACATCTTTATTTTTCCTCCATTTCACTGACCTATATAATTTTTTATGGTGAGACGTTTGAAATTTACTCTTATTTTGAAATATACAATGCATTATTATTGACTCTAGCCACTCTGCTGTGCAGTGGATCTCAGAAAGAAGCTATTCCTCTTGTCTGTCTGAAACTTTGTGCCCTTTGATCAACAACTCCCTATCTCCCACCCCACTGTTCTTCATCCCTTGCCTCCAGCCTCTGGTGACCATCATTCTACCCTCTACTTCTTGGTTCAACTTTTTAAGATTCTACCTATAAGTTGAGATCGTATAGTACTGAGATATCTTAAGAGGGCTTGAGTTAAGGCAGTAACAGTGGGTTTGGAGGGAAGAAGGTAGATACGAAAGACATTTAGGAGGAAGAATTGATGCAACTTGGCTATTGAATAGATATGGTGGGTGAGGGAGGGGGAGGAGTGATAGTGAATGGATGACAATACCGTTGAATGAGACGAAGTAGGAGAGAGTAACAAGGACATGGGAAGTGTATTTATATTAGATTGCCAGGGCTGCCATGAAGTCCCACGGACTGGGTGGCTGAAACAACAAAAATTTATTTTCTCACAATTCTGGAGGCTGGAAGTCATAGAGAATTGTGAGGACTGTTTTCTTCTGAGGCCTCTCTCTTTGCCTTGCATGTGATGGTCTCCTCCCCGTGTCTTCATGTGGTTTTTCGTTTGTACCTGCCTGTGTCCAACTTTCTTCCTCTTATAAGGACCCTAGTCATATTGGATTAGGGCCCACTCTAATGACCTCATTCTAACTTAATTACCTCTTTATAGACCCTGGCTCCAAATGTGGTCACATTCTGAGGTACTGGGAGTTAGGACCTCAACATATGAATTTCTCGGGGGGACACAGTTTAGCCTAGAACAGGAAGGATGAAGAGTTTGGTACATGTTGAATTTGCAAACCCTATGGAGTATGTAGGGTGGTGGTGGTGGTTCTATAATGCATTTGGATGTGTGAGAACACAGCCCAGAAAAGAACTCCAGATTTGGTATTTAAAATCATGGGCATGGATAAAAATTGTCTTCACCAGTAATACCCAACCTTGGCTTATTTTAAGAACACCTGGGGGAGCTTTTGAAACATGCCATGTGCAGGGGGCTCACTTCAGGCCATGACTCAGTCTTTGAAAGAGAGGCCAGGGCAGACACCTGGTCATTCTAATGTGATCCAAGGTTGAGAGGATGGGTCTAGTGTTAAGTGTAGAGAAGAGATCCGAAAGAATGGCTCGGATCATTCAAGTGGTGGTTGGTAAGAGAGAGAGAAGGATGGGAAGGATGGGAGTTTGGGGGGCTTCTTGCCTGATGTTCATCAACTTCTCCATGATGGATGTGCAAACTGGGGAGTTCCTTTAGGGGATTTAAGGCTTGGAAGAGGCGCCGAGAGAAATGGCAGCACTGATGGCTTCTCTTTTTGGGCTCACCTGAGATTAGAATGCATTCATTAATAGTGACAGCTTTACCTTGTCCTTAAGTTTTCCCCACAAGGCCTCTGGAGGTTGTGAATGGGAGCAGAACAGGCAGTTTGGAGTTTAATCATGATTGTGGTGTCAAAGGGCAGATTGGCAGAAAGGAGCATGGGAGGTATCAGGCTGGTGTGAGGGGAGCCCAGAGGGCTGACTATGGTATTTAGGCTGGGCATTGTGAGAATTGACCTTGGATAGGGCTGGTGAACAGGAAAGAATGGAGGGAGCAGGAGGCTGGGTATTTTGGAGGGCTGAAATAATGTGTATGAGCACAAACAGCTGCATAGATGCATAGTTTCAGCTATAAAGGGGGATTTTGAAGTGTCACAGGCAATTCTGAATGATGAGGGGCTAAGTGGTATAGTCAATTCAGAAACTAACTTGAGAGGTCAGACTGTTGGGTGTGATGAAATTGCCCTTGATAATGACTTGCTTGATGATTGAGTTGTTTGCAAGAGGGAATGAAGGTTGGGGAAATTTACTAGATAACCTTTAAGGTTTCTTCCAGCCTCAGGATTTAACAAAATGTCATTGTTTTGTGTCACGGCTCCCTGATCACCCTTTTTTTCTTTTTCTTTTTGGAATCAGAATAGAGCAATCTGAAAAATGCCATCTAACAATCCCATTTTTATTGATCCCATTGTAATTGTAAATGTTTGACAGGTTATAGCCTCTTTAAATGCCCTTGGAATCCATTAACGCATGTTTCATAGAGTTCACACAGGGTAAAGTGGTACTTTGGTCAGAACATGGTTTGCTGAATGTCACTGATTTGTCTCTACCACACAGCTGGCTTCTGAGGCTTATAATGGGCAATTAGGACAGGAAGGAGTTACTTAAGTTCTTTTTAAGGTAACATTAATTAGATTCATCTCTTACCACATGGTGAGGGTCATGGTTATTACATTTACCATTTTGGGTTTGGTGTTTAACCTCTTTATTGTGGATTGGTTGGTCCTGGACATTTTCAGATTTAGTTTTGTGGTAGGATGTTTTGTCTGTAGTTTGCGTGTGTATTTAGAACTGGAATGAAGTGTACTTTTTAAAACTACGACCCCAACAGCAAAAAGGATTTTACAAGCACTTTTGGCCTTCATTGTTAGAGTGTCTTCTTGTTCTATGAGGAAATAAATTTGATCCTTATCCTGGAATTAAAAAAAATCCTTGAATGTATTTTTTGTTGTTCTTGTTGCAGCAAATGCAGATATCAGCGATTTTCATGACGAGTTTGCTTATTTAGGGGAGAACATTTTCTAAATCACGTAAAGCTTAACATTAACAGAAGAAAATTTGAAAATTAAAATTTTAAGAGTGAAATTCTAGACCTTTCACAAAGTTACAGGCTGAATCCAGCTGGTCTGTCCTGTCCAGTCACAGGAATTCCCGCTTACTATTAAACGAAATTTTCCTTCCTTCTTCCTCTCCTTTCTCTTTCCTTGCCTTTTCCTCTCCTCTCTTCTGGCATATTTCTCTCAATTGAACAGTTTCTTAGTTTTTTACCACCAACCTCAAAGGATCAAGTGTGAATGAAGTAATTGCTTTATTTTAGGCTCTTTATTTTGCCCCATCAGCCCCATTTAAAACTCTGTCTCATCCTCCTACCACATCCCAGATATTGTTTTCTTCTTTAGGGGACAAGCTTGGACTGGAACTGAAAGATGTGATTACCAGGGTCTTGTTCTAATCCTAGCTTTACCATCAACTGAGACCAACCCAGATTCAATTCTGCTTTTGTGGACTACCAGGATACTGAGTGTGTATGTGTGTGTGTGTGTGTGTGTGTGTGCGCGCGTGCGTACATGCATGTGTGTGTTTGTGTTTGTTAAAACAATAACAATTCGGCAAGCATAGGATAAGGCATTGGTTTTCACTGTTTACTGTCATCAGAAATGCCAGAGATGTGTATTTAAATGCAGAGTTTTCAGCCTGCTCACAGTGTTCACAATTCAGATAATTTGGGAAGGATCCAGGACTCTGCATTTTTTGTTTGTTTGTTTGTTTGTTTGAGACAGGGTTTTGCTCTATTGTCCAGGCTGGAGTGCAGTGGCATGATAACTGCTCATTGCAGCCTTGAACTCCTAGGCTCAAGCAATTCTCTTACCTCAGCTACCTGAGTAGTTGGGACCACAGATGTGCACCACCATGCCTGGCTAATTTAAAAATTTTTTTGTAGAGACAGGGTCTCGCTATGTTGTCCAGCCTGGTCTTGAACACCTGGGCTCAAGTGATCTTTCTGCCTTGGCCTCTCAAAGTGTTGGAATAACAGGCATGAGCCATTGTGCCTAGCTGAGACTCTGCATTTTTAACAGACAACTGGTGGGCCACATGTTCTTTGAGAAACAGTGGATTTGGGGACTTTAGTTATTATTATTTTCCATCTCACGGTAGCAGCATTTTTCAAAGTTGGGCCAATTTGAAATGACTGTTTTATCAAACTGTAGACATTTTGTTTTCATTATAATGTGCTCTCTAAACACCTCATATCCAAACATTAAGAACAAGTGGGCTTCATCATATTCTGGACTGGTCAGAACTAGCCAGCAAGGGTACTATATTGTGTTTTAGGTGTCATCCTTGAAGGATAGAATAAATCAGCTGTCGTGTTCTCAGTGAAAAGTGGAAAGAAGTTTTAAAGGATCTGCAAAATAGAATTATGAGACAGAGGAAAGAAAGAAACAGACAATCTGATCTCTATCTTCATCGGCCAGGTAAGATTTGAAGTGTTTAAAGAACGGGATTCAGTTTGGTTACAAAAGAGTAGCTGGGTCCCAGGGATGGGTTTTTCAGTTAGGATAATCTGAACTACATTTGAGAGAGAATTTCTAGCAAACTGCCTGTCCAAGGATCTCATGGCTGGCCTTGGAAGGTAGTGAGCTTCCCGTTATTGGAAGTGTTCCAGCAGACATAGAGAATAGATTCTGCAGTGACTAAAGGATTGGATAAGATGTAGAACTAGACCTCAGAAGTTTTCTTCCAATGATGAGATGCTATAAATTTTATGAACAACATACTTAAAATAGCTTTAAGACACTCTACACGAATTCGAGGCTGAAATAAGACTAGTTAAACTATAATCAGTCAATTGATTATTAAAACCAAGCACAGACTTACACCCACTACATACACTTATGCTCACAAATGATAAATGCCAGGATAGTTTGGATTGCCTTTGAAGTTTATTATTTGCAGGTGTAGAAGCTCTTAAGTTTTAGTTTGTAGTGTTTCTAAAAGTGAGGCATTCTCTTGAACTGTCTTTGATGATTTGATGTTCATACATTATGTCTGCTGTGAATTTGGAAAGCACTGCAGAATCACTTTTTCAAAGATCAGAGGAATGTGGGATAGAATAAATTAAGTTTCTGGCTAATATTTGGTATTCTTCTTTAGGGATATGCTTTCAGAGATCTGTTTCTGGAAGGAGAAGGGAAGTCATGACATTTTATGTGAACTCAACTGGGCAATGTGAGGTTTTCCTATCATTAGCTAATAATATACATTTAAAGTCACATGGAAGTGTGTTGCCTGTGATCTGAATTTTTATTCCTAAATAAATTAGAGATTAAAATCTGTGGTTTCCAGTTCAAGGGTAGGGTACCAAAAAAAATTGTCTGATGTGGGTTTTTATGTCATTAAGAAAGGCGGCAACAGCTAAGTATTATTGGCTTTTCCCTTTTCTTGGTTGCACTGGTCCTTTTCCCTTATCTTGAAAGGCGGTAGTAAATGTTGACTTTTTGCCTCTAATTCACCTCAATGATTGTACATTTTAACATGTTTTAAGATAGGTGGTTTTAGCCCCTACCTTATTTTCCTGGTCTCTTGCTTCCACTGCTCTGGTTCCCAAGAATCAAAATTGAGGCCAGATGTATGTTAACATCAAGAAACTCTGACTGGCGCTCTTGTTCTCTCCCTCCCCAGATATTAATGCAAGAAGGGAACTAGGACACCAGGAACAGCCACTGTTAACATTCTCCTATAATTTCTGCCTGTTATTCCTCTGCAAGACCTTTATGAGAGCTGAATGTATTTTTGTTCTGTGTTTTAAAATTTTAACATTTAAAGGCAGTGCTTTCCTGTCACATTGTAAGTCTCTGAAAACATTGTATATAAATATATAGATATATTGCATATTTGTTTTCAATTTTAAAGTGGGATTTTCTTGCACAAAGGTTTGTATACAATTCTATGGCCAACTGACCTATCTATGTATCCATATATATATATATATATATATATATATATATATATATATATATATATTTTCCTAATTATGAAATGAGAAATGAAAATATGTAAAGTGTAAACTATATAAACAACAAAAACAAATGAGAATTTGTAAAATATAAAAATCATAGTAACTTAGCATCCATAATAAAATCTCTATTAGTGTTTGTAAGTACCAAGTCTTTTCCCCTCCATATTTAGACATATAATTTATTCAATTATTGATTAGAAATTATAGGTAAAAATCATCCAAATCATGCAAATTCTGAAAAACTAGAAATAGCAGCTGTTAACAGTATTGGTATATGTCCCTTCATATACTCAAATACATATATATATGCCCAGTATTATTTTCTATTAATTTTTAAATAACTTTTTTTACTATAAAAGTGATTCATATATAATTCAGAACCCCTGGAAAATATAAAAATGTAAACAAAAAATGGACTGAAATATTTCCACTCAAACATAAACCAATCATTTTTACCAATTCTTCCAAATATGTACACTTATGTCTGTAAACCCCACACTTTTCAAAAAATAAAAATGACACAAGTATATATTGCTTTGTGGCTTTTTAAAAAATATTTAGGAATGTATCAAACATTTTTGTGTTAATAAATGCTCAATAAAATTTGTTTTGGTATGAATTTTTTTTTTTAAATCTCATTCCTGACTCTAAACCTCACTTTGAGATTTCCCATCTGTGCCTCTGTGTAATTCGTTTGTAGTGATGGTCCACTTTACTAATTATCTCTTCAGTTGCACTTAATCAGCTGTATTACTCACCTACTGAATATCTAATTTGAAATACTGTGTTTTTATATTTCTAGGAACCCTGTTTCTATTTTTATTTTAGGAACCCTGTTTACATCTTCTTAAAAGTTGTAAGTCATTTTTAATATATTATCCTTTAATATGTCCTCTTTTACTTTTAAACTTATTAAACATTTTTATTTTATAGTCTGTATTGGATAATCCCAGTATCTGTAGACTTTGTAAGTCTGCTTCGACTGTTTGTTCTTTTTGATGACTCTTGTAAATGTTGACTTGTTTCTGTATGTGCTTTGCGATCCCACCCCACTCCCCATTCTCCCAATGTAAGCTCATGTTTCTAGGAACTTTTTCTCTGGGAATTCTTTGAGAGCTTAAGGTGAATCAGTTCAGAAAGAATTTGTGTTTTCTTCTGTTTGATGCATTAAAGGCACTCTCAACCCATGTCCACATCAGGTTGAATTATTAGCTTGAGGTTTTTGGGTGGCTACACCAGCAGTAGGAATTCAGGTCATCCCCAGTTTATTAAGGGCAAGTGTCCGGATATAAATTCTCAGGGGCGACTCTTTCCTACCTAGATCCATGTAGATCCATGTGTGAGACAGTCACATTTTCTGACCCTCTCCCTGTGTGACTTGGGTCAGTATTTTTTCTATTAGTTCAGCTGTTAAGGGTAGGATGTCCCAGCTTTTTGCAGAGGTCTTTGATCTGACTTCCATTTTTCACTTGATTTCTGCTTTTAAAAGCCAAAACTCAAGGTCACCTGGGATTATTGGGATATAATCGGCTGACAGACTCCCTAGTTTATTATTGTTATTTTTTTCTTTTCCGAGTTGATTTCTTGATTACTTTTGCTTCTTGGGAGATTCATGACTTTTGCCAACTTGGGTAAACATTTACAGAGGTGGAGGTGTGTGCTTATGTATGCATACACACACAGCAGTTTTACATGTTTTTGTGCTAGAAGAGTTTTCACTGTATTTTGCTCTTAGTATTCTGGGAAAAGACGTCTATAGTGTGACTTTTAAAATAGCAGGACATATTTTGTCCTTCAAATATATTGTTATTAATAAGATTTTTTTTTTTTGAGATGGAGTCTTGTTCTATTGCCCAGGTTGGAGTGCAGTGGCACAATCTTGGCTCACTGCAACCTCCACCTCCCAGGTTCAAGTGATTCTCCTGTCTTAGCCTACCGAGTAGCTGGGATTACAGGTGCCCACGACCACACCGAGCTAATTTTTGTATTTTTAGTAGAGATGGGGTTTCACCATGTTGGCCATGCTGGTCTTGAACTCCTGACCTCAGGTGATCTGCCTGCCTTGGCCTCCCAAAATGCTGGGATTACAGGTGTGAGCCACCGCGCTCGGCATCTTAAATTAATACCACTTCTCGAAACCTTAGGGTTGCTTTCAATTTCCCGGATATAGTTTTGTAATGATTGTCTTCAATAGGTATGTTAGCACAGATTGCTGTTTCTTTTCCAATGATAAACATCTTGAAGTAGGATTGCTAGGTCAAAGGGTGTGTTTGTCTGGCTTTTGATACATATTGCCAAAATCATCCTTCAGGGACAGGATGAGATTTTTCCATACTGAAACCCCTGATCACAGTGCTCGAAAGTGCAGCAACTTCATTAAACTGAATATTATAAATTTAGAAAGATTATCAATGTGTTGGGGGCAATGGCATTTTATTTTTAAAATTAGATTATTTAATCACTTTAAGTTAGGCACAATTTTTTCTTATGCTCATCGATCATTTGTATTTCATAAATTTCTTGTGGATGTTTATCAACCATTTTTCTATTGGGATGCTCATCTAAAAATTTACTTGTTTAAGCTATATATTTAATACATATAATTTTCGTTTTTAAACTTTAAGAATGTTAACAGTTTATGATGTGATATAAAGCATTTTTTCAAATATGCATTTGTTTAATATAATGAAGCTTTGAATGTTTAGGTAGTGCATTAGGCCATTTTTATACTGCTGTAAAGAAATACCTAAGACTGGGTAATTTATAAAGAAAAGAAATTTAATTGGCTCACAATTCTGCGGGCTCTACAGGAAGCATGGTGCTGGCATCTGCTCGGCTTCTGGGGAGGCCTCACAAAATTTACAGTCATGGCAGTAGGTGAAGGGGGAGGAGGCACCTCATGTGGTGAAAACAGGAGCAAACAAGCACCACTGAAAGAGAGAGAGAAAGGGAGAGAAGGAGTGAGTTAGTTGGGGTGAGGTGACACATACTTTTAAATGACAATATCTTGAGAGAACTCAGATCACTTACCACCAAGAGAATGTTCCAGAACCATTCATGAGGGATCTGTCCCCATGATCCAAACACCTCCCATCAGGCCCCAGGTATAACACTGGGGATTACATTTCAATGTGAGATTTGGTTGGAGACAAATATCCAAACTATTTTAGGTAGTTACCTTTATCAGTCTTTTCTTTGGCCTTATGCTAAAATAGCCTCCTCTCAATCTGTGACTATATAAACATTCTACTGTATTTTCTTCTAGATCTCTTAAGGCTTTATTTTTCATACTCAATTCTAATGCATAAACATTTGTTTATGTGCTATAAAGATTTATACCTTATACCCCTGTGAATTTATTTGAGTTGGCTTGCCTGTGTACCTATTTGGAGGTGTGATTTGGATCAACCCAAATTATTTGGGATTTTTTTTGTGTGTTGAGTCTGTAACTTTTGAATATGTAATTACCATGGCATGGAATTGGTAATATAGATGTTTGCACAGGCAATGGTGAACTCCAAATTCATGATGGAACAAGCAGGTGCGTGTGTTAAGGAAGAAGGAATAAGTTAAAGGATGTGCCAAGACAGAAAGTTAATTATAATGCTTAACCTTTAGGGATCATTTCCCCAACATTTTGTATGTTTCTTTTTCTTCCTAATGGCCATTGGGAATGGAATGTGTGGGATTGACTAGGAAGGCTCTTGCATCATCAGGATTTTCAGTGACTTGAGAAAGCTGGGAAGATTATATTACCAGCACTTTGTGTCTTGTGTACAGCCTTTTGCATGCATGCATGAATGAAGAAAATCATTTGACAGGAAATAGTTGTGTTAGAATACTTGTGCTTTTGGGCAAACCAATTCTTCAGTTCATTTTTCATTTCTAGTGGCTATATGCCTTCATTAATTCCTCCTTTTATTGTTCAATTACCCTTTATTGAGCACTGTCTATATTGCCAGGCACACTGAGCATTAGGATAAAAAAATAATTATAGTGCTGGCTTTATCCTCAGGAAGCTCAAAGTCCAGCAGTTGTCTCATAACTGAATAGGGTTTAGTGTGATGAATGTTATGACTTATGTGCAAGGTACAGAGGTGATGGCATATAGCAGGGCACACCAACACACTGCTGATGATGTGTGTGTGGCAGTGATTAAGGAGACTCCTGAGACATCAGCTGGACATTGGAAGATTGAAAGATAAAGGGAGTTCACCTTGTGGATAGGCAGTGGAAGAAGGCATTTTAATTGTGAAAACAGAATATGGAAGGCATGAAGTAACATGATGTTTTCTAGGAACTCCAGGTAGTTTTGTTGGTAAATAATGTTAAGACTTGCTAGTGGATGAGGCAGAGGCTGGATCAGGGGAGGTCTTGGGGAATGTACAAAGGAATCTGAAGTTTGCTTCCTCCTTCCCAATTCTTCTTTTTTTTTTTTTTTTTTTTTTTTTTTTTTTGAGACAGGGTCTCACTCGTTGCTCAGGCTGGAGTACAGTGGTGCCATCACAGTATACTGCAACCTCCACCTCCTGGGCTCAGGTAATTCTCTCACCTCAGCCTCCCGAGTAGCTGGGACTACACAGTCACACACCACCACACCCAGCTAATTTTTTTCACCATGTTGCCCAGGCTGGTCTCCTGAGCTCAAGTGATCCACCTACCTGGGCCTCCTACAGTGCTGGGATTACAGGCATGAGCCGTCACGCCTGGCCCACCTCCCTCCCAATTCTTAACAATTGAAAGGATTTCCACAATTTTGTTAGATCATTGCAGGAGGTTAAATTGGAGAGAGACAGAGAGAAATGAAATGAGATTAGAGCTAGAGAACTTTTTTTTTTTTTTTTTTTTTTTTGAGACTTTGTCACCCAGGCTAGAGTACAGTGTTGTAATCATGGCTAACTGCAGCTTCGACCTCTTGGGCTCAACCAATGCTTGCGCTTTAGCCTTTTGAGTACCTGGAACCACAGGCACACGCCATCACACCCAGCTATGTTTGTTTGTTTTTTGTAGAGATGGGGTCTCACTTTGTTGCCCAGGCTTGTCTCAAATTCATGGGCTCAAGTGATCCTCCCACTTTAGCCTCCCAAAATGCTGAGATTACAGGCATGAGCCACCGTGCTCAACCAAGAATGGATTTGAATCTATTAAGTTGGAATGTTGGACTACATTCTGGAATGGGATGCATAATTAAGTATCACCAGACTATAAGTGTCTGTGGAATTGATTGGTATGGATAAGATGGCCTAAGGAGAGTAAGCAGAAGTAGAATAGGAAAGGGCCAAGTACAGAGCTTGGGGGTAAGCCAACATTTCCTAGTCATCAGAGGAAGAGGATCCTGCAAAGAAGCTTGAGAAAAGGCTATCACAAAGTTGGATAAGAATCAAGGGAGCATGGTGTTGTGAGTAGGGCAAAATTAAAACGAGTGATTAATGATGCAAAATGCCAACAGAGGGTCAAGTAAGATGAGGACAGAGAAAGAACCTTTTTAGAGGTCAGTGATCTTAAGGTTTTGAGTTGGGGTGGAGGAAGCCATGGTTCATCATATAAAAATGTAAAAGCAATAAGCACAGTTTCTTCAGTATCCTGGGCCTTGAAAAGGGAGGATGGGGTAGGGGAACGAGAGAGAAGGAAGAAGTTGGGGTCAAGGGAGTACTTTTTCTTTCTTGAATAGGAAACCTAGCATGTTTATATTCTGAGGACTGGGAAATGAGGAGAGAACAAAACTGAAGCCACAGAAGAGAGAATAATTGAATGAAGTAAACTGCAGTGCAAAACAAGATGTGGCCAATTGAAGACTAGGATGAATGGGAGAGATATCTTGCAAAGTCATTGTTAGCCAAAATTGGTGACGGTGACTATCACTGGAGGATCAAGACATGCATTTCACAAATGTTTATGAGCACAAAGAACTATGGCAGCTGTGTACTGGGTGAAGGATGGAGCCTTGATTATGCCCTCATGGAATGATTAGTTTTTCTTAAGTCTGAGTTGTTGGGATGAACTTCATTGAAATAGTTAATGTGACTTTGACACTACTAAGAGTATGAATATTACATGTTAGTTGGAATAGTGGTCCAAGACATATGCAAATAAATTCAGTTATTTCTGAGTTATGAATTCTGAGCCCAATTATTTTTACCATTATATTTTTGTTTCTGTGAGCCATATAAATCTGAGATACAGCTGGAGGTTTGGGGGAATAATTCCTAGGATATGTGGCTGCACCATCTCCCCTTAACTCCCACAAAGAATGGTTTGGTTTTCATGGTCCGGCTCCTTGGGATGGTGGAGGAGGAAGCTTCTGACCTGGCCACACTGCATTGGCTCATGGGTGACTGCCCTTTCTGTGATTGCAGCCACCACTTTTTAGTCCCTGATCCCCAAATAATAGTTCACTGTACTTATCTTACCCTCCCCAAAGAGAAGGAGATTTTCCTTCCAAATAAGAAAACTCTTTAGGGCATCCTCAGGGATGCCTATGTGTTTGTAACACTTTTAGCACCCAACATAGCCCTTTCTCTTTTGATTTGTGGTTCACTCTATTAAGCAAATTACATTCATTGTCCCTAGAGAATGGGTTCTAAGTAGATTTGTGTGCCACCCTGCTGGTCTCACTCTTGCGGGCTTTTACTTGAGATGCGAGGGTGCATGTGTTGACTCTGTCTTACCGTGGAGTGTTCTGGCTTGCCTACTAAACTCCAGGGATAGGGACAGCCATAATCCTGCCTTCTCTGTTTGTGACTGAATCTCTGTGGTTTAAATACTTTATATAAAACTTACACATTTCAGCTGATTAATAACAGCTATGCAGGAACATTCAATTCTGAGGCAATTTTAATGTAGTCGTTGATAAAATACAAACTATCATAATAAAACTGTTTAATTTACAGTTGATTCCACAGGATCAGGGGATTTCCATTTCAAATGGGCTCCTGATGATCTGCCTGGATTCCCAGAATTTCTCATCTGGGTATACAAATTAGGTTTCTTGTAACCAACACTTCATATTTTATTTATTTATTTTTTTTGTAGAGATGGGGTCTCACCATGTGGACCAGGCTGGTCTCAAACTCCTGGCCTCAAGCAATTCTCCTGCCTCAGGCCCACAGACTGCCGGGATTACAAGTGTGAGCCACCATGCCTGGCTCCCTTCATATTTTAAAGAGAAGTTACACCTACAGCGCTTTCGACTTTTGATGGACACATCTTTCTAGAGCATAGTTCTTGCATTCCTCTTTTACTGAAAGTTGTTAATTGCTTTGTTCCATTAGCCTTAGCAGGAAAAATCCTATCTCTGGAGTTTTAGGTCCCTTGGTTTATCTTAATTTCGATTAGGAATAAGAGAATACCTACCTATTCAGCTCTCAAACAGCAATGAATATTGCACTGTGTTCATCCTCATTACCTCCCATTATTAGTTTACATTCTGGGACACTTTTTCTATCTTTAATGATAAGTTCATTCAGAAATATGTTCCCACATTGAGCCATACTTCTGGTTTTGTGTGATTAACTTTGGCACCCCATGAGTAGTGTCTGTTAAAATTAAATGCTTGTTTTGCCTCAAGAGAGCTAGAATACATACACATATTACCGTGATTTACTGTTAAGTGTGCAGATTGAGGTGGTTTAGAAGTTTAAAATTGGTTTCCGAAGGGAAATTTACAAGAAAAGTATAACAGATGAATATGTGATTAGAACTGCATTCCTTTTTTAAGTAAATTAAACAGTTTTATTATGATAGCTTGTATTTTATCAATGACTACATTAAAATTGCCTCTGGAATTGAATGTTCCTGCGTAGTTGTTATTAATCAGCTGAAACATGTAAGTGTTATATAAAGTAAAAAGAGCTATAAACCAAGGAGAAAGTCTGAAGATAGAACTTTAAAAAACCACTGTTATTTCCAGGTAAAATATTTAATTTCCAAAGAAGGTTAGCATATGTTAAAAGCTAAATCTTGTTCTGCATTTGTTGGCTACATTTATATGAATTTTTATATGGAAGTTCCTATCCAGGGTATTTATTAGTCATTTTGGAAGTTTTTATCCAGGGTATTGATTAGTTGGCATCTTATATGTTCTTTCAGAAGCTGTATGTATTATTTTTAAAAATAGAATTCTAATTGAGCTTTTAATCTGTCTGCTGAATCAGGAACATTACATGACTTTCTTTGGAGGGGAAGGAAGCCAGTGGTTAGTTTTAGGTATAAAAGAGATCTTCAAGCACGGTCTTTTTAACTTCTTGTTTCTGTATTATTTCAGGAAATAGAGGCAGCTTTCCCTACATTAGATTGTTAGCACAGAATAACAGTAGAAGGGTTCAGAAATGAAGCTAAAAGGAAATAAGAGACCAGCATGATGCTGGAGTTCCCCTAGGCCAGTCAAATTATGTTCAGGCCTTTAGTCCATCTGGATGTTAGTTCTATGTATGATATGAAGTTGGGGTGTCTGATTAGGTATATTTTTCCTTTTGCCTTAGAACCATTTTTTTTTCCAGTCCCTTTATGTCCCCACTGTAATGTCATGTGTATCATTTATGTAAGACTGTTTTGAAACTTTGTGTACCTCTGAATGTCTAGCCTGGAACAATTGTCACATTACCTTCATTACATGGCTTTTAATATGTCTTACTCATTGGTAGGTCAAGTCCTCTACTTCTATTCTCTTAATTTGTCTTGGCTATTTTGGTCCTTAGCATTTCACTGGAAATTTAGGAGCAGGTTTATCTATAGACTTCCTTGGACTTTGAATTTAAATAATCATTTTGATTGCAAATAAGGGCAGTTTTGACTCTTTCACTCCTTACATGTTATTTATTGTTGTCTTGTTTCATTGAATTAACTAGGCTGTCTAGAACTGTGTTGAATAGTAGGAGTAATAGTGAGATTCTTGTTATTCCTGATATTGAAGAAAATGCTTCTAAAGAGAACCCTATTCCTTTTTGAGGAGTATTATTTAAAACAGCTCAGCATTTCCATGTGTTTGATTTTAGCATATTAAAACATAGGAAACATGCAGTGAACAAAAGGGGTTATTATGAGCTTAGTGTACCAGCTGTCTTAAGGTTTTCATTGTTTTAGAGGCATTTAGTTAGATTTAATTCTGACTCCAAAATGACCGACCTCTCTGGAGACTGTATTTTGTAGGAGAGAATAAGAGTATTTCCATTTTAATGGAAAAGTGGCAAAGCTTCCTTCCACTTCGTAATTTTTGTGGACAGTATTCCAGCATTGTCCAACAGATTTTTGTGATAATGGAAAATGTATTTCTGCACTGTGCACGTAGGAGAGCAACTATCATATTGGACAGTGTGGGCCTAGACTTTGGAGTTCTAACCATGCCCCATTTACTAGCTGCACAGGTTCCTGCCTGGTTTCAGAAGGCTTATTCTTTTGGGCTAGCACAGCTCACACTGAGGCACGTGGCTGGGGGAGTAGAGCAGTCCTTGCTGGATTGCAGCCATGGCTCTCCTTTTAGCCTGATGCCTTTGTGCAAGTGAGCAGCTGGCACCATTGACAAGGGTGATCCTGGTGACTACCTCTGGAGGCTCTGGACCCTGACTGCTGAAACAGGAGAAAACCCTGGCCCCATGCCCCTAAGAAGTCACCCGATCAAAGTGGAGCCTGTTGTTTCCCTAGTCACAAGTCAATACTAAGAGATTTGGCTAGTGACAAGGAAATTTTTCATGTTAGAATTCTTGTACCCAGCTCTTTTTAGAACTGGACTACTGTTCTCCCATATTCAGGAGGCCATGAACCAACCAGTAGATTGTTTATTGTGCTTGCTGATTTATGAAAAAACTTCTTTGTACAGAGCTTCTGAAAGGGGTAAGAGAAAGGGAGAATAGCAGTGTTATGGACTGAAGAATGTGTCTCCCTGAAATTCATATGTTGAAATCTCAGTCCCCAAGGCGATGGTATTAGGAGGTGATTAGGTCATAAGGGCTCCGCCCTCATGAATGAGATTAGGGGCCTTATAAAAGAGACCCTACAGTCGGTGTGTTGACTCACACCTGTAATCCCAGCACTCTGGGAGGCTGAGGCAGAAGATTTGCTTGAGCTCAGGAGTTTGAGACCAACCTGGGCAACACAGCAAGACCCTGTGTCTACTATTAATAAATATTTTAAAAAATTAGCCTGGTGTGGTGGCGTGTGCGTGTAGTTTCAGCTTCTTGGGAGGCTTAGGTGGCAGAATCACTTGAGCCTAGGAGTTTAAGTCTATAGTGAGGTAGATCGCGCCACTCCAGCCTGGGTGACAGCAAGACCCTGTCCTAACATGCTCTTAGGAGTTTCATAAATGTGACCCCAGAAGAGCTCTCTAGCCCTGTTTCCACTTATGAGGCTAAATTGAGAAGATCGCAGACCACAACCCCGAAGAGGCCTCATCAGAGCCCAACTTTGTTGTCACCCTGGTCTTCGACTTCCAGCCTTCAGATCTGTAAGAAAGAAATGTTTGTTGTTTAAGCCACCCAGTCTGTGGTAGCTTTCATAGCAGCCTGAACTGACTAAGACAAGTGGATAGCTGTCTGGTTGTTTTAGAAAGCAGGGCTGCATGGTGTGGGGATGCTGCTGCTACTCATTCCTGCTCATTCCAGTGTTCTGGAAAATGAGGTAGGGTGGGGGAGGTCTGAACCTTCTAATTTATTTCTAGCTGTTCTTTTTTAGCAATTAAAGCATTCGTTGGACACCAGTTGCTTTTAATTCAGTTCCATCTGCACTGTACTTAATAGATATTACTCCCAGGTTCTTATAAATGGCTGGTTGTTATTCTTGGTTTCAGAGCTATTTTGAGTTTTTGTCTTCATTTGTATTTTGACTGGAAATTGGGTGTGGACATATTGGGGAGTTGGGGCTGACATCATCTTTATTCAGAAGTCACTTTATGACCATGTGCGGGATATATTAATTTCACTACAGCTTTTGATCTTAATAAAATGTCTCTGGGTTGAGCTGACTGATCACGAAGATTTTAAACTTTAATGTTTCCTAAGAGGATTGATACAGCCATCCAGAGAATAACATAGTATATAGGAGTTATCTTTTGACAGATCAAGTTCCATTTCCAAATGATATAAAACCCACCTGTGTCCACATCCTTATGCCTTCTTTTGAATCTATGATTTGATAACTTAAGAAATCTATCTATGCATTAGATATTGCCTTTCCGGTAGAGCTATGGTGTGATCTTATGCTCATGAACAGAAAATGAATTTAAGAATCCTCAGACCTATTGTCCAGTTCTTTTCTTTAAGAAGAACTTGCTATTGACTTTGTCAAAACTAAATCTGTTGCCTTGGGCGACACCCTCCAAAATTCAGATTCAGATGGATTACACTAATAGCTTTATGCTACAGATCAAGTCATATAATGTGAAGGTACAATTGCAGCTCCCTTATTGTTGTAGACGCTTGCCGGGATGAAGTTCTCAAACTTAACATGCTCTTAGGAGTTTCATTAAACATGTGTGTGTATTTTTAATGTCCAGGATTTATAAATGGTAACACCTGCCCTCAGTTCTTTTTTGCACTGGTCCACGGTGTTTCAGTTACAGTCTTTATTGAATAATTCAAAAGTTCTCTCCTGAAACAATATTTCTGGCAGTCCTTATAATTGACCAGGTGGAATGACCTTCAGTTTGGATGAAAGTCCAATTTATTTATTTATTTAATAAAATTCCAAATTTGCCTTTTCTGCCAGGTATTAAAAGCACTTAAAACTTTTTCTAATCAACAATACTGAACACTTCAGACACTTATCAGAGACTTTAGTCTTGAATTATGTATTATTTTAAATTATTATTTCCAGTTCTATTAAAGGCCATGTGAGGCCACTGATTTTTTAAATGGACAGTTTAGTGAGTGGTTCTTAAAGTGTGGCCCCATGAGCAGCACCAGCATCACTTGGAGATTTGTTAATAAATGCAAATTCTTGGATCCACCCCAGACCTACTGAATCAGACATGCAGTGGGGTGGGGCTCATACATCTGTGTTTGAACAAGCCCTCCAGTGAATTCTGTGTGCCACATATTACAATTTGAGAACCACTGGTGTAATGCAGTAGTTAACACACCTAGCTTTCAACCTAGACCCACTTTGGGTGCTTGTTAAAATACAGATTCTTGGTTCTCTCTCGCACAGCATCTTATGCACCAGCTTTGGAGAAGACACAGGACTCAGTGTTACTATATTCTGCAGTAAAGCTTGCTCTGCTCACCTTATATCATATTAGATCACTTACTAGCAATAAATGTAGAATATAATACGTTTGTTCTAGTCCAAGTATCTGTGAAGAACTCTGATTTAAGATAATGGCATGTAATCAGACATACGCTTCAGAATTAAGGAGACTTAAAAAATACAGATGTCTAGTTTCTACTAAATAAAAAACTCTGTTAAAAGTCTGGTTTTGTTTTGTGTTTAAGTTTCATGGGTGCTATACCATCCAAGAACCATTTATTTTTATCTTCAGCTTTCATTGAGAGTTGATAGGAGAAGAAATAGCCATATTAATATTTTTGTATATTTTATACCATTTGATAACTCTTACTAGGAATTAGTAGAAGAAAATAACATCTCTCTCTCTCAATAGTTAATACGCAACTCTTCATTTTCCCTTTTGCTTTGGTTACCAGAGAGCTCAGAGTAAAATTTTGCACTCAGTTTTGAAATACCTATTTCCCTTGCTTACTTTAATCCATGACTCTTGTTCTTTATAATCTTCTGTAACCTATCTGAAACTTATTTGGAAGTAGATGGGGCCCCAAAACTAAGTAAATGATGGAATATCTGCCCTTTGCTTTGAAATGGGCTTCTTGATTGACTCTTTCCCAGCTTGGGGTCAGTGTCTTCTTTATATCATCCTTCCTTTCATAGACACAATACAATTGTTGGTAGCCTCACTGTGAAAGAGTTAATGTTTCCCAATACCAGGCACTGACATAGGCAGTAGGAAAAATCTGGTTCATTTTGTTTCAAAATACACCATACCACGAATAAGTACAAACAGCTGCAATTTGGGCTTGGGGCCAAAAGAAATCAGTGTGGTGCTATGAATTCCAGCTGAGAGGAGGAGTTCATGTAACTTAGATCAGAGATCAGTCTCTGTAACGAGACCATCAGACCCCAGAAGGGGAAGGGTCCTTGTATGTCACTTCAGTTACCTCCATCGCTACCACCAAAAGAAACTGGGGTAGTTCTTTGGAGAGGTGGCCTTTTAGAAATCTAAAATTATACCCTTGGAGCCGCTTCTCTGCAATTGGCTGAACACATCACATTTTATCCCTTGCCCCCAGCACTGTATTACTGTAAAATGGGGAAATCTGGGAATACAAAAGATTTAGAGACTTGCCACCTGCTCATTTTATCGCTATGACTTGGCTTAAAACAACAGTCGCTGTAACCTCAGCCCTTTGGCACACGCTTCCTTCTCAAGCCCCAGGAAATTCTTGGTCAGGTCGCACCCACAGCCACTGAGTCTGGTTGTTTCTTCTTCTCCCAGATTTTTTAGGGAATATCAGTTTAGTAAAACTTATTTTTTTGTAAGCGGACTCCTTTTGTATCAGAATTCCTTTCCTTTAAAAAATATTTTTATATTTATTATTATTTTTTAAGTAGAGATGGCATCTTGCTATGTTGGCCAGGCTGGTCTCGAACCCCTGGTCTCAAGTGATTGTCCTGCCTTGGCCTCGGAGAGTGTTGGAGTTACAGGCTTGAGCCACCACACCCAGCCCAGAATTCCCTTTCTAATGTCATAATGCCTTATCTCTTTTTTGGAGTGGTCATCAAATCCCTTTTCACACTAGTTAGAAGTTTTCTGTGTGATATTCTCCATTCTCTACATATTTGGACTATCCCACTGTGTTTTTCTGGACATGTAGGACAGCATCTTTCAGGCCCATTAGCAGATAGAAGTCTTTCAAGTGGGGCCTCACAGCTGTTTTTAGGTCTCCGGTTGGTTTTTAGGTCATGTCTCAGACATAGGGGCTTTGTGGCTACTTTGTGGTTTTACTATCTCCTCATAGTTTATTAAAAAAGAGGCTCCTTTTCCCTTCCATTTTCTACTGCTTTCCTGATAAAAGACTTCAGCCATTATTTTTAAAAGTGTCCGCTATTATATTTTAAACCCTTTCATAACAGGAAAACAGGAGTTAACCACTCACATAAGTTAGAGAGGGGACCCCCCTTTTTTGGTGATTTTCATAGTTACTAAATCATTGTGAACAGAGAAAAGTCACTTAATTCCCTTTGCTTCACTTCCTGATTTCTTCAACAGAGTGGTAACATTTGAGATGCTATTCATAGAATTGTATATCAAAGAATGAGGCCAGCTCTTTCTTGGTGCTCCCTCAAGTTGGTAAAATCACGTATGTGACTTCTCAGGAAGCCAGAGTATTTACATATCCTCGACCCAGCTGGGAATAATTCATCCTCTAGTACAATACTAGTTTTCTTTAGATTCCCCTCTATATTTACTGTTTTAGAGAGGTATTGCCAAGAGGGTTTTCAATGAGGAAGAATGGTAATATGCTGGGAGCAGGAAAGGAAATGAAATTAAGCGTCTCATTATTTTTCCCATGCTGAAGTAGATATTAGGATTGTATTCCACAGGTCTTATTTTCTTCCCCCTCCCCACCTCAAAACTTCAGGCAGGATGTATAAGTCTAGACTTAGGTTATATACTGATTTTTTTTAAGCTTTTATCTCCAGTTTAATTAGAGGCTGGTGAAGGAAACTGGGTTTCTTATTTGGCTCTCAAACTTTGAAAATAAACAAAACTTTCATATATTTGAATAGCACATTGTGGGCCAAACAACATCTGGAAGAGATTAGTCTCACTGGTAGGCAGAAGAAATTTCATAATGTACCATCTTCAAAGAACATGGTACCTCGTCACATTTCTCATGTGACATGTATCCTGGAAACAGAAGTACTTAGGGCCACATTGCTGGAGCATCTGCCTTTGTCTTTGTTTTGTGTTTAACATAAATGTGTCTTTCTAATACTATGATATTTCTTTAGCTTTTTTGAAAACACAGCTAAACTTGGTGGTACGATGCTGCCTGCGCTGTTGACTGTGGTCTAGACTTCTCCTTTTTCAGAAGACCTATTTGACTTTTGGCAACGTGCCTCTTAGAGTTTGTGATTTGTTTGAGACATCTTTTCCTGTCTTCTCTAAAATCAGGCACATATGTGTCTGGGGTAGTCATGTACTTTGTAACAGTCACTTTTAGCCAGATCTTGGGGATGTCTATTCTTATGGTTAGTAGTGACACATGAACCCTCTCTTCCACTTAAAATTATTTTATGTAAGATGACTGCTTCTCCTTCTATCCCTGCTCCTTCCTCTCCTCCTCCTCTACTCTGCCTCCCTCAAACTTATAGAAAAGTTGCAAGTACAGTAAAAAAGTGTGAAGAAGCTTTTATCTCCCTAAGTCAATTAAGAGTGAATTGTTTACACTGATGCGCTAACATCTTCAAATACTCTGTTTTTCTCACAAACAAGCACATTCTTCAACATAGTCACAAAGCAACCACTGAAATCAGTAAATTCACCCTATTATCTTACTATCATCTAATTATCAGATCCCATTGAAATTTTCCCATATTGTCACAACAATATCCTTGATAGTGAAGGATCCAGCTCATCATCTTGCACTGTATTTATAATTAGGTCTTTTCTAAGTCTACTTTATTATGGAATAGTTTCTAACTTTTTTCTTGGCTTTTATACCCTTGATCTCTTGATTATAGGCTGTTCATTGTGTAGAATGTTCCTCAGTGGGTTTGTTACATGTTTCCTGTTGATTAAATTCAGATTTCAAACTTTTGGCAGGAACATGACAGAAGTGATATTCTCATTGCATTTTGTCAGGTGGCACACACTGTTGATTTGCTCCATTATTGGTGATGTTATTTTGATCACTTGATTAAAGTGATGTCTTCCAGACTTATTTACTGTACAGTTATTATTTTGCACTTTATGGTAAGTATTTTCTAGGGAAGTGTTTGAGTCTTTGTAAATATCAATTTTTTGGTCAAACTTTTATTTGTATTAAAATGAACTTACGGATTCCTTTTTCATTTTCAAACTTAGAAATAATTAGACCAGTGAGTACCTTTCAAACTAGTTTCCTTGTCCTTTTTACATGTCTGCATAATTCTTTTAAGTGCTGTCTTAACTGTCTGCTCAAGGTAACCAAGGCATCATGTATTTCCCTAATCTGAGGAACAGGCATATCTCCAAGGAGCCTGGCACCTTTCTGTAGAGAATGGTATTAAGAGACGAAGATGTAAGTGTTAGGTGTGCTCATTGTTATTGGGATATCACTATTCCCAGGCTTCTCACTGTGCAACACACACATTGATAACTGTTTTTATTTCTATTTCTATTGAAAACCTCTCTCCTTCTCTCCTGGATTACCTCTTTCTTTCTCTCCTGGTTGACCCCTCACCTTTCAGGCTTTGACACAAACTCTGGGCTACCTTCCCATGGGGACATCCTCTTCACCTCACTTAGACTCTGACACTCTGCGTTGGGCTGCCCTTGGAGCCACTGAGGAACATTCTACACAATAAACAGCCTATAATCAAGAGATCAAGGGTATAAAAGCCAGGAAAAAACTTAAAAACTATTCCATAATAATTTTTAAAAATTAGTTTGTGGTATGAGAACACATGGACACAGGCAGGGGAACATCACACACCAGGGGCCTGTTGGTGGGTGAGGGGCTGGGGAAGGGATAGCATTAGGAGAAATACCTAATGTAAATGACAAGTTGATGGGTGCAGCAAACCAACATAGCACATGTATACCTATGTAACAAACCTGCACGTGGTGCACATGTACCCTAGAACTTAAAGTATATTAAAAAAAAATTAGTTTGTGGTTAGTGGTCATATTTTCTTGTATGCCAGAGTTTTCCATTTAAGGAGAATGTTCTTTAAATATTACATTTTAAAAAGTTGTAAAATAGCGTTTTTCTTTAAGACTTATGCTTTCTTTTAATTTTTTCATTGATAACATAGACTACATATATTTAAAGTATACAATTTGATTTGTTTTGACGTATGCATATACTCTCGAAATTATCACTGCAATGAAGATGGTGAACATATCCAACACTCCTCAGCTTTTCTCCTGTTGTTTGAAATCCTTCCCTCATGTCATTCTGCTCTTATACTCCCAGGCAACCACTTAATTGCTTTTGGTCACTATAAATTAGTTTGCATTTTCTACAGTTTTATATAATGGAATCATACAGTAAGTGTTGTGTTTTGTCTGGTTTATTTTACTCGGCTTATTTTGAGAGTGATAGATAGTATTATACATACCAGTAGTTCATTTGTTTTTATTGCTGGGTAGTCTTCTGTTTTATGGATACATAACAATTTGTCCATTCATTTATGAATGGACATTTGAGCTGTTTCCAGTTTTTGGCTATTTACAGATAAAACTACTAGAAGCATTTGTGCTCAAGTCTTTGTATAGACAACTACTTTATTTTCTCTTGGGTAAATACCTAGGAGTTAAATGGCAGAACTGGATAATTAACTTTTAAAGAAACTGTCAGATTATTTTCCAGACTGATTCTATCTTACATTCCCACATCAGTGTGTGAGAGTTGCAGCTTCTTTAAATCCTCACTGACACTTGGTATGGTTGGTTTTTTCAATTTTATCCATTCTAATAGTCATGTAGTGGTGTTTCATTGTGGTTTTAATTTGCATTTTTCCTAATTGCTCTTCTATGCTTATCTGCCATCCGTATATTATCTTTGGTAAACTGTCCCAATCTTTTGCCCCTTTTTGAATTTTGAAATTTCTTATATGCTTTGGATACAAGTTCCTTATGGACATATACTTTGAAAGTATTTTCTCTCAGTTTGTGGCTTGCCATTTAATTTATTTAACAATGTCTTTTAAAAAGTAAATTTAAATGAAGTTCAGTTTTTCTGTTTGTTCTTTATAGATCCTGCTTTTGATATTTTGACTAAAGAAAAAAAAAAACAAGCTTTTAAAGAATTTAAGTTAGTTTTATCCAGAAGTCTTACTGAGAGCTATAGACTGACTGAGGACTACAGCCTGGGAGGAGTCTTTCAGAAAGGTTCTGTTGGCCAGGAGTGGTGGCTCACGCCTGTAATCCCAGCACTTTGGGAGGCCGAGGTGGGCGGATCACCTGAGGTCAGGAGTTTGAGACCAGCCTGACCAACATGGAGAAACCCCATCTCTACTAAAAATACAAATGGCACATACCTGTAATCCCAGCTACTTGGGAGGCTGAGGCAGGAGAATTGCTCGAACCTGGGAGGCGGAGGTTGCAGTGAGCCAAGATCGTGCCATTGCACTCCAGCCTGGGCAACAAGAGTGAAACTGTCCCAAAAAACAACAACAACAACAACAACAACAACAACAACAACAACAACAAAACAAACCAGAAAGATTCTATCAGACTGCTCCAAAATAGTGTTTCAGCTCACAGTTTATATACAGGTTCAGTGCATATAAAATCACATCAAAGTTTGGGTGCAAGAGTCTATCTAGTTATAGATTACAGAAGTGTAATCACTAACCCTGTCAGGTGTTCTCTTATGTGTAGGAAAAGGCAAGGACTAGGGCCATTTATCTTTTAAGGAATACAGTGACTCAGGCAAGAGCTGGAGGGTGGGAGGCCCTGTTCTCTATTCTGTTTTGTCTTCAATGCACGTTTCTGGAGAGCTACACGTTGTCACAGAGTCAGGGGCTTTGGGAAAGTATGTTGACAAGCAGAAATGAGCAAATATGTCTTCTTACATTTGTTACTTTGGCTCACAGGTATCTTATCTAAGGAAACTTTGCTTACGCAAAGTACACAATGATTTTCTCTTATGTTTTCCTCTAGAAGTTTTATGGTTCTAAGTTTTATATTTAGGTTTATGACCCTTTTCAGTTAATTTTTGTATATGGTATGAGGTATGAATCAGTTGGTTTTTTCAGTTTATATTTTTGCTTATGGATATCTAATAGTTCCACCATGATTTTAAAATTGTGACTTCATATTTAAAAGTGGAGAAAATGCTATACTACACTGTCTTAATCATTTATTATACTTTTAATGTCTCTGACAGGGACAATAGTAATGACCCCTCTTTCAATTTTATTATTAGTCATTTATATCTTCTCACCTTTTTTCTCGACTAATCTGGTTAGAGCGTTAGCAATTGTATTGATGTTCTTAAAGAAACATCTTTTGGATTTGTTTTATAGTTTCTATATAATTATCTACTATTTTATTTTTTCCTGCTTACTTTGATTTTAATTAAATTATCCTTTTCTAGTTTTTGATGGTAAAAGATGAGGTCATTTATTTGAGACTTTTCTTCTTTTCTATTATAGGTGTTTAATGCTATGGTTTTCCTCTTTGGCACTGGTTTAGTGACATCCCACAAATTTTGATATGTTTTGTTTTCCTCTTCATTTAGTTCAAAATATTCAATTCAAAAGATTTTTTAATTACCTCCTTTGACTTCTTTGATTTATAAGGTATATACAGATACATTACTTAGTTTCCAGCATTTGATGATTTTCCAGAGATCATTCTGTTATTGATAATTTAAGTGTGGTCAGAGAACAGACTTTTTATGACTCAAATTCTTTTACATTTATTGAGACTTGTTTTATGGCCCAGAATATGGTCTATATTGGTACAGATTTCTTTTGTTCTTGAGAGGAATGTGTAGTCTGGTGTTGGGTTGAGTCTTTTCAAAATGTCAAATTAGATCAAGTTGACTACTTGTATTGTTCATGTCTCTTATATCCTTACTGATTTTTTCTGTTCTGTCAATTAATGACTGAGGCATATTTATCTCTGGCTATATTTGTGGATTTGTTTATTTATCCAGTTACTCGTTTTTACTTCGTATGTTTCAAAAATCTGTAATTAGATGCATACACTTTTAGGATTGTTATGTCATCTTGATAAAGAGACTCTATCATTATGAAATAACCTTTTTTTTTAAAATCCCTGCTAATATGTTTTGCTCTAAAATCTACTAATCTACTCTGTTAGATTTTAATATTGATACTTCAGCTTTGTTTTGTTTAGTGTTAGCTGGGTATTTCGTTTTTTTATCCTTTTACTTTTAATCTATTTGTGTCTTCATGTTTAAAGTATGGTTCATGTAGGGAGCATATAGTTGTGTCTTGCTTTTTTATCCAGTCTCATAATCTATGCCTTTTAATTGAGTTGTTTAGACCACTTACATTTAATGAGTGTATATATATGTGTTTTCATATGGTTATGTTTAAATCTATCATCTTGCTTTTGTCTATTGTCACATTTGTTCTATTTTTTGGATTTGGTATACTTTATGATTTCATTTTATCTTCTTGTTGGATTGTTAGCCATAATTCTTTATTTTATTTTTAGTGGTTGATTCAGTGTGTGCAGTAGGCTTTAATTTATTGTAGGCAACTTTTAAGTGACATCGTACCCCTTTATGTATAGTACAAGAACCTCACAACAATACAGTATACTTACTTTACTCCCCTGCTTTTTAAAACTTTTGTAATAAACTCTATTGTTATTTTCATTATCTTTTTAGAACAACTTTATTGAGGTATAATTTAATACCATAAAAGCCAGCCATTTAAAATTCAATAGTTTTTGATATATTAAGAGTTCTGCAGCAGTGGCATGTGCCTGTATTCCCAGCTATTCAGGAGGCAGAGACAGGATCACTTGAGCACAGGAGTTTAAGGCCAGCCTGGGCAACAGAGCCAGTCCTTGTCTCCAGATAGATAGATAGATAATGTGCAATCATCACTCCAATCAAGCTCAGAAAATGTTTATCATTCCAAGAGAAACCTCATATTTGTTTTCAATCACTCCCTATTTATCCTCTTCCAAACTCCTGAAAAACACGAATCTACTTTCTTTCTCATAGATTTACCTATCTTGGACATTTCATGTAAACAGGCTTATAGATTTGTGGCCTTTTTTGATTGGCTTTTCACTTAGAAAAAAATGCACAATACTGCATGTTGTAGTATGTATCTTTCTTTCTTTTTTTGTTGCTGCTCAATAATATTCCATTGTTTAAAAATACCATATTTAACTTTATCCTTTCAACAGTTGATAGACATTTGGATTATTTCTACTTTTTGATGATTCTGTAATGCTTCTATGAATATTCTTGGAGAAGTTTTTGTGTGGATATATATTTTCAGTTCTTTTGGGCATATACTTAGGAGTGGAATTGCTGGATCATATGAAAATGCTATTTAATATTTTGAGGAACTACCAGATTTTCACAGTGGCTGCACCTTTTATATTCCCACCAGCAATGTATAAGGGTTCCAATTTCTCCACATTCTTAACCAACACTTGTTATTATGTCTTTTAAATTATAGCCATCCTAGTAGTTATGAAGTGTGAATTTGGCTTTTGTTTCCCTAATGGCTAAAGGATATCCAGTGTCTTTTCATATTCTTGTTAGCCATTTGTCTGTTTTCTTAGAAAAATATCTATTCAGATATTTAATCATTTTAAAATTAGCTTGTCTCTTCATTATTGAATTGCAGGAGTTCTTTATTCTGGATACAAGTCCCTTATGATTTGCAAATATTTTTCTTTCTATGAGTTGTTTTCAATTATATTTTTCAGATACTTATATAATAAAATGGTTTTTATATTTATCCATGTTATTACTATTAATATTTTTGGTATCCTTCATTTCTTTATGAGGATCCATATTTTCATGTGGTATAATTTTCTTTCTGTCTGATGAACTTCTTTTTAACATTTCTTATGGTCCAACGTCTGCTTATGATGAATTCTTTCACCTTTTGTATGTTTGAAAATGTTTTTATTTTACTTTCACCTCTGAACATTTTTTAATGTGTATAAAGTTCTAGATTGATAGTTCCCCCACTTCCCATTATTTTAAAGATGTTGATCACCTGTCTTTTTGCTTGGATTGTTTCTGATGAGAAATCTGCTGTCATTCTTATCCTTGTTCCTCTCTAGGTGTCTTTTTTTTTCTTTAATCCAGTAACTTTAAAGATTTTATTGTTATGGTTTTGTAAATTTGATTGTGCATTTTTCTTTGTTTCCTGTGCTCATGCTTCATTGAGCTTGTTGAGTCTGTGGGTTTATAGTGTTTATTTTTAGCCTTGTTTTTTCACTCTCCCTTTTTGCTTTGGGGACTCCAGTTACGTGTACAGTTGACCCACGAACAATGCAGATCCATTTATATGCATATTTTTTTCCAACCAAATGCAGATCAGAAATATAGTATTCATGGTATGCGAACCCCACAGGTATGGAGGGCCAACTTTATATATATATATATATATACATGTAGGTTCCACAGGGCTGTCTGTGGTGTAACTGCCCAATGGGTTCTCCTTACCTACTCCCCAGGTGGAACTGATTTATCAAGACAGGAGACTTGCAATAGCGAAAGAGTTTAATTCATGTAGAGCCAGCTGAATGGGTGACTGGAGTTTTATTACTCAAATCAGTCTCCCCCCAAATTTGGAGACTGAAGTTTTTAAAGAATAATTTCGTGAGTAGGGGGCCAGGGAGTAGGGAGTGTTATTGGTGGCACTGGAGATGAAATTATTGGGAGTTGAAATATTATATAAACATATATATTATATAAACATATGTATTATACAATTGAATATAATACCTATTATATATGCAATATATTATATAGAATAAACATAATAATTGAATAGATATATAATAGTTGAATTGCATGTAAATGTAGTTTTAATAACAAGGTTGCCAAGTACTGTATTACTGGATGCTTACATTGTTCCTAAAATTATCCTATCATACATGATATTGCATTAAGCATCCTTGTAGCAAATTCTTTGTCCTTTATATTTTTCCCATAGTATAAATTCCTAGTGGTGGAGTTACATGCCTTCTGATTCAGCACACTTTTTAGGATCTTGATGGAAACCATGCATATACACACATTTCCCTAATATTAGCATTCCAGAAAGGTTACAACAGTTTCACCTATACCAGAAATACATTTGAGCGCCTATTTTCCTACTTTGTATACAAACACATCAGAAAACCATCTTTCAAGGATAACTTTCTTATGTTGAGGCAGTTTTAAATCACAATCATTCAAGCACTCAGTATTGATTTTGATTCATTCTCCCAAAGGTGCTTGAATTTTAAGCTACTTGAAACCTTAAATAATGGAAGATGTCTCTGTTAAGAGAACTCTCTGCTGTTGAACACTGTTATTCAGGGCTGAATCACTTTACTTACCACAGCCACAGACTTCTATATTCTGACTAGCTATTTCGACACTTTGTTTCCACCCCCATTGGTCTCTTTTCTTCCCTAATTTTCTTCCCTTCACTTCATATATTCACATTCCTTCTATTTTAGGCCATTTGGGAATTACTTTTTTTTTTTAGAATAGTTAACTTTTTAAATTTTTGTTTTATTTTTAATTTTTGTGGAGACAGAGTTTCACTATATTGCCCTGGCTGGTCTCAAACTCCTGGGCTCAAGCAATCCTCCGGCCTTGGCCTCTCAAAGTGCTGGAATTACAGGCATGAGCCACCATACTTGGCTGAAAATTACTTCTCATGTTAGAAACATGCACTTACTCTTAGAATGAAATATTTTTCAAGACTCATCTGTGGTTGGAAGAGTCTAGCCTGCCCGAAGCTTGGTTATAGAGGTTGTAATTGTCCTTGTTCTGAAAACTACGGACTGAAAACACCCCAGCTTGGCACAGTGGCGCCCTCAGTAGAAATGTATCCACCCTATAGGGTGCTTCTCCTGTAAGTGGAAATCCTAATTCAAATTTATATCTGCATTGCTCTAGGTCCCTATGCAAATGGCTGAGGGTCATGGCATGCACACACAAAGAAGATCAAGAGTTTAGATGACTCTGGAAAGAAACAGGGCAGAATGAAGTCTGTCTCTTACCCAGAGTAGAGTTCTACTTTTCAAGAGGATTTTTTTCAGTCTTCTTTGTGGAATCCTCCTCATTTCCCCTTAAAATGTAGATCTCATTCCTTCTCTTCTTGCTCTCTGTCTTCATGAGTGATCACACTCCCTTGAGCTCAATTTTCTCCAACTCAGAAATCTGTAGTTCCAGGCCTTTCCTGATTTACTACTTCTAAGTAGAGATTTTCTCCCATTTTCTAAGCATTGTAACACAAACTAGCTTGACCTTGAGGCTAAACAGTTTGGCCAATATATCCTTTGCCTTCATAGTGACACTTATTCTAAGATAGTAATCTCCATAATTTGAATTTTACAATTCTTGGTTATTTTGGTAAGTGTCAGGATAGCATTCCTCTCCATCAGGACCACTTCTAAAGTGAAAACTATACAGCTGGGAATACAGTCTTTGAAATTAAGACAGTGTTTACTTATATAAGTTTTGGCCAGTTTCTCCAGCTTCTAGAATACCTGACCTGGCCCATCATGACCTGATAAAATACATGTAAAAAGGCGCAATTGTGTTAATTGTGTTTCTCTCTCTGCAGTCAGTGTGCGCAGGATGGGCTAGTTGTATTTCTTCCTTGGAATGCGTTAGCTCTGTGCCCTGTAGAAAAAATGATAGACTTTTAGACCAATTTGAAAATAAAAGATCTAATTGAAAAGCTGGAGAAGCAAATGAAAAGACTGATCTTATTTGTGGAAAAGGATTTATGAACATGAAATATATTGTATCCTGTGAGTACACTGAAGCAAGATCTTAGGGCTGACACTTTGAGGAAGAGAGGAAAGTAGCCACAGAGAGAGGAAAGCAGCCTGTAGCCACAGGTGGCGATGGTATTTTAAAACAAAACATAAGGTAGTCATTTGGTTTCTCAAATGCATTTCTGATTTCTTTGTTCTGAATCTGCATGTGAAGCAAATGAACCCATAGCCTCCTTCATCCCAGCTGAACCATTTGCTTCACTGTCAGTGAAGGGGGTAGAGTCAGTGGTAGGGATAAGTAACCCAGATAAAAAGTTTAGCATGGCCATGTCTCTGTCATCCTGTTTTCCCCTTTCCTTTTTCTTTTTGATTCTTTAAAACGGAAATTCTGATTTTATCAACTTTAGAAATGAAACAGTATTGATTGGCTCCTTTCTCAAAAGGTGAAGAATGTTCTCCTTTTTCTTGTGATTTTCTGGAGTTTTCATCTTAGCTTATTAGTTACACGTATTTCAACTGTATAGCTTTTTTTTTTTCCTATTAGTTAAAACTGCATTCTTTTTTTTTTGTCACCGTTACTATCACAGGTATTCTGTGCTTATCTGGATTGACAAGCTGCTCTTGCCAAAGGTTTCCTGAGCACATTATTTTGATTTGTCATATGAGTAGTTGTATTATGTGTTTGAACAAATTTTTCAGGGAGAAATATATCTTAATTATACCATATGATCCAGCAATCTCACTGCTAAGTATATACCCAAAAGAAAGAAAATCAGCATATTGAAGAGGTATCTTCACTCTCATGTTTATTGCAGCACTGTTCACAATAGCCAAGATTTGGAAGCAGCCTAAGTGTCCATTAACAGAAAAATGGATAAAGAAAATGTGGTACTTATACACAATGGAGTATTATTCAGCCAGAAAAGGAATAAGATCTTGTCATTTGCAACAACATGGATGGAACTGGAGGTCACTGTGTTAAGTGAAGTAAGCTAGTCACAGATAAACTTTGCATGTTCTTATTTGTAGGAACTAAAAAAATTAATTGAACATATGGAGACAGAGAATAGAAGGATAGTTACGAGGGGCTAGGAAGGTGGGTTGGTTAATGGGTACAGAAATATAGTTAAATAGAATGAATAAGATCTAGTATTTGGTAGCATAACAGGGTAAATTTATTGTACATTTTATAATAGTTAAAAGAGTATAGTTGGATTATTGGATTGTTTGTAACACAAAGAAAGGATAAGTGCTTGAGGTGATGCGTACCCATTTACCATGATGTGACTATTACATATTGCATGCCTGCATCAGAATATCCCATATACCCCACAAATATATACACCTACTATGTACCCACAAAAATTAAAAATAAAAATATTAAAAGTGGCTTGTTTTTGTTATTGCAGGTAAACAAAGGCTTGATTGGCTGTAGAATTTTTGAGTCGTTCCATATTTCTGACAAAATCTTGAAATTTATTCCTTCATCTTATTTGTTGGGGTGAGGTTAATGGCTGTGTCCAGCCCATTTTTTTCCCATTATGATTTGATTTATTTTCCCCATTTGATTTTTTTAATGGGATTTCTTTTAATTTTTAAAGCTTATTAACTTAAACCTGTTTTGCACTTATCATTTACTTCATAGTTTTCCTGGAATTTGTCACACTTTTTTAAATTATGGTAAAATACACATAACATAAAATTTACCCTCTTAACCATTTAAATGTACAGTTCAGTAGTGTTAAGTATATTCAGACTGTTGTGCAACCAATCTCCAGAACTCTTTTCGTCTTGTAAAACTGAAACCCCGTACCCATTACACAGCAATTTCTCATTCATCCCTCTCCCCCAGTCCCTGGCAAGTACTACTGTACTTTGTCTCTATTAATTTGACTATTAGCTACCTTATATATGTGGAGTATTTGTCCTTTTTTGACTGGCTTATTTCACTTAGCATAATGTCTTCAGGGTTCATCCATGTCATAGCATATGCCAGAATATCCTTTTGAAGGCTGGATGATAAGCCATTGTATGTATATACCAATTTAGTTTATGTCTGTTCATCTGTTGTTGAAAACTTGGGTTGCTTCTACCTCTTGGCTCTTGTAGATAGTGCTGCTACAAACATGGGTATACAAATATCTCTTTGAAAGATCATTAACAGTTATTTTGGATATATACCCAGAGGTGGGATTGCTAAATCATATGGTAATCCTATTTTAATTTTTTTGAGGAACCTCTATACTGTTTTCCATAGTGATTGTACCATTTTTGGTCCCACCAGCAGTGCTGGGTTCCAGTTTGTTCACATCCTTGCTAATACTTCTTTTCTTTTTTTGATAATGGCTATCTTAATGGGTGTCAGATGTTATCTTACTATTTTGATTTGCATTTGCATTTTACTGATGATTAGTGATGTTGAGCATCTCTTCATGTTTGGCCGTGTGTGTGTGTGTGTGTGTGTGTGTGTGTGTGTGTATGTGTATATACATTTTTGTAGAAGTGTCTACTCAAGTCTTTTGCCCAATTTTTAAGTTGTTTGTTGGTTTGTTGTTTTTGATTTTGAGTTGTAGGAGTTAGGAAAGTTTACTTTTATTGCTAAGTAACTTCTGTTCCACTTATTTTTGTCAAGTATGCCGATTATGTTGAATCTTTATGTCCTGCGATTTATATCCATAATTTCTTTTTAAATTTTTTTATTTTTATTTTTTATTATTATACTTTAAGTTCTGGGGTACATGTGCACAACATGCAGGTTTGTTACATAAGTATACATGTGCCATGTTGGTTTGCTGCATCCATCAACTCGTCATTTACATTAGGTATTTCTCCTAATGCTATCCCTCCCCTAGTCCATCACCCCCTGACAGGCCCCAGTGTGTGATGTTCCCCTCCCTGTGTCCATGTGTTCTTATTGTTCAACTCCCACTTATGAGTGAGAATATGTGGTGTTTGGTTTTCTCTTCTTGTGTTACTTTGCTGAGAATGATGGTTTCCAGTTTCATCCATGTCCCTGAAAAGGACATAAACTCATCCATTTTTATGGCTGCATAGTATTCCATGGTGTATATGTACCACATTTTCTTTATTCAGTCTATCATTTGATGTGCATTTGGGTTGGTTCCAAGTCTTTGCTATTGTGAACAATGCTGCAGTAAACATATGTGTGTATGTGTCTTTATAGTAGAATGATTTATAATCTTTTAGGTGTATACCCAGTAATGGGATGGCTGAGTCAAATGGTATTTCTAGTTCTAGATCCTTGAGGAGTTGCCACACTGTGTTCCACAATGGTTGAACTAATTTACACTCCTACCAACACTGTAAAAGCATTCCTATTTTCCCCACATCCTCTCCAGCATCTGTTGATTCCTGACTTTTTAATGCTCGCCATTCTAAATGATGTGAGATGGTATCTCATTGTGGTTTTGATTTGCATTTCTGTAACGAGCAGTGATGATGAACATTTTTTCATAAGTTTGTTGGCTGCATAAATGTCTTCTTTTGAGAAGTGTCTGTTCATATCCTTTGCCTACTTTTTGATGAGGTTGTTTTCTTCTTGTAAATTTGTTTATTTGTAGATTCTGTATGTCCATAATTTCTAATTAATCTAGTAAATTCCATTATTGTAAGCACATGTACTTTTTCCCAAGCCAGACTTCCATGGCACCAACTTGGTTTTCTGCAGTGGCACTTCTGTCTTTTGTAGTTTTAAATTTTTAGTTTCTGCAGTGATTTTTTTTTATTTCCTTAAAAAATTTTAAAATCAAACTTGTAAATGTTTATAATTTAAAAATGTATAGGTAGATACTTTATTTGGCAAACAATGTTAGCTATCACTTTTACCATGTTCACTATATTGTTCACAGTATGATAAGTATTACTCCAGGTGTCTTAGGTACATTAATCAATTCAATTCTTATAGTCATATGTGGCAGCCTTACTATTATTATACCCATTTTACAGAGGAGAAATCTGAGGCAAGGAGACATGACATAACCTGCCCAAGGTCATACTGGCAGGACAAGGATTTGAACCTAGGCAGTTGGATTCCCTAGCGTACTGTACTTGTAACTACTATGCAGCACTGCCTCTCTTCCTCCTTTTCTTAAAAAAAGAAATGTATGTGCTTTATTTGAATTCTGACTCAACCAACCAAACTGTTAAAAGTTATAAGAAAATCAGGGGATTGTGAACTTACCGAATATTTGATGATATCAAGTACCTCTGATTAATTTTTTAACTGTGATGATGGTAAGGTAGTTTCCTTATAAAAGAGTTCTTTTAAGGACAAAACAGCTAAATATGTAAACATAAAGTTACTTACAGCATATGTATTATGCTGAGTTATTTACAGAAGAAATTAAATGATGCTTGGGATTTGTTCCTCTATATTATCTTTAAATATATTCATTTTAATTGATATACATTTGTACATATTTATGGGATACAGTGTGATATTTTGATACATGTATATACAATGTGTAATGATCAAATTAAGGCAATTAACATATCCATCACCTCAAACCTTCATCATTTCTTTATACGGGTAACAGTCAAAGTCCTCTCTTCTAGCTATTTGAAAAAATACAATAAATTGTTGTTTGCTATAAGTCACTCTTCAGATCTATAGAACACTAGAACTTATTTTTGCTATCTAGGTATAACTTTGTACATCCATTAACCAAACTCTCCCTATCCCTCCCTGTCCCCTAGGCTTCCTGGTATCTAGTAAGCACTATCCTACTCTCTACTTCTGTGGGATCAACTTTTTTAGCTCCCACATAGGAGCGAGAACATTGCAGTATTTATCTTTCTGTGCCTGACTTACTTCGCTTAACATGCAGTCCTCCAGGCTCACCCGTGTTGCTGCAAATGACAGGATGTATGTAATTTAAAGTGTCAAATAGCTCTGAGGCTTGCCAGGAAAGAGGAGTCCTTGCTTGCTTCCTACAATTTTACCTTCCCCAGAGCTACCACTTTCAGTTGTTTTGGCAGCCTCATTTGATATTTGCATTTAATCTGTAAGATTTTTTTTAACTTCTTTTTGAAAATTTTTAAAATTGTGAATGATATGTTTTGAAATATGTGCTATGTGGAATTCTAAGGTTTTTATTTCTTTTTATCTTACTAGTTTGGAATATTTATAGATGTACCATGTGCAAAGTGTACCATTCACATACTCCCATCCTGAACCTCCTTTTCTTAGTATAGTTAGGTCATGATTTTGACTAGGCCATTATTCAGTGTTAATAGGATGATGACCTTGTTAATGCTGTTCATACCTGAGCCATGTAGAATTCTATGAATCCTTTTCCTCTTCTGCAAATTTTTTGTTCTATTTAAACTAATTGTTCTTTTGATGTTTGCTTAGTTTTCTATGTGCTTTTTACTCATTCAGTCCTAAATGCTCTTGGTTATCCAAATCTCCTCTTGATATACTACTTCTTGAGTCTTTTTGCTTATCACCCAAGGATTTCCCTTCACAATTATGCCAGGAATTCCTTTTTTTCTCCCTCTTGTATTGGACTCCTGTTTCCTGTATCACATGCCTGTCTTTTTCTTAGTTTCCTCCCTGTTTTGCAGAAGAACATCTGCCAATAGAATTCTAGGTTGTCAACTGCCTTCCTCATTGCTTCATTGTCTTCTAGCTTTCAGGGTTGCTGTTGAAAAGTCCAGAGACTTTCTGATTCCTAATCTTTTGCTTATGAGCTTCCCTACCTGCTTTTTGATATTTTATAGGACCTTTTTAATATCCTTACAGTTAAAAAAACACAACTCATGATGACAGATGCTGTGTTTAATGTGGGCATATTGAAATCAAATGAAATGGGCAGGTAGGCACTCAGTGGGCCCTTACAGTCTACACAGTTATGACCTTACGTTTTAGGAAATATTTTGAGTTAGTCATTTGACTTCACTCCACCCCATTTCCTTTACTCTTTTATTCTGGAATTCTATTTGGCTATTAGACCTGCTGGACTCATTTTGTAGCCTTCTCATTTTTACTGTTCTAGTCTTCTTTACTTTTTTTTTTTTAACTCTACATTTTGGGCACATTCCTTAAAGTTATATTCCAATCTGTCTACTGAATTTTTTTTGAATTCTTAAAAATTGACATATAAAATTATAAGTATTTATCATGCACAATATGATGTTTTGAGTATATATATATTGTGGAATGGTTAAGTCTAGCTAATTAACAAATGCATTACCTCACATAGCCACCATTTGTTTGCGGTAAGAACAGTTAACATCCACTCCCTTGGCATTTTCCAAGAATACCATGTATCATCATTATCTATAGTCACTGTCCTACACGATGGATCTGACCTTATTCCTCCTAACTGCAATAGATCTCCTGTCTAACTGTAAATATGTATCCTTTGATCAACATCTTCCCAACTCCCTCTCCCCACAACCACCCCAGCCTTTGGTAACCACCACTTTGCTCTCTACTTCTGTGGGAAAAACTTTTTTAGATTTTGAATTACCACTTTTTAAGCATCCTGTTTTTGTTTGAATAAGTGCAATATATTCTTCTCGATGTTACTATTGTTAAACCTATTCATCTGCTCAGATTCCAGAGAGAAAAATCTTTCCGTCTCAGGCCTTAGATGATGTAAGACTGGCTTCAGATGCTATTTAGCTCTGATAGGCGGAAGAGATAATAAGAAAGAAGACAAGCTTCAGCTCTGAACTGCCTGTATCTCATCTTGTTCCTCCAGGTTTGGGCTTCAGGAATTTCTTCTATTTTGTTTATATCAGACTATAGGGCTCTCTGAAGAATGATACATAGTTTGAAAAATTTCCCCATTTTATCTAAATTGTTGTATATCTGTAATAGTTTTCTAAAGTTTTTAGAATAAATTTGTCCTTTCCAGGTTTCAGCATTGATGGTTTCTTCTTTCCTCCTTTATTGCTTTTCATTCATCTATTCTGTTTTGGAGACGAAGGCTTTAAAATCTTTACCCACGTAGCTTCCCCCAGCTACCTCTGAGAAGTCTGTTTTATCTTTTGCATCACTAATTTTATTTTTTGCTTTTTAAAAATATTCTACTTTCTGCTTCATTGGTTGCTTTTATTCAAGTTCATAATTCAGATTTTCTTTTCTGGTTAGCGCAGACTCTTTTCTGGTCTCATATTTCTTTCTATGGCTACCTGCTCTATGTGCAAAGATTCTACTATGTCCCCTGGAATTTTAAGAACATGAGCTAGAAATTTTCTGTTAATAGAGTTTTCTCTTTTATATAGTATATCTATTTCTTAAGTAAATATTTGCTCTGATTCTAGAATCTTCCCCTTTTCTGAACCACAATGTGTTCTATTTGCCTGGTGGATTTAGATTTTTCTCCTTTGCTTATCCTTAGGGAAGTCAATGCATATTCAGTATTGGGTATTGCCTTGTTTTCTTTCCTTCTTTCCTTCTTTCCTTCCTTCCTTCCTTCCTTCCTTCCTTCCTTCCTTCCTTCCTTCCTTCCTTCCTTCCTTCCCTCCTTCCTTCCCTCCCTCCCTCCCGCCCTCCCTCCCTCCTTCCTTCCTTCCTTCCTTCTTTCCTTCTGTTTTAAAATTTTACTTTAAGTTCCGGGATACATGTGCAGAACATGCAGTTTCTTACATAGGTATACATGTGCCATGGTGGTTTGATGCACCTATCAACTCGTCATCTAGGTTTTAAGCCCCGCGTGCATTAGTAACCCTGTGTTCTTTCAAGAAACTTGTATGAGTCACTATTTGACTCAAGTCCAGACAAAGGAAAAAGGTTACATTTGTAGTAGATTAATTTACCAATTATGAATTCATATTCCTGTGAGGCCTGGGAAAAGAGCCAGCATCAGCTCCAGAAGTAATCAAAGGGAAGTTTGCCTCAAACCAAAGACTTTGTTTTAGGTATTTGGTGTGGCACTCAGTAATTAGCAAGGTCATTGTCACTTGGCATGGCTGCCCTTGCCAGGAGCCAGCTGGGAGTGTCTTTTTCCCATGTGTTTTCTGTGGTAGTCATCATGGCCACCTGTCAACCAGAAGTAAATGCAGCCAGAGGTTACTTGCTTGGCTGGCCTCTGAAGCCAGGAGCCCTTTTAAAGGAGTTAGTGTGTTTTAAATGTACCCCAAGTCTTCCTGGGCTTAGTTCCCTCAGCCCCCATCGCTCTAAACTAGGGGTATCATTATGGGTTTAGTGGATTCTCATTTGCTTATTTTCTGGTTGTGCAGTTGCAGTTTCACATGAAGAGGATATCGTGTTTTAGTCCTTTTGTCAACCTCCCATGTTGATTCTTTCAAGTATATATTTCTGAACGTTTAAGATCTATTTATAGTTTCCAGGGCTGATTCAGGATATTCCTCTGTTATAATCAACTGGTCATTTCTTTGGTAATCTGGCACAAAGAAATAAGCTTATAGCTTTCTTATTTGGAAATTGTATTTTATATATGTGATTTGAATCATAGGGGGGATATTGAGGTAATTTAGACCCAGTGATTGTAAAGGAATGGATGAATGATCCAATAAATAAATAGATGACAAAGCTCATCTTTTGCAGGTGAGAGGCATTAGAAGTAATTTTACGGTTTTGAGAAGAGAAATATAGATGAGAAGAGATGCCTAGGAGAATAGAAAATGGAGACAACTAGGAAAGAAGAGAAGAGGCAGCAGTAATGCTCCAAGGGCAGTTGGAGAGCCTGATGTCAGCTGGGCAAACCCACATTGCTTCATGGTTTTCTGTGGCTAGAACACAGTTTTGAAGCTCAAGCAAAGGAAATGGAGAGTTAGGTTGGTGGCAGGTTGGAAGAGTTGCAGAACAGGTATCCAAGTACTTGGAAGAGTTCAGAGGGGTGTATTTCTTAGTCTCACTCTGTTGCCCAGGCTGGAGTGCAGTGGTGCAATCTCGGCTCACTGCAACTTCTGCCTCCCAGGTTCAAGCAGCTCTCTGCCTCAGCCTCCTGAGTAGCTGGGATTACAGGCGCCTGCCGCCACGCCTGGCTAAATTTTTTTTTTTTTTTTTTTGTATTTTTAGTAGACACGGGGTTTCACCATCTTGGCCAGGCTGGTCTTGAACTCCTGACCTCATGATCCACCCACATCGGCGTCTCAAAATGCTAGGATTACAGACGTGAACCACCACACCCAGCCAGGGATGTATTTCTTTAAAAATTATTGTGCAACTCTCTAGTTGACAGTCTGGGGCTCTGGTAAGGCGGGGGTTCATCTGTCAAAGTGAGCCAGCTTACTCAGCTAGATACTGTATGGCATGATTACTTAGGGTAATGTCTTTTTTGTCTTGTTTAGTTCCCCCATGATTTGTGCAGTTTTGTAAATAAGTTGAGAAGTAAATAGATTTCATGATATAATTTTAAGACTTCACTCCCAAGGGAAAACTGATTTATACCTTTGAAGTTATGTCATTTAGCCCTTGTATTTGGCAAAGTAAGCATACACTATTTTATAAAGCGTTCTTGTAATGTGTGAATAGGTTCAACAAAATTAGACGTGTCGCATGTTTTAGGAGAAGGCAGTTAATTTTCTGTCTTATTTTCTTCTTGAAAATGTGAAACTAACAATCTGTCATGTTTATTAGGCATCTCAAGGAAATGAAACATCCAAATGAGGGTTAAATGGTTAAAATTTTATATAGATGAGAAGAGCACAAGGTTCTCTGTCTCAGGGTTACTCTGCAGGTCATCTGACTTTCATCCTACTTTCTCCATTTTTTATCTGACATTTTTGCTTAAAGATTCCATGTGCTTTCCATCTCTTTTTAATCTTTGATCACATGGAATATTGGCCTATGGAAAGAGTATGAATCTTAGCATAGGCCCTGGTTCAGACCTCAGCTCTTTCATTTCCTGACTGTGTGACTGTGGGTATGTTGCATAACCTCACAATACCTTTCAAAGCCTCAGATGTCTCCTCTGTAAAATAACTGAATAGTATCTGCCTCAAACTGTTGGGGAAATGACTGCTCCAAAGCTCAGCATCCAGTGGCCTTTCATGAAATCCCAGTCTCGCATCTTTCCCTCTGCTGTTGTTAGTAATAACGTCATATGACATATTTGTTTGGTGGATCTCATCCATTTCTATTTCGCTTTCCTTACTCTAAGCTAGGTGCCTCTATTTACCTTTTAGGCAACTCTCTATATTCTGAATATTGAAAATATTTTAAGGTTATATTGCTTAATGACATAGCTTGGTGAAATGATATTGGACCTGAGCATATAGTATGCGTCCTTAAGAATGGAATCTTATGTGCTTGATTTTTTGCTTTTTAGTTGTATTATTGATATATTCATTTATGTCACATAGAGCAAGATAATGTGAATTATAAATACATAAGAGGGAGAAAGGAAAAATGAAAGTAGGAGTGGGCAAAAAATAATGCCAGGAATAATAAATACATGAGAAGGAGAAAGGAAAAATGAAAGTAGGAGTGAGCAAAAAATAGTGCCAGGAATAAGTTCAGTGTAAAACAGTGCACCTTGGGGTTCCTGTAATTTTCTTGGGTAGGTTTGGCACTCTAGCAGTCATCTTGAAAAAAGAAAGGTCCTGTATACATATGCTTTTCTCCTGGGTTGTTTATTTACTTTCACAGTGTGATAAACAAGTCTCATTTGTTCCTAAAACTGGGACTAAGGAGAATATCAGTACTGTCACAGGGCAGCTGTGGAATTCGGTGTTGAATGTCATGACAAGATAACTTGAGAACTTTACTACTTATTTGTGAATGAAAATAATTGCTGTAATGGGAGAAGAAAATAGGAAGGCTCTACAGTTCTAAGCAGCCAGAACCTAAAGTGATTGAAACTGTAGTATCAAGGATGCTGCACAAAAATGTAGCAATTAAAAATTTAAGCTTATAGAAGTTGCTGTCAAACCTAGATTATTTCTTAGAAAAGCAGCACTTCTGAGCTCCTCATTTGCCCAGTATCCCTGAGCTAATATAGGGTAGCACCAAGGGATGTGGGGGACAAAGGACTTGGATTAAATGTCCAACTCCACAGTTCCTGCTGTGCAAGACTTGGATCTTGTGACATCTGGTTCATTACTTTTACTATTATGAAAAGTATCATTTCCCAATAGTTTAAAAAGTGTTCAGGTATCATCTTGCATGTTGGTGAAACTAGGAAGTATATTTACAGACAAAAGCTCCTTAAAGGCAAGGTTGGCTTAGCCTTACTTTTTTTTTTTGAGACGGAGTCTTGCTCTGTTGCCCAGGCTGGAGTGCAGTGGCACGATCTCGGCTCACTGCAACCTCCGCCTCCTGGGTTCTAGTGATTCTCCTGCCTCAGCCTCCTGAGTAGGTGTGTGCCACCACGCCCAGCTAATTTTTATATTTTAAGTAGAGATGGGGTTTCACCATGTTGGTCAGGCTGGTCTCAAATTCCTGACCTCTAATGATCTGCCCCCACTGGCCTCCCAAAGTTTTGAGATTACAGGCCTGAGCTGCTGTGCCCAGCCAATAACGTCTTTTGAATAAAAGAAAAGATATTGTTAGGGAGTATGAACATCACCAGAAAATGAAAATGTTTCTTAAAAATAAACGAATTTTTAAAAATTATTTTCTTAAAATGAAAAATTTTTTTCTTCTGGACTAAATTGCAATGTGGAAAGAGTCACATCAGCCTTTGGACAGAACTAGGGCTGTGATTTACTACAGGGAAGTTAGCATCTTTCTGAGTTTTCTTAATGAACACGTGAATAAGAGATTTGGTTATACTTTGTGCTTATTTAGCATCCTCTCTTTGAGGATGTCAAAAGGATTTTAGAAATGTTCTCTTTCTCACACAGGTGGACGTCTGATTTATGAAGCTCCCCATCCACCTATCTGAGTACCTGACTTCTCAGGACTGACACCTACAGCATCAGGTATCTTGCCTTTCTTTAGTCTTAAAAGCGGTAACTAAGTTCCTTGAGGAGATATAGGCAGGGAACACATTAACTTCGTTACGTTTCATATAGGCCTGGGAACCGGAGTTGCTGCTGTAGTCCTGGTTCTACCATTAAATGTGTGACTCTAGTCCCTTTTCTTCTCTAAGCCTCAATTTTTTCTTCTGCAAATAGGTGGGGTTGGACGGGGTGCTATCTAATCACTTGACGGTATTATGGTAGTCTACTTTTATCCGAAGCTTCACTTTCCACAGTTTCAGTTACCTGCAGTCAAACTTGGTCCAAAAATATTAAATGAAAAATTTCAGAAACAAACAATTCACAAGTTGTAAATTGCACACCGTTCTGAATAGTGTGGGTGAAATCTCATACTGTCCATGTGATTTGTCCCTTTGTCCTGCGATTCCACACTGTGTGTGCTACCTGTACATTAGTCACTCAGTAGCTGTCTCTGTTATATACAGGGTTGGGTACTATTCACAGTTTCTTTTTCTTTTTCTTTTTCTTTTTTTTGAGAAGGAGTCTCTCTGTGTCGCCCAGGCTGGAGTGCAGTGGTGCCATCTTGGATCACTGCAACCTCTACCTCCCAGGTTCAAACAATTCTCCTGCCTCAGCCTCCTGAGTAGCTAGGATTACAGGCATGTTCTACCACGCCTGGCTAATTTTTGTATTTTTAGTAGAGATGGGGTTTTGCCATGTTGGCCAGGCTGGTCTCAAACTCCTGACCTCAGGTAATCCTTCCCCCTCGGCTTCCCAAAGAGCTGAGATTATAGGCGTGAGCCACTGCACCTGACCCACTATCCAGTTTCAAGTATCCACTGGGGGGCTTAGAATCCACTCCTCAGATAAGTGGGGGTGGTTACTGCATTCTCTTTGCCCTCTATGTAAGCCGTCAGCTCTCCACTGTGGATTATTCAATTCCTTTATTATTTAATGGCAGGATGGCTTTTCCCCCGACTCACCCTCCTCAGCTCTGCAACTTGAAACTGTCTTCCCAAAACATCTAGCTGGGATGTTGGATTCAAACCTATGAAAATTCCTCAACTTAAGAGTATTTGGACAGATAGCACAGAAGTCGTGGCTTTTAGACCTTAGCTTTTCCCTACCGGCTTTCTGTTTGCATTAAGCTAGTATTTGACACTTGATGTCTAGGGATTCTTACCTCCTTTGGCCAATGGTACTTCACACCCATATGCTAGTCCTTTTATGCTAAATGTGGGTTTTCCTGTTGTTTTCCAGGTACACAGCTTCTCCTAGCATGACTTCGATCTGATCAGCAAACAAGAAAATTTGTCTCCCGTAGTTCTGGGGCGTGTTCACCACCTACAACCACAGAGCTGTCATGGCTGCCATCTCTACTTCCATCCCTGTAATTTCACAGCCCCAGGTAAGGGCTTCAAACTAGCAGAGGTCTGAGGTAATCGTAAGTTTGTCAAATATTTAAACTGGGTTTCAGGAAGTGTATTTGACTCTAGGGATCATGTATATCTCTCTCGCTATCATTTGGTGTGTATTCGAATAATGGTGCTTTTGTGAGTGAGGTGCCATTTCGTTCAGGAAGCAGCTGGAACAATGAACAAGTGATTTTAGTGAACTGGCCTCTGTTCATAGGAGGCCTTGGTTTTCAGTGCTTAGGATGTCTGACATTATAGGCATCAAACTCTAAATCAAAGTAAGTCAGTAGTAAACCCTGCTGCTTTTCCTCTCTTGGCTTTTTTGTGGGCCGGGGGGTGGGGTGGGGTTTAATGAAATATATCAGAATGGATCTAATTTTATAACAAGTTTTCTGAGGGCTGTCTTGTTGTCCTCCTCCTATACTTACTCTTTTGCCTTGATCTGTTCTAGGAACTTTGAAACAAAATGCAATTCCAGAAACTTCTGAGCAGCAATCGTATGAGTTATTTTTTTCTGTCCAGTGAAGAGCAGTAATACGGCAGGGACATGGTCTTTGTTCAGATGATTTTACAGCCTGATTTAATCAGGCATTGGCTGGACTCTTTCAGATTCACCAGGCAGCAGGGTACAATGTGGAAACAGACTTTGGAGTCATAAGGCCACAGTTCACATCCCTGCTCCTCTGATTGCAGGATAAAGAGCCCTAGTCATGCTAGCTTCTCTCAGCTTCAGTTTCCTCTCATGTAATCATTCCTCACATGATGGTTATATGGATAAAATGATGGTTCATATACATGAGGCATACAGAGGTGCTCAGCAAGTGTAGTTTCCCATTTACTCTTCATTTATCTTCTTTCTATAGTGTGACCTCCTTTCTTATTTGTGACAATCATTTTTTGGCCAACTTTATTTTTATTTATTTATTTTTTTGAGAGAGAGCCTTGCTCTGTTGCCCAGGCTGGAGTGTAGTGGCATGATCTTGGTTCACTGCAATCTCCACCTCCTGGGTTCAAGCGATTCTCCTGTCTCAGCTTCCTGAGTAGCTGAGATTACAGGCGCCCGCCACCACGCCCAGCTAATTTTTGTATTTTAGTAGAGATGGGGTTTCACCATGTTGGTCAGGCTGGTCTTGAACTCTTGACCTCAAATGATCCACCTGCCTTGGCCTCCCAAAGTGCTGGGATTACAAGCCTGAGCCACTGTGCCCGGCCTCGGGCAACTTTGAAGAAAAAAGCATACTTTCAAGAAAGAGCCATACTGATTGAAATTTGAACTTGATACAGAACGTTGTTCCACACTGTTTTTTTCAGTATGATTTTGCAGGCTATTCAATTTTGTATGTATTTTAAGTAGGGGTTTGTGTGTTTGTGAGAGAAGGAGAGAAGGAGGAGAGGGAAAAAGGAGAACAAGGGGCATTTTTCCCTCATATAGTATAGTGTTTTCTCCTCAACACCATTTGGGATGTCATCATTGTTATCAACCTTGGGATTTTATCATATGAATAAAGCCCTTTATTCATATCATATGAATAAAGAATAAAGTACTAAGGCCTTTAGTATTATTTTCCAGAATGTTTAGTGTTACCATCGTCATACGCATTCCTCTTTCTGGTAAGTGGACCATTGTCCTTTCAACACTTCATTTACTTTGGGTGTTTGGTTTCCCTTATCTTCAATAGACTTTTTTGGTGTCTGAGAGACTTGGAGAATGGGCAAAGAGATTTAGTGCCTGTTACCTGAGGTCACCATTTCAAAGTCCACTGCAGCTGTTCCCATGTAATGACTCTTCTTAGTCCTTTCGTGAAGTGAGTTAGGCTAGTGCGGGTTTTCTAGACAGGGCATTTCCACATCCCGGTTTGCTGCTGTCATCTTTCAGCATTTCCAACAGCATCTTCTTATCTATATATCTTCTCTGTTACACAAGCTCCTATCAGCTGGTGAGGAATAGAAATACCTCTAAATGACTCATTTAATTAAAATGTTTAACACTGCCCAAAGGAGAAAGAGGTTCTATTTCATACAATCACTGGGGGAAATGTGTACTCTCGTAAATTCTCTGTGGGAAAGTAAATTGGTACAGTCACTCTGGAGGGTAATTCAACAGTATCTATTAAAATTATACACTTCTGCACATGCCCTGCTCCTGTCTTGGAATCTACATTAGAAAACCACTCACACATGAGCCCAAGGAGTGTATAAGGAATGTATAAAGATATTCATTGAAGCATTGGTTGCAAACCAAGAAGTACAAAATTTTGTGAATATCCAATAGTAGAAAGACTTAATGAATTCAGGAATGTGGACATGATTGAAATACTATTCAGTCATTTTATTTATTTCTTTTTTTTTTTTCTGAGACAGAGTCTCATTCTATTGCCCAGGCTGGAGTGTAGTGGCACGATCTTGTCTCACTGCAACCTCCACCTTCTGGGTTCCAGCAATTCTCCTGCCTCAGCCTCCCAAGTAGCTAGGATTATAGGTGTGTGCCTCCATGCCTGGTTAATTTCTGTATTTTTAGTAGAGACGGGGTTTCACCATGTTGTCCAGGCTGGTCTCAAACTCCTGACCTCAGGTGATCTGCCCATCTTGGCCTCCCAAAGTTCTGGGATTACAGCCATGAGCCACTGCGCCCGACCACTATTCAGTAGTTTTAAAATGAGGATGTCTACACAGCTATATATTACTCCAAGATATCGTATGGAGGAAAAAGAAAGCAAGACGCAAAATAGTACTTATGGGAAGATACCATTAAAATTCTAAAACAAGACTGTGTATTTTTAGGGAGAAGTATATGGTACATTAATGGAAATGGATAATGAAAGTCCTAGAACATACATTCTTAACATAGTTATATTGCCCCAAGAGGACAAAAATTGGGTTTTGGGAGATGAAAAAAATCCCTCCAGAGCTTATACCTCTATCCAACAAAATCTTATTCCTTAGTATTTAGTTTTTTCTCATTAGAAAAAATTTAAATGTAATTAATTTTTCTCCTTAAGGATCACTAATGAGAAAAAAATATGGCCAAGAAACACTGGTTTCTTGAGGGAGGCACATAGGCTCACCAGTCACCCTGCTTCAATTTACTAATTACCTGAGCCTGAGGGGAAGGTATCCACCCTCTTAGTGCCTCTATTTCCTTACCCACGGAATGAGCATAGCATTAATGAAGCCAACCTGATAGGGTTATTTTAAGGCGGAAATGAAATAATTTCTATAAAGCTCAGAATAGTGCCTGGCACATATTCTGGGCACATATTGCCCAGTGCATATTAGCAAGCATTGTTATTATTGCTCAGCAAGCCTTGTGGCAGGGCTGGGGGATACAAGAATAAATAAGAGAAATAAGTTTTGCCCTGCCAGAGTTTACAGATATAGTGGGAGATACACAGATAAAACAAAAAGTTACAACGCTTTGTCACCCATGCAGGAATGCACAAATACAGGAAGTATGGGTGCTCTGGGAGGAAAGTGGAGACCCAAGAAAAGATTTAGAGGATCAGGGAAGGCTTCTTGAAGGAAGACCACTAGGCTGAGGACAAATTAATATGAGTTATTTTGGTAAAGGAGAAGAAAAAGCATAGGTGAATGTCAAGTGTCCCAAGGTATGTGTGTGTGTGAGAGAGAGAGAGAGAGAGGGAGCAAAGCATTTAGAATTTTGTTTTGGATGGTTGCACTACAGTGGGGCATGAGATTGTAAACAGTGATGTCCCTAGAGCCACCTATACCAACTCACAGAAGCAGATTGTTAAATTTTCAGGAATTTCGCGAGCCAATTGACTTCATGCCAGCAGCTTGAAATCAGCCACATGGAATAGTTATACTGCAGAAATCGGCAAGTGCTAGAATTAGCATAAATGGGTTAGGTTATAAAGTTGGAGATTTTACAGGGTCTTTCAAACCGTATTAATGAATTTAACATTGATCTTAAAAGAAGTCTTTGTTAGCTTAATGGTCCCAGCCTTTGAAATAGACCTGGGTTCAAGTTCTGACTTTCGATAATAGTTTTATTGAGCAAGTTTATTAATTAACCTTAACCAGGGTAGTTGCATTATTCTCACCGTATTTTGGGAATAGTGGCAGCCTCTGATGGTTGGGGAACTAAGCCCACGGGGAAGGAGTCAGCTATACACTGGGACATTAGGTCATAGAGATAGATAGCTTCTTCTGGAGAGATGCAGACCATTGGGTCACTTGGTTCCCAGGATCCTTTGGCCAATGATGGGCCTCCTAATTATATGTCAATTCCTCACATGTAATTTGTACAGTGAAATTTAGTCCAAGGCTGACTTGCCCTTGCCCCGAAGCTTCTACTGATGTCTTCTCTCTTATTATCAGTTTTGCCCAAGTTCAAAGAAGGTAAAAATAATTTAGATATAGCATCTTCTTAGGCAAGCATAATAAGCAGCTCACTCAGTCACCTTAGCCTGGTATTGTCTGGCACATCAACTTGCTTTCTTTTCCAGTGAATTCAGGGACCTTGTAAAGATAAATCCACATTCAAGTGTGAAAGGCCTGAAAATCCTTTTCTAAGGCCAAAACAACAATTTTTTAGAAAAACTTTTGGTTTTGTTTGTTACTCTATTCATTGGGTAACAAAGAGCATTTTTCTAATCAAGGCTGCCTAATACTACATATAAACGAATTAATATGAACAAATAGCTTGTGATTGTTTCAAACAATAATAGGGAAGAAAGCTTGCATTGTCACGCCTGCTGGGATTGCTGTTTAGTTAGTTGAAAGATATGCCTTGTTTTTTGAAGTGGGGCAAGTTTGTATTCTCTGCTTTACCCCTGCCTTGACTCTGAGACAGATTTTTGTTTTCTCATGCTGAGAGAGCACCTAGCTCTTACAAAGCTAGGTGATGAATACTAAGACGAAACTGGACTAGCAGCAGCAAGAAGATGCCGTGTTTGTAACCGATTTATAATTCTGCTGGTCCAGACACTGAAAAAGAGTTTTCTTATCCAAAGGAAACTCCTGGGATGTATTTGCAGACAGGAACCTGTTCATCATTAGGTTGAGTTAATGTGTTCGTATCCTGTGGATATTGGGGGCATGGGGATGGGGTAGGAAACCAAACAAACTTGCAGCTCTCCAGAGCCATTTTCTGTTTCTAGCACTGTGTTAAGCATTACCCTGTGCTTGATCAGGTTACTGTGGATAGAAGTTGGATTAAAAGTTTCATTTTCATTGTTCATGAAAGAGTCAATAGTTCAGTACCAGAGTGAGCAGTTTGGCTTCTCTTAAACCTAGGATTATATTAGAGGCCAGAATAGGTATCTGAAAACCTAAAAGATATTCAGGTCTCACACCTGTGATTCCAGTAAGGCAAGAGTCTTCTTTATCAGTATTTTTCATGGTGTATCATTCTGTCTCTCATTTGTTACATGACCATTTTGTTATTTTTTAATTTTCATTTTTATATTTATTTGAATTTAAATTATTTTATTCTAAAATATTTTACTTTAAGTTCTGGGATACATGTGCAGAACATGCAGGTTTGTTACATAGGTATACATGTGCCATGGTAGTTTGCTGTACCTATCAACCCATCATCTAGGTTGGTTTTTTTTTTTTTTTTCTTGAGATGGAGTCTCACTCTGTTGCCCAGGCTGGAGTGCAATGTCGTGATCTTGGCTCGCCACAACCTCTGCCTCCTGAGTTCAAGCGATTCTCCTGCCTCAGCCTCCTGAGTAGCTGGGACTACAGGCGTGTGCCACCATGCCTGGCTAATTTTTATATTTTTAGTAGAGATGGGGTTTCACTATGTTGGCCAGGCTGGTCTTGAACTCCTGACTTAGTGATCCGCCCACCTTGGCCTGCCAAAGTGCTGAGATTACAGGTGTGAGCCAGCATGCCCGGCCCATCATCTAGGTTTTAAGCCCGCATACAATAGGTATTTGTTCTAATGCTCTCCCTCCCCTTTTCCCCCACTCCCAGACAGGCCCTGGTGTGTGATGTTCCCCTCCCTGTGTCCATGTGTTCTCATTGTTCATCTCCCACTTATGAGTGAGAATATGTGGTACTTGGTTTTCTGTTCCTGTGTTAGTTTGCTGAGAATGATGGTTTTCAGCTTCATCCATGTCTCTACAAAAGATGTGAACTTATTCTTTTTTATGGCTGCATAGTATTCCATGGTGTATATGTGCCATATCTTCTTTATCCAGTCTGTCATTGATGGGCATCTGGGTTGGTTCCAAGTCTTTGCTATTGTAAATATAGTGCTACAATAAACATGCGTGTGCATGTGTCTTCATAGTAGAAATGATTTATAATCCTTCGGGTATATACCCAGTAATGGGATTGCTGGGTCAGATGGTATTTCTGGTTCTACATCCTTGAGGAATCACCACACTGTCTTCCACAAAGGTTGAACTAGTTCACATTCCCACCAACAGTGTAAAGGTGTTCCCATTTCTCCACATCCTCTTCAGCATCTGTTGTTTCCTGACTTTTTAATAATCATCATTCTAACTGGTGTGAGATGGTATCTCATTGTGGTTTTGATTTGCATTTCTCTAATGACCAGGAATAATGAGCTTTTTTTCATATGTTTGTTGGACACATAAATGTCTTCTTTTGAGAAGTATCCGTTCATATCCTTCACCCACATTTTGATGGGGTTGTTTTTTCTCTTAAATTTGTTTAAGTTCCTTGTAGATTCTGGATATTAGACCTTTGTCAGATGGATAGATTGCAAAATTTTTCTCCCATTCTGTAGGTTGCCTGTTCACAACCATTTTGGTTTTAAGTCAAGAACATAAAGATATTTTGATCCCTCCAAGTGATTTCCTGTAGCTTTCATTGAAGATGTGAATTTGGGTAGATTTTCAATATCTTAGTTAAGAGATTGTTCCTCCAATTCTCATTCAGTGTTCTGATAAAAAGTGATTGCGGCTGGGTGCTGTGGCTCACACCTATAATCCCAGCACTTTGGGAGGTTGAGACTGGTGGATCACCTGTCAGAAGTTTGAGACCAGCCTGGCCAATATGGTGAAACCCCGTCTCTACTGAAAATACAAAAATCAGCTGGGTGTGGTGGCGTGCACCTGTAATCTCAGCTACTCAGGAGGCTGAGACAGGAGAATTGCTTGAACCCAGGAGGCAAATGTGGCAGGTTGCAGTGAGCCGAGATCGCACTACTGCACTCCAGCCTAGGTGAAACAGTGAGACTCTGTCTCAAAAAAAAAAAAAAAAAAAAAAAAAAAAGTGATTGGTGTCTGTTTGTTGTCTTTTGGAAGACACTTTTTTTTGGACATCCTTACCAATAGGTACTCTCAACAAAATATGTATTTTCAAAATCTGTGTTTTAGGTTTTATTTCTGTTATTAGAAAGTGGATTTTTTTTTTATCAAAGCAACTGAATTTCACATTAAATGGGTTTTTTTTTTGAGGCTGAAAGATTCGTCTTTTTGGATAGAACTTTGTACTATGGCAGTTTTCAGACATTCACAAAAATAAAAATAACAATCTCAATATAGCCAACACCTAGATTCAGTAATAACATTTTGACACAGTTGCTTCACTTGCTCCTTTTTTGGGGGATGAAGTATTTTAGGATCCCTAGCATTGTCATCTTTTAAAAAATCCCCTTATGTTAATATGCATATCTAAAAAATAATTTGCTTAAATAACCACACTGCCATCATCACACTTAGCAAAAGTATAAATAACTCCTTAATATCACTTGATACTCAATTCACATTCAGGTTTCTTCAGTTGCTTTTCTAAAATGTGTTCTTGTAGTTGGTGGGTTATTTATTTTTATTTTTTAAAAACATTGATTAGATCAGTTTACTCTTCTGCATAAAATGATTCAATGACTCTTAAGGTTTAAAAAGGCAATTCCACTTCCTCTCTTTATTTTCTAAGTGAGAAAACAGATTGAAATTATAACTAGAATATTTCACAACTGAAGAATACAAAAATGAGACACACAGAAGGCTTCAGAGTAAGGGAATTCATACAATGTTTGCAATTATTAAATTATGAGTCTCTGAAATAAGGGATTACAGATTATCTTGACAGTGCTTTCTTTCAAACTAAAATGTGAACAATTAATTGCAGTATGAAGTATGTTTCCAGTGCCACACGATAATTTCGTCTAACATAGAATTGAGAAAAGGTAATGCATGGGCGTAGACCCGGGTGGATTTTGGTTCAAATCTAGACTGTTATACACCATAGCTGGGGGATCTTCAGTACATAGGTCTTTTTCAGCTTTATTTTTTAAAATCTCTAGAATTCAAATAACATACAGTGTGGTAACAAGTTTAAATGGCAAAAATAACTGTTAAGTGCTTTGTATAGTATCAGCCTTTTGATAGATACCTGACGTATGTTAGTTCTTTCCCTTTTCCCCATGATTAGTCTGGAAGTTCTTTTTTTTTTAAATTTTATTATTATTACACTTTAAGTTTTAGGGTACATGTGCACAATGTGCAGGTTTGTTACATATGTATACATGTGCCATGTTGGTGTTCTGCACCCATTAACTCGTCATTTAACATTAGGTAAATTCTGGAAGTTCTTTACAGGGAGAAAGAGGTAACCACTACATATGGTCTGTGTATGTGGTATGCCAGAAGACCCATCAAAGGAAGGCCACGTTGGATAAACACTCTATGGAAAACTCCAACGTATTGCCAGGAATAAATGCATGTGGAGATAAACATTGAGACTTCTGACTTCATCTTGAACCATGTTTCTATTAGAAGTTAAATTTGTTCCCATATTGCAATTTAAATTCATCTTGTGCCTCCTTTTGTGTTTATAAACTCAGATAAGGTTTGAGAAGAGATATTATTTTGGAATCTGAAAGCCCATTTTGAATTTTCTATTCATAAGATGAAATTGTACAGGGGTACCTAGGGTAAACCACATAAGACACCTTTCATGTTTGTTTATTTTTCTTTCTAATACATCCTTTTTAATTGGTTTAGTCTTCAATGGTTAATGGAGCTACTCCTTTATCTTTCAAAGTGGGTCTGGCTTTTTCCCACTTCTTGCCCATTAGGGAACTGTTTGCCCAATCTCGTTTTCATACCCCTAGATTCTCCAGCTGTCTTTCTTTGAACTTTTGTTGCAGCTTTGCTGTGAATACACACTAAGGTGGGACAGTGGCCTGCTGTTTTTTTCCACCTGAGAAAATCATAGAGTCCAGGGGATTTCTGTCTTTTAAGATCTGTACCTTGCCTTAATAAGACTGTCATTTAAAAAAAATCAACCTTTCCCTGCTGTGTGAAAATATTAATACTGCCATTTGGTAATTGCATAACATCACTTAAGAGCTGCCCTTAAGTTAAACTTATCCCATTTCATACATGATTGTGTTAGGCAGGCTCAGGCCAGGAGAAAAGCAAAAGTGGGTTGATACTTTCTTCTCAGCATCAGAGAATATGTTTATTAGAGGGCCATGGAGCATATTAGTTTCTGAAAGCATAGATTAGAAATAAAGCAACTTTCAATGATTCAGACAACCTTTAGTAGCAGGAATTCCAATCTTGAAGGAAGAAGAGTAGGGTGTGTGTGTTGGTCAACTAGTTGGCTGATTTCAAAGTCAGAATGTCCAGCAGGTGATATCAAACATTTGCACTTAGATGAGTTTCCACCACCAAGCATAGGAAGGTTTTGGAGTGGAGCAGGTGTAGGCCCCAGCTCTCAGGGCTTTGCCTACTTAGAACTCTGTTTAGTATTACCTTAATTGTGGTTGATCAGGTTACTGCAGTAACCTGGTAAAGACAGTGGAGGAGAAGACCCAGGAAGCATCCCAGCTCAATGGCACAGGTCATAGTGCAGGGCTCACCTCTGACATGCTGGATTGTGTAGAGATGACTGATGGGAACTTAGGAATGAGCTGTCATGGTCAGATGTAGATCCCACTTATGTAAGATAGGTCAAGATGGAGAGACTTAACCATAGATCATTCCACTGTCTCATTCAAAACTAGCTGGAAAACTAGGGCAACACTGAAGTTACAGGGGGGAATTCAATGCTATGGCAGTGGAGGAAGAAAAGGCAGGAGAAACAAGGTGGCAAATGATTGTGAGGATTATAGTCATCAGTTACACCATGGTATTTACTCTTTCAAATGATGTATCACAAATATACATGATATGGTTTGACTGTGTTCCCACCCAAATCTTATCCTGAATCGTAGCTCCCATAATCCTCATGTTGTGGGAGGGACCTGGTGGGAGGTAATTGAATCACGGGGGTGGGTTTTTCCCATGCTGTTCTCATGATAGTAAATAAGTCTCATGAGATCTGATGGTTTTATAAAGGGCAGTTCCCCTGTACACACTCTCTTGCCTGCGGCCATGTACGATGTGCCTTTGCTCCTCCTTCACCTTCTGCCATGATTGTGATGCCTCCCCAGACATGTGGAACTGTGAGTCCATTAAACCTCTTTTTCTTTCTTTCTTTTTTTTTTTTTTTTTTTTTTTGAGATAGTCTCGCTCTGTCACCCAGGCTGAAGTGCAGTGGCATGATCACAGTTCACTGCAACCTCTGCCTCCCGGTTTCAAGCGATTCTCCTGTCTCAGCCTCCCAAGTAGCTGGGACTACAAGTGTGTGCCACTACACCTGGCTAATTTTTATATTTTTAGTAGGATGGGATTTCACCATGTTGGCCAGGCTGGTCTTGAACTCCTGACCTCAGGTGATCCACCCGTCTCGGCCTCCCAAAGTGCTGGGATTACAGGTGTGAGCCACCGTGCCTGGCCCTAAACCTCTTTTTTTTTTAATAAGTTACCCAGTGTTGGGTATTTCTTCATAGCAGTATGAAAATGGACTAATACATTTACTCATAGGAGTCTTAGGACCACATTTGGCTTTTTTTTTTTTTCCCCTTAAAATGGTTATAAATGAATTGCTCTCAGTATCTAAAATATTAAGTGCTGCTTTTTAAAAATTGTATAAGTTTATTGCTGTCTCTTAGCTCATCACAGTAAAAACATAGTTTATAGAGATAAGCTGTTTTGTAATAAAAAAAGGACAATAATGGAAGGTAGTAGAAGATAATAAAAACTAAAATAGATACAAAATTCCATTTTAAAAATTGAAATGGAACAAGTTTATAAGGAAATATATTGTTATTAGCCTTTCAGCAAAATGGCCTAATGGAAAATAATTTTTCATTTTTGTCAGTATGAATTATTACATTGTTTTGACCTGTCAGTTCAAGTAAGGCTGCATTTTAGAGCTGGCATTTGGTTTATGAAGTTTCAAGTCTTCTGGGTTACCTGATTAAAAGTTGCAGGAGAATAGATGTCACAGAAATAGAGTTCTCAGTGTTCAACATATAAAAGGTGATCTTTTTCTCTTTGTTTTGTGGATGAGTAAATTAACATTCCCTCCCATTTCTTCCTCTCTCTCTTAATGGCTCAGACTGAATTCAATTTCTTTCTTTCCTTTTTTAAAAAAAATTAAGCAAAATGAAATGCTTACAGGGAGTTATAATGCAATAACATAGCCATTACCCAGCTTTGTAAAATGTTAACATTTCGATGTAATTTCTTCAAGATCTTTTGGGACTTAATACATAAAACAAGTCAGTAATTACAGATAAAGTTGGAGCCCTTTTACTCCTTCCTAATTCCATTAGCCTCCTCTTTGCCCAGACCATTAATTGATACTTATCGTCTCTCTGCATGTGCTTGTGAATGTATACATATGTGAGAAAAACATAAAAAATATATAGTAGGCTTCTGCAGGTTTATTTATTGATACATAATATTTGTACATGTTTACAGGGTACATGTGATATTTTATTACACACATAGAATGTGTCATGATCAAGTCAGGCTATTCAGGCTATTCATCACCTCATGTACTTATTATTTCTGTTGAGATATGTTGGGAACACATCCATGTGTTCCTATCCATATCAATGTGTTGGGAATGTTTTAAGTTCTCTCTTCTTGCTGTTTGGAAATATACCATACATTTTCGTTAACTATAGCCACCCTACTCTGCTATCGAATGTTAGAACTTACTCCTTCTATCTAACTGTATGTTTGTACCCATTAACTAACCCCTCTTTATCCTCACCTCCCCATTACCCTTCCCAGCCTCTGGTAACCACCATTCTATTCACTATACATGAGATCAATTTTTTTTAATCCTATGTTCATAGATCCCATGCCTGGGATATTTGTCATTCTGTGTCTGGCTTATTTCGCTTAATATAAGGACTGCCCCCCACTCCATTCGTGTTGCTGCAACTGACATGATTTCATTCTTTTTTATGACCAGATAGTATCCCATTGTGTATATATACCACATTTTCTTTATCCATTCATTAATTGGTAGGCATTTAGGTTGAATCTGTGTCTCTGCTATTTTAAATAGTGCTGTGGTAACACATGAATGCAGGTATCCTTTTGATATACTGATATCTTTTTCCTCTTCTACTTTTTTTTGTTTATTTTTTTGTTTGTTTTTTGAGACAGGTTCTCACTCTGTCACCCAGGCTGGAGTGCAGTGTTGTGATCTCAGCTCACTGCAACCTCCACCACCCAGGCTCAAGTGATCCTCCCACCTCAGCCTCCCAAGTAGCTAGGACCACAGGTGTGTACCACCATGCCTGGCTAATTTTTTTTTATTTTTGGTAGAGACGGGGTTTCACCGTGTTGCCCAGGCTGGTCTTGAACTCCTAAGCTCAAGCAATTTGCCTGCCTCAGCCCCCTAAAGTGCTGAAATGATGCCCTCCCTCCCTTCCTCCCTTCTTCCTTTCTTCCTTTCCTCCTTTCCTCCTTTCCTCCCTTCCTCCCTTCCTTCCATCCTTACCTTCTCTGTCTTTCTTTCTTTTTTCTCTTTTCTGATAAATAGCCAGTAGAGGGATACCTAGATCATATGGAATGTCTGGTTTTAGTGGTTTTTTTTTTTTTTTGTAGAGACATCTTCATACTGTTTTTTTTTAATAGTCACTGTACTAATTTACATTCCCACCAACACTGTATAAGAGTTCCCTTTTCTCTGCATCCTTGCCAGCATTTTTTTTTTTTGTCTTTTTAATAATAGCCATTCTGGCTGGGGTAAGATGATATCTTATTGTGGTTTTGATTTGCATTTCCCTGATGATTAGGAAAGTTAAGCGTTTTTTTTCATATACCTACTGGGCATTTGTATGTCTTCTTATGAGAAAGTGTATTCATATCCTTTGCCCACTTTTTAATGAGATTATTTGCTTTTTTTTTTTTTTAACTCTTGACTTGTTTGAGTTCCTTCCTTGTATACTCTGGATATTATACCTTGTCAGATGAATAGTTAGAAAATATTTTATCCCATTCAACCAGTTGCCTCTCATTCTATTGATTGTTTTAAAACATTTAGTTTAAAATAGTCCCTTTTGCCTGTTTTTGTTTTTATTTGTGCTTTTGAGGTCTTAGCCATAAAATATTTGCCTAGATCAGTGCCCCGAAGTGTTTCCCAATGTTTTTAGTAATTTTATAGTTTGCAGTCTTAATAAAGTCTTTATCTTGAGTTGATTTTTATATGTGGTGAGACATAGGGGTCCAGTTCTATTCTTCTGCATAAGGATATCCAGTTTTCCCAGCACCACTTATTGAAGAGGGTTTCTTTCCTCAGTGTAGGTTCTTGATGCTTTTGTCAAAAAGTAGGTTGGCTGTAAATACAGGGATTTATTTCTGTGTTTTCTATTCTGTTCCATTGGTCTATGTGTCTGTTTTTATACCAATACCATGCTGTTTTGGTTACCATAGCTTTGTGATATATTTTGAAGTCAGATAGTGTGATGTTTCCAGCTTTGTTCTTTTTGCTCAGGATTGCTTTAGCTATTTAGGCTTGTTTTTGGTTCTGTATGAATTTTGGGATTGTTTTTTCTATTTCTGTGAAAAATGACATTGGTATTTTGATAGAGATTGCATTGAATCTGTAGATTGCTTTGGGTAGTGTGATCATTTTAACAACGTTAATTCGTTCGATCTATAAGCATAGGATGTCTTTCCATTTGTGTCCTCTTCAGTTTCTTTCATCAGTGTTTTGTAGTTTTCCTTGAAGAGGTCTTTTCCCTCCTTGCATAAATTTGGTCCTAGGTATTTTATTTTATTTTTGTAGCTTTGGAAAGGGGATTGCCTTCTTTATTTCTTTTTTGGATAGTTCATTATTGGTGTGTAAAAACACTATTGATTTTTGTATGTTGATTTTGTATCCTGCAACTTTACTGAATTTATCCAACGTAGGAGATTTTTGGTGGAGTCTTTAGATTTTTCTAGATATAAGATCATGTCATCTGCAAAGGGGGGCAATTTGCCTTCCTCTTTTCCAATTTGGATGCCTTTATTTCTTTCTCTTGCCTGATTGCTTTGGCTGGAACTTCTAGTATTATGTTGACTAGGAGTGGTGAAAGTGGGCATGCTGTGTTGTTCCAGTTCTTAGAAGAAAGGCTTTCAGCTTTTCCCTATTCAATATGATGTTAGCTGTGGATTTGTCATATATAGGCTTTATTAGGTTAAGGTATGTTCCTTTTATGCCTAGTTTGCTGAGAGTTTTTGTCATGAAAGAATGTTGAATTTTATCAATTTTTTTTGCATCTATTGAGATGGTCATATGGTATTTATTCTTCGTTCTGTTAATATGATGTATTGTGTTTATTGATTTGCATATGTTGAACCATCATTGCATCCATGGGATAAATCCTACTTGATCATGGTGCATGGTGCATGGTGCATTATTATTATTATTATTATTTTTTTTTTTTTGAGACAGAGTATCACTCTATCACCTAGGTTGGAGTGCAATGGCATAATCATAGCTCCTGGGCTCAAGGGTTCCTCTTGCCTCAGCCTCCCATGTAGCTGGGACTATAGGTGCGCACTACTATGCCTTTTTTTTTTGTAGAGATGGCATCTCACTTTGTTGCCCAGGCTGGTCTTGAACTCCTGGGCTCAAGTGATCCTCCCACCTTGACCTCCCAAAATTCTGGGATTACGGGCATGAGCCACTGAGCCCAACGTGGTATATTATCTTTTTGATGTGTTATTAGATTCAGTTTGCTGATATTTTGTTGAGGATTTTTTCCATCTATGTTCATCTGGGATATAGCCCTGCAGTTTTCTTTTTGTGTTGCATCCTTTTCTGGTTTCGATATCAGAGTAATGCTGGCCTTGTAGAATGGATTAGGAAAAATCACCTCCCTTTGATATTTTGGAATCCTTTGAGGAGAATTGTGTTAATTCTTTGTAAGTTTGGTAGAATTTGGCAGTGAAGTCATTTAGTCCTGGAATTTATTTTGTTGGGAGACTTTTTATTACTGATTCAGTCTCATTATTCATTGTTGGTCTGTTTAGGTTTTCCACTTTTTGATTCAATCTTGGTAGGTTGTATGTTTCTAGGAATGTATCCATTTCCTCTAGGTTTTCCAGTTTGCTAGCGTATAGTTGTTTATAATAGTCTGATGATCTTTTGTATTTCTATGGTATCAGTTATACTGCTTTTTTTTTCATTTCTAATTATATTTGGGTTGTCTTTTTTCTTGGTTAGTCTAGTTAGTAGTTCAATTTTGTTTATCTTTTCAAAACACTAACTTCTTTGGTTGATCCTTTGTATTGTCTTTTAAAGTCTATTTTATTTAGTTTTGCCCTAATCTTTCTTTCTTTATTTTTTAAATATTAACTTTTATTCCCTACTACACATAGTATTTTTATTATTATTATTATACTTTAAGTTCTGGGGTACATGTGCAGAATGTGCAGTTTTGTTACATAGGTATACACATGCTATGGTGGTTTGCTGCACCCATCAACCCGTCACCTACATTAAGTATTTCTCCTAATGCTATCCCTCCCCTAGCCCCCCAACCCCCCGACAGGCCCCCATGTGTGGTGTTCCCCTCCCGGTGTCCATGTGTTCGCCTTGTTCAACTCCCACTTATGAGTGAGAACATGCAGTGTTTCGTTTTCTGTTCTTGTGATAGTTTGCTGATAATGATGGTTTCCAGCTTCATCCATGTCCCTGCAAAGGACACGAACTCATCCTTTTTTTATGCCCTAATCTTTATTATTTTTTTTCTTCTATTTATTTGGGGCTTGATTTTGTTCTTTTCTAGTTTTTTGAGATACATTTTTGGGTTGTTTATTGGAAATCTTTCTAGTTTTTTGATGTAGGAATTTATTGCTATAAATTTCCTTCTTTGCACTGCTTTGGTTGTATCCCATTGGTTTTGGTATGTTGTGTTTCAATTTTCATTTGTTTCAAGAAATTTTTTGATTTTCTTTTTAATTTCTTCCTTGACCCAATGGTCATTCAGTAGTATTTTTTTTAATTCCATGTATTTGTATAGTTTCCAAAGTTACTCTTGTAATTGATTTGTGTTTTTTTTTTTCTATTGTGGTCTGAGGAGATAATTGGTATGATTTTTATTTAAATTTGTTGAGACTTTTTTATGTGGTCTATTCTGGGAACTGTTCCATGTGCTGATACAAAGAATGTATATTCTATAGCAGTTGGATGAAATGTTCTCTAAATGTCTATTAGGTCCATTTTTGTGTAAAGTGTAGTTTAAATCCAATGTTTATTTGTTAATTTTTTTCCCAATGCTGAGAGTGGGGTGTTGAGGTCACCAACCATTATTGTATTGGAATCTGTCTCTTCCTTTAGGTCTAATAATATTATACATCTAGTTGTTTCTGTGTTTGGTGTATATGTTTAGAATTGTTACATCTTCCTGGATTGATTCCTTTATCGTTATGTAATGACCCTCTTTATCTCTTTTTACTGTTTTAATTTAAAGTCCATTTTATCTGACATGTGTATAGGTACTTGTGTTCATTCTTGGTTTTCATTTGCATGGAATATCTTTTTCTGTCTTTTTACTTTCAGTCTACATGTTTCTTCACAGATGAGATGAGTTTCTTGTGGGTAACAGTATAGTTGGATCACGTTTTTAAATCCATTCAGCCAGGCTGTATCTTTTAAGTGGAAAGTTTAATCTGTTTACATTCTTGGTTGTTATTGATATGTGAGGGATTATTCCTGTCATTTTGTTAATTGATTTTTGGTTGTTTCATGTATCCTTTTTCCTTTCTTTCTTACTGTTTATCATTGTGGTTTTGTGGTTTTCTTTAGTGGTAACATATGAATTCTTTCTCTTCCTCATTTGTGTGTTTGCTCTACCAGTGGGTTTTACACTTTTGTATGTTTTCATGATGGTAGAAATTATCCTGTCACTTCCAAGTGTAGGACTCCCTGAAGCATTTCTTGTAGGTATGGTCTAGTGGTAATTCCCTCAGCTTTTGCTTGTTTGGGAAATACATTATTTATTCTACATTTATGAAGGATAACTTTGCTGGGTATAGTATCTTTACTGGCAGTTTTTTTTGTTTGTTTGTTTGTTTGTTTTTTTCCTCCTTCAGCACTTCGAATGAATGTGTCATCCCATCCCATTCTCTCCTGGCCTGTACAATTTCTCCTGACAAATCTGTTAGTCTGATGAGGGTTCCCTTATAAGTGACTTGATGCTTTTTGTTTTTCTTGAGGTTTTTATAATTCTCTGTTTGTCCTTGACTTTTGATAGTTTGATTATTATGTGCTGGAGAAGACCTTTTTGGGTTGTATCTGTTTGGGGATCCCTGAGCCTCCTATATCTGGATGTCTAATTCTCTTGCTAGACTTGGGAAATTTTCAGCTGTTATTTTGTTAAATAGGTCTTCTTTCCCTTTCATTTTTCTCTTTGCCTTCTGGAACATGTAAAATTCAAATATTTGATCAGTATATTGTGTCCAATATGTCACATAGGCTTTGTTCATTCTTTTTTTATCCTTTTGTTTCTCTTTTGGTCTGCCTGGGTTATGTCAAAAGACCTGTCTTCAAATTCTGAAATTGTTCTCCTTGATCTTGTCTGTTGTCTGTTGTTGAAGCTTTTTGAATGTATTTTGTATTTCTTTCAGTGAATTCTTTAGTACCAAGATTTCTGTTTGGTTCTTTTTAATGATATCTGTCTCTGCTAAATTTCTCATTTATATCCTGAATTGCTTTTCTGATTTCTTTTTATTGTTTAATCTGAATTCTCTTATAATTCACTATTTTTTAAAATATTATTATTTTGAATTCTTTGTCCTGGATTTCATAAGTTTCTTTTTCATTCAAGTCTATTGCTGAAGAATTATTGTGCTCTTTTGAAGGTGTCATAGTTCCTTGCTTTTTTGTGTTTCTTTTGTTCGCATGTTGATAATTTGCACATCTGATATAAAATTTTCTTATTCCAGTTTTGGGAATTTACTTTCATAGGGGAGGATGTTTTCCTGAAGATGTATCTATGGTGTTGGTTGTGTAGGTCACTTTGGCTTTGATTCTGAGTATGTGAAGTAGTGTAGTCTCCATATAATTTCTTTGGCTGTAAATGCATCAGTAGTGTCTGTAATTTTTTTTTTTTTTTTTGAGACCAAGTTTCACTCTTGTTGCCCAGGCTGGAGTGACATGGCACGATCTTGGCTCACCACAACCTCTGCCTCCTGGGTTCAAGCCATTCTTCTGCCTCAGCCTCCCAAGTAGTTGGGATTACAGGCATGTGCCACCATGCCCGGCTAATTTTGTATTTTTAGTAGAGTTGGGGTTTCTCCATGTTGATCAGGCTGGTCTTGAACTTCCGACCTCAGGTGATCTGTCCACCTCGGCCTCCCAAAGTGCTGGGATTACAGGCATGAGCCACTACGCCCGGACTATGTGTCTGTAATTCTTTAAGTGGCTTTGGGTGTGGTTGGTTGTGGAGGCTGTGGCAAAGGTTTGCTGGGGCCGGGGATGTCAGATGGGTCAGTCCTGAGCCTCAGTAGTGGCAGTTGCAGGCTGAGCATGCCTGTTCTTGGTGTATGCTGGTACCAGTGTAAGAGGTCCAGGCAGGCTGATTCTTGAGCCTCCAGGCTTGCCTGAGTGGGCCAGGCATGTGGGTAGGTCCTTAGGTCCCTCTGAGTGTCAGGTGTGGTGTGGGAGATAGCAGTATTAGTGATGGGGCAACCCTGTGGGATCCAGGTGGTCCATACTGTGTTGACAGTGGCTGCAACAGGCTGGGAGGGCCAGTCGCCAGGCCTGCAGTTGGCACATACGTCTGTGTGCCAACTGAGGTGATAGTGGCAGTTTGGGTGAGCCCATCCTGAGATCCCCAGGAAGTGTGCTCAGGTGCCAGTGGTGGTGGTTGGGGCAGGGTGATCCCAAGGCCCCTGGATGGCATGCTTGAGCACTGGAGGTAGACAGTGGAGCTGGGCCAGGTGGACGTGTCCTCAGGCTCCCAAGTGCTGGTGCTAGCTGTGGTAGGCAGGGGCGGGGTGATCCTCAGTTCTGCAGTGGAATGCTTGGTGGGGGTGGCAATGGCTGTGCTGTGGTCCTACTGCTGGGGAGGGCGGGGTTGCTTTCAGTGGCAGCAACCACAGACAGGTGGTTGGAGAGCACATGCTTCAGCCCCAGGTAGCAGCTATAAGCAGAGTAGCCTTTCCTCAGGGCACTTTTAAGTGTGTTGTAGCCCTGCTATCGTGGGCAGCAGAGTTGCTGCCAATGGCAGTCAGCTGTGGTGGTAGATGTAAGCAGAGGGTGTCAGTGTAGCTTCAGATATGTGGAGAGAGGAGGGTCTTGGGCCCCTTGGGTAGATGCAGTTTGGTGGGGGCTGGGTTCTCAAAGTGGTGCTTTGCTGTAGCTGCTTAGGACTAGAGGGTGAGGGGGAAGGTGGGAATTGGCATGAGCTCTGTCTCTGGAGTAACGCTGTTGCATGGTCTCCAGGCAGCTCCCTACATCAGTTTCAGGGCCCTTTTGGGTTGAGGGGCTCTCCTGTGGCTAGGATTGGAGTCTGGTGGGATTGTGGACCACTGGAGGTCACTTCCCCTTTCCCTACATCGAAGAGCTGTTCCAGGCTTCTCGCCAGTCCCAGAACAGCAGGCTGCCTTGCTTCCCTCTTCTTCCTTGCCTTAGGTGTTTCCTGTCACTTCTCTGTTGAATTCTAGTACTCTTTTTTAGGTGGTCTGTTTAAAGTGTGACTATCTACTTGCTATTTCTGTTCTTTGTGGAGGAGGTGAGTACCAGATGCCTCTAGTCAGCCGTCTTGGCTTCTGCAAGTTTTTAATATTCACAAGAATAATGTACTGCATGCATCCTTGTGCAAATTGCTTTAGTCATTAGCATATTTAAAGCTATACTTTGTTTATTTTAACTGCTTTATATCTTTCTGGTAATATTGTGATTTATTCCTTCACCAGTTGATAAATATTTGTGTTGCTTTTGATATTTTAAAAGAGTGGCAATTGGAATTCATGTGTCTCTCGTTAGGCACATGTGTGATTTTTTTTTTAAACTAGGGTTAGAATCTTTTGATCTAGTGTATGAACATGTTCATAGTTAGTAGTTTTTGCCAAACTGTTTTTCAAAGCTATTGTACTAAATTTTACTTTCACTAGCACTGTAGGACTGACCTCACTGACTCTTGACATTTTCCAACTTGGTAATTTTTGCCAACCTGATGGAAATAAATTGGATCTCACTGCAGTTTGTAATTAATTCTCTGATTCCCTGTAAATGTAATTTTCTTTTCTTGTGATTATTGGCTCTTAAGGTTTTCTCTTCTGTGAATTGCCTATCCACATCGGTGCCCCTTTTTCTGTTGGATTGTTTGTCTTTTCCCTTTTTGACTTGTAAGAAGTCTTTACATTTCACTGTAGAGAAAGTCTTTCTTATGTGTGTTTCTAAAGTTTCTACTAATTTAGTTTTTCTTTTCACTCATTAGATTTTGCAGCACAGAAGTCTTAAAATTTTGATTAGTCAAGTTTTATCGATGCTTTTTGGTCATATTTAGAAATATTCCCCTCTTCAGAGCTTATAAATATATTTTTTCATTTTCTTCTTAAAATTATATTTTATTATATGTGTATTTTCATATTGCCTGAAACGGATTTCTGTGTTTAAAATAAATATTCAGTTTTTAAGTATTATTACATGAATGAACAGATACGTCATTTTCTCAATTGATGGGTAAAATCATATCTCTCATATCAAGTTATAATATGTGTGTTTCAGGCTCTTTATTCTGTTCCATTGGGCTATCCATGTATTTCTATGCCAATATCACAATGTCCTAACTACCATCACTTTAAAATGTAGTATTCAATAACGCATCTAGTTATTAGTTTTCTAGTTGTCTTGGGTATTGTTGTTCTTTTGTGCTTTCATATCAATGTTCAGGGAGTCTGTCAAGTTCCATGAGAAACCCTTTTGGGATTTTAATTTTATCATGTTAAATTTATATATTGATACTGGGAAAATTGACATCTTTACATCTCTATTCACAAAAATATTTTATTTCTTCATTTATTTAGGTTTGCTTGTATGCTTTTGTAAAGTCAGACTTATTCCTAGATACGTTAGAGCTCTTGTTACTGTAAATGTGTTCTTTCTTGAAATAATAACTAGAATTTTTTTTTCTGGTATTTTTATAGGAGCAGTTGATTCATATGGCTTGATGATTAATTCAGAAAATTTGTTAAACTCTCTTAATACAGTTTGTTTATAGGTGTCTTGCATTTTCTGTGTAACTGATTATATTATGTGTGGTTAAAAATAAGGTTTTTTAAAAATTTCCAGTTTTTTTTTTTTTTTTTTTTAGACAGAGTCTTACTGTGTCACCCAGGCTGGAATGCAGTGATGCTATCTCCGCTCACTGCAACCTCCGCCTCCCAGGTTCAAGCAATTCTCATGCCTCAGCCTCCCAAATAGCTGGGATTACAGGCATGTACCACTATGCCCAGCTAAATTTCGTATTTTTATTATAGTAGAGATGGGATTTTGCCATGCTGTCCAGACTGGTCTCAAATTCCTGGCCTCAAGTGAGCCACCTGCCTCAGCCCTTCACAGTGCTGGGATTACAGGCATCAACCACCACGCCTGTCCTTGTTTCTGTTTGAAAGTGAATGCTTAAATATGACATTCATGTCATATTTAAATATGATATGAATGTTTTGAAAGTGAATGCTTAAATATGACAATTAGTGTACATGTTTGATAGCTACTTTTCAATAAGTTAGGGAAATTAATTATCTTCTAATTATAGATTGTCAGAATATCATGAAAGTGTATTAAAAATTGCCAAGCACATTTTCCATGTCTTTTGAGATGATCATTGGCTTTTTTTCTCTCTTTCAATTTGTTAGAGTGGTTAATTATGTAACCACATTTTTTAAATGTTAAATCATCTTTGCATTCTGGAGGAAACCCTATTTAGTCGTAAGAAATTGATATACATACAACCCATTTAGTCATATATACACACACCCCATCTTCTGTGTGTTTGTGTGTATCTTGAAGATACATATTTGATTTACTTGCATTTTATTTAGAAACTCTCATTTATGGTCTTAAATTAGATTAACTCATAATTCATGTTGTTCTTACTCTCCTTGTTTGTTCTTGTAAGATGATTCTACTGGCTTCTTATGGGGTAACCAAATAAACTGGGAAAATAAGTAATAGCAAGTAATTTTAGGTAGGCTTCAGAACAAATGGAAGTAGAATGTTGAGCCACAGTAACATGTAAGATGGGAGTGGAGGCACTGGAGAGAAAACATATCAAGGGAAGAGGATTACCTTCAGACTTCTAGTCAAGTGTGCATGTTAAAATATTAAGACTAAGCATTAAAGAATAGAAACAATGTATAACTCTTGAACCAATAGAAGTGGAAAAGGGAGAATGCAGTCAGTTCCGTTTTGTCTTTAATCATTTATTATCTGACATTCTTGGGTCTAATCCTGCTGTGAACTGTTCTGGGGATTCTCACATGTGGCATCCTCCTGTGTTTTTTTCCTTTTGGAAGATGAGTTTATATTCAGTGAGGCTGGTTTGAGAGAATCCCGTGTGGCTGGCTGTGTTGAGGTCTCGTCCTCCAGAGAAGTTTGGTGTTTGCTAGTGTTAGGCGGTGAGTGGGAGGAGCATGGGGATATCACCAACTCAGGACCTTGGTTTGTGTTAATTTCTTCTCCTGAGGGTTCTCAGACTTGACAGGTAGTCTAAGTTCAAATCCCAGCCTTGTGTGATTTATGGGACTAGAGTCATGATTTCTTAAGGGACTCTTTATTTATTTTCCAATCTGGAGCCTGAGCTTGACAAAACTTCCTTGTTCTTCCCAGTGCAAGTAGGGATATCTTTTTTTTTTTTTTTCTTGATCTACACACTTACCAATACGAAGATCTTAGAGACTGCTAGCTTGGTGGGTGGGTCTCAATTCCAACTCACTGCCTCAGTCAAGCCCAAGGGCTCATCTTCTGTTTCCCAATAGTATTAAAGCCCTGTCCTCATGATCTCTGACAATCTGCTGCCTGGACAGCCTTTCACCTTGGTTTAAGTTCCCTCTTAGCTTAGCAGTGCATCTAAGGACTATTTATTATACTTTATCCAGCACATCTTAGTGTTTTTAGTGAATTTTTCCATTCCTTCCTCTTAGGACTGACACAGAATTCTCTTTGGAAATTTGACAAGTATGATGATGTGTACCTTTTCTCAGCATGGTAGACAATGGGCTATAATAGATAAAAAGTACTTTTATTAACTTACAATTTATGTGTTGCACAGTTTCTTTTTGCATATGTGTATATCACATTGATATACATTATTATTTTATAAGAAGTAGCATTTTATGTACTTTTTCAGATAAACCTCCTAAAATTTACTAGTTGCATATTCTTCAGCGATTTTAAGTATTCTAGTTTAAAATCATTTTTAGTGGATATCAGTATTGTTTTGTGGCCCATTTTCTAGTTATTGTGACAAAACATCTCACTTTTTAAAATGTCCAATTTGAAGCTCTAAGAAGGGTGAGGACTTTTTTCTTGTTAATAGAGACTTAATGGAATTTAATTAAATTCTATGCTGTCTCTTTTCTAATCTTTTTTGGAGAAAGAAAATAGGCCTGATTATTTTGAATTTAAGAATAAGAATTTAAAAAGTCTTAGAGGTCATCCTTACCTTAATTTACAAATGAGACAATTGAGATTCAGAACAGTTTTGGAACTTATTGAAAAACAAATTAGCTAGTTGAAAATGAGAATCAGAAAGAGATCTGCTAAACCAAAGCTACAAATCAGGCCCCCGCCCCGGCTCACTCTATTGTATTTTAACAGAAGTGGAGGAAGTAAGTTGGTTTGATTTGATTTATATCTTATTACTAGTTCTTTATCAGCATAGATTACAGTCTCCCTTAGAGTATCTCAGTAGAGTACATATTTACATTCATATCTAAATACTAAATCACATTGGTGTAATTACTAGCATGTGAGTTTATGCCAACTGTTCCTTCTTCCTCTTGGCCAATGAGTATGTAATTGTCTTTCAAGAGATGGAAGAACACATCAGATGTACTGTGAGTGGCTCCATGCCAGGCACTTGGGTGCATCAGTCGTACTCCTAGAAGGCATAATGCAGTGCCATGCCCAACCTGGTATCCTATAAACGTTCAAGAATGTGTGCATGGATGAATGAATTGCATGGTGAAGGTAAACAACATATGTGACTCTTTAGCGTTTAGGCTTGACAGATTTGTTATAACTTATTTTGAGATCACACAATAAGGTGAGGTAAATTTCTGAGATTTGTAACATCTACTCTATAGAGCAGCCAGTGAGATCACTTCCCTCGAACCCTATCATCCTAAGACAAAATAATTGATGGGTGAGAAAAGGGCATGAATATGAACTTCTCTTTTCAGTTTTGAGGACAACTGAATTTGGGAATAATGCTATCTTATTTATGTTTTTGTTTCTTGGGCAGGGTGAAATTCTATAACTTCGTATTACAGAGAAGTTTCTAATTATGGTGATTTGGATTTTATAATGAGCTTTTTGGAAAAGTACTTATTGGACTTTGTATGAGTGTATTTTTGTTCTTCCCAAAATTTCTTGCAATAAATATGAGCTACTTTCTAAAGATGAAAAAATCATCTATAATCTCACCTACATAAATTTTACAAAATTGTCATTCTATGTATTGCTTATGCTTTCCTCCTATTTTGCACTCTGTTTTTCTCCAGTAATACAAAAAGTTGCCATTCTGCTTTAGTGTATTATTCAGTTCAGTGGTTTTTGAATCAGCATATTTAACTTTATTTTTGAAAACTTGTCACATTTAAATCATCTCATTTTTACTTGAGTAATAAGAGAAAATTAATATGTTTACATTCTGCTTCCCCATTTCAAGTTTTTATCTATACAGTAAGTAATTTTAATCCCAGATTATTATTAAATTGCTATTTTATTAATAGGTATAGCTTCTTTCAATAATTATTTTTGATATTTGCTTTAAGTTTTATAACCCTATGAAGAACAATTATTTAGAATCATGTTCTGTGGGTTTTAATGCTTGCTGCCAGGGTCTTGTATTTATTGTGTGTGTGTGTGTGTATTTATTTTTTTCTTTTCTCAAGAGTTAAATACTATATACACTTTCTCTACGAAGGAAGTGTAGATGAAATGTAGATGGCATTCTTTCTGAATACTCACATTTCTGTGACTGTTCTTTATTGTCCTCGTATGAAAACATCAATGTAATTGGCTATGTATCTCAAAAAATTTCTCTGTATAATGGGTCTGTTCTGATTCTCTCTGTCTTTAGATATTTGACTTGTTATTTTTTTTCTCTAAACTCTTACAATTTTTCTTTACCATTGAGATCCCAAAATCTCATCAAGATACACCTACATTTTAGTTGCTTTTAATTAACTTTGTTTTGTAATCTACATAAATTTAAATCACTAATCTGAGACCTTTCTTTTTAGGCAATTACTTGTCTTCTGTTTGGAGCTGTGTTTTTCAGGTTCCTTCTAATCTTTCTTGGACCCCTGGTGCATCTTGAATTTTTTTCCTATATGTGCCTTCTTTTCTTTTGTTCTTGTCATCTCTGACTCTTTTCTGAGTGTTGGGTGAATTTCCTTAGTCTTCTACCTGCCATTTCAGTTTTCTGGAATTTTTATACTTCCTTTCATTACCTGCATTGCCATTTTTAATACAGAAATTGTTTTTCAGTTTGTTCTGATAGGCACAATAATGGCTTCCAAAGATATCCATTACTTAATCCTCAGAGCCTGTGGCTACTACCTTGCATAGAGAAAGGGACTTTTCAGATGTGTTTCAGTTAAAGATGTTGAGATGGGGAGTTTCTCCTAGATTTTTGGGTGGGCTCAGTGTAATCACAGGGGTCATCAAATGTGGTAGAGTGAGAAAGAAGATTGAGTGTCAGTCATGTGAGAAAGACCTGACTAGTCATTACTAGCTTTTGAAGATGACAGGTAGCCATGAGCCAAGAGATGTGGGCAGCCTCTAGAAGTTGGAAAAGACAAGGAAACGGATTCTCCCCTAGAGCTCCTGGAAAGAAACAGAGCTTTGCCTTCCCGGTGATTTTAGTCCTGTGAGACCTATTTTGGACTTCTGACCTCTAGGACTGTAAGAGAATAAATTTGTATATTTATGCTGCTAAATTTATAGCAATTTGTTAAAGTAGCAATAAAAAACTATTTTTGTGATGTTTTTACTGATTTCTTTTGTCTTCATAATGGCTTGTTCTATTTTCAATGTTACTATGTTAACAAAACACATTGAGGACACAAATCAGAGATGTCCCATCATTTAATCTTTTTCTCTTTCTATCTCTTCTTTTTTTCCCCTCCCATACATCTGCTTCAGTGGGAGGTGATTTCTTCTTTGGCGAGAGATAAGTGGCCACCTCCTTTGATTACATTTTTCCCCATTATGTTCCATAATTATTTTTCTGTCATTATAGCCCTGACTATCTTATTGGCCTATAGTCCAATTGCAGTTAAATTGGATTCTCTCTGAACCATGTAGGTTTTCTGCCTAAGTCTGTCGGCTCCTGAAGAAGTAGGAAAGCCCATTCACACTGCCCTTCTTACTGCCATTGGAGGTGCTTTCAGGGTCTCCACTGCTTATTCTTTTGACCTGTTGCTTTCTGCAGACAATAAGAGAGGAGGTTTAATTCCTCTATCAGTTCAGTCCTATTGTCATAAAACTAACTGAAATTCCTCTCACTTCTTCTCAGGCATATTATACCCTCCCAATTTTTAATTCCTGGTGTATTTTCTACTCTTTCAATATTTAGCTGCTAATTTTCATGAAATATAGCGTTCTTATCCAGAATCCTCTTAGTATAGGATTTTAAATCTGAACTAGACCTTATGTATAAGTTAGTCCAATTTCCTCATTTCACAGATGATAAAATTGAGTTTCGAAAATCATTTAAGTTTTATCATTAAATATGTATGGTTTTTATGGTATTACAGTCAATTGTTGAGAGAAAAGAAATGGCATAGGACAGGGCACTTTTCTCTACCTTTAGAGAAAATCTGTCAGTTTTACTCATCTTTGTACATTGTGGCTTAAAGAGATAATTTATACTTCTTAATTTTGCCATCCTTAACTTTATCGTTTTTCTCTGTGGGAAGGGCTAAGAAGCTGCATATATCTCTGCTTAACTTTGTTGCTACTTGGTGTTCAGAAGTTGGAATGCTGGGAAATAATATACGCTTGATATTTGGTTTAAACATTTCTTGATTCAGAGAAGGTAGATGGTTATAGAGACTAATGAAAAGAACAGACTTTTATATTTGTCTTGACAAAGTTTTAAATATCCTTTGCAGAAAGAAAATTTGTAAAGTTTAAACATTTTTGGAAATATCTTTAATTTATTAAGGAAATCAATATGTATTTAGCATGTAGTCCATAGAACAGTTGGATACTATACAACAATGAATAAGCAAGCTAGAATCTCTGCGTTTATAGGGTTTCATAGCCTAGTGTAGAGGGGATCAACAGATAATTAAGCAATTATGATACAGTGATTCCCTGGACCAGCAGCCTTGGCATTACTTGGGACCCTACCTCAGATCTACTGAATCAGAAGTTCTTGCGGGTTATGTCAGCAATCAGTGTTTTACAAACTCTCAGGTAATTCTGATACAAGAAACCACTGTTTTCACTGTTGAGAACCAGAGTTGAGAGAGAGAGCACAGCACATTAAATAGAGCTGAAGCTGAGAGTTTGGAGTCATTAATATCTTGAGTTGAGGCTGGAGAGGCAGGTAAGTAAGGTCTGATAAGATGATTGAAAAGTTTAGACTTTTATCTAACGTGCACTCATAAGCCCTTAAAACATGTCCAGTGGGGAAACAGCTTGATCAACTTTGTCTTTTTTTTTTTTTTTTTTGAGATGGAGTTGGGGTCTTGCTTTGTTACTCAGGCTGGAGTGCAGTGGCATGATCTTGGCTCACTGCAACCTCCACCTCCCGGGTTCAAGCGATTCTCCTGCTTCAGCCTCCTGAGTAGCTGGGATTACAGGTGCCCACCACCATGTCTGACTAATTTCTGTATTTTTAGTAGAGAGGGGGTTTCACCATGTTGGCCAGGCTGGTCTCGAACTTCTGACCTCAAGTGATCCACCCACTTTGGCCTCCCAAAGTGCTGGGATTACAGATGTGAGCCACTGTGCCCTGGACTGTGATCTCTTTAAGAAGCAGACAAGTAAAGAGATAAATAATTATACAATGTATTAAGTATAATATTTGAAGCATAATCTAAAAGCTATTAAAGTCTAGATAAGGAAAGAGACTTTAGATGCCTGGGTAAGTCAGAAGACTAACCACTTAAGTATTTCACGTTGTTCTTGGAAGTTTTAGTGTACAACCTATGGATATTCAGTAGAATATTTGATCAAAAATAGTGGTTAAAAGTGTCATATGTTTTGGGTAATTTATTAGATTCAAAGCAAAATAAAAATGAAAAAGTAGAATGTGAACCGTCTTCAAGATATATTTTTTAATTTTAGGGGTCCCAGGTAAACTTAGAGCTTCAAGAAGAATGACTTACTCTATGTGATGTATACTTTTCTAATTTCTAGTTTGTTACTTATTTTCTAATTTTGTTTAAATATATTATTATATATAATTACATATTATAATTATATATAATTATATATTATATATTATGATAGATAAATAAACATATATTATTCTGTTTTAAACTGTCTCAATCCTTTTTAAAGTGATTATTATAAATATTGTAAATAATAAGCAAATATATTCTTATCAATGATGTTGAAGAATAAGTAAACATGTTATAAAGCATTTTCACTCCACACTTTAAAAAATATGCTGCATCTAATCTAAGTATATTTTACTTGTAGAACATTGTCAAAGGGTCACCTACTCTTTGGAGGTTACGTTGGGTCCTCCAAAAAGAAAAAAAATTCTCAAATGTCATAGATTGGTTGACAAGTCCTATTCTGAACTTAAGGAGTTGTGGGGGTAGGCAGTGCTGACCACAGGAATGTTGAGCAGCAAATGCTGGCTTTGGGCAAAAAACCTTTGATGCACAGTGACTTGTTTGAAATGTTTGGAATGATGGTCCTTGTGGGAACCTGCATTACAAAATGTCTGTCCCACATGGAACATACTGTGTGAGAATAGAAATGCAGAATAATAGGGCAATGATACCCTATCTAGAAACCAACTGTGTTTACAGATTCCCTAAATAACAGGTCAAATAGATTTTACTATGGTAAATATTCCAATTGCAATGTTCTGCAAAATTTTTGTCTGTCTCATGTATTTTAAGCAAGATTTCTTGGCCATGTGGCTTTTGTAGTAGACTTCAATGACATAAAACCACTAAGCAGAGACCTTGTCATTTATTTAACTCCAACTGCCTTTAATCTTAAGGACAGTAATATTGTGAGAAACCTTGGAGTTTCAACATAATCACAAGATGGTATGCAGGATCAAATGTTCAAATTATTTGCTTTTGTTTTTCTGTTGCATGTACTATAAAAGTCTTGTGTTATCTATATAAGCTTTAAATTTGGACCTGTGCCTTCTTTTTCATCATCTTTTCTCCTTTTTCTTTTAGTTCACAGCCATGAATGAACCACAGTGCTTCTACAACGAGTCCATTGCCTTCTTTTATAACCGAAGTGGAAAGCATCTTGCCACAGAATGGAACACAGTCAGCAAGCTGGTGATGGGACTTGGAATCACTGTTTGTATCTTCATCATGTTGGCCAACCTATTGGTCATGGTGGCAATCTATGTCAACCGCCGCTTCCATTTTCCTATTTATTACCTAATGGCTAATCTGGCTGCTGCAGACTTCTTTGCTGGGTTGGCCTACTTCTATCTCATGTTCAACACAGGACCCAATACTCGGAGACTGACTGTTAGCACATGGCTCCTTCGTCAGGGCCTCATTGACACCAGCCTGACGGCATCTGTGGCCAACTTACTGGCTATTGCAATCGAGAGGCACATTACGGTTTTCCGCATGCAGCTCCACACACGGATGAGCAACCGGCGGGTAGTGGTGGTCATTGTGGTCATCTGGACTATGGCCATCGTTATGGGTGCTATACCCAGTGTGGGCTGGAACTGTATCTGTGATATTGAAAATTGTTCCAACATGGCACCCCTCTACAGTGACTCTTACTTAGTCTTCTGGGCCATTTTCAACTTGGTGACCTTTGTGGTAATGGTGGTTCTCTATGCTCACATCTTTGGCTATGTTCGCCAGAGGACTATGAGAATGTCTCGGCATAGTTCTGGACCCCGGCGGAATCGGGATACCATGATGAGTCTTCTGAAGACTGTGGTCATTGTGCTTGGTAAGTTCTGTCTTGACTGTAACTTACTTTATAGATTCTCAGTGACTAACATAAACCACATTATTTTATGTCAGAGGTAACCAACAGTATGAATATTCACCAGGTAATTCACCAGGAATTACAAGGGGATGAGGCACCTTTATATTAAATGTCAGCTTATGAGTCTTCCTAAAATTATAGAATTAGCGTTAGGGAAACATGGGTCCCAGTGGTGCAGTATAAATGATGATGATGTAAAAGATGTCATTGAAGAGTTTGGCTATCTAATATTGAAAATACCAGAATTACCAGTCAAACTCATTCATTTTTCTTACAGCCTAAATTGTGAAACTTTTGCATTGTGGTTTCTGTATTACATATTTTCAGACAGAAAGTGCTTTTGTAGAATATGAATATGCTTCCATATATAGTTATTTTTGTTAGTCTATTCTGTAATTGTTGCTACATTATAGGTAGTATATCAAGGTTTTATATAGATTTACTGAACAAAACAGATTGGAATTAATGATATTCTCTGACAGTCATCTTCATGAAAACTTCCTTATTTTCTATTAATTTTCTATTTGTAGTAGTGGAGGTTAATTCATATTTCAAGGTGAAGAGCAAGATTTGTAGACTCAAATACCTTCTGCTTTTAAATAAGCATTGTTTTTCTTGGATGAAAAATTCATAGTAGTGATCAAGAAGAATATATTCACTTATGTGTGTAGAAGGTAGTTAAAGAGCACCTACTATGTTCTACGCTCTGTGCTGGCTCCATGAAAAGGACAGATACAGACATTTCCTTTGGAGCTGAGAGTAGAGTGAGAGTTTTTTAAAATAATTACCCAATGGAATTATACATTCTCCATAGACTATATTCAGGTTAACGTTTGATCACATTAAAAAATCTTTTTTGAAAACCTTTTATCATTTCATCTTTCCCTATGGAAATTGAAAAAAAACATTTTATCACCTCCTCTTTCCCCACAGAAATTCAATGGAAAGTTCCTATAATTCTCTGTGCTCCAATTTATATAGCATTTTTGGGTGAATGTAACATGGGATTATGTGGCTCCTCTGAAACTCTGGGAATTACCTTAATTTTAGCCACTGGAAGGAGACAGGGTCCTGCTGATCATTATATAAAGTAGTATTCAGATTGATGCATAGGTCTCGTCTGTTTTGGTTAGGATGACTGCATCATGGACATCATTTTCAGCTATACTCATTGTTGACCCTCTTGTAGACCTGTGAGAATAGCAACTAAGCCTTGGGATCACTGACACACCTAAAACCCTGCCTAACTAACTGAAACACTGAGGACCCCATCACCTCAGATATGAGATTGTCTTATTGCATCCAATGAAGATTAGTAGAACTACAAAAATGGTTTCTCTGTATGTTTATTAACAGGACCTTAAGCACACCTGTGCCACAAGGCCACATTTTCCATGATGTGGATAAAACACATCTTTGTTTACCATGGATGCTATTTTTGTATGAAATAAAACATGAGACATTAAATAACATGAGACTTTTTTCCTGTATTGACTCAAATATTTATTTGCTGATGACCTAAATGTTGGTTGACATTTTTTATATGCATGAACTTTTTCTATTACGACAAGTGCTACTCATAGTTTGCAGAATTGCCAGCAGCAAATGACTACTGAACTTGGACTATTAACCTGCCAAGTTCTTGTTTTAATTTTGACCTTTGTATAATATCTTGTGTATTCCAGTGTGCAATGTACTGAATGATTCACATACTTTTGTGCCTCTTTGGGTTGTTTTTCAGGTTGAAATAATCATTTTGAGGCTATAGGAGCTAGTGTTTCAGTGTACATTTGCCCTAAATGCCACTTTCCCATGCCCAACTACTACCACTGCACAACCACTAACTTTAAAATAACAGAAATAATATTTAAACTAGTATACTCCACAAAGATCGAATGCAGTTGACATCTCTGGAATAAAGAGCATGATTTTTAAAGCTGTGAGATGGAAGAACTTTCAGAACATGGAAAACCCCGTCACGGTGATAGGTGAAGGTATTTGGTGAAGAAAGATGGGAATAAGATTGTAATATAGGAAACAGAAATTAAATGGACCGTAGCCTTTTTGAGAAAAGTAGCAAGAATAAGAGAATGGGCAGGATGTGGGCAGGGAGTGGTTGGAAAGTTTAGAATGGGGAAGTCACAATCCTAACAGATGTTTTTCAAGGCGTGGTGCCTAATGCCATTCCTACAGTATGCTCCCCTATTTGAATTGTAAGTGTCCATCCTTAGATAGGCACGGTTACATGGGAGACATGGGTTGGTCTTGTCATAATGTAGGCAAACCCCAAAATTGGGGCTCAGCCTGGGGGAGTTCTTGGCTCTGCCCAGGAAAGAATTCAAGAGTGAACCAACAGTGAAAGAAAGCAAGTTTGTTAGCGTAACAGTGTACAGCCAAGTGACCACTCCAAAGGCAGAGCAGGGCTATCTCATAGGCAGGGTAGCACAGAACAGCACTAATGGATTGCTGGCTAGTTATATTTATACCCATTCTTTTTTCTTTTTCTTTGAGACAGGGTCTTGCTGTATCACCCAGGCTGGAGTGCAGTGGCATGATCTTGGCTCATTGTAGCCTGGACCTCCTAGGCTCCAGCAGTTCTCCCACTTCAGCCTCTCAATTAGCTGAGATTACAGGTGCATACCACCACACCCAGCTACCCAGATTTTTTTTTTTCTTTTTTCTTTTTTTTTTGTAGAGATGGGGTTTTGTCATGTTGCCCAGGCTGGTCTTGAGCTTCTGGGTTCCAGTGATCTTCCTGCCTTGGCCTCCCAAAATGCTGGGATTGCAGGCATAAGCCACCATGCCTGGGCCCCCACTCTTAATGCTAAATATAATTAAACAGGTTATTCATGAACTTCCTGGAAAAGGGGTGGGGAGTTCCTGAAACCATGTAAGGTTAACTTCCAAGTCATTGCCATTGCATTTGTAAACCGTCATGGTGCTGGTAGGAATGTCTAATGCAAATGTATTATGATTCCTGGTCCTTGCTGGTTTGGATTGGTTTCTTTGCTACATCCTGTTTTGATCAGCAGCGTTGTGAAAACAAGTCCTGCTGGTCTCCCACTTCAGTAGGAACAAGAATTCTGGTCTACTCGAAGTTCTTCTCTTTGTAAATTAGTCCATTGATAATCTGGTTATTTTACTTTAGTTTGTGTACATTTGGTTTTTAGTATTTGTCTTCACTGCCAGATTGCCAGGTTTGTGAGGGCAGGCAGGATTGTAATGATTGTTTGTTTTCTCCACGTTGCCACATTGCCTGTCACGGCTATCTGGTACAAAGTAGGTAGTCAATAAATGCTGAGGGAATGCATGTGATGACAAAACCAAGTTTCTCTGCCTTCAAAACTGAAGACCAGAGCCGTAGTGAATTCACTACAGTAAATGCCACTTTATTCAGCTATGTGGGAGCCAAACCTAGCGACACCTTTATGTTCTATGCCTTCTAAAATACAACAGCCTGGAAAACTCCTGGCTACAATGGGTGCTCAGTAAATAATATGTTTGTTTTACTTCCATTTATTCTGGGAATGATTACTCAGTTTCCATTTTCACTTCATCAAAATGATCCCTGGGTTTTAGACCTATTCAGTCTTCATGATCAAAAGAAGAATTTGTTGGTCAGCAACTGACTTGTTATGAGTCAAGTTATATTAAAATAAAGTCATCTTTGAGATTAATAATGGGCAATACCAATGGCTGGTTTTTAAGCATGATCTTGTATTAAGCTGCTTTTGAGTGAGTACTGGATCTTAATAATTATTTTTAGTTGTGAAATACTTATTTGGCATAAATCATGTGCTACCTTAGAAATTAGTATTTGTAAATTACAACCCTATGGCGTATAGGTACTGTTATTGATTTGTTATCCTTATTTTCCAGTTGATAAAAACTGAGGTAAGGAGAGGTTAGGTAACTCTCCCACAGCCACACAGCTAGGAAGTATAGGAACGGGGATTCAAGGTCAGGAGCTGGGATTCAAGGTTGGGCACTTGGGTTTCAGAACCCATGTGTTTGTCCCCTCCATGTTATTCTACTTCCCTTTAATCAAAACAACTAGCAGCACATGCTGTATTTAGTTATAACATTTGAACAGCAAGCAGTGTGTGCTATTAAATTGAAACACTGTGATCTCATTTGTTTCTGTTGAAACTGCCTAGCTGTGCTGACTGGGCTTTGTTTCCCTGGGCAGAGAAAGCTTTTAAGGGAGCAATCTTTTCTTCCTTTTGCTTCTGATGACCCTCATTTCATCCACCCTTTTCCACTGTTTCATGTTGCAGCAGCACTAACTGATGGCTTCTGATTGAGGGAGGATTTTGTTCAAGGTATAGTTAACTTGAAGGTTCATTGCCCTAGCATAAAGTCATGTAATCCCTCCCTAGGCTTGAAGTCTCCCTACTTGACATTTTACCAAGAATTCCTTCTGAGTCGTTTCCACTATTGAGTCAGAGTGGCCGTCAAGATGTTCTTCCTTATTTGACCATGGCATGTCTTGAATTATAAGTCCTTTCCTTTTTGGCTGTATTCTTTGTGATGACACTTCTGTCCAGGATACTTAGAGAGGAGGAGATCCAGAATTTGAAAAGAGAAAATCATGGTTAAGATGTGAAGTTTTTACATCTGAGTCCTGGGGAGAGACATAAAGTAAAATGAATCCAGGTGTGGCTTACCTCTTTGGGGAAGAAGAGGGAGACACTGTTTTTCTAGTTTGTTCTGGTTGGAAACGATCACCATGGAAGCTAAATTACTCCTTATGTCTTACATTCTCTGTACTAGGGTCAGTATGCGGCCCTACTCTTCCTGTGTTGTTTATACTCTTACATCAAGGAGTTACATTTTCCTCATTTTACGTTGAGGGAACTGAATTAGGATAGGTTAAGTAACTTGTCTAAGATCATTCTTTTTGTAAGTGGCAGAACTGGAAATCAGCTGTCAGATTCTTGTAGACCATGCCTTTTGGCCACAGGACACTGACTCTTCACATACCATGGTGACTGTCACCAGTGGTGACGAAAGTGGCAGGAGTCAGATAAGTTTAAGACCATAGTTTTCTTATTCACTCTGATGAAAGATTTAATTTGGCTACTGTCCTATTAGCAAATCTATATGTGCTTCTCTTTTCAGTTTACTTCAACAAGCATGTTGTTGAGTGCCAATTGTGTGCTAAGGGATAAGAGAAAAAATTCTTTACAGAGCTTATGATGTAGTAGAGGAGACTAAAAAAGAGCTGCAAAGCACTCGGGTTCATGTGCTAGTAGAGGTATGGGCAGAGAGTGATGACGAGTGGAGTGATGGGAGGGGCTCCCAGAGGAGGCAATCTTGAGCTGAGTCTTGCTGGATGTAGAGGAGCTTGCCTCACTGTAGCATTGGGTGGAGGAGAAGGTGACCAGTTCATGAGCAATGATGATCACCTTTGAGGAACTGAAAGTAGTCAGGTGTGATTAGCACCTAGTAGGTATGCCAGATGGAGTTTTGACAAGAGGGTCAAAACCTTTATAACATACTGAGAAGTTTGAGCTTCTGTCTGTGGGAGTTGGGAGACGATGAAGGGTTCCCCAAGATCAAATGAACACCAATTCCTTATAGGCAGAGTCCTCACATAATGTATCATCCAAACTGAGATGCTTTTGGGAATGAAAACAGGCACTAACTGTTGGGAATCTGGGATAACAGGAGTAAATCAAGACTGTTTAGGGCAACCTAGGATGAATGGTCACCCTCCTCCAAGGCTCTGCTCTCTGTTTGTTCTTTTTTTTGTTTTAGAGCCAGGGTTTCACCATGTTGCCTAGGCTGGTGTTGAACTCGTGAGCTCAAGTGATCTGCTCACCTCAGCCTCCCAAAGTGTTGAGATTTCAGGTGTGAGCCACCATGCCCAGCCAATATTTTTTTCTAGGTTCTCTTTTAGTTTTTCAAATGCAGCTCTCAACACTGGACTTGTATTGCTGTGTATAATTGGCTTTTTTTTTTTTTAAGGCTGGAGTCGGTCCAGATTTAGAATTCTTAGAACTTGAAAGGATCCCTAAAAATTATATCATCCAACTCCCACATCTTACAAATGAAGAGACCGAGACCCCCAGGTTAATTGAGAACTTCAGGTCTTAGTTAGCTCCTGATCCAAGCCAGGATCCAAGTTTCCTGACTTCCACTAAGGTGCTATTTTTACTGCCCCTGCCTTGTTCAGTCCCATCCACACTTTCCATCTTCATCTTTTTTTGGGAACTTCAGCCATGTATTTATGTGGCTAGCCAGGATTAGGTGTAAACATTGTGGCTGTGAAGGTAACTGGTTCTCAAAGGAAGAGTTTCCTTGAATAGGTCTTCTTATAACCAATTGGTAATCTCCCTCCCTAATTAAACCTTGAAAAAAGTTATCTGAAACTGAATCGCTTGTACATTATTAGCATCACATATAGTAGCTTTTCACATATATTAGCATCCTGTTAGCTTTCTTGACAACAGCATTATGTTACTATTTTTCATTCCACTTGGTTTTTATATTAAGTTTGTGCTCTCTCTCTCCTCTCCTCTCTCTCTCACTCTCTGTGTGTGTGTGTGTGTGTGTGTTTGTGTGTGTGTTCAGTTATATTCACTGAGTCAGGGCACCTCTGGAATCTACTCTTTGACAAGAACTATCTGGATGATTCTGGGCAAGTTACTTTCCCTGTGTTAATTTTTTCCGTATGATAAGGTGACCAATTTGATTTCCAAGATTACTTAGGATTCTATTTATTCTGTAAATAAAATTATAAGGACAGTAACTACTGTGGATCAACCATGTAGAGCTTTCTAGAGGAAAACTTGAAAGGGGACTGGGACAAAAATAAGGGACTATGATTCTTCTTTGTATGAACGGTGCATTCCACCTTCTTTTTTATTTTTTAAGGCTAGTCAAGTAGAACAGTGGGAGTGGAGAAAGAACAAAGAAATCTGTAATTGGTTATAATCAATTAGTTGTACACGTCCCTGCACTCAGACCAGCCATTACCTTCTCTCATAATAAGCTTTTAGATGCACTATCCCCCATTAAAGGGAGTGGCGAGTGTATAAAGGATCCTCTCAAAGAGATGAATCTGGGGGCTTTACTTTCCTGTGGGAGAGCCATGTGGCAGGAAGGGAAGACTTCCCAATTGGTCCTGTTGCTAGGGGCAGGGAATGGACACAGAGTCTCTTATTCCCTGGCCACAGGTGACCGGCTACACATTCTGTTACTCTGAAGGGGAACTAAAGCTACCCCATGTCTCCTCAGGTCCCAGTGGCATCCCTGTAAAGGCCTCTTTGAGGAAGAACCTGAGCGAATATCCATGAGAGCCTCGATTGTTTGGCCAGCCATTAGGCTGCTTGGCACCATGGGTGGTGGCCAGGAGACAGTCCTTGCAAAAGTCCCACAGTGCTTCCCAGACCCCACATCCTGGGCTTGGGTCAAAACAGAAAACAACTTTCAAACACCAGCTCTTTATACCCTTTTGTTGCCCATCTCCATTCAAATATTTTTTCTCAGAAGAAACGTTTAAACAGAAACAGAAACCAAAAATACCACATGAACCTAACAGAGTTCCTTTTGAAGTGTGGACAGAGGAACCAGAACATGAAGCTCTTATTTTAGGTCTGTTGAGAGTGATTCAGGCCTTGTCTGGCCGAGACTCTTGTTCATCCAAATATGAATGTTGGAAAGTCATTTACTTTTCCTTGTCGTTAAAGGTAATAAATGATGCAAAGATTTCTTAAATGAATTGTGGTGACCACTGAGAATCACTGTTTCCTAGGGGTTGAGAGTTTAGATCTGGAGTAAGATAGGCCAGAGTTTGAAGTTCACATCCTGGCTCCTTGCTTACGAGTTCCATAGTCCCAAATAACTGACTTAACCTCTCTGAGTCTTGGTTTCAGAATTAACAAAGTAAGAATCATAGGGCCTTTCTCAAGTGGTTGTGAGCATTAGATGAACTGATTTATGTAAAGCACATACATGTGGCTTACAGAAGACACTTAATGGTAGCAAGTATTATCATTACTCTTAGGTTGTGTCCTCATGAGAATTCCCCTCCTTTTTCTTTCCCTTTCTCTTTTTTGACACACCCACATCCATTCACATCTACCTACACACCAAGTCCACGTATAATTTGATGTGCGAGATGGTGCTTCATTTCTATGACATAGTATGAAATTACTATTGTGTTCCAGCAGCTGTTGGCTCGAATTATACTCTGTAAATTTTTATCCCGAATGAATGGCCTTTGCTTTTACTGCAGCTTTGCCTACACCCTACTTGTTGAGCCTCAGCCCTATGTATGAAAAATCCTGTTAGCATCACAGGAAATGCTAATAGTTCTGATCTGCTGACTCTTCAGAGTTGGTTAAATGGTGTTGACTATTAAAATGAACTTTGGAATGTAACAGGCCACTTTGTCAATGTCTATAAGAAAGTCATGAGCTCCCTCAGATGGATCTGCAGTACTTAAGGCACAGCTGAAAGCCCAGGCATCATCTAGGGCAGTGGTCCCCAACCTTTTTGGCCCCAGGAATCACTTTCATGGAAGACAATTTTTCCACAGATGGGTTGGAGGAGGGGGGATGGTTTAGGGATGAAATGTTCCAACTTAGATCATCAGGCATTAGTTAGATTCTCATAAGAAGCACGCAATCTAGATCCCTCACATCTGCAGATCACAATAGGGTTCACACTCCTATGAGAATCTAATGCCGCCACTGATCTGGCAGGAGGCAGAGCTCAAGCAGTAATGCTTGCGCATCTGCTGCTCACCTCCTGCTGTGCAGCCCGATTCTTAACAGGCTATGGACTGTTACTGGTCCATGGCCTGGGGATTTCGAACCCCTGATCTAAGGCACCATTCTGTTATTCTGTTTCCTTTTGATCAGCAGTGAAGGGCCATGTCTGGCATGTATGGAAGAAATGACGAATGGCTGGGTTCATGAGACCTGATTGCTGTTCTCTAGCCGGTCCTAGCTTCACAGTTTGACCACCTGTGAATCCTTTAGTCTGGGATTCATCGTCATTTACTTACAAAGAAAATGCTATTTATTAATAACTCCTAATCTCTCACTGCTACCTCATGAATCTCTGTGAAGAATCATCATGGCTGTTCTATGATGCCAGGGCTTTATCTTACTTCCCAGCACCTAGAATAGGTCCTGGCACTCTAGATATTTGCTGAATGACTACATGAAATATACCTCTTGTTCTGGATTGGGAGTTTTACAGGTTGCCTAGTTACAATAGTAATATACCCAGGTAGCCAAAAATTCAATGCGATTTGATAGTGGATCTCATTCAAAGGGATATTTGCCATAAGGTCGTTATAATTAAGCAGCTACAACTCCTGCCTCTCAGGACTTTTTTTAAGGCTAAGTTCCAGTGAAAACTTCCCGCATTGCCAAGTCAATCCTAAGCCAAAAGAACAAAGCTGGAGGCATCATGCTACCTGACTTCAAACTATACTACAAGGCTACAGTAACCAAAACAGCATGGTACTGGTACCAAAACAGAGATATAGACCAATGGAACAGAACAGAGCCCTCAGAAATAATGCCACATATCTACAACCATCTGATCTTTGACAAACCTGACAAAAACAAGAAATGGGGAAACAATTCCCTATTTAATAAATGGTGCTGGGAAAACTGGCTAGCCATATGTAGAAAGCTGAAACTGGATCCCTTCCTTACACCTTATACAAAAATTAATTCAAGATGGATTAAAGACTTAAATGTTAGACCTAAAACCATAAAAACCCTAGAAGAAAACCTAGGCAATACCATTCAGGACATAGGCATGGGCAAGGACTTCATGTCTAAAACACCAAAAGCAATGGCAACAAAAGCCAAAATTGACAAATGGGATCTAATTAAGAGCTTCTGCACAGCAAAAGAAACTACCATCAGAATTTTTTTTGCAAACTTGTTAATAATAGTTTATTTTGTCAGCAAACATGCATTGAAGTCTTCTAGACTCTCTGTTAATGAGTATGACTGCAAAGATCAACAAAAATATGTATCCTGCTTTCAAGAAGCTCTCACTGTAGCAGATAATGACAGATAATTTAAATAAGTGCAATATAACATGGTAAATAAACACAATATAATATGACAAAACAGGCAAAGTGCTATGTGAATGCTGTATTTCACCGGGCAATGTCTGGAAAAGACTTCAAGATGAAATTGATGTTGGAATTTCATCTTAGATGATGTATAGAAGTTTGCTAAGTAAGCCTAGGCAAAGGAATTATTTCTATTAGATATTCTTTATACCCTGAATTGAATGAAATATTCAATTACTTTTCTTGTATTGTAATTAGTATTTCACTTAGCTATGACAATAGCCGTTGTTAGGCATGTACATCTTGTATAAATCCTTAGAGTGGAAAGGGAAGCTTCCAGAATTGTCAGACAATATTTACTTAGAACTTTCTGGCTGCATTTTGCACTGGCATAATATTCACCTTTTTTTTTGTTTTTGTGACGGAATTTCGCTCTTGTTGCCCAGGCTGGAGTGCAGTGGCGTGATCTCGGTTCACCGCAACATCTGCCTCCCGGGTTCAAGAAATTCTCCTGCCTCAGCCTCCGGGGTAGCTGGGACTATAGGCACGCGCCACCACGCCCGGCTGATTTTGAAGTTTTAGTAGAGACGGGGTTTCTCCATGTTGGTCAGGCTGGTCTAGAACTCACAACATCAGGTGATCCACCCACCTCAGCCTCCCAAAGTGCTGGGAGCTACCAAGCCCGGCCCAATATTCACTTTCTTAATTGACTAGAGATAGCAATTTGACATCATCAAACTGGTTATGAAGTAAATGGGTTTTGAATGGTTACTGACCTATAAGGAAAGGGATTAATTTATTTTTATTTTTATTTTTATTTTTTGAGATGGAGTTTTGCTCTTGTTGTCTAGGCTGGAGTGCAATGGCGCAATCTCCACCTCACTGCAACCTCTGCCTCCTGGGTTCAAGTGATTCTCTTGCCTCAGCCTCCCGAGCAGCTGGGATTACAGGCCACCACACCCAGCTAATTTTTTGTATTTAGTAGAGATGGAGTTTCTCCATGTTGGTCAGGGTGGTATCGAACTCTCAATCTCAGGTAATCTGCCTGCCTCAGCCTCCCAAAGTGCTGGATTACAGGCGTGAGCCACCACGTCCGGTGGAAAGGGATTCATTTCTATATGTCAGATTAACATCCTATGGAGAAGAAGAAGGGATTGACAGTGACGTGTATGTGTTTCAGGATCTGAAAGATCATTGCCAGGAAAAGTCGACACCTATACCTGAAACATAACGAGAATATAATTTTCTATGGTGTTTTACAGTCTGTAATGGCCTGGTTGAGGTTTCAGAATGTCTTCAGGTGTTTTTTGTTATTGTTACAGCAGTAGAATTCACAGGCAGCTGTTTCATCTGGAAATGTATAGTTCTGTTTTTGAGGGGTTTACGTTCTTTGCAACTCGAAGCATCATTTCTGATTTCCTGATACAGATTGAAAAAATGAGAATGAACATAGGAGGCACACATATGAATTGCCGAATTTAGCCAATAAAAATAATTGCATGGGATATACTTATACTAAAAAACAAATACTTCTTTTTTATTTGAAATTAAAATTTAACTGGGTATCTTGTGTTTTATCTGGCAACTATAACACACACACACACACACACACACACACACACACACACACACACATTATTGGCTGGGAAATACAGCATTTTAGATAGCAATCAATTCTATATTACATGGATTTTCTCCTTTGTCTTATAGGCTTCCATATTATCCTGGAGTTCAATTTAACTATACAAGAAGTTTCACTTATTTACTATTTCTGCATTTTATTTTGAGTTGCCTTGAAATAAAGGATTGTATTCAGTTTATAGAATCTTGTTTTCTCAGAAATTTTGCTTGCTTATGAACAGGTAATGTTGTAAACTTCTGTGTCAAAATTGAATTTTTCCCTTCTGTTACATAGTCTTTGTCATGCTCTTTGAAAAAAGCATTTTAATGAAATTTGTTTTTTTCATATAAACAATTTTTTTCTTCTGTTGGTACCTTTGATATTGTTTTTCTTTGAGGCCTAACTAGAGCCTGTGCCTCTGAGAAGCTACTTTCTGTTCATGTATTTTAGTGAAGATGATAGTGTCTAGACTGAATGTGGTCATGGCTTTACTTAAACCCTGGCAGGGCTCCTGCACCCATAGAGGAGTTATTATAATGATCCAAAGCAAATATGAGGTTCTAATAGGGTGACACAGCAATAACAGGGTCTTTTTGAAGAAATGGGATTTAATCTGGCATTGGGAGACTGGAAATTCATGGCTTCACTTATTTATTCTGCCCAAGTAGACTTTTGTTGACACAAAGAACACTGCATTTTAAGTTGGGTTTTCCATGAGTTCATTCTAAACAGGTATTTCTGTGCTTCAAAAAGCTTCTCATATTTATATTGCAGGCATGAACTCATTCACTCAAGTTATTTTCCTTTCTCTTGGGAGAGAGAAGGTAGCCACTTAGGAGCCTAGCCTTAAAGAACATGCAGAAAAGATGGATGAAGTGAACAGTCCAGAAGGTTTTGCTGTAGCCAGCAAGTGATTCACCATTTTATGCTGAAGGGATTGGGTTTGCTAACCTTGCCAAGCACGTGGTACTCCTTTGTATATTGGTCCAGTCTGAGAGGAAAGGCCAAGCTATAAATTGAGGAGCTGGAATCAGTGAGTTTCTGAACTAAAGCAAAAGAGGCTCTATTTAGACATTCTTTAAAAGGTGTGTGTGTGTATATGTATGTGTGCGTGTGTATAAAACGATCAGACGGTAGAGATTAGAGCACTGGCTTTGTTTAATTTGGCAAATTCTAATGTTCTAGAAGAAAAGTGAAGATGTTTTAATTAAAAACACTATTTCTAAGGCACCATACATATATTCTAGAGTACCAGTAGATGAGAACTACTTATTTAGAGTGGCAGAGCATGCTATAGAAACAAAATATGAGTAATTCTAACTGTAGTTATGTTATATTAGCGTAGTGAGATAGTAACATTAATAGAATTCCTTAGTGGAATTTCTTAATGCTTCAGTTCAATCTAAATTAGTATTAATACTTTAAGGCAGGAAATCTGTCCGAAAGCATTTGTAAATTTAAAAAGCATTGAAATGAGAAGCAGAAACAAAAAATATTCATTTCTATGTATTGCTCTATCTATATTATATAACTGATTTACTACCATTAAATTATAAAATATTACATGTTCAGTGTATTGTCCTTCTGCAGTTACTGATTTATAACTTTAATAGTAACAGATGTAGCTTTATTACTAGGAAGCTTATTGAGATCATGGGACATTTAGACCCATTGTTTTGATTAAACTTTGAGGACATTTTTGTACTATCTTTATAAATATGGATATTTAAATCAGAATTACAGTAACATTGATTTTTATTGAGAAGACATTTCTAGAGTATATATTATTAATTCACTTTAATCCCTTCAACATATAGCACAGTTAAAATATTTCTAGTTTGCTACGAGTTTCAGATATAGCTAAAATTTTCATACGACTAAAATCTTTGTGTATGTCAAAGATTTGTGTATGAAGGCTTAACTTATTGATTAGTTTTTTAACATACCAAATTGCAGTAACTAAACCATCTACTATTGTGAGTTATTTTTCCTCTCACGTTTACTTTTCCTTGGCCTTATTTTACAGCTAAATTTTATAAAAAAGATTTGATTCATTTTTGAATCAAATCAAATTTATTCTAATATGTAATAAACTTTATTGCGTGCAGTTTGGCTGTTTTCAGTTTTGTTTTCAATTTTTCCTACTTTTCTTAACTTTTCCTAGGTCAATATTTTTAGTTCTGAGAGTTTCTAAAAAGAAAATATAATAATAATGGTTAACATTTGAGTGTTTACTAGTTTTCAGAACTCATTAAGTCCTACTTTGTCCCAAATTGAGTATAACTTTGAGCAAGAATCTTAATCTCTCTGAATTTCAGCCCCTTCATCTGCCAAATACAGAAAATATATTTTGGTGAGGATCATATTGGATAATGAATGTGAGAGCTCTTTTTATAGGAAGTGCCACACAAATGTAAGTTATGAATGTTTTCGCAGCTGCTACTTATAGAGCAGTGACCCAAATTAAAAAAAAAAAAGTGTGGAATGCTAAGTAAAAAATGTGATGTAGTGTAGTTGCAAAGGCGTTAGCTGTATTCTAATTCCAGATTTGCCACTTACTCGTTGAATTGACTTTGGGCAATCCACTTAACCTTTACGACAACTTCTTTATCTGTACCACGAAGGACTTCGCTACGTCAGTGTTTCTCCAGGTGTGGTCCAAGGGCCACCTTGCATCTGAGTCACCTGGGACACTTGTTTAAAGGCTGATTTTTGGGCCTCAGCCCAGACTATTGAAACAGAATCTTTGTGTTGGGATTCAGGCATCAGTACTTACGTCACACAAACCTTCAACAATGACCGTGTGAGGAGTTGCCGGCTTTGGTTTAAATTACATGGCATTCAACCTGTCCTTGCTCAATTTTAAAACCCTTTTCACCTTTTCCACTGAAATGGGCACATTTTTGGTACTGTGAGTATCCGTGATTGCCCCAGGCATGTGAGTTTGCACACTTGCTTTACAGGGGAGAGGATCAGAAGGGAAAAGGAAAGGAAAGGAGAGTTAGGGGAAAAAAAACACAAAACCACTCGGACAAAATTCTTGGCTCTTGAAGAGCTATGAAAGAAAATAGATTGTTTCACACTAAATAGACTTTCCTCTCAAAATATTTGAAACATCCACACTAATTAGTTTTATCACCCTAGGAAAATTTGTCACCTGTAAATTAATGTCTGAAAATCACCTGATCTACTAAAAGGTATCTTGAGAAATTATGGGGTATCTAAGAATGTTTCAAGTAGGCATATGATTTTATATTATCCTGAGGAGAAACCATTTGTTTCCCCCAAGAATGAGGATGGAGCAACAATGTATATTTATTTTTGCATTAACCTAATACAATTGTATGTGTCTGCATGGAAACTTTTGTAGAAAAAGGGTAAATCAATCATTTGCTTGTTCATAGGCTTTAATTTCTTCCTGAGTCAGCATGGTATAATCTGAAGAGCTTGGGAGTCGGACTCACATGTCCTTGTGTGCAAAAACCCAGTTCTGGGCTGGGCGTGGTGGCTCACGCCTGTAATCCCAGCACTTTGGGAGGCCTAGGCGGGCGGATCACGAGGTCAGGAGATCGAGACCATCCTGGCTAACATGGTGAAACCCCATCTCTACTAAAAATACAAAAAATTAGCCGGGCGCAGTGGCAGGCGCCTGTAGTCCAAGCTACTCAGGAGACTGAGGCAGGAGAATGGCGCGAACCCGGGAGGCAGAGCTTGCAGTGAGCCGAGATCGCACCACTGCACTCCAGCCTGGGTGACAGAGCGAGAGTCCAACTCAAAAAAACAAAAAACAAAAAAAAACCAGTTCTGATGACATGTTAATTGTGTGACCTAGAGCAGTATATTTGACCCTTCTGAGCTTCTATTCCCATCTATAACTGGGTAGAGTACTGTCTCCCAAATGAGGAGATTGTTGAGAAAATTAGATTTGTTCAAGTGCTTAGCATGCTGCCTGGCACATGCTGCGGTGAATGTAATGTTCTCATACTTTACCTGTGGCTCACATACATGAAAGGGCCACCTGTGGCCTGCTGTGATTAGTGGTTGGAGCTGCCTTCCCAGGATGGGCATTCCTTGAAGTTATCTAGCTTCTTTTATAGGCCTGTATAATGATGAGTGGCATTTTCCCATTCTCTGCCTGTACAAGGTGATCTGAAGGTTCTATATGGGGATTCCACTCGTTAGTTTGTATATTTATCCAGAAATTCATCCTCTAGTCATTCATTCAATCAATGATGTAGAATCCCAGCAGGATTCTATAAACTGTCATCTATCAGGATTATGAGACTATCAGGAATATGATGTTCATACAATCTTCCAAAGCCAGGCTTGAATTGTCTATATGGGAGCAATGATAAGTGGTTTTTCAGCATCTGCTCAAGCATCTTGGATACACGGACCAATGTATCCCCCAAGAGGCCAGACAATCTTTATATATATGGACTATTTTATATATATATAATTAAATATATATTATGTCATATATCTATATCTATATCCAAAATCTCAGGAAAAAACTGTATTTTGGGGTGCCATCCACTAAGCCTATTTGTCTCCTTGGGTGCCATAAAGAGCACTGCAACTATATACAAACCAATTCAGCGTGGGTGGCATATTGCCTGTTGTGTGATGGGAAAACAAATACCAAAATGTATAATCCCTATTCACTTACAAATATGACTAAAATACAGGGAGAATGGGAGTCAGACTCATGGCAGATGTAATTATGAAGCAAATCTGGCCGTGACATGCCAATGCCTATAGTCTGGTAGGAAGGATGGCACATATACATAGATAATTATTGAGAAAGGCAAAAGGTGACAAAAGTACCATAAAAGAAGTACAAATAAAGCTGTATGAGAATTTAGAGGAGAGAGACTATCTTGTTGGAAGTAAAATCAGGAAAGCTTTATGTAAATGAATTTTATGTATGACTTGGCTGTTGACATACAGGTGATGTTTAGGGAATGAAGTATTAGACTGCATTTACCTTGTTAAGTACTGAATCTTATTTTAATCACATCACATTTCCTCTTTTTTTTTTTCTAAGAGATAGTGTATTGCTATGTTGCTCAGGCTGGAATTGAACTCAGTGGGCTTTAGTGATCCTCCTGCCTCAGCCTCCTGAGTAGCTAGAACTGCAGGTGCATGCCACCACACCCAGCTTACTCTTTTTTTGATTAGCAAACTAATGCATATTCATTAAGGAAAAAAAAGAAAATCATTTAGAATTTTACCTTCCATAATTAACCAAAATATTAAGTTGAATATACTGTTTCTTTCTAGTCCTTTGCTAATTAATAGTTTATTCAATTCATATAATGCATACCACTTTATAGATTCTTTAAAAGATTGTCTTGAGCATTTATTATGCCATTAAGTAATCTTTGAAAGTGTGATTTTTCTACCCAAAGTTCAGTACATTCATATGATGAAATATATAATCATTAGACATTTACGTTTTCTTTTTTTTTTTTGCTATTATAATAACATTAAGATAAATATCTCTTATGATTCCTTCCTCACAGAGTAATGAATCATAATGACTTATTGTTAAATGTTCTTCAGAAAGCTTGTGCCAATTTATCACAAGGGGATTGGGAGTCTTTTGTCACATTCATGACAATATTGGATTTTTTTTAGTGGCACTATGTTACAACCATTTGTGTTATCTTTATTCATGATGATAAACATTAGCAAACCTAAAAAAGAGATGGAAACTTTTTAAGGATTTAGAAACCAAGATAAACAAAAATAGGAATGTATGTGGCCACATAAAAATATATGTACTCCTTTGAAGTACTTTGTTCCATGTGAAAGTCTAGTGTATATTTACTTCTTTAGAAATCTAAAGGCCTAACAGCTGAAAAAGACAGCGTGGTGATTAACAGTGTTACTTTTGAAGTCCCAACTTCCTGGATTCTCATCCTGACACTACTGCATACCAGCAGAGTCCGCTTGAGCAATGTATCCAATGGCTGCAAGCTCCAGTTTCCTTGCGTGTTAAATGAGAGACACAGCAGAAACAGTAAAACCTCAAAAGGTTAAGTGAGATTATTACACAAATGTTTCCTGACTTAGCGGTGGGGTTACATCTCCATAAATCCATCGTAAATTGAAAATATTGTAAGTTGAAAATGCATTTAATACACATAACCTTGGAACATCATAGCTTAGCCTATCCTACCTTAAACATGCTCAGAACACTTACATTAGCCTACAGTTGGCCAAAATAATCTAACACAAAGCCTATTGTACAATAAAGTGTTGAATATCTCATCGATTTATTGAATACTGAAATGAAAGTGAAAAACAGAATGGTTGTATGGGTACCCAAAGTACAGTTTCTAAGGAATGGGTGTATCACTTTTACACTGTCATAAAGTCAAAAAATCCTAAATCAAACCATTGTAAGTCAGGGACCGTCTGTATAAGATGCCAAGTTTATAAGTACTTGGTAGGTACTATTATAAAATACATGATACATAACTTGTTTTCATCAGATTATCATATTGCCATGCTGAAATCTAAAGTCCCTGAATTAATCCTCATTGTGGCAGATCTTTATTATGTCTTGAGCAGGACCAGACCACAAGGGTCAGGACCCATGATGCTTCTAGGACTCAGTGGGGCAAGTCTCCTTTGTATTGAGTGGTGTTGCCATGTCAAAGCATGGACACAGAGAGGAGAATATCACACACTGGGGCCTGTTGGGGGTTGGGGGGCTGAGGGAGGGATAGCGTTAGGAGAAATACCCAATGTGGATGATGGGTTGATGGGTGCAGCAAACCACCATGGCACGTGTATACCTATGTAACAAACCTGCACGTTCTGCATATGTACCCCAGAACTTAAAGTATAATAATAATAATAATAATAATAATAATAATATAATAATAAGACCTTGAAAACAGATATGCAACTCACTGCTGAGATCCTTTACTTTTCTATCTTCCCTAGACAACTTTAATCCCTAAGTAATATTCCCATGACGTCTCAGTTCAGTGCTCATACTGTCTCAGTTTTTTTACAGTGCCCCAAAGCTAAAAGAAATACCTAACAGTTTCATTTATTAAATCAACTTAATAAGTATATTCAACTTAATTAGTTAATTCAACTTAATACGTATATAGGTCCTGATAAATTAGTAGCCATTTTGTAAAACAAAACCATATAAATTGAAAGAATTATCATTTTTATCTAATCCTTCATATTTACTAAGGTATGTATGCACCTGTTGGGCACTGCACAACTTTTCAAAACTTGAATTCAGATTGGAAACCACCATCTTCATTTTCTGTTCCACACTGAGTTTTATGTTTACACTTCATTTTTATTATAGCAGATATCATATTGCAAGGACATGATGTCATTGAAAGGAATGTAATGCCATTTAATGTTGAAGCGCTGAACTACTTTATGCTCGTAGTTCAGAGGGTGTCTGAGAGATGTCGAGTGTTAGCTGCCCTCAAATTAAAAATATCTAGTAGCATTCCTCTGAATTCACTGTGGCACCCCAAGGTTCCTGGGGGCACAGTTTGGGAACCAGAGTCTTACAGTATTTCTGGTTTCTGGCTTTACTTCAGTTTTGTTTTCTTTCATCTCATTGACTCTTCTTCCCCAGTTCCTACTTTTATTTCTTGGTTCCAGCTCTCTGGTTACTTTCTCCGCTGCTCAGGTCCGCTCTCTGCATACTCACCATCAAGCAGCAGCAGTCTCTGTAACTTCTGGACCTTTGCAGACCTAGATGCAGCCCCGTAGGCTCTGATGTGGTTTGGTAGCTGGCTGTAGGTCAATTGATGTGTTCTAAATTCTACAGGACTTCTTCAGTTCACAACTCCAGGGAGCATTACGTCCATCATAACCTGCCCTAATGGCATGCCTTTCATGTGGCTGGCCATTAGCTTCTGTCTGTGGCGGTCTCCCTGCAATGTGGGTGGGCTTGTCCTCCACATCAGGTCTCCTAGCTCACTAGGAACACTCTGCTTTATAACAACAAGACCACCTGTATGCTGAGACCACATCTCATCGCTCCTTTTCTTGGAGTATCAACCCGGAAAATGTATTTGAAACAGTTGAGTGGTTAATTGTGGACTCCGGATTAACCTGCTTAATTTTTTTTATCATAGGTTTACTACTTACTCTTTAACTTCCTGAAACTTCAGATTCCTCATCTGTAAAATAGAGATAATTGACTTCCTTCATGTGAGAATCAAATGAAAAGTTATGTGATGCCCTTTAGTCAATGTCTGACATTTATTAAATGTTAACTGTTACTATATTTTTCTGACAGTAATTTCGTAATTTACTTTTAACTATTTTAATGTCTTTAGGAACAGAGTAATAAACTACTGGCTCTTAAAGTTTAGTTTGTCAGTTCATGAGAGGAAACATAAATATTGAAAGGAAAAATACATTCATATAATTTCCTTTAATTAAACTGAGATAAGATCTTGCTCTGTCACCTATACTGGAGTACAGTGGCTAGATCACAGCTCACTGCAGCCTCAACCTCCTGGTCTCAAGCCATCGTCCTACCTCACCCTGTTTTTTGTTTTGTTTTGTTTTTTGTTTTGTTTTTTGAAACAGGGTTTTGCTCTGTCACACAGGCTGGAGTACAGTAGCGATCCTTGCTTACTGCAGCTTCAAACTCCTGGGCTCAAGGGATTCTCCCACTTTAGCCTCGTGTGCAGCTAGGACTATAGTCAAGCGCCGTAACGTCTGGCTAATTAAAAAAAAAAAAATTTGTTGTTGTTGTTGAGATGGGGTCTCATTATGTTTCCCAGGCTGGTCTGGGACTCCTGGCCTCAAGTATTCCTCCCACATCAGTCTCCCAAAGTGCTGAGAATACAGGCATGGGCCACTGTGCCTGGCCACATTTGGTTTATATATACTACAATATCTTTGTAGACATATTATCTGTGATGATTTTTATGAAATTGTAGGTATGATAGTGCAGATAGTGTTTTACCCATTTTAGAGATGGTAAAACAGATTCAGAGAGATGACGTGAATTACTGAAGGAAATTAAGTATTTGCTAGACCCCATACCCTAACCTAGGACTTGTAGTTTCAATGCTGGTGCTCATTACTTGCTATTTTGTTGCCTTTAGTATTTCAAAAGGTAAAAACAAAAGAGGAAGGGAAGAAAAAAAGGAAAAGAAGATTGTTATTCTCTGATGTCTTTTTAAACAATGAAAATTTGCTATTTCTGCTGTGTCTAGTATATATAAGTATTATAATGATTTTAATTAGTGCATAAAAATCACAACAGTTGAAAAAAATTGCCAATGCTCTCTCATTAGAAATAATTTCAAAAGATAAATTGCTTATCGACCTTACTTGAACTATGCATCCAAAGCATTGTATTCATCACTCAGAAAAGTATAATGTAAGCATTGGTAAGTTTGATTTCCAGTTGACAGAAAAATGCTTCAGAAAAAGAGACAAACTTTCCCTTCCCCCCATTCTCTACTTTTCCAAATATTCAGATGCCTAAACCTTCCACCCATGCTAGAGCTGTTGCTGCCTAACCACCTTCTGGGCACAATGGCATGGAAATACATAATCAGGGTATAATTTTGTGCAGGGCAGAGAGAACATGCTATTATGGAATCAAGTCTCAGCTGAATAGCCTGGCCTTTGGCTGTGTTTTGATCTCAGTGCTAAAATGGAAATGAAACGTTGCCTCCTCCTTTGTGGCCTATACAAAGTTTGCTGATTCTGTGCTCATTTGGTGATTTTCATGCCCAAGTAGGTGAAGGGAGAACAACTACGTACATAGATGTGCAGCTTTGGGGTTGAAGGCATTGATGTGTGTGTGCTGAGTCACTATGACAATCTAAAGAGGACTCTCTGGTGGCTGATTAGAAAATTGTGGAAGTTACAGGCTGTCTGGGTTAAACATTTCCTGGTTTATTGGAGGCAGATTTCCTTGGGCCAGCAAGCATTGAAACTCCCACAGTGGTGTCATGTGATGGTTCTCCAGCGAAGCATTTTGGATATGGTGACAGCTGCTTTAGTTTAAGTATCTGGAACATCTAATGTGGGAGAACTTGGCTAAGTGATGTGAGAAGTTAAGAGAGGAGTCTGAAGTTTCCGTTACATTTTTTTCTGTTTAGTGGATTAAAAGGCAATTCCCATGCAAATTGTCTCTGTCTTTAGGTGTTGTATTCATTTTCTATGCTACATCGCAAATTGTCACAGACTTAGTGGTTTAAAACACACCCATGAATTATCTCTCAGTCTCTGTAGGTTAAAAGTCCAGGCATGCTTAGCTGGGTTCTGTGCTTGGGGTCTCACAAGCTGAAGTCTGCGTACCAGTTGGGTTGCATTCTCATGTGGAGGCTCGACTAGGGAAGGATCTGCTTCAAGTTCCTTAGGTTGCTGGTAGAATTCATTTCCTTGTGACTGTAGAATTCATGGCAACTTGCATCTTCAAGGCCAGCAATGGGCGGAGGCAGGGGGTGGGCAGAGGGAGAGAGGGAGGGAGAGATAGAGGGAGAGAGAGAGAAATCTGTACTTCTTCCAGTCTCTGGCCTCTGTGAGAGCTCACTTAAGTCAGTCCAACTGACCCAGGGTAATCTCCCTTTTGAGCAATTTATTGTCAATTTAATTACATATGCAAAACCCCTTCACTTTTGCTATTTGACAGAACCTAATCAAGGGAGTGGCATCCTATAACTGTATTCTATGGCTAGAAGCAAGTTACAGGTTCTGCTCACACACCAGGGGAAGGGGGACTACACAAGAGTGTGACTCATTTTGGAACATCTTAGGGTGTGTCCACCATAGATGTACCATTTTGAGTACAGATGGAAAAAAAAAAACCAGCTTTTCAAAAATGCTGTTTTAAAGGAATTGATGTTGTTAGGTTGAAGGCTAAAGGATGGAATGTTATGTATTTAAATGTATACTTAGTTTTTAAAAAGTTTTTGCCAGGAATATTAGTCATCTGTTAAAGAATGTATCATCTAGTACTTTCTTTTTGAAGTTTTCTTTAATTTTGGCTACAGAGACATTACTCTTCTCTGAGTCTCATATCTCTTTACCTGTTCCTTCACTTCCCCTTCCTTCATCCCTTCTGTTTGTTTTTGAAATGCTGCATCTCTAACCTGACAGTTCCTTCTGTCCACTCACCTCAAGGATGGCTAGAAATCTTATATCCAGACCGCTTACTTCCTGAACACAGTGGCATGGAAACACATAATCATGATGTAATCATGAGCCTGTACATAAGCCAGCTACTCTGTTGGGTTCAGGTTGTAACCTGAGTGTCTGCAGAATGGCCTGTGGGTGAGAGACCTTAGATTGTTTCAATCTCACTGTTAAAATATAAATGAAAATTTATTTTCTTTTTGGTATAGGAAACATGCTGGTTTCATTCATGTTGGGTGGTTCTTATGTCCAATAGCAGTCTTACATAAACAGTCTTACAGAAGTGTACAGAGTATGTGCCTGTTTATTTATACTTAATCTTTTATTTAAAAAAGGATTTGGCTGGTGCAGTGGCTCACACCTATAATTCTAGCACTTTGGGAGGCCAAAGTGGATGGATTGCTTGAGCTTAGGAGTTCGAGACCAGCCTGATGACATGGAAAAACCCCATCTCTACAAAAAAACAAACAAACAAACAAAAAACAAAAGTTAGTTGGGCATGGTGGTGCATGCCTCTTGTCCCAGCTACTTGGAAGGCTGAGTTGGAAGGATAGCATGAGGCCTGTAGGTGGAGGCTACAGTGAGCTGTGATCGTGCCACTGTACTACAGCCTGGGTGGCAGAGCGAGACCCAGTCTCAAAACAAAGTATTTAAGACAGCTTAAAAAGATGCATTCAGTTCAGAGGACAAAGTTGAGTTTAAAATAAGCAAGAAAAAGGAGGGAAAGGGAAAAAGAAATCTAAGAAAATGACATGGAGTCAGGTAAAGACATACTTTCTAGCAGTTAATGAAGATGTAAAACACAATAACGTTCATGATTTGGTGGCCATAAAGTAAAATCAGGAGAAATAACCCTTCTAAGTACTGAGTCCAAAGAGACATTTCTCATTTGGGTATTGCTCTGTGATGGATGCATCAGCTATGATGTGATGTTCTGGAGAGCTCTACATTCTTTATGGCACATTCAGTACCATGTCCCATAAAGTCATGCCATATCATTTCTCAGTGAAGGTTGGTGGTCTGTAACCAAAGTGCAGTTCAATGAAAGCAATTCTGTGGGGCTTAAAGATATAGCCCAGTCATGTGGCTTTCTAATATATTGGTTGGCTCCCTCAAGAATCAGGTTTAGCATAGTGTTTCTTAGTCTTATTAAAAACGTATTGCCCTGCCCCTGAAAAGCTTAAGAACTTTATTATTATTATTATTTTTGAGATGGAATTTCGCTCTTGTCATCTAGGCTAGAGTGCAATGGCACAATCTTGGCTCACTGCAGCCTCCACCTCCCAGGTTCAAGTGATGCTCCTTCCCCAGCCTCCCAAGTAGCTGGGATTACAGGCATGTACCACCATGCCTGGCTAATTTTTTTTTTTTTTTTGTATTTTTAGTAGAGACGAGGTTGCACTTTGTTAGCCAGGCTGGTCTTGAACTCCTGACCTCAGGTGATCCACCCGCCTTGGCTTCCCAAAGTGCTGGGATTACAGCCGTGAGCCGCTGTACCCGGCCAAGAACATTTTAAAGTTTTTTTCATACCTTAGCTTATATTTGAAAAGAAGTTATTTTATCTTCCAACTACAAAGTTATTACAATATTGACAATATACACACTCAGCACTAGTTAATCTGCCCTCAACAACCTTAAAAAAAAAAAAAAGACTTTATTTTGGCCTATCCAAAAGAATGAATTATATAGTTTTCCATGCATATTGTTACAGTTATTTTTTCCAAGTTTAAAAAATATTATCTTTGTTGCTGACATCTGGATATACCTTTTTTATAATTTCTAGTTAAAGTGAGTGGAGTTTTTTTAGGGGGTGGTTTGGGAGTAATTAGCATTCTCTAGAGAAAACTGGAGGACTTTAAAAAGACATCTGCCTCATTAGGAGGCTGTTCCACCTCAGCTACAAGACAGAAGAGGAAAAAAAGTATGGCCAACCCAAGGGTTTCTGCATAATAATAATGGTCTTCCTACGGAGGGTCTGAGTGATCCAGGCCACCTGGGTCTGAGTCACAAAGCCTGCATGCAATACTTATTATTCACTAATTTATTTCTGGTTATAAAAGTAAATCGTATCCTATGTCAATGTTTTATAGTATACAGAATCATTTAAGTAAGGTTACAAAAGTGATTCTGAACTTGACCACCACCATTTTGACATACTTCCATCCAGTGTATTTTTTTCTTGTGCCAATATAGCATAGTGGCTAAGAACAAAGGCCTCTGGAGGCATCCAGATTTAGAGTAAGATCCCAGCTCCGTCATTCCTAGCTGTATTGCCCAGAGAAGTTTCTTGACCTCTTTGAACCTCAGTTTCCTCATTTGTAAAATACAGGCAGTCCCATCTCGTAAGGTTATTGCCAGGGACTACATGAGAAGTATATTCAATGAGGTTATTAGCACAGTGCCAATTATATGACAGACCTCAGTAGATACTGGCTATTGCATGCTACATGTGTGTATACATGCATTTAAATGTATATAGTAGTATTATATAATTGATATCATACTCAAGTTTCCCTTATCCTTTAAATTTAACATCTAACATTTTAACCATAAGGTTATATCACTGTATACTTACCTGTTTGTTTGATTTTAGTCATTCATGTTATTACCATGATTTTCATATTGATAATTTGATAACTTATATTGACAGAAGTGAGAAGTAAGACACTCAGAAGTAAGCAAGAGAGGAAAAGAAGGCACACTCGTTCAATTTTTCTTCTTTCTCAGGGTAGTCAGTGTTTCGTTTTTGATGATAACGTATGGAAAAATAGCTAAAATCTACATCTAAGGAATTTAAACCATTCATATCCATTTACATCTTCATAATTCCAGAAATTTATTCTAAGAAAAATGAGTATGTACAAATATATGATTGTGGTTATATGTGTACATACACATGTGGACATATGTATGTGTGTATATATACATGTACACATTTTGAATAATATGTTCACAGATTAAATTCTAGAGATGGAATTACAGATACTTTTTTGTTGTATATTCTCTTTTTTGAGAGACAGAGTCTCACTCTGTCTCCCAGGCTGGAGTGCAATGGCGTGATCTCTGCTCACTACAACCTCCACCTCCCAGGTTCAAGTGATTCTTCTTCTGCTTCTGCATCAGCCTTCCAAGTAGCTGGGATTACAGGCACATGCCACCACCCCTGGCTAAGTTTTGTATTTTTAGTAGAGATGGGGTTTCACTATGTTGGTCAGGCTGGTCTCCAACTCTTTACCTCCAGTGATCTGCCTGCCTCAGCTTCCCAAAGTGCTGGGATTACAGGCATGAGCCACCATGCCCGACCTGTTGTATATTCATTTTCAAATATTCTACAATATGTACTTCTTATTCTCATCATCATAAAATAGCAATAAATATTACTGTTTTTAAAATGAAAGAAGATAAAGAAAAACTATGAATCATAAGCACACTTTAGAGAGTACAATTATACAGGGAGTTTAAAAACCATCAAAATTATCCTTAAGGACAATGTCTGCATCTTAAATGAGAGACCTCCTAGACTGCAAGTGCATGCAGCTTGCACAAAGGGGCCCTCACTATCATTCTGATCATTAAATTCTTTTTTTTTTTAACTTGCGAAATCTGTTTTATTCAAGTTTCTTTCAAGCCAAGTGGCTAGAACTAAGGTTAGGTTTCATTTTTGAGTATGAGATTAGCAGTTGTCTTAGCTCGAGAGCTAAAACATTAATTTTGAAGCAGGAAAGGTAAAACACAGAAGTATCATCTCAGCAAGCAAAATAAGCTTTTTTTCCCCCCTTGAGTCTTTAATGAAGAAAGGAAGTGAAAAGAGATAAAAAGAGGCCTGTCTCTGCATACTGTACTAGGCATCTTCCATGTCAGTATCAGCATTCTGCCTTCCTCGATAAGACTCTCAGCCTGGGAAAGAAGGAAACCAAGAATTATCCTCACAACCAGAATTGTTCTAGAGATTTTGTGGAAACACATTTATTAAAGACTGATATAGTTTGGCTGGGTCCCCACCCAAATCTCTTCTTGAATTGTAGCTCCTATAATTCCCATGTGTTGTGGGAGGGACCTGGTGGGAGTTAATTGAATCATGGGGGTGGGTCTTTCCCGTGCTGTTCTGGTGGTAGTGAATAAGTCTCATGAGACCTGATGGTTTTACAGGGGGAAACCCCTTTCACTTGGCTCTCATTCTCCCTCTTGCTTGCCGCCATGTAAGATGTACCTTTTGCCTTCCACCATGATTGTGAGGCCTCCCCAGCCATGTGGAACTGTGAGTTCATTAAACCTCTTTTTCTTTATAAATTATCCAGTCTCAGGTATGTCTTTATTAGCAGTATGAAAACAGATTAACACAAAGACATTTGTGTACACAGTGATAAAATGGTTTAAAAGTTAGGGAGACAGCTACATAAGACAAAGGGAAACAGGATTAGAATCAGGCAAAGGAGTTTGTAAGTTCTTGGGTGTGGAGCTTGCTTTCTCCTGGGAAGAGTTGCCTTTTGAGATGCTGTCATCCTTTGAGGACAGGAACCAAAGGAAAAAAGCAATGAGGGAACTTCTTTTTGTCCCAAATCGCCTGCCAAAAATAAGTCAGTGATGCTTGTCAAGCTTGGACGTGTCTTGTTCATACAGTCTGGTAATAGCCAGCTTTCTTGTGGAAAAATATAGCAGGCACCCATTGAACTTCTTAGATGTTCTCTCCTCTTTGAGCATGTAACCTTTCATCTACATTCTACAAAATAGCCACTTTGATCTTCCTACTCAACAATTTAAATGGATCCCCACTGCCTAAGAAGGAAAGCAGAAATCTCTTACCCTAATGTTCTCGTCCTTCCAAAATCACATTGCAGCCTGTCCTTTAGTCTTATTTTCCATAACTCCACTTCACTTGGTTTGTTCCATTCAGAATGTGCTTTTTGTTTGTGGGCATACTTAATTAGGCTTATCTGCTGGTCTACTCTGATTATTACATAGTTTTGTAATATCTAAAGCTAAAAATGGATATATATATATATACTTATTAAAATGAACTTGATACACATGTGTGTGTACATATACATATATATATAAATACCTTTCATCAATACTTTTGCAAAACTTTCATTTAGAGACTTTTAGAAACAAATTGTGTGTATGTATATTATGACAGGTTGGCACTGATTTTAATTTCTTTTAGGATAATGAACCTTTCTGATTTGGCTGACTTGTAGTAGTGGTAAATACTACCTGTTGGAAACCTGTATTTAATCTAACAGATGCTCTAAAAGTCTGTACTTTCTATGCAGCATGGTCTGGCAGAAAAACACTTTTGGAGTCAGACAGCTCAACGCCTCAGTTATGTAAACAAGAGGTATCTACGTAGATACATAGCTAGATTCCTAGATAGATGGTATCTATTATATCCCAGATGGTTTTCTAGGTCAGGGAATATACTGGAAGATCTGGATTTGAATACAGACTTCAGTTTGAATGGAGCTTGACAAGTCAATTACTTTCAAGTTTAAGTTCCTCCTCTGGGAAATAGCACAAATAGCACACATGACACCACTTCATAGGATGTGCTAAAGAGTAACTGGCTTAATGCTGTTAACCTCCCAACCTTGTTCGTATGACAGTGCTTTCTGAGGCTGAAAATCTGATCTTCCCAGGTTTGACCAGTTGCTCTGTTTAGCTAAGGTCAGCCTGTTTATTATTTGGGACAGTCCCAAGAGAGGCAAGATTAGCATCCTTTGAACTGAAAGGAACCCTTCTCATCTGGAGGGTGAAGAAGGAAGAACAGAATGTCCTGGTGGCATTTAGAATGGAATCTCTAGCCCTTCTCCTTGGACACTGTTTGCGTCATGAAAAAAACTGTAATATGGAGACGCTGTCTCCAGCAAGAAATTTATGGCTATATTTCAATAGTTTGTTCAAATTTAGACCATGCCAGCTTCTATAGTTGATGAAAGCCTGAATATCCAAACACTATCTCCATTAATAAAATCTCAATGTTCCCAGAATGACGAATGTCTGAAAACGGGTTTTATTGTGAAAGGAGAAGCTCATTTGGTGTTTCCTCTTCTCTCTTTGCTTTTAGAAGAAAAAAATGAGAAAACTCTGTAGTCAGCCAAAAGGTCTTTGCCCCCTACTAATTCTTTTTTTAAAACTGTCATGAGAAGATAAGAGTTTTAAAGTTTTGTATTCTATCTCTGGGTCAGGGATCAAATATTTGCATTTGTAAAGAAATCAGAATTGTCTTTGAGAGGTGGAGATTCCTGGCAATGTTCAAGCTCACAAGTTGCACAATTCTGTAATGTGAAGTACTTCTAGTCACCTCGATGATGGAGAGGGTCACAGCAAAGAGATCTGGCCACATGGGTGGTCAAAAGTAGGATGTGCTTAGAAAGAAGTTGTTTTTCTTTCCATTTTCTATTATTAAGTATTTAAAAACTGTGATGTAGTCACACTGTTTCTGCATTGATACTGTGCTTTCCTTTCTCCCTCCCACAGCCCTCAGTAACCCAGACGTTTATTCTTCTATCTACCTACCTTCACTTCCTATCACCCAAGGGTTTCTGCCTTTTAGGTTTTCTTTAGACTGAGATACTGTCTCCCTAGCCTTTCTGCTTTCCGGCTGGCCGTTAAAACAATCACCCAGCCCTTTTCTGTATTATAAGTGTTAATTCTGATCTCAGTTGGGAAATAGGCATATGGGAAAGATACAGGCATACCTTGGAGATATTGCAGATTTGGTTCCAGACCACTGCAATAGAGCAAATATTGCAATAAAGTGAGTCACACAAATTTTTTGGTTTCCTGGTTCATATGATAGTTATGTTTGTAATATAGTCTATTAAATGTGCAATAGTAGTATGTCTTAAAAAAGTATGTGCATACCTTAATTTAAAAACAGCTTATTTCTTTAAAAATGCTAACAGTCATCTGAGCCTTAAGTCATAATCTTTTGAAAATATTTTTTCTTAAATTAAAAAAATTAAAGTATCTTAAGTCTGCTTCTTAATTTTTTTTTCAAATCCTCCACTATTTTTTTAGATAGGATCTTCCTCTGTCACCCAGGCTGGAGTGCAGTGGCACAGTCTTGGTGCATTGTAGCCTCTACTTCCCAGGCTGAAGCAATCCTCCCACCTCAGCCTCCCAAGTAGCTGGGCCACAGGTGTGAACCACCATGCCTGGCTTTTGTATTTTGGGTAGAAATGACATCTCGCTATGTTGCCCAGGCTTGTCTCAAACTCCTGGGCTCAAGCAATCCACCTGCCTTGGTCTCTCAAAGTGCTGGGATTATAGGCGTGCACCACCATGCCCTGCACAGGTCATGATCTTTTTGCTGGTGGAAGGTCTGGCCTTGATGTTGATGGTTGCTGGCTGATGACAGTGGTGGTTGCTGAAGATTGGGGTGGCTGTGGCAATTTCTTAAAATGAGACAGTAATGAAGTTTGCCACGTTGATCGATTCTTCCTTTCACAAAAGATTTTTCAGTAGCATGTGATACTGTTTGATAGCATTTTACCTACAGTAAAACTTCTTTCAAAATCTGAGTCAATCCTCTCAAACCCTAATGCTGCTTTATCAACTAAGTTGATGGAATATTTTCAATCCTTTGTTGTCATTTCAACACTGACAACCAGAATATATTCTATCTCCAGAGACCACTTTCTTTGCTCCTCCATAAGAAGCAACTCTTCATCCATTAAAGTTTTATCATGAGATTGTAGCAATTTAGCTACATCTTCAGGTGCCACTTCTGACTCTTTCTCTTGCTCTTTCTCCCAAATCTGCAGCAACTTCCTCCACTGAAGTCTTGAACCCTTCAAAGTCATCCATGAGGGTTGGAATGAACTTCTTATAAACTCCTATTAATGTTGATATTTTGGCCTCCTACTATGAATCATGGATGTTCTTAATGGCATCTAGAATGGTGAATTCTTTCCAGAAAGTTTTCAACTAACTTTGCCAAGATCCATCAGAGAAATCACTATCTATGGCAGCTCTAGCTTTACAAAATATACTTATTAAATAAGACTTGAAAGTCAAAATTACTCCTTGATCCATGGGCTGCAGAATGGATATTGGGTTAGCAGTCATGAACACAACATTAATATCCCTGTACATGTCCATCAGAGCTCTTAGGCGACTAGGTACATTGTCAATGAGCAGTAATATTTTGAAAGGAATCTTTGTTTCTTAGCAGGTCTCAACAATGGGCTTAAAATATTCAGTAAGCCATGATATAAACAGATGTGTTATCCAAGCTTTGTTGTTCCATTTATAGACTACAGGCAGAGTAGATCTAGTATAATTCTTAAGGGCTGTAGGATTTTTGGAATGGTAAATGAGCACTGGCTTCTGCTTAAAGACACACCAGCCGCTTTATCCCCTAACAAGAGAGTCAGCCTACCCTTTGAAGCTTAGAAGCCAGGCATTCACTTTTCCTCTCCAGCTATGAAAGTCTTAGGTGGAATTTTCTCTCTGCACTTATTGGTCAGTTATGTTGTGAAACTAACCTGCTCTAAAAATAACATTTGGGCCAGATGTGGTGGCTCATGCCTATAATCCTAGCACTTTGGGAAGCCGAGGCAGGTGGATAGCTTGAGCTTAGGAGTTTGAGACCAGCCTGGGCAATATGATGAAACCCTGTCTCTCCAAAAAATGCAAAAAATTAGCCGAGCATGGTGGCAGGCACCTGTAGTCCCAGCTACTCGGGAGGCTGAGGTGGGAGGATCACTTTTGAGCCCAGGAAACAGAGGTCATAGTGAGCCGAGATCACACCACTGCACTCTAGTCAGGGCAACAGAGCCAGACCCTCTCTCTAAATAAATAAATAAATAAATAAATAAATAAATACTTTATTTAATAAATGAAGCAAAACAAAAAGAACACTGATCACAGATCACCATAACAGATATAATAATGAAAAGTTTGAAATATTGTGAGGATTACCAAGATGTGACACAGACACCAAGTGAGCACATGCTGCTGGAGAAGAGGTGCCACTATCCTTGTGTGATACAGGGCTGCCACAAACCTTCAATTTCTAAAAAATGTAATGAGCCAGTGAAATGAGCTGTGCCTGTACAGGAAGGTGCTAGGATCACGTAACTTATACTGTTACTGAAACACCAGGGGTTTGGTCTAGGTCCTGCTGCCCACTGCACTGAAAGTCAATCACTGAGATGCCAATGTGATGTCAATCAATGAAATGTGAGCACAGTGAAATGAGCTGCTCCTGTACAAGAAGGTGCTAGGATCATGTAACTTATACTGTTACTGAAACACCCGGGGTTTGGTCTAGGTCCTGCTGCCCACTGCACAGAAAGTCAATCACTGAGATGCCAAGCATTGCCAAGGAAGAAGGCTTTTCTTGGGTGCTGCAGCTGAGGAGATGGGAGCTCAGACTCAAATCCATCTCCCTGACTGACTAAAACCACGGGTTTATATAGAAGGGAAAAAAATAGTCACAATGTGTAAGAAATAGGAACTAGGGAGGGGCAACGAAGCAGTCATGATGAGTGAGGGATATGGCATTTGGTACAGTGATCTGGTGAGTTTCACTTCTTTGATACTTTTTTGAGAGGCCTGAAGGTCCTTTCCCAAGAAAGGAACTCAGATAAAATAAATATAAGTTTCAAGCTTTAAGACAAAAAAGGTCAATTTCTATGTTTATCCAAAAGAACAGTCTATGGAACGATGGGGTTGGTTTCAATACTTCCCTGGCATCTGATTGGTAGTTCTCGTGTCCCTTCTGAAATGGAAACTATAAGACTCCTTGAACATTTTTCTCTATGTGACCAGACCAGTTCTTCTGAAAGGATGCTGGTCACACCTGCCCTTTCCCTTCAATATAGTTCTTTCCAGCAAGGGCAACTCCAAGAGCTGGCCCTTTGCATTTTCAAGGCCTCCTAGGAAGTCGTATTCATTTCAGGGAATTTCTGGTCCACAGAAGAAAAGGTACTTCCTCACAGTGCTTAGGTAACTTCACTAACTAATGAATCTCTCTGAAAGACCAGAATGTTCCATTCAATGCAGTTACTAAAATGTATTTTTCCTTTAAGATTATTCTGCTTTATATTTCCCTTTTGATTTCTCTTGAACATAAGATGTGATAAGAGACTAATTTCAGTATTAATTTTCTGTTTTAATACTTTATGATGAAAATAATTATAATTCAGTACATTTAAATTTTAATAAAATAACATCTAGACAATAACTTAGTATCAATTTAATATATAGTTAATTATAATATATTAATTAATATTAATTTGTTAATAGTTTATTAAGCATTAATGAATTATAAAAGCATTTAAACAAATGTCTTAATATTTTAAAATAATTTAAGTAAAATATTTTAAAATTGCTTACTATTTATAAACATTTAGATATTTAAAATTAATAATACTTTAGTTCCTAGTTTAAATAGAAAAATGTTCCTAAAATATGCATAAGGGAAAAAAAAGAAAAGAAAAACACACTGATTATTTATTTCCAAAGAACAATTAAACAAGAAGCAACTGATGAGAAGCAGAATTATTTGGGATGGATATGAGCCTTAGCCTCCATCTTCTGTAGTGTAATTTTCTTATGAATCTGTTTTAGCTTTTCCCTGAAATCAGAAAAGCTGTGTGTGTGTGTGTGTGTGTGTGTGTGTGTGTGTGTGTGTTTTGTCAAAGGTTAAGTCTTTCTTTTTTGATGTGAAAGTTAGAACAATTAAACCGATGTAAATCAAATTACTGTTCTTTGAATAGTAAGCCATCCTTACCATCCTTATGCTCTCTGTAGTTCCTGCTTTTTCTGTTTTAATCTGTGCATTATTATTAATAAAAATCATTTTCTTCTATAAAGATAACATATGATTAGTACAGATATATTGGGAAATATTAAGAATCAAAGAAAGAAAATAGTAACCTGTAGTCTCCCATGCAAAGACAACACATATCCTTTATCTGAGATTTTCCTGTTGTCCAGACATGTGAATGTCAAGAGAGAATATAGAATTAATGAATCAAAACAGTTCCTGTGAACTCATATAGATGTTGCTTTACTGGACCCTGATGTTTAACATTGTTACAGAAAAGTCGGGGGTCAGTCTGATTATGCTCCCTTTACAGGTAACCTGTTTATTTTGGCTGAGGTGATTGTGTGTCTTTATTCTTATAGTTTATTCTCTGTTCTCTTTCTTTCACCAGAGTCTGTTCCATTAAAGACCAAGAACGATTACCCCTTGCCTTTTTACAGAGCTAAGAATATTAGAACCATCAGTGGCTCAGGGTCTGTCAAGTCTCCAGTGAGTCATTCTAGGTTGTTCGCCATACATTTCTGTTCATCTTAGTTTCTCTCTGTTCCTCTCTTGATTTTTTGCCGGACAGAATATTATAAGGAATATTTATTGTTTGTGACATTAGGGCCATCAAATTCTTAAATAAGACTTAGTCCTTTCTCAGAGGTAGTATTATCCTTTTCTCCCTTTTGTTAAAGTGATAATACGATCAATGTAATTTTTAACATTTTTCAAATATATATCAACTTTTGAAATTAGCTGCATGTAGTAATACCAGAAAATGTACATTCATAGAATTTGTTTTGTTCTTAATTCTAGATTTTTTAAGTTACAGAATTAAAATGTTAATCTGAATCCCTTTTGCATCAATAAAGGATTTTTATATCATAATTTTTAGAAACTTCCTTCATCCTTAAGTTGGCCTTCAAAGCATATATATCCAATGTCACTCCATAGAAACTTTGGTTTTACAAGTAAATATATAGTTCATTTACTTTATGTGATATATTTGTTATGTTTTGTATTTGCTGACTATATGCATTTTATGTGGAAAAGCATTTTAATTTAAAAAGTTTCATTCTAGAAGAAAATCAGCTGTTTTAAAAGTATTTTGATAACTGGTTATGAGCCATAATAGTATTATTGTTGTGAAGCATTTTGTTTCCCTAAGTGTAAGAGTCAAACCCAAGAAAAATATTTTAATATGAAAAAATATTCTACCACACAATGATCAGAATATGTACTTTTATTAGATAATATTTTGAGGTGACCATTTTGGCATGTGTTGGGTTGGTACTAAAAAATGAAAAGATGAGCTTGCATTTCTAGCATAGGCTAAAATTATGGAGATGATACTCTTAATGATTATATGTCTTTAATCAGAAGTTTTCACCCAAAGAACACATGGCTTGAAATAAGTTTTTTAAAAACATCACCAGTGTCAACATTATATTATACAAATTAAGAAGTAGGATTTTTTCCTTTTTTTAATGAAACACATTACACCAAGTTGGGAAGGGTTAACATTGTCCTACATATAATAGAAGACAGAGAATGGACCAGCAATGTAGTCAGAAGGTTGATTCTAGAGTTCCAGGGATCTTAGAAGTCCCAAACATAAGCAGGGAGAATTTTGGCTTTAGAGGTAACATCTATCTTGTCCATAGAACTTGACGTATTTTTGTGCCATAACCTTTACTAATCTGATTTCTTGAAATGTTTTACTTTGTTTCCAAATCCATTGCTACCTATGGTAAAGTTTCTGACAAAGAGCATGCTCCTGGATTATAATAGCTACTGTAGAAAGCTTATTACATGTCACGTGTTTGAAATACAGAAATTCATGTGGTTCTTATAGCACTGCTGTAAATTAGGTATTACCATATCCTTTTCACAAATGAAGAAACTGAACCTCAGGGTATTGAGCCAGGACACGCAGCCAGCAAGTGCACACACTGGCATGTTCTAGCCCAGGTATGTTCACCACTATCTGTCTAGGGAAAATAATTCCATAGAACATAAGAGACTGAGGAAATGTATAGAGCCTTTTAAATCCTTACATATTACTGATAAGAAAATGCAAGCCCTTTAACTTTTGTGGTAAATGGTGCAATTAAGGTGTTTATACTTATTTATAAAACATAGCAGGCTGGGTGCCGTGGCTCACACCTGTAATCCCAGCACTTTGGGAGGCCGAGGTGGGCGGATCATGAGGTCTGGAGTTCGAGACCAGCCTGGCCAACATGGTGAAACCCCATCTCTACTAAAAATAATAATAATAAAAAATTAGCTGAGTGTGGTGGCACACGCCTGTAATCCCAGCTGCTGGGGGAAGGTGAAACAGGAGAATCGCTTCAACCTGGGTGACGGAGGTTGCAGTGAGCCAAGATCATGCCACTGCACTCCAGCCTGCGTAATAGAGCGAGACCCCTTCTGCAAAAAAAAAAAAATAATAAAAAAAAGCAAAGGCATATTTTGTTTTAAATGCATTTCATTGTCCAGTGTACCCAACCATCCATATATGACCTAGCACTTCTCAAGGACAAATTATCTTGCCACCTATGCAGACTTGGAATAGGATAGCATGGTAAACTGAGGAAGAAGTGAGAGCATGTTAAGTTGGTGGACCATGATTGGCATCAGCCAATTTTCATATAGTTCCTTTAGTTCCAAGGATTTGTTATAGTTGATCTAAAAGGATGCCGAATGAACAGCAGTAAATAGGTGACCCTGCTTTGCTTATTGGTGTTCCCTACCAGAGGTGGGAAAGAAATGAATAATTCCTCTAAGTGGAAATGGTCCATGCTCCAGTAGGTTTATGCTACATTTGAAGTGTCTTCCTTCTGTCACTTCCTCTCCTCTCTACTCTGGGGTTTGTGAGAGCTTGGAGTGTGTCATACAATATCCTCTTTGGATTGTGAACTTTCTTACAGTTTTCAGAGCACTTTGAAAGACATCTGAATCATAAGGGATAACACGGGATGGATGAGAAGAATTAAAACCTGTAATAATGTATAGAATTATCACTGGGTGTGGTCCAGGTTGTCTGCCAGACCTACTTCTCCAGCCACTCCTATTTCAAAGATGTGGCAGTTAAGGTCCAGGAATTTCTGGTGATCCTGATTCCTAGTTAAGAGTCAGAAACATGCTCCAGTCTAGTTCTGTCTCAGAATGAGGTAGCTCCTAGTCTAGGACTTTGCCATGAACAACTTAATACTTTTATTTATATTGAGTCATTTGATATGCAGAATCCCAAATAGATATTGAGGACTTTTGGGATTATACCTCTATTTATTTACTATGTCTTTGAGTATACCTCTTTGAATAGTTTTCCTTTTGGTTGCTATCTCATTACAATACACATGTGACTTATCACAGTCTACTGATATCAACATTTTACCACTTTGAGTGACACATGGGGGCCTTATTTCCATTTAAATGCTTTTACCTTTCCCACTTTTAAATATTATTGTCTTGAGTATCAGATGGTGTTATAATGTTTAAGTCATCTAATATATCTTATGAAACTCATGAGGAGGATCATCTATCGTATGTAGCCATATTTCAGCTTGTTTTGTTGTTTTATTTCCTAATGCTCCATGATTCCATCTTCCATCATTTTCTTTCTGTTCAAAAAACTTATTTTAGCCATTTTTAAAAGGTCTGCCAGCAACACAGTCCTTTTGTTTCTTTCATCTGTTTCTATATTCCCTTCATTCTTGAAGTATAGTTTTCCTGGATATAGAATTTGAAGATGACAATTCTTTGTTTTCAGCACTTGGAAAATGCACCTTTTCCTTCTGGCCTATATGGTTTCAGGTAAGAAATTTGCTGTTATTGGAGTTGATGTTCCCTAATAGGTAATGTGTTGTTGCTCTCTCAGTGCTTTCAAGACTTTTTTTTTTTTTTTTTTTTTTGCAATTCACTTATCAAAATTTTAATTATGAAATGTCCTGGTATGGATTTCTTTGGGTTTATCCTGTTTGAGATTTATACAGCTTATGAATCTGTAGATTTATATTTTTTTGCCAAATTTAGAAAATTTTAAGCCATTATTTTAAAAACAATTTTTCAAGCCCACTCTCTTTTTCTCCCTCTATTCTGGACCTTTGATGATGTGAATCTTGAACATTTTGTTATTGTGCTACAAGTCCTTGAGGGTCTGTTTTTTGTCGGTTTTTAGTCTATTTTCTTCTTGTTCATAGTGAGTAAATTTGGTAATTCTGTTGATCTGTTCTCAGGTTCACTGATTCTGTCCTTTGTCACCTTCATTTTACTATTGAACCCACTAAGTTTATATTTGTTGTACTTTTTAGTTTTATAATTTCCATTTGGTTCTTTTTTTAATTTCTCAAAAAATACGGAATGCGTCACGACTTTGCATGTCACCCTTGTGCAGGGGCCATGCTAATCTTATCTATGCTGTTCCAATGTTAGTGTATTTGCTGCTGAACTGTGAGCACCGTGGTTCTTTTTTTAATAACTTCTAGTTCTTGGCTGAGATTTTCTATTTTTTCATTTGTTTCTAAATAATTTACAGTTACTCATTACACCATTTTGAGGATGGCTGCTTTAAAATCTTTGTCAATAAGTTCTTCTTCTGTTTCATCTCTGGGTTAGTGTCAGTTGTCATTTCACAGTCAAGTTGTGATTTTCCTGACTTTTGGTTTGTTGGGTAATTTTTCATTCTATCCTGGAATTTGGCTATGCTGTTAGGAGACTCAGAGTCTGATTTAAATCTTTTGTTTTAGTAGGCAGTCATCCCATTTAGGTTTAGCAAGAAAATCCTGGCCTAATTTTGTGGGCCGTGCATCCAATGACAATTGCATTTTCAGAGACTTTGTGGTGCTATTTTGGTCTTCTTGGTTTATCTGGGGCTGCTAGGGTTCCTCCTGGCGTCTGCTGGTGCTACCTGAAGGGGTGGAGCTCTTCAGTAGAGCCTCATGATGCCTCTGATGGAGGTAGAGGGAATACAAACAGATATCCTGGAGACAGGCACTAGTGCTGAGGACTGCCCCTCTCTCCAAGGAAAACACTTCCCAGGTGGAGCCTTTTTTTGTGGCAGGATCCCCTTTGCTAGTGCTGCAAGCCACCTGCTGTTTCTCATTGGAGGAAGGGAGTCTTAGGCTTGGTGAGTAAGGAGAGTGCTTTCCTGTCTTCTTATGGTCAGCAGGTGTATTAGTCTCATGCTGCTAATAAAGACATACCTGAGACTGGGTAATTTATAAAGGAAAGAGGTTTAATTGACTCCCAGTTCCACATGGCTTGGAAGGCCTCAGGAAACTTAACAATCATAGTGGAAGGGGAAGCAAACACGTCCTTCTTCACAAGGCAGCAGGAGAGAGAAGTGCTGAGCAAAGTGGGAAAAGCCCCTTATAAACCCATCAGATGTCGTGATAACTTACTATCACAAGAACAGCATGAGGGTATCCACCCCCATGATTCAATAACCTCCCACCAGGTCCCTCACAACGCGGGATTATGGGAACTACAATTCAAGATGAGATTTGGGTGGGGACACAGCCAAACAATATCAGCATGGCTCCTGCTCCATTTTCCCTGGCTAGTACCGCTGGCCAGCCTGGTAGTATCATTGGGACTCCCCTTTGGTCTGAGTGGGAATGAGCCTATTTGGGCTGGCTACGAGATTGAGGCTCTAGAAACACTGGGCTTGGGTGACCTTCTGTGAGGTTGTGGGTTGTAAGACACTGTCACTGTGACATTCCTCTGGTTGTAGGGTCTCTAACCATTTCACCTTTTGGAGTTCTCTGGCTTCCTTTTGTGTTTTTTTTCTAGGGTTTATATTTATACTTAGCTGGGAGAAACAGGGAAAAAGTATCTGTACCATCTTGTCCAGTCCAGAATTCTTGTGCAGGGACTATTTTTGGGTAGAGTTGGGGTCGGAGAAGACCCTTAAGACTACTCATTATAGAAAAAATGAATTTAGTTAGTGGCTTTGTTTCAGTAGAAAGTTCTCTATTTTTCTACCTTTCATAGTTCCCTGTAAACAAAACTGAAATGCAGTCTACCTGCCCTCTCTCTTCCCCCTACTTCGTAATCATGCTGTGATATGGTTTGGCTGTGTCCCCACCCAAATCTCATCTTGAATTGTAGCTGCCACAATTCCCACATGTCATGAGAGGTACCTGGTGGGAGGTAATTGAATCATGGAGGTGGGTCTTTCCCATGCTGTTCTCATGATAGTGAATAAGTCTCACGAGATCTGTTGGTTTTATAAAGGGCAATTCCCCTGCACACACTCTCTCTTGCCTGCTGCATGTAAGACATACCTTGCTCTTCCACCATGGTTGTGAGGCCTCCCTAACTATATGGAACTGTGAGTCCATTAAACCTGTTTCCTTTATAAATTACCCAGTCTCAGGTATGTCTTTATTAGCAGCATGAGAACAGACTAATACATGCTGCCTCTATGGGCTTCAATGAGCTGAAGTTCTTACATCTTTAGGAACGTGGAGGAAGAGTTAAAGCCTCACCTTCAGTTTTGCTACTCTTGTCGTAGTGGGAACGTGAGTCAACAAATACTCTATCTTTAGGCCACGACTTCTCCTTCTGCCTTCTTCCTAATCGCCTCTTGTCAACTTCACCAAGCTTAACTTCACAGGCTGGGAAAAATGAGCTTTTAAAGACAGTTAGTCAAATCTTATATGTCAAACTCAAAAAGGGAAAGAAACTGTAAGTGTAAATGCCATCTGGCTTTATTTACTCATCCGCCCCCATCTCAGAATCACTTTGAGCAGATGCATGCTTTCACTCTGAAGAGCAGTTTATAGGAACAGATTGAAGAAAAGATTTGTTTTAAACATTTCAGCACGATAATTAGATTCAATTAAATTTGTCACTAAGTATTCTGTAACTTAAGATGCCCTAGCCCTTGGCACATATGAGCAAAAATCTAAAAAACACAGGGAAGGTGCTGATGAAGGTTTTGGATGAGGGTTCAAGTAGCCAAATACTACCTTCACTTTTGAGATAAATCTAAAAGAAAATTTTTAAGGTAGTAAATATAACTCTGTAAAATACAAATAGAATTCTTAAATTTCAGGAAACACCCAAAGATTCAGAAATGAATCATATTTCCTCATTTGTTGGGCATTTAAAATGTAATTTTATACTAGTGATAGCAACAGGGTCAAGAAAGCTTGGGAATGGTGCCAGAAACTGTAACATTAAAAGTAGAAAAACTTGGTTCTTCCTTAGATGAATTTATGTGTGACTAGAAATGCTATGAAATGTTCTCAGGTAGGAAAGTACTTGCGGCACAGAAGAAAATCCCTGTTCTCTAGGATTTTGGGGGAGAAACTTTATCTTAAATTATTCTAGGTATGAAATCATTTACAAATGTAATTTTTATTTTAACATGGTGGGAGTGAGAAATACGGACCACTAAAGATGCTCACATCCTTATCCCTGGAACAAAAAGATACTTTTCAGATGTGACTAAGTTAAAGGCCTTGAGATAGGGAGGTTTTATGCTGGATCATTGGCTTTGAAGAAAGAGGAAGGGTCCATGAGCAGTGGAAGCTTCTGGAAGCTGGAAAAGTCAAGGAAACTGATTCTTCCCTGGATCCTGAAGAAAGAATTACAGCCCTGCTAACACTTTGATTTTTGCCTAGCAAGGACTCACATCAGATTTCTGACCTCTAGAATTATAAGATAATAAATTTGGATTATTCTGAGTCACAAAGTTTTGTGATAATTTGTTACAGCAGAAATAGAAAACGAATACAAATAAGTGAGTTATTTTTAAGAGGGTTGCTATTTGTCTCATATAACTTTTTATGTAAAAGCATTATCTACACCACTGACTTTGCCCCTAGGAAAACATTTGGCAATGTTTGGAGACATTTTTGATTTTCACCATGGGGGCATGGGGGTGGTGTATTACTGGCACTGAGTGGGCAAAAGCCAGGGGTGCTGCTAAATATCTTACAATGGAATGACCAGTCCCACAAGAAAGAATCATCTAGCCAAAATAGAGAAATTCTGAGCTAGGTTAATTTATGTACTCAAAGCATACTCTTGCTACCCAAAGTGCTGTACATGGATGAGTAACATTAGCATTACCTGACAGCTGTTAGAAATGCTGATTCTCAGGTCCCACTCCAGACCTACTGAATCAGAATCTGTATTTTAATAGATCTCTGGGTGATTCGTGTACACATTGAAGTTGATAAAGCACTGGTCTAGGTGACTTTCTCTTGCTTTCTTCCTCTCCCTATCATTTCCTTTCTCCTCCCTTGCTACTCCCTGCACTTACGGTTCCCATTTAGCTACGTAAATGCCTTTCTTCCCAGCTTCAGTTTCTAGTCTCCTCAAGCCAGGTCTGTGTATTATTTCATCTCTATATTCTCCCAAAGACACTGACTACATTGCATTGCACAAAATAGCTGCTTGATATTATTTATGGATCGAATGAACTTCTGAAAATTCTTGATGTAGATAATTTTCATTTTAACTGAATGGATGGCTGCCATCATTTTTACTTTGTAATTGAATTCAAACATTTCCTAGAGTGTCAACTATGAAAAAAGATAGCCATTTCAAATACCTAGAAATTTCATAGTAAATTGAAGCTTCCTAATGATTTCACAGTGTGAAGAAGAGAACTCATCCTAAATATCCTATATTCTGATTCTTGATGTGTAACAAAATGTAGCCAGTATTTCCATTCTTAACATTCCATTCTTAACATTAATTCTCCAGAGCAATCATTTGTGTAATGGAATAATTTGTGTTGTATTTTTAAAAAAGAATTAGCCGATGTTTGTCCAAGGAACCTAAGGGGATTATCAGGTTTTTGGTATTTATCAAAATCTGTTACTTTATATGATGGTTACAACTACAAGGAATTATCTCATTTTTTTTCTTTGCACGAATGCAGTGAAAACACTCATAGGATGTTTTGGAGTTAAGGTGACACACATTACGTGAAAGGCCTGATTTTATGAATACTGCATCTTACAGCAAAAATAAGAATTCACTGCTACAGAAAAGGAGCAAATTAAAAATTCTAGTTTAGTTAGCCAGAGATTTCTCAGGCTGTAAGTGATCTCCTTCATTTTGTAGATGAGGAATTTGAGGCCTAGAGAAGTTGGTGCTAGTCAAAAGATCAAACCGTTGCATGTTTTGTGGAAAGGACAATATTGGAGGCTTGCTTTTAAACATAGCTGTCTTCATCTCGTGAACGTGTGCTGTAAACCCGATGACCCTTGAGGGCCTTGCAACTTTTGAAACATTTTAAATCCGGTTCTCCCACTCTAAATATAGCGTTCTTATAGTTTCATACTGACTCTCTGTAGACTATTTCTGTCTGGAGAAAAGGATGGGTAGGTGGATGGAAGCTGTCACTACAATACTAGTACAAAAGTTAGATTTAAATTCATGTTTCTTTGCACACGGTAATCTACATAAAAAAGTTTTTACTTCATATGTAGATGAATAAAAGTGCCAAGTTATATTAATTCTCTGATAAAATAGTTTTGTAATTCCAAAGCTACTGGGAAAAGTCCAACAGACACATATTTTTTAAATTTCTAAAAGCAAAACTAGCACTGGAAAAAATAACTTGGTCCAGAAATATTGGTTTGTATTGCTTGGAATTGTAAGCATTGTGTTGTTTTAAGGTCCTTTTTACCCTTCAGGATAGAGCCATGGCTTTCACTGGATTCCCAGAGGCACCAATGTCACAGAAATGAGTCACTAGTTTTCTCAGCTCTTGAAATACGTATCTGAAGACCAGTGAAAATCTGACTTGTCAAGACTATGATTCTAATTACTAGGGTTTCTTGAGCTCACTGTTTTTGCTATTAAATATTTTCTTCCTTCCTCCAGAAATTCTGTGTTTGAGGATTTTATGTATCCCTTGTGAAATAATCCCCAGATAATGAAAATTCAACAATACAAAGTGATGCAGAGACAATGATCCTTGACAACAGTAGTATAGATATCTGCTCATTAAAAAAAAAAATCAAAGGCCTTATTTTAGTCTATATCTAGTTATTTTTTTCTACTTTTCAATGTTTCTCCCTATCTTTCTAGAATTAGTTCTCCAGTTGTCTTTTTCCTTTTACCTTATGTTGTTTTATCTTCAAAGACAGAGTGATGGAGCTTAGTAAGGATGCTATGATTTGAAGAACACAGATGCCTCTAACTTATGGAAGAGGAAGCCAAATGCTGTTCCACATTCAGATAAACAGATGAATGGATGCAAAAGTTTCTCCCTATAAGATGTGTTTGTAGTTCTGATGCATAAGAACTTTTCCAGCATGCTAAGGGGGTTGAAAGGTACTGTATTAGTTTGTTTTCACACTGCTGATAAAGACATACCCGAGACTGAGCAATTTACAAAAGAAAGAGGTTTATTGGACTTATGGTTCAACATGGCTGGGAGGCCACACAATCGTGGAGGAAGGCAAGGAGGAGCAAGTCACATCTTACATGGATGGCGGCAGGCAAAGAGAGAGCTTGTGCAGAGAAACTCCTGTTTTTAAATCAGATCTCATGAGACCCATTTGCTATCATGAGAACAGCACGGGCAAGACCCTCCCCCATGATTCAGTCATCTCCCATGGGGTCCCTTCCGCAACACATGGGAATTATGGGAGCTGCAAGATGAGATTTAGATGGGAACATAGAGCCAAACTATGTCAGGTAGGAAGGCAGGATTCAGGAAAATAAAATTCTCTGTCTGATTAAAGAGTTCACTAAATCACGCCTGTAATCTCAGCACTTTGGGAGGCCGAGGTGGGCAGATCATGAGGTCAGGAGATCGAGACCATCCTGGCTAACACGGTGAAACCCCATCTCTACTAAAAATACAAAAAATTAGCCAGGCGTGGTGGCAGGCGCCTGTAGTCCCAGCTACTCGGGAGGCTGAGGCAGGAGAATGGCATGAACCTGGGAGGCGGAGCTTGCAGTGAGCTGAGATCACGCCACTGCACTCCAGCCTGGGCAACAGAGCAAGACTCCATCTCAAAAAAAAAAAAAAAAAAGATTTCACTAAATAGTTGCATATTCAAATACAAGTCACTTAACTCACCCCCTCCCAAATTTTAAGTCATGCTTCAGTGTATTATGTGTTTATTACAAGTTCATACGGTGCTTAAATCCTAGTCTTCAATCTAGTAACCTCACTATGGGTAATCCTTAGTGTACTATTCTTGTGGATCCTTTCCTTTGTTTTTCTTGCCTACTTAAGTGTAGGGTTACTTTCTAGATCATACCATGGAGTAGTACAATGGGGAATGTCTTAAAAATCAAATACTTAAGTGCAAAACACAAAATAAGGTGTAATTCAGTAACAATCAGACTAAGCAAATAAAAAACATTCTGAGTTGCCTTTTAAATGTTTCAAGTGTGGGTTGCCCCTGATAAATTTAATTAGGCATCATAAAGAGATAACATATAAATGCATTTAAAAGATGTAATTGCACCTCAAAACTTTACATAGTTAAAAATCAAAAGGCCACAAATGACCTGAATAAATAGCAGGAGTCTGAAAAATAACTGTCAAAAAGAAAATTGTCAGCAATGTTTTTGAAAATATAATGAGGGCCCTAGAAAGTACGCAGCATAGTCAAAAATCTGTCGTGGTAACAAGAATAATTATGAGCAGGACTTGAGGTTCTTCATTAGCATCATATACCTGGATTAAATGGAGCAAGTACATTTCTCCCTCTGATCTAAACTGGAAGCGAGCACTTTACTGGTTTACAGCTAAAGGAAGACAAAGGAATTGACCCAGCTTACATCTTCCCTAACTAAGTTTTTCACTCTGTAAGCCTGATCTGATTAAGATTTTTGACTAAGAAATGAATACGAAATGGATGGGTAAATGGCATGAGAAGCAAGAGAAATGCCCAGGTGTCCCAAAGGCTGTCTTTCCATTCTTCACGTGGGGCCAACATGAAGCTCCTCTGGGCTGCATCTGGTTCTCTTTTGTTGCTACTTTATTTCTTAGGAAAATTATTTTTATTGTTTTTTAGCCAGAACTGTTCTGCAATGAAATTCTCTCAGCGCTGGCCTTTGCCCAGCTGCCCAGCTGTTTCTGGAGGGTGGGGTCCAATCTTACCGAGGTGGCCAGAGTGCATCCAGCTCCGAACACCCCCCAGTCAGTGCTGTTGTCTGATAAGTCTCCAACAGACCCTCCTGAACTGTGACCTGTGAAAAATAGAAATATGAGGCCTGTGTGTTCACTCCCTAAAGAGTTCCCTCCCTGGCTTATCTATTTTCCTCAAACATCTCAACTAGGTCAGGCCCTGTCATTAAAAAACAAGTGGGTCTCCCCTAGTTTCCCGGCTAAGAAGATCTGGCCTCTGCCTTAGGCCCTGACTAGGGGGCCCCGTGCTGCAATAACTGGTTGTGCAGCCCACCCAGCCTAGTGGCCAGGCCCCAGTGTCTGCCCCAGAGAGGAGAGGTTGGAGCCAGCCACCCAGAACCTTTGCTGGCTATGCCTGGCTGTAGCAGCTGTTCTGGCTATGCAACTCTGAGCATGCTCAGAGTGGGGCGTCCAGTACACCCTGTCTTCCCAGGCTCTCTAAAGCCAGAAGGATTTCATTCTTTTCCAGAATGTGGTACTTTAGCAGGCTGAGATAGTCCATTCCTCTTAGAAATTGTTCCCCTCTACTTGAAGGATAGTAAAATAAAGGACCATTTAAACTTTTAAACTTGACTCTTACCTCAAATTCTTTTTCAAATGAGATTGGGTCTAAAATTAAGAAATTAAAAGCAAATATTCATTTTATATTCTTTTTTTATTTTTTAAGACTAGGTCTTGCTTTGTCATCCAGGCTGGAGTGCGGTGGTGCAATCATAACTCACTGCAGCCTTTACCTCCTGGGCTCAAGCAATTCCCCCACCTCGGCCTCCCATGTCGTTGGGACATGTGTGCACCACTGCATCTGGCTGATTTTTTTTTTTTACTTTTTCTGGAGGTAGGGTTTCAGCTCGTTGCCCAGGCTGGTGTTGAACTCCTGGGCTCAAGCGATCCTCCTGCCTCAGCCTCCCAAAAGGCTGGGATTATAGGTGTGAGCCACTGCACCTGTCCCTTATTTTTAATTTTAAGCAAAAAGAGGACTGACTCTGAAGTTCAAGAAGTCATCAAGAAATGCTGATGGGTTACTTCAGAATTGTTTCAGATTAAAGGACAGCCTGGTGTCACTCTGTGACTATGGTAATGGCATAGTAGGGAATACAGCTTCCCACTTTGCTATCTCTAGGTTAGGAGAACCAATAACAGTTCACCCAAAATATCCACATTTCTTGGAGGCTTATCCTTTGCGTATTCACTGAAGAAGGAAAGGAAAGAAATGAAGGGAACCCATTAGGTGGCCCTGTGCTTCGTATTCCATTTGCAGTGTCTCATTCAGTCCTCACAATAGTGCTGAAAGTAGATCATATCCTCATTTGACAGATAAGGATATTGAGGCTGGGCAAAAGTGAATAACTTGTCCAATGTCCCATATGCAGTAAGGAAAAGAAACAGTATCTGACCTCAGGTCTGTCTGTCTCTTTCCTCCTATAAAAGATGAATACATACCTTTAAAGTCCTCCAAGTTACCCAGCCTCGGAGATTAAAATAAATTTTATTTCCAAGATATCTCTATTTTTCTTCCTCCCCGCTAACTAGCTTCTTAAGTTCCCATGTGAATATTGTCATTCATTTCCTTAATTATTAAACATGTTTTGTTTTAAACTGGTAAATAATGTTTAATAAAGGTTTTATTATTATTTTAAAAACATTTTTAATGAAGTTCTTTCCATTGAAGCATTTCTAATTTATTCTAATGAAGCATTTCCAAAGAATAAAGAAAAGTAATAATTTAGGGTTGGTTATCTACATCAATATCATTATCAAAGTCTACTGTCTGTCCTTCCTCTTTTTTCCTCCGTCTTAGACCAGGGAGCATAGTAGATGAACATCATGCAGGCCAGCACACTGAGGCTACGTGTAAGCAGGTGGGAAGATTATGTGCATGAAACAGACAGTCGCATACCACTTTTGGTTACAAACACTTGCCCTGGATGAGAGCAGGAATTGAGACCACGTTTGTGTCCCAGTGGGTTCCAGGACTTTTTTTCCATCAGTTTCCACCCTGTCCTGGACAGGCTTAGAAAAACATGTTTCTTACCAAAAAAAGTTACAAAAACAATGTTTACATTAAAATTCAAAGTCCATGCAACTGCCTCTGGTTCCTCAAGGTAACTACTGCCAATGATTTGGTGTGTATCCTTCTAGACATTTTTTGTAATGCACATAGGGTATATATACATATAAGTACCTATAGCAATTTTATAAGTGACCTGTTGTACATGAGGTAACTTTATAGACTTAATGTAATGTGCGTATCTTCCCATGTGGGTAAATATGATAGAGCAGTGCCAATCTGCTTAATGGCTGCTTACTACTCCACTTATGTATACTATCAGTGGATATTGAGATAGTTTCTAATTTTCTACCGTTATAAATATTTCATTGAACATTATGTGGTTGTATTTTTATATGCTTCTTCAAGTATATCTGGATGACACATTTCTAAAATGGAATTGTTAGGTAAAAGAGGACATTGTACATTTAGATAGATATTGCCAAATTGCCCTTCAAAAAGATGGTCAAATGACTCTTCTATCAACAGTATATGAGTGTGTCCATTTATTTATTACCATTATGTCACTAGTAAGAGCATTTTAAATCTTTCCCACTGTGCTACCTATTCTTTTTAAGATCAGAATAACACATTTAATACTGATGAGCTTTAGTTCTGAAGCCAAAGCGCTTGCTAACATTTCATCCCTGGATCAACAGACTCAACCACCCAGCCACAGATATTGCTGGACAATCATGGGTTTCCCCAGTAAGGGTGCAGCCTGCACCACTAAGCTTATTGAGTGTTTTTGAGCCTGCCTGCCTGCATGCCTGCCTGCCTGCCTGCCTGCCTGCCTGCCTGCCTGCCTTCCTTCCTTCCTTCCTTCCTTCCTTCCTTCCTTCCTTCCTTCCTTCCTTCCTTCCTTCCCTTCCTCCCCTTCCTCCCTCCCTCTTCCTTCCCTTTCCCTTTCCCTTCCCCTTTCCCTTCCTTTCCCTTCCCCTCCCCTCCCTTCCCCCTCTCTCTCTCTTTCTTTCTTTCTTTCTCACTCTGTCAACCAGGCTGGAGTGCAGTGGCATGATCTCAGCTGAGTGTAACCTCTGCCTCCCAAAATCAAGCGATTCTCCTGCCTCAGCCTCCTGAGCAGCTGGGATTACAGGCACACGCCACCTCGCCTGGCTAATTTTTGTATTTTTAGTAGAGATGGGGTTTCACCATGTTGGTCAGGCTGGTCTCAAACTCCTGACCTCGTGATCCACCTGCCTCGGCCTCCCAAAGTGCTTGGATTATAGGCATGAGCCACCGTGCCGGCCTGAGCTATGACCTACTTTCTACAGGAAACTAGAAGAAGAAACTAAAGATAGTTGGTGCTGGCCTTTCTAGTGTTGGTCAACCTCTTCCTCATTCTCTCTCTCTGTCATTCTCTCTTTCCTACTTTATTGAACTATAATTGACATATAACATGTTGTTGCATATATTGATAGTTTGTTTCTATTACAGACTAGTATTCCATTGATTGGAAATACTACTGTATATTCACCTGTTGATTTGTGGATGGACTTTTGGGTTGTTTCTAGTTACTGACTATTACAAATATTTTGCTCTGGGCATTTCCTACACATCTTTGTGTGGACATATTCTTTCCTTTCTCTTGGATAAATATTGAGTAGAATGGCTGAGTCATATGATATGTGAATGTTTAACTTTTGAGGAAGCTGCCAAACTGTTTTCCAAATAATTAATACCATGTTACATTTTCACCAGCAGTGATGAAAGTTTCAGTTCCACTATATCCAAGTCAACATTTGCTAGGGTCACTCTTCTAAATTGTAGACATTCAGTGGGTGTGCAGTCGTATCTCATTGTGGATTTAATTTGCATTTCCCTGATGACTAGTGAAGCTGATCGCCTTTTCATGTGCTTAATGCGCCATTTATACATTTTCTTTTGAGAAGCATCTATTAAACTATTTTACATTTTAATTGGATTATTCATTTTATTATTGTACTGATATGTAATGGGAATCTGACTTTTATATCCCTCCCTCACCCCAAAGTCAAATTATTCCAAGACTATTTATTGAGCATTTGATCTTTTCTTCATGTTTTAAAATATGTGTTAGATTTTGTTATGCAGAGATCCGTTTTTAGATTTTAATGTGTGCCACTAATCTCGTTTATCCTCCTGCTAGTACCAAACTAGCTTAAACCTGTGACTTTATAGCATGTTTTAATGAGATAATCCCCTTTCATTAACTTGCCCCCACAAATGCGTTTAATATACAAACTAATTTTGAAAGAATTCCTATTTTAAAAGTATTGAATCTTCCCCTTCAAGAATATGGTACTAGTTCCATTTATTTAGGTATTTTTTCTTAAAAGTTATGTAATGTTCTTTATTGAAGAATAACATACTTTTGCTAGATGATGATTATCTTGCAAATATTTATTATAAGAAATCCATTTAGTTTTGTACTTTAATTTATATATGCCCACTTTTCTGAGTTACAAATTTTTTTCTAATAGTTGATTGAATAGTTATCAGGTATTTTAGTTTTTCTATTAACAAGCAGGCAATCTGAGGACAACTTATTTTCAATTGTTTATCACTTTTTTCTTTTCCAGCTTAATTCATTGACTAGAATGTCAGTACAAATGGATATCCTTTTCTTATCCCTTATATTAGTGGAATACTTCTAGTATATCGTTGTTAAATAAGATTTCTGTTGGTTTCTAATAAGTTTTCTGTAGTTTTCCCCATTCCCAGATTACTAAGTGTTGTACTTGTAATTATATTTTGATTTGTTGGTGGTGGTGTTTTATCTTCCTTTTAAAAAAGTAAATGTTGAATTTTACCAGGCAAGTCATTGGTGCTAATATTTTTTCTTAATAGTGTGGTGAATTGCATTAAGAGATTTCCTAGTGTTAACCCTTTTTGGTTGGATCATAGCATTCTGCTAATATAATGTCAGATTCAATTATATTCATAAAGTTGACTGGTCTATACAGTTATTCTCAAAGAAAGGTGGTACTTCCTGCTGACTATTCTCCAGGGACATTTGGGAATGTGAGGGAGTAGTTTTTGCTGGCCACAATGGGCAGGGTGCTAAGGACCCTGGAATTCATGGAACAGTTAATGCAACAAAGAAGCTTTTCATCCCCAAAGCCAATTCCAATCCCACTGAGAAAAACTAATCTGTAGTTTTGTGGGGGGGAGATTTGTTTTGTCTATTTTTTTATAGTTTATTTTAGTCTCTTAGAATGAATTGGAATTTTTTTTAAATGTTAATACTTGGGGAACAATATAAATTCCATAGGAAGTAATATGTTCCTTAGTGGTTTGATAAATTTCATCCACAAATCCATCTGAATCTGGTGCCTTTTGAGGGGGGTGAAGGAACTTTTTTAACGATTATATTCTCTATGTTTTTTGTTTTGGGTATATTCAGATTATCAAACTATTACATCAATTGTCATAGTTTGTTTCCTTAGAAAAACATCAATTTTAGCCATTTTTTCAAATTTATTGGCAAATAATTTCATGTAACTTCTTCTAGTTGTGTGAACTTCATCATCTATGGTTATCTCTTCTTCGTAATCTGTTTTTATTTTGTTGGTCATATTTATAAGACATTTGTCTCTTTAGTTGTTTCTTTAAATACCAGATTTGTTGTCTTAATCAAGTTTATTCTTTTTTATTTACTATTTCAGTAACATGTTTTAATTTCTTTTTTGCTTTTGGGGACGTTATATATTTTTGCTCAACTTCTTGAGTTAAATGCATGGTTCATTTCTTTCTCATTATTTGTATTCATTTGTAAAAATATTTTGGCCTCTGAATGCAAAACTGTGCTGTTAATGGATTTCTAGTCTGTTAGATATTCCATTTGGATATAACACAATCACTTAATTAGGGTATGTGATTTGTATTACTAGAACCAATAGTGATTATTTTGTAACCACAATATGCTATTTGTACAGCAAACAAGCCTAAAGCTGCTTTGAATTTCCAGCAGCTCAGCTGGTATCCTGTTGTTATTAACAGTTGTAAACTCAATTACAATTTTACAATTAATTTTAAAGTAATGATTTGTGACAAAAATTCTAGTAGTGAAAAATACACAGTGAATCTACCTTCTCACCTCAATCTTTAGCCATGGCAATACTAATTTCTGATTTAGAATTTTTTAAAATTATCTACATATATAAGCATAAGTGAGTGTGGGAGGGCATGTGTGTATCTACATATACACACTGAGTATATGCACCTATTCTTACCTGACTTTTCTTTTCACCAACTTAATGTGGTTTTTTCTTTCTTTATTTATTTTTTTATTTTTTGAGACAGAGTCTTACTCTGTTGCCCAGGCTGGAGTGCAGTGGTACAATCTCGGCTCACTGCAAGCTCCGCCTCCCGGCTTCACACCATTCTCCTGCCTCAGCCTCCCGAGTAGCTGAGACTACAGGCGCCCAACCATGCCTGGCTAATTTTTGTATTTTTAGTAGAGACAGGGTTTCACCTTGTTAGCCAGGATGGTCTCGATCTCCTGACCTCGTGATCTGCCCGCCTCGGCCTCCCAAAGTGCTGGGATTACAGGTGAGAGCCACTGCACCCGGCCAATGTGTTAACAATAGTTTTGTAAAACATACTAATTCATGCCCATAGCCACTTTTCTATTCTCTTCCAGTGAAACTGCTTCAAAGAGTTGTATATCCTTGCAGTATTCAGTTTCTTTCCTGCTCTCTCGATGTTACTCCAAGTCAGGAGTTCTCATGACTCCACTGAACTGTCATCAGTGTCCTCCTTGCCACTAAATTCATTTTTTCAGTTTTCAGGTATTTTTTACTTTTCTCATTCTCTCCAGTATCCAGTCTGTTAGCCATACATATCAGCTGTATGGTCAAAATGTGTCTATGATCTCCACCTTCCCATATTCAAAGCCACCATTATCTCTTGTCTGATTTACTGCGTGAGTTTCTAGCTGCTCTTCTTGTATCCACACTTGCTCTTCCAGAGTCTCCAAATATTATTCCCCTCTAAAATGTATCTTACTTATTTTGTATTTTGTTGATTGTCTTTCTCATTTATCTTAGAACCTAAACTCAATGAAGGCAGATTTTTTTTTTTTTTTTCTGCTGGGTTCATTGCTGCATCCCTAGTCACATAACTAATGAAATAATTACATTGTCTAATAAAATAAGTACAAAAAGAAGACATCGTTTCTATGAAAATTAGGTGAATGCTTTGTTAACATTCAATTAATGTAAATTGGGGGAAAAAAAGAACTGATGAAAACAACTGTCGAAGTTTGGAGAATCCATAAAAACACTCCACAGGGTTTTTCACTGAAATGGCTTTGCAAGAATTTTAAGTTCTGACTCTATTCTGGAGGAGCCAAATTGGAAGTAGTATGGGATGCTTAATTGGGGTTGCTTTTGCTTCGAATATGACACAGAACTCCAGTCAATGCACCTGTGTTCAAATAAAAAGCCTTGACTCTATGTCAAAACATTGGTAAATGAATACAAATTTATATTTTTAAATAAGATGTTTAAAGTATCATTTTTATGATTTGTTGTTCTAAACACTGTTAGAGGCATTGAATTTTATCCTCCATTAAGGCTTACTGTAGGGCATCTGATGACTTGGTATCAGTAAAGCCAGAATACCTAAACTGATGGAATTGAATAGGATTCTACTTTATGGGTGCAGTGTACCTTATTTTACTTCTCTATTTATGCTTATTTAAGTTATTTACAGCTTTTAAAATAAAGAATACTGCAAATCTTTGCACATGCATAATTGTATTGTGTGTAAATATATCTGTAGGATAAGTTTCTATCAGCGATATTGTTGCAGTTTATTTAGACAGCTTTAGAACTGATTGACTTTTGCTTAGGATTTACGGGCTAGTCAGAATTTGCTTTGCAATATTTAGACTTGGTGTTGTCAATTTTATCAGCTAGCTTTTTTACTCTACACTTGTACTTAAAATAATTGAAATTTATGTAGAAAAAAGTATGTTTATGATTGTGAATCTGGAATTCTGTAGCCGAAGCACCCACTTCCCAATTGAATAATTGTTTTTATAACCTTACTTTAAGGATTTTTTTAATTTAGAAAAAGTTTTTGATAAAGAGAGATATCTTAGACACATAGCTATCATATTAGAACAGACCGTACCTCCTTTCTGCTCTGCCAAGAATCTGTGCTTCCTAAAGATCAATCCAGGGCATTTGGCAGCTATAGGAGATGTAACTAATCTCAAAAAGAATGACAGTGACCACATTTACAGTTTATACTGTTCTTCTTTTCATGTCTTTTGGCTATTAAAAATTATATTTATATAAATATAAACATTTTTAGGTTATGTAAATAATTCACAAAGTTTTCTGAATTCGCTTTTAGATTAAATTTTTAATATTTTCCCCATTTTGATAGTAAGAAAATGAATTGTAAATAAAATTTCCATTACGTTTCTCTATCCTTGAAGTTTCTGTCTTGGGTAATACATATCTTGTGATTCATGAACTGCAAAGAAAAAAAATCCACAGGATTTTGTCATCAGCTACATTCTATGAGCATTTTCAGCCAGATTTCAGTACTTGTTTAGATTTATATTATTTTGGGAGAATCTTAATTTGTAGTTAAAAAATTAAATATGTTGCAAAACCAATTATAAACTTCCTGTTAATGTTGAACTTTTGCTAGGGAAAGATTCTAAGGGGAATTTCCTTTATCCTTTTAAAGGGATAAATATTATTCAAATCACCTTAGTAACAGTTGGACCACAGTCATGCAATTAGTTTAGTATCACTTTCTAAGTTAGATGATGTTGGTCTGGAGTTGACAACATTGATTTTCTGTGAAGTTTACAATTTATTATTTTTTAAATAAGGGGGAAATTTTGCTTTTTAAAACTTTTGCAATTTATCACTTAGTTTACGAGGCAAAATAGATTTCACCATTTTGAGAACTGTGAGTTATTTTCTATGTGAAGAATATATGTGGTACCATTGTTTTTGATTGGGTCTCATAGTGCACATTATGTAAAAGAAAACAAATCTTACTGTCTTTTTTATGATACAGCAAAGTGAAGACTGAGGATCCTGAGTGTGCATAGTGCATGCATGTTATGTGTTATATGTGTATGCATACATATGTGTATATATATAGTTTTACAAGTTTAAAATAATATCAGTGACTTGAAAATTGTAAGGGCTTACCAGATAATCTCTTTGTAGGCCTTGGAGTAGCATTGTTTTTTTTTTTTTTTTCCTTTGGTTATTGATGGGTAATAATGCTCTGGTAAATCAGTCTTTTTTTTTTTTTTGAGATGGAGTTTCGCTCTTGTTGCCCAGGCTGGAGTGCAATGGTGCAATCTTTGCTCACTGCAACCTCTGTCTCCCGGGTTCAAGTGATTCTTCTGCCTCAGCCTCCTGAGTGGCTGGGATTACAGGCATGTGTCACCACGCCCAGCTAAATTTTTTTTTTTTTTTGAGATGGATTTTTGCTCTTGTTGCTCCGGCTGGAGTGCAATGGTGCAATCTTGGCTCACTGCAACCTCTACCTCTCAGGTTCAAGCAATTCTCCTGCCGTAGACTCCGGAGTGGCTGAGATTACAGGCACCCGCCATCACACCCGACTAATTTTTGTGGTTTTAGTAGAGACAGGGTAATACCATGTTGGTCAGGCTGGTCTTGAACTCCTGACCTCAGGCAATCCACCCGCCTCAGCCTCCCAAAGTGCTGGAATTACAGGCATGAGCCACCACGCCCAGCCTAATTTTGTATTTTTAGTAGAGATGGGGTTTTATCATATTGGTCAGGCTGGTCTCGAACTCCTCACCTCAGGTGATCCATCCGCCTCAGCCTCCCAAAGTGTTGGGATTATAGGCATGATCCACCACGCCCGGCCTGGTAAGTCAGTCTTAACCTTAGTTACTTCACCCTAAGACAGAGCTGGGTAGAAATCAGAAGACAAGAATTAGGAAAAAAGGAAGAGGCAGTGACCCATCTTAAGGTTTAGACTGTATTGTTTGATTGCGAGTAAATTAAAGCCTTTCCTTTTTTGTATGCTTATAGACCTCAGGGGTCACATTCTGTTCCTGAGAATAGTAGCTACCATTGGCAATGAAGTATGTGTGCATACATCCTGGATCTAATTAGGTGGTTGTGCTGCTTCCATATTTTTGGAACATTATTCTGACTTTATTTGTTCTATTTGTAGATAAGAACATTCAGAGGAACACATCTCTCCCCATGTAATTATCTCATTTAGCATTTTGCCTACTCAGAGGGCATGGCTAAATGTTTTAGGTACAGGGAAAAGCTGACTTTGGTGGCAGTTCTTTATACTGTCTTCTCAAATTAAGAGGGTCCTCTATTCAGGAATGTTTCCTGCATAACGAATAGACATTCCTTGAAGCATGATGACCCCCCACCCACTGCATTTGAATGTAGAGCAACATCTTACATGGAAACAGTGATAGTATAGGAAACACAAAATAACGTCAAATAAACTCTAATTAATAGCTTCACAAATTCAAGAAGACACTGTATTGACTAAATTAGTACATATTACTATGCAAAAGTATCATTCAGAGAACAGTGTTCCTGAAAATAAAAAAATCTGATCGCCTGCCCTCCTTTATCCATTACTAATAAACAGACAAACCAAAAGCCACTACCAAGTAGTGAAATGGATATAGCTAAAAATCAAATATTTGACCTTGAAAATAAGTCCACGATATCACCCAGGATACCAAATAAAAAGTAAAGTGTTAAAAATACAAATGAAAAATTAAGAGACATCAAGGATCCATCAATTTTTAAATGTAGATTCCCAAATATCCAACATTCATTGTAAAAGAAGTCTCAGATGAACAGAAACAATGGAAAGAAAATTACTCAAAGTAATAGGATATTTCCTTAATCTAAAGACGAATGTGAGACTATAGATAAAATTGCCAATCAAGGGCCAAGCAAGAATTATGAGCAAAGCCAAGACATTATATTCTAGTGATATCTGTGATCTCCCAAAGTTAATGAAAGACATTGTGACAGTTTCAGGTAGGAGAGGATGAGAAAAATATTTGGTTAATGGCCTAGGTTGGTAGCTAGCTAGCCAGATCCTTGTTCTTTCTTTCACTTATTTTTTTTATTCATTCAACAAATGTTTATAGAGCACTTACTATGTGCCAAAAATTTTGTTAGGTAATAATAGACACAGTGGAGTAAAAATAGTCTGATGACAGAAGTAAACAATAATCACATTATAAATAAAAATAAATTACACCTGTGATAACTTCTACCATGGAGTGTTTTATAGTGCTGAGAGCATATTACAAAGGGATTTTTGACTTAATCAGGGAAGGCATCCCAGAAGTAGCGGTAAGTAAAGTGTGAGTAGGAATTAGATTGCGAGGAGAGCAGGTAACATCCCAGGAAGAGAGAGCAAACACGTACAAAGGCCCATGGTTAGGGGGATTGTGATAGACTGAAAGGAATGGAAAAACTAATATGTCCAGAAAGCAGACATGCAGTGCAAGACAAAGCTTGGCGAGTAAGTAAGGACTCGTACTATGCAGGTGTTTTACACAAAAAGAATGGGAATCATACATCAGACTTCTCACCTGCAAGACTAAATACTAGAAGACAGTGTTCTGAGAGAAAATGATTTTAAGCTTATGCAAACTTTCTAGAAAGAATGCTCATGGATACACTCTAGAAAATGGGGGTGGGGGAGGGAGAAGAAAAGAGATTCCAAAAAAAAGATGTACGTTAGAAGAAACAATGTGCCACCTAGGTATGTAAAATAAGCAGCCCTCAGTGGAAGCTGAGAAGCAGGCCTAGAAATCAATGGGTTCGATTGGGTTAGTAAGTCAGCGGGCTGCAGGAAATGTCTTTGGGGATAAATTGTATAATTAAAAAGTTGGAAATACATCTGTGGCATGCTTCTGCTGTAATAAACTGTGTGTTTCTTATCTGTAACAAAAGAGAGAATAAAAAGAAAAAGCAGTTAGAAGTTCAAGGGAAAACAAAAATCTGTTCAAAAGTCATGGTGTTGAATCTGTTTTTTAGTAAGAGAATTAAGGGCATCACATTTATGATATCTAGTCACATGTTTGGGCTTATTCTTGACATTCTATTTACGTGTGTGCATTTCCTTGCTTTTGCTTCTGTCTTTTCTTTTCCTTCCTTTTGATAAATTGAGTTTTCTTTTCAAACTGTTTTGTTCTTCCTTCCTTTTTAAAAAATTTTTGTTTGTTTCTTTAGTGGTTTGAGTGGTACATCCAATATCTATTTTTAATAGTGGCTAACTTTAAATTTTAAAAACGTACTTTAAAAAATTCAAGATATAGGCCGGGCACGGTGGCTCATGGCTATATTCTTAGCACTTTGGGAGGCGAAGGTGGGCAGAACAGCTGAGGTCAGCAATTCAAGACCAGCCTGGCCAACATGGTGAAAGCCCAACTCTACTAAAAATACAAAAATTAGGCATGGTGGCGTGCACCTGTAATCCCTGCTATTCAGGAGACTGAGGCAAGGGAATCGCTTGAATCTGGGAGGCAGAGGTTGCAGTGAGCCAAGATCATGCCACTGCACTCCAGCCTGGATGACAGAGTGAGACTCAGTCTCAAGTAAAATAAAATAAAATTCAAGATATAATTCGGTTTCTACAGTAGCCCCCAAACAAGACAAAACTTTTAGCAAACTTTCTACTCTTCTGCCTCCTCTTCTTACCTTTTACTTAAGAAAAATCAAGACTTCTAGTTTCTTGTTGTTAAAATTTCTAAATTTATAAATATCTGAATATGAGTGAGTTGAATATATAAAAAGCACAAAAAGTAATACGGCAATCATCTAATGACCAAACATTAAAATCAAACATGCTAACATTTTACATAATTTGCTTCAGGTCTCTGAAAAGAATTGTAGATATAACCAAAGCACCGTCCCCTACTCCTTCCTCCTGCCTGTCATCTCAGAAGTTGTCCGGAAATTGCTGCTGCTTGTTCTCATTCATGTGCTTGCACTTTTATTATGTATCTGTGCACTCATTTAAAAAACCCTCACACTTAAAAATAATTTGGCCAGGTAATACAGGTTAAAATTATAGGATACAAATTCTGAACCTTCAAAAGTGTGTAGGAATTGTTCCACCATTCTAGAATTTGGTCTTCCAGGGTCTTCCTTATGCCCCTTTGAATGTCCTATAGCATCCATTTAAAGACCTTACACACGGTAGATGTTAATGTTTATTTTCCACCCGTAATTTAATGACATTTCTACTTATTAATTTTTCTTGTTTGGGATATATGTACTAGGCGCTTAGCTATGACTTGCTAATTCATCCAATGGAAGATACTGAGTGTCTGCTGTCGCCAGGCAATATTCTAGATTCCAGAGATACAGACATGAAAGAGGTAGCATTCCTTCCTTCATGAAGTTAATATTCTTGTTGAGGGAAGATAAAACAATAAACATGTAAACCAATAAATACAATAATTTTGGGTATAAATAAAGGATATATCATTTGGGTATATCAGCATGTGATGATAATAAAATGGGAGAATGTGGTGATGGTGGTGGGCTGTTGCTCTGGCTAGGATAACCAAGGATAGCCTTTTTAAGAAAGCGACATTTAATAAGTAAATAGACATAAAAAGCTGCAGAGAGAGTAATCCCAGCAGATGGATCTATAAATGCAAAGATCCTGAGACAGAAATGGGCTTGGTCTGTGTGACTGGAACCTCGTAAATGAGGAGCGAGTGGAAAGAGATGAGATCCAAGAAACTAGCAGGGCCAGTCATGTGTAGGGCATTATGGATAGCAGTAAGGATTTCAAGTAGGAAGACTTTGGAGGGTTTTAAGCAGGAGAGTGACTTAGTGCAAATTGATTTATGCTTGTTTTGTACAAGCTGGACTTTAGGGAAGCAGTGTGGAGGAAGAGGAATTGGTTAAGAGCCTGTTGCAATTGGCAGATAAAAGGTATTGCTCACTTGGCTAGGATGGTAGCAGTGGAGAAGTGGTTTTACCTGGCTTTTCAGCACCTGAATGGTCTGTAAGAATGGCACTAGCATTCAAGTCATTTCAATGTGGACTTTCCAAGGTACAGTTGCAGGATGAGAGTTAGAGTCTGTTGTAGGGTATGGAACTTGTACGTGCGCAATACACACTACTTAATGTTAAGGAGAGTACACCAGAGGGAAGGCAGCTTTGGCATTCTCTTGGGCACAGGAAAGTAGCATTGTGGTGATCAGGAGAGTCTAATGAAGCTAAAACTGTCACCCAGGAATGTTAAAAAGAGAACATAATGAGTATTCTGCTCTGCTTTAGAGCTCTGTATGGTGTTATTATCCTTCTCTAAAAGATAAATGTTGCTCTCAAGAGTGAGTAATGAAAATACTAGAGCACATCATACAATAAATGAAATCATGAAACTTTAAATGTATGCAACATGTGCTGTGACCAGGAAGGAATGGCAGTGTTGAACACCAAACTAGATGGAGTAAAATTGGTATCAGGGTGGAAATAATATAGAACAATAATACTGTGGAGATACCTCAGGTAAATTATATAGTTTCAATAGTCAGGAAAAAAGATTTTTTAATTAATCTGGGTTATTCTTTTAGAAAAAGCGTTAATCTCAAAAAGCCATCCACATACACCCCCATTATAATGAACCCTTAGCTGCAAGACTGGGGAAGAATAAGCTTTGCATCTGTGGCCACTTTTTCTGACATAGGCTCTGTTAAGATACATAGCATTGAAGGATTTCCTAGCTAACTATGTAGTATGTGTGTACCTTAATAGCAGAAATCACAACGTAACTACAGAGATGAACTAAAATTTGATTAGATTCTGGGATACCACGCTGCCTGACCTGAGGGAATAAACAATTTAGGGAAAACAGAAAAAGCAACTTAGGCACTCATTTATTTTCTCCCTTGATTCCCACCGCAGGTCTCTGAGATGGGACTGTTTCTGGGATCCTCATTTGAAAAACAAGAAGAGTGAGGCCACCTTGGGCACAGTGCTGTTGTAGAATTGATTTACCTTGACTTGTTTTGGATCTATGGGATGTCTGGTTCTTTTGTAAAAACACAACTTTGCCAGCCAGACTAGAAACGCTTTCTGTGTTTTTCATCAAAAATCTTGGACACTGTCTCTAGAGGTCTTCTCTGGCAAGGACTGTTTTCCTCTTTAACTTTGGTTCTTGCATTCCATATGTAAGCAAAGTTCAACTAGTTAGGAAAAAGTCATTCTAGAAAAAAAGACTGTAATTGTGAGACCAGATGGTAAGCATTATTCAGCTGATGAGGTTGGATAGATTTGAGGGAAGGTGTGGTAATATGATCTCGATCTGCAGCTGTGACCTGTTGTTCCAAAACAGCCTCATTCCTCCCTGCCTTTTGCGTCTGCATTCCAGCACCTCTCCCTCCATCTTTGTGGGCATTGGGGTTCTCACAGATTGCTTTGACAGATGCATCAGGGAGGAATAAAGCTTGTTCAAGGAAGAACAACCCACGGATCTGTTTTGAATATCCTCCACCCCATGTTACTTGTAATATTGGCAAATCAGGGGACAATATAACCACTTTTGTTCAGCGTGCTGTGAGACAGTTTCCCATGACACAAATTGCCATGAGCCTATTTAGATGTAATTAAGGCATTTCCATTAGATGTCTTGCAGGTACCTCAAACTAAACACATACTGAACCCAGCTCATCAGCTGTCTTCTTCTCCTTACCTCCCTTACAAAACACCAGTAAACATTTTCTCCTGTGTTTCCTCCTTCAACCAAAGTGAAAATTTAGAAGTCATTCTAGACTTCTCTGTCTCATCCATCTCATGGAGTCCGTCTCCTAAATACTTCTCCAGTCCTTCTATATCTCTTCCCAGTGCTGCTGTCCTGATTCTGGCTTTCATTATCTCTCTTCTGGAATTTGGAAATAGTTTTGCCTTTACTTTATTTTCTTCTTCCACTCTGTCACCAATGTTGTGTCTTAAATGAAAATCTGACCAGTAAGGCCAATGAGATTACAATCCCATAGTGGGAGGTGTGGGTGAAGGTCTTTATTTTTTAAAGAAGCTCTGCAGACTATTGTAATGTGTGGCTAGGGTTGAGAATGTATGCTGGACTGGACAAATTTCAAATAGCCAGATATACAAGACCTTTGTGACCTTGGACATCTTATCTTCTGCTACTTCTGTTTCTGATGTTACAATAAATAACCACACTTCTTCATCCTTTTTTTTTTTTTTTTTTTTTTTTGAGATGGAGTCTTGCTCTGTCACTCAGGCTGGAGTGTGGTGGTGTGAGCTTGGCTCACTGCAACCTCTGCCTCCTGGGTTCAAGTGATTCTCCTGCCTCAGCCTCCCAAGTAGCTGGGACCACAGGTGTGCGCCACCACGCCTGGCTAATTTTTGTATTTTTAGTAGAGATGCGGTTTCACCGTTGTTGGCCAGGCTGGTCTCAAACTCCTGACCTCAGGTGATCCACCCACCTCGGCCTCCCAAAGTGCTAGGATTACAGGCGTGAGCTCCCGCACCGGGCCCTTCCTCTTACTTTCATACTGTTGCATACCATTCATCGGTGTTGTGCCTGGGTTTGTGGGATTCTTCTATCAGAAATGTGCTGGAAATATACAAACTACTCAAAGCACTATGACTACTGAGTACTATATTTCATTCCCCATCTTGGTAGGTGATGGCATTGACCCATGAGAACCTCCAAAATGATTTGCTTCCCTATGTTGTCTCTCTATTCCCTCTTGTTATCTTCTTCATACCCAACTGCAAGTCCTAGGAATCTCTTTATAATCAGGATAGTATTGTCTCAGAGCCTTTTGACATGCCAGCTCTTTCTTGTCCAAAACACATTTTCACATTCTGCCCTTGGAGAATCTATCCTAGGGCTCTGCAACGCCAGCGTGCCACTCACGTAAGTCATGGTGGTCAGGTAGATGCACAGTTTATAGAGGGCTTTTACAAGTTGTATCTCAGTTTGATCCTCACTGTGCCATGTGGAGGAGGCAGGGAGCTATTATTTCTCCACTTCAGAGGTGCTGAGATGGAGGTGTTTTAACTCTTATCAACCTTTCAGGTGTACGCTGAACTCTCTGTAGATTACATGTTGATGGGGTCCACAATGCACATCTCAAGTCCTGTAACCTGATTGAATTATGGTTAGCTCCTTACTATTAAAGGGGTTTAGGTGTGGTTTATTATTGTTTTCAGAAGCTCAAGGGGAAATCCTTAATTTGAGCAAAATTTATTTCAGAATATCCATTCATTGTGGGTTAGGAACCTCATCCCTTACAATTTTCCAGCCCCCATTTTCGTCTTCTGTAGTGCATCCTCATCTTTTGGTCAGTTTGATCCTTGAGGCCTCTGTGAAATAGAAAGGAGGGGGAGGGGGGCGCAGAATTTCCATATGATTGGTTTTAGATGTTGATTTCGGAGGCCTGTACTGTGAGTCACTGAAATTATTGGATTGAGTCTTGAAGATCCAAACACAGAGTGTTGGGACTGTGTGGTTGGGCTTAATCCTAGTACAAAAACCAGTTCCTTTCAGTGAAGAAGATAAAGGAGAGGAATCCAGGTTCCTCAATGAAGCATCCATACATAGAAGCTCCTGTGTCAGGCTGTGGTGTTTCCCACTTCCTGCCTTCAGTCTAGCAGGGTTCCTTGCATTTCTTGGTCTAAAAGTAAGGCTTATGGGCTCTTTCTGGAAAGATCTTACACCTTTTAAATTTTAACATGGGAAGAAATTATAAACAACAAATGACAGTGTTTGAATTCTCTCACTTTTGAGCAAAGTCAAGCAGCTTAAGTATGAGAGAATAAAGATATTCCCTTCTGTTGCCCAGAAGGAGAAAAAGATCATTTTATTTAAAATCTAGCTATTGAGATGCATGTTCCTTGTGTCTAATCAAGTTCTGAATTTGAACTCAATTAGAGCTTTGATAAAAGGAAGGGGAAAGGAAACTTGAAAGAATGCTGTTCCATTCATGAAGGGACTGTGTGTTTTTAGTTTCCAAGTAAATGGCATAATGGGACCATGCATTTTCCATCCAAGCATTTTCCATCCTGAGAATAATTCCCTTCCTGGCTTCTCAATGAATAATGCATTATTTCTGAAACCCAAGAGGCATTCCTTTGATTTTCCTTTATGTTTAGCTTTCTGAGTGATTTTCAAGCAAGGAAATTCAAGGACTTGGAATGAATGCTTTATTAACATTTTTATTGAAGTTCAAATTGCTCCTTGGCTATTATCTCCTGATATTTGAAATATTTTTTTCTCTCCAAGGAAAGTCTAAGGTGTTGTATTTATTAGAAAATGAAGTACCTTGGCCAATCTTCAAAGTGAACAGCAGTTTAAAACCAATACACATTTGTGTTGTAGAACAAAGAGCTTTATGGGGGTACTTTTCTCCTTTATTTTCATTTCCCTGCTGAAAAGTTTCACAAAAGAAAGCTCAGATTCAAAAGTGGGCTGTTTGGAGACTAAATCTCATTTGTTTACATTTTGTGAAACTAATTCCTTGAGGCTGGACCAAATCCATGACCCCAGTCCAAGCCTGCATCCACCAAAGCCAGCGCCATTTAAATCTGAAGATGCAAATGCCCTTCTGGGGTTGCTCCTACTTCCGCTCTGCCTGATTACACATATGTAGCCTGCCTGATTACACATATGGGGCCCATTAGGTGAGGTGTAATGGGACACAGTGGTGCCCACCGCTGTTGGCTCATGTTCTTTCAGTAGAAGATCCCCAGCAGAGTCTGGAGTAACACAGTGGTAGGATTTAATGCTATTTTACAACCTCCATTTTCCTGGGATCCAAATGATGAGTGATTTCAGAAACTAAATGAAATAGAATTAAGCATCTCATCTATATTTTCATTCCTCTTACAGTTATAGTAAAATTGTAATGATTCAGAATAATTGGGGGAAGAAAGAGAACAAAGTTGATCTAAATTAGTAGAACATCTGAAATAGTAAATTTGGTTTAAAATATTTAATGTTATCATTTTCAAGATATAGAAATGTAATATTTTCTAGAGCTTGAACTCTGGAGGCAGCCTCTAAGAACAGAAACTCTGGGATTTTTCTGCTTTCCAGTACTGTGGCCTTGAGCCAGTTATATAAACTTTCTGGGTCTCAGTTCCTTCATCTGTACAATGGGGATATTAGTTTCTATGTCATATGGCTACTGTGAAAATTCAATAAATTATTACTGGTAAAGCATATAGGACAGCACTATGTGGGTAGTTGTTGAATAAAAATAAAACATAGATCTTGTCATTGAAAATCACAATTTCCAAACAGGCCCATGCTACTCAGCAGGTAATAATTATTATTGTTATTGTAGATACAGATTGAGTGATTATTTCCTTAACACTTGTTTAATCCATACAACAAACCTTATGAGGTGTAAATATAATCATCTGCATTTTCAGATGGGAAAATTAAGGAAAGAAAGTAGTTTGCCTAAGTTCACCCAGTTTATTACATGTCAAACAAAGATTTGGGCCCAGACAACCTGAATCCAGAAACTATGCCTTAATTAAACATTAAAGGACACTTATCATTCGTGCTTATCTTTTGCCTGAAAATAACACTGCTATTAAAAACCATGTTGTTATGTGAGGTGAAGTGTTTCCTGAATGCAGTTTTTCATATCTCAATTGCTTATCAAACTCTTTGTGTTTTGCTCAAAATAATAATCATCAATGTCTCATAATTGCTTGATTTTAGTAACGTCCAAAATAAAATTTTAAGTTGACTATCGTTAAATTTTTTCTGATTTTCTCAGGAAATGAGTATTTCATTTGCGACAATGGTGGCTTCCAACTTCAGTATTTTTATATTGAACTGAAATCATTTCACTTTATGGTCGCATGTTTTATAATATTTTTTCATTCTCTTTTTAAAAATCCTTCTGATCCCTATCCTTGTCCTTGTAGGGGCCTTTATCATCTGCTGGACTCCTGGATTGGTTTTGTTACTTCTAGACGTGTGCTGTCCACAGTGCGACGTGCTGGCCTATGAGAAATTCTTCCTTCTCCTTGCTGAATTCAACTCTGCCATGAACCCCATCATTTACTCCTACCGCGACAAAGAAATGAGCGCCACCTTTAGGCAGATCCTCTGCTGCCAGCGCAGTGAGAACCCCACCGGCCCCACAGAAGGCTCAGACCGCTCGGCTTCCTCCCTCAACCACACCATCTTGGCTGGAGTTCACAGCAATGACCACTCTGTGGTTTAGAACGGAAACTGAGATGAGGAACCAGCCGTCCTCTCTTGGAGGATAAACAGCCTCCCCCTACCCAATTGCCAGGGCAAGGTGGGGTGTGAGAGAGGAGAAAAGTCAACTCATGTACTTAAACACTAACCAATGACAGTATTTGTTCCTGGACCCCACAAGACTTGATATATATTGAAAATTAGCTTATGTGACAACCCTCATCTTGATCCCCATCCCTTCTGAAAGTAGGAAGTTGGAGCTCTTGCAATGGAATTCAAGAACAGACTCTGGAGTGTCCATTTAGACTACACTAACTAGACTTTTAAAAGATTTTGTGTGGTTTGGTGCAAGTCAGAATAAATTCTGGCTAGTTGAATCCACAACTTCATTTATATACAGGCTTCCCTTTTTTATTTTTAAAGGATACGTTTCACTTAATAAACACGTTTATGCCTATCAGCATGTTTGTGATGGATGAGACTATGGACTGCTTTTAAACTACCATAATTCCATTTTTTCCCTTACATAGGAAAACTGTAAGTTGGAATTATCTTTTGTTTAGAAAGCATGCATGTAATGTATGTATGCAGTATGCCTTACTTAAAAAGATTAAAAGGATACTAATGTTAAATCTTCTAGGAAATAGAACCTAGACTTCAAAGCCAGTATTTGTTTAGGTCATGAAGCAAACAATGCTCTAATCACAATATTAACTGTTTAATTAAAATGTTGTAACAAGTATAAAACAGGGAATGTAAGTTTATTACCAAAGTGATATGTATTCCAAAAAAGTCATAGAAGATGAAGCACTATAATATTGTTCCCATATATTTAAAATACCCAAGTACATTCTAATTACCAGTATATCAGAGGAAAATTTTCGTAGTCTTTGTAAAATAATATACTCATCATAGAAAACTTGAAAAATGCAGAAATGTATAAAAAAGCAAAAATGATTACTGATAATATCACAACCCAGAAGTAACCACCTTTAAAAAGCAACCCCCATGTATGCCTATATGTGTATTGTATACTTTTTTTACATAATTGGAGTCATACTGTAAACAGTTTTATAAGTAGATCTTTTTCATTGCAAAATTGCCACATTTTCTTATGGCATTAAAAATTTTACAAAAACATAATTTTAATGGCTATATTATATTCCATTTAATGGATGCAACTCAGTTTATTTAACCATTCCCATGTTGTTAACTATTTAGGTTGTTTCTAATTTTCATTATTATAAAGTTGCAGAAATTTGGTGTACATAAAACTGTCTCCATATAATTGATTATTAGGATATATTCCCATGAAGGATTCTTTTTTTAAAAAAATGTGAAATGTCATCTTGTACTTACACCTTTCATGAAAAGGGATTTCCTGCTTTTGTACTGCATGGGTGGCAGTTGTGAGGAAAAGCCAGTCAAATGACCTTTTTACAAAAGAAATGCAGTGGTCACTTCAGTTGAGAGTGACTTTTTAATACAACAAGATCAACTAGAAGAATTCAACTGTCTCAAGAATCAAGGTACCCCAATATATCTCGCAATTCCAAACTTTGTTTGAGGGACTCGTTATCCAGCTCTTGGTAGCCACACCTGCAATGTAAAATGGAAGAAAATGCAAAGAAACCAAATGTGCCGAGTGAATAAAGGATTGTCATATCAATTAGTGTGGGTCCATCTGTAGCAAATGGGTTGAGTGTGTCAGTATGTGGTTGGTTACTGTGTATTCGCCAGGAATCACCCCGATAGGCTGCCACCCTATTAGGTGATACCTGTTTAATATGTTGTCCAGGTAGACTAGTAGTTGCATCAGTTTGCTGTAACAAGTAACCAGTGAGGTAACACAGTGGTGAAGCAGGTCAGGGGAGGTCAGGAGGATGTCTGAGAGAAAGAAGTCCGGGAGATGAATGGCTGTCTAGGAAGGAGGATGTCAGTGCACGGTTAGTGTTTGAGCAGAGGGCAGACTTGTAAAGTACCTGTAGTGAAAAGAATGTGGGGACCCGATTAGCAGAAAGGTGTTTGCACGTACTTTATACAAAATACAGAATACTTTATATTGGAAGTGAAAGAAATGAACGTGGACTTTTACACATGTGCATATTTTTCTGGAGGCTATATGGATTATTTGAAATGAAAAGCATACTAATTGGACTTTAATAAATCATTTTCAATCAGCGTTTGGTAATGTGTGGTTCTGGTCAGTGCTATTTCTCTTGTTCGAGAGTCTTCCAGCTTGCATTGCGTGGGTGTTTTTCCCACTATGACCTCCTTTATTTCTCTGTAACAAGGGCTGCTTAACCCTGAGGCGGAGCAACCGTGTGCTCCCCCAGCCCACAACTGCTTTTTTTCAATCTGAGTAATAAATCTTGCCAATGTCTGGGAGGTGGTAGTTTATGTTCCTTGAGAGGAGACAATTTATTAAGATGGTACTTTAGCTCAACAGGATAACCGTTAGAGTGGGTTTCTTTTTGAAAGACTGATTTTACAAAAAATTTTGACAACTTTATGAAACACTCTCACTAGTTTATAAAGTCACGGTGGTATTTCTACTTATAGGTTTAATAACCAACAAGATAAAAGTTATATATATATCTTCCAATGATATAACCATTATAACATTTTCAGTATATCACTAAGGTGTTGGAAAAAGATAAAATATTTATTCAAGTGAATGTCTCAATGAGGATTTGGAAGAGAATTCTGAACCTTTAATTTTAGGTGGATATAAGATTGTTAGAAATCAAATATCTTTGAACTGGTCTTTACAAATTAGCCACCCCTCACATATATTCCTCTTTTTAAATTAGTGAAACCATAATTTTCAAGACCTAAAACCGCAACTAACGTATAATTAATGAATCTTATCAGCCTTCCTTTTCTCCTTCCCAGTTAGCTATTGTTTTAGGTTCCACTGTTCATCTTCCAGTTTATTCCAGAATTCTCTCAGCTTCTGAAATATTATATACTGCTTCTAGCTCCTTCCCTTAAAACCCAGAGTGTGCACTCATGCTAGGTAAAAACTGTAGAAACACCTCTTTTATCACATCCCTTCACTATAACAAAGTAAACAGAACATTTTAATGAAAAGAGCTTTTGAAACAAAGTGCTAATTGTTTCATATCAACTGAGCTTCACCTGATTCCAAACCCCATAAGAATTAGGGATTATTTGTGGGTTTAGAATGGTGGTTTGTGAATGAGGTTGGACACTGCATGATAGAAGAGATGTACGTAACTAGGAGCCAGGATGTATTGTTAATCTTCCTAAGCAAGGGCTGTTCATGTTCTAGCATTCACCTGCATCTTGTGTAGTCTACACAGCAAATTCTCTAATTCTTCCCTTAATGTTATAAAGCTCATATTCATAGACTATTAACAAAATATTAAATTATAAACTTAAATCATAAATTATTAGCAAATAGTCTATGAATATGAGCTTTATAACTCTGAATATGAACTTTAATGATGTGACATGTAATGACCATTTGAAAATATGCTGAATTTGCAAACTAAGGCACATCAGTCGAATCCACTTATTTTTGTATGACCTATGAGCTGAGAACAGGTTTTACATTTTTAAATGGTTGGGAAAATATTTTGTGACACATGAAAATTATAAGAAATGCAAATGTCAATGTCCATAAATAAAGTTTTATTGGAATACAGCCATCCTTATTAGTTTATTAATTCCCTATGACTGCTTTTGTATCATTAAATACTAGCGCAGAGTGGAGTAGTTGCAACAGAGTCTATAATGGCCCTCAGAGTCTAAGATATTCACTCTCTGGCCCTTTATTGAAAAAGTTTTCCAATCCTTGATTTAGAAGATTCCATTTTCAAAAAAAAAAAAAAAAGTTTCCATTTTCAATCATGCTATCCTCATTTGATTATGGATGTTCATTAGAAGAGGAAGAAGGAGAAATTGGGCACAAGATTCCTTAATCTAGCTCTAGCCTGCAGAGAGAATTCTCAACCCAATTTTTTATGTTAAAGATAACTTGCATTTTGGAACTTATGGAAAAGCTAACCAAATTTACAGATTTTGTGAATAAATTGCCAACATGATGCCCCATCAGCCCTGAATACTTTTTTATGTAATTCCACAGATAAGGACATTCTCTTTCATAACCTCAATGCAATTATTAAAGTCAAATTAACATTGATGCAGGAACTATCATTTAATTCACAGATCCCGTTCAACCTTCATCAATTTGTCCAATAAAGTCCATTATAGCAAAATAACCTAATCCAGGCTGGCTGGCTGTATTATCTCTCTTTGAGTCTTCTTAAATCTTCAACAGTCTCTTAGTTTTTTCTTGACCTTCATGACTTTGTCACTTAAAGATCACAGGTCATTTTTTAGAATGTCTCTCAACTTGGCTTGTCTGACATTTTCAATGGTATATATATCATTTATCTTTGACAAAACAAGAGAGAAATTCTGCTGTGTTTCTTCCGACTACATCCCATCAAGCAGTACATCATGTTGATTTGTCCTATTATGTACTTTGATTATGTAGTTAAGGTGATGTCTACTAGGTTTGCCACTATGAAGAAAACAGATACCTGTTGCACACATACCCTCAATCATTTTTTTATCCTTTGTAATAAGCACCCTGTAGAGAGGTAATTGGGACTATGTGAGTATCCTGTTCCACATCAAATTTTAATGTCTAGTTTTAGCATCCATTGATATTTCTTGGGTGAATTAATCATTATTCTGATTGATAGTTGCCTAATGATGAATTTCTAATTCTCTTTTCAAAATGTATTAGCAATCTTCTGTGAGAAACTTTTTCTCTCATTTATTCACTCATTTATACCCCTATGAACTCATGGGTTCCTGTTTTGTTTAATTACTTATACTGTTACTGTCGCTTTCCAGTTAAATCTTTTCTTTTGAGATAATTGCAGATTCACATGCAGTTCTAAGAAATAATATGGACTGATTCCGTATATCTTTTACCTGGTTTCTCCCAGTGGCCAGTATCTCACAAAACCATAGCATAACATTACAACCAGGAAGTTGACATTGATATAATCAAGGCATAGAACAGTTCCATCACCACAAAGATTCCTCATGTTGCAATTTATAGCTTCATCCAACTCCCTTACCCCCATTCTGACTCCTAGCATTCACTAATCTAGTCCTCATTTCTTCAATTACATTTGATACTTTTCTCATGCTAAAACTCATAAGACTTCTCTGTAACAATGGATGTGGTGCTGATACTTCCCTAGAGTTAACAGACAGGAAGAGAGAGTCTCTATACACATGAACTATAGACTGTATCTAGTCCAGAGAGAAACCACGCAAACAAATATTTCAAGGAACACAGAAATGAGTAAAGTAGAAAGTGGAAGTCTCCCCTACAGTTTGGAAGTTAGACCACAGATAATCTGTTGCACACAACCTGATAAACAGACATTCACAAAGTTATTTTACTTTTTTTTTTTTTTTTTGAGATGGAGTCTTGCTCTGTTGCCCAGACTGGAGTGCAGTGGAGCGATCTCCGCTCACTGCAAGCTCCACCTCCCAGGTTCACACCATTCTCCTGCCTCAGCTTCCTGAGTAGCTGGGACTACAGGCGCCTGCCACCACACCTGGCTAATTTTTTTGTATTTTTAGTAGAGATGGGGTTTCACCATTTAGCCAGGACGGTCTCCATCTCCTGACCTCGTGATCCGCCCGCCTTGGCCTCCCAAAGTGCTGAGATTACAGGTGTGAGCCACCATGCCCGGCTGCGATTTTACATTTCTGTTTGTTTTGTGGAACTCTCAACGTCTCTTTGGCATCAGGAAAGCCAGACTTCATTTTGTTTCATGTGTGACATTGTTTATAATTTGCATCTTTTAACTCGGATCTTTCATGAAAGGAATCTTTGTATTTTCTATTATGAAGAACATATAGTGCTGAGTAGTACTTAACACTTGTTTATGTAAATGAAATGCGTGAACTACAAGTAAAGGCATGCTTAATGAAGAAATGCTCTTTAATTCCACAATCCTGATAAAGGGTTTCCTTCACATTTAAGAATATTACAGTTAAAATTAAGTCAGAATAATGTAAAAGAAAAAAAAAAGCTTAAATCCTTCGATGATGTGTTCTACCAATGTGTCTGTGTTTTCTGAGTAGTCAACTTATTTTGCTATGCTTTAGGAAAAATTTTAATAGCACTACTGTGTTGCGTGGGTAATGGGATTTATGGGATTTATAGCTCACATAAAACATTCATATAATTTGTATTTTGATCTTTGTGGTAACTCTTACACATGAGGAAACAGTCTCAAAGAAAAAACTGGGGGTCTAATATTTGTTGTTTATAGCATTATTTGATGGCTAATTACATATTCTTTATATTGCAATTGATAATTCCTTATATATATTTATCTATTTTGTCTCCCCAAACAAATTATGAGTTCCTTGAGAAGAGGCATGATGTTTTATATATTTTTTAATCCCTCAAAGAACTTAGCACAGTAAAAGTAAGAGAAGAAAACATGATGTCATTAACAGGTGCATGAACTGTGCTGTGCGGTGTTCATATTATTGCAGGCATGCCTATATTCCAAGCTAGAAAACAAGTTAGTAATATTTGAGAGTAAGATAATCTTGTGCTTTCCATTACTTTTTTATTATACCAATGACTATAACAAAACTAGAAATATGGTGTCACTCAACAGTTCTTAAGTGAAAATTTTATGACCATAATTAGATGTGATAGTTGATGTTATCGCTATCTACCACTCATTCTTTGACTTATTCATCTACAAATATTTTTTCAGAGTCTTCTGTGTATCAGGCTCTTATGATGTTGCTGTGAATGTGATAAGCAAGATCTTTAATAGAACTTAGTTGCAGCGAAGGAGAAGAAAATAAGTTCAAAATAAAAGTACAAATTGTATTAAGAGTTATGAAGGAAACAATGGCATGACATAGAAATTAAAGGAAAATAAAATGGATGGTGGAAGATAGGGAGAGGAACTATCTTTGAAAGGATAATTTAGAATGCTCTGTCTTAGAATGAGAACTGTCCTGTCAAAGCCACTCACCTTGAGCCTGAGTTGCACAGAGGTGTGCCCCTGTCAAGCTCTTGAACTTGCACTCACTCTGGTAATCAGTTCACGTCAAAACAACCCATTAGAAAAATTGGCACGCATTTAGCATATGCAGATAGGAATTTCAGACAAGATGTGTAAATGCTTAGTGAGAGAAAGCATGCCATTTGGGAAAGAAGGGCAGGTATAGACTGTGAGGATGAGGCTTGAAAGGCAGGCTGGCGTGATGACTTGAGTGATTTTGGAAGTGATTTTATCCTTGAGAATTGTGGGAAATAAGCTAAAGGATTTAAGTTTAAAAAAAAACCACACAATCTGGTTTACACTTCAGAATAAATTGGAGAAGAAAGACTGAAGGCAAAAGATAGGATCAGAGGCCGTCACATTAACTGAGACGAAAGATGAAGGTGGCAATGGAGGTGCAGAGATGAATGGATTCAGGGGTGTTTGGGACACGGTGATTGTTTGGATAAAGATGTTTTCTTAAGTTATGACCTCGAATACTGGATGGATGGACATGTGATACGTTGAGATAAGGAACATAAGAGCAATTTTACAGAGAAAAGATAATGAGTAGAGCCTTCAAATGAGAATTTTGTGGTAGGAAGGTGGCTATGTGAAACTTGAAGCTCAGGATATATCCCTGGACTGAAGACTTAGATTTTGGAGTCTGATTTTTTTCTGCTGCCATCTTGCTATATTCTTCCCTAAGATGAGAAGCACACAGCCTCGATCTGCTTGAATAAGAAGAAGGAAATGAGCTAAAACAAGGAGAAATAAAAAAAAGCAGAACTTAATATCTGAATGTATTATCCAGAAACATGTGAAGCTGTTTCTTTTCAACAAAATAAGGTTATGTACCATGTATTTGATTTTTAACTTGATAATACATTATAGATATCCATCCAAGGTTTAAGTATGTGTCTGCCTTGCTCTGCAGTTGAAGTAGAGATTATTACAGGTCATCAATGTTTTGTTTACCCCTTCTTCCTGGACTCTTGGAAAGCTACAACTCTGTTAGACAGGTTTGTGCAACTAGTTATGTCCAGTGGGCTGTGAGTGGATGTGACATCTGTCATTTCTAGACTTGATGAACTAAAATACCCCATGCTAGTTTTCAGATCTTTTTTCTCTCCCCCTCCACCTTCCAAAAGCCAAAAATAGAGGCGGCAGAATAAGAGAGTGACATCCCCATCAGCTTGAGTGACTATGTAGAGCAAACTCCCTGATGTCTCATATTGAATGGACAGCATTATCAAGTCTGAAAGGAAAATAAAATTTCACTATGAAAATCACTATGCCAAAAGGGAAAAATTCAGCTGAAATCTAAGTCATGCAAGAAACTGCTCTTCCTTTTGTCCCTAAGCACACGGCTGCAGATAAAAGGCCAGATATCTCCACAGGTAGCTACTCTATGTTCACCTTATCTTATGTAAAGTGCTGATTTACTGAGCACCAGACAAATACATAATTGGCTTTTCCCCTACCTGCTCCTTTTCTCGTGCAACACGTGGATTCAGTAATGTGACCACACCTTCTCTCTTTCCCCTCCAAACTGCGTTTCCCCTTTAAATACTGAAGCCTTTTTCTCTTTGGAGAAAGGCACACAGGACAGACTGTTTCTGTGATTTCTGTGTTCCTTTCTTCAGGGGATGTCCTTAATGTTGACAAAATAAACTTCTAAATTGATTGAGAATTGTCTCCGATAATTTCTGATTTACACAAGAAATAAGCACCTGCTCTGTTTTCAGTGAGATTTTGTCATTCATCTGCTACTGCAACATAGCTTATCCCAACTGATAAATAGTATTCAGTCTTGATGAGCATTAAAATTGACTTTTGCCTTTTCCTGATTATAGGAAATGGACATTTAATTTTTTATTTTTTGTAAAGCATACCAAAGTGCACTCCAAAAATACTGTACCAGTTTATAGTACCATAGTGTATGAGCCTACCTTTTAACCCATCTCTTCATCAGTATTGGATACTGTCAGTCTTTTAGGTTTCTTTAATTAAAAAAGAGTTTGGCCAAAAGACCCCAAAAGACTTGTAGGTTAAACAACACACTTCTAAATAACACATGGGTCAAAGAAGAAATCTCAATAAATTTAAAATTTGAACTAAATAAAAATAAAACATCAAAATTTGTGGGATGCAATGAATGCAGTGCTTAGAGGGAAATCTGTAGCAGTGCATTCATATACTAGAAAAGAAGAAAGATCTAAAATCAATAACATTCCTCCTTAGGGAACTTTTTTAAAAGAGCAAATTAAATCCAAAGTAAGCCAAAGAAAAATAATAAAAATTAGACAGAAATCAATGAAATTGAAAATAGGAAGTCAATAGAGAAAAATCAATGGGACTAAAAGCTGGTTCTTTGAAAAGAGAGAAAATTAATAAACCTCTAGCCAAGCTAAGGAAAAAAGAGAAAGTCTCCAAATTACTAAGATCAGAAAAGGAAGAGGGGACATTACTACAGATCCCATGAATATTATAAGGTAATAAAGAAATACTATAAACAACAATTCTATGTCCACAAATTTGATAACCTGGATTAAATGGACCAAATCTTTGAAAGACATCTGCCAAAACTCACACAAGAAGAAAGATAATCTGAGTCAACCTATACCTATTAAATACATTAAATCAGTAATTAATAACCTTTCAAAACAGAAAGCACTGGACCCATGTGGGTCTACTAGCGAAGAATTCTGCCAAACATTTAAAGAAGAAATTATACCAATTCTCTATAATATCTTCCAAAAGACATAAACAGAGAAAATACTTCCTAACTCAATTCTATGAAGTTAGCATTACCCTGTACCCAAACCAAAGATATTATTAAAATGAAAACAATATCTCTCATGAACATTGATACAAAAATTCTCAACAGAATATTAGCAAATTGAGTCCAAAAATGTATAAGAAAATACACTATGACCAAGTGGATTTTAATTTGGGCATGCAAGGCAGATTTAACATTAAAAAAATCAATGTAATCCATCACATCTATGGGCTAAAGTAGGAAAATCACATGACTATATCAATAGATGAAGAAAACCATTAGACAAAATTTAATATTCATTCATGATAAAAACTTTCTAACTAGGGATAGAGAGGGAACTTCCCCAACTTGATAAAGAACATCTGCAGAAAACTTACAGCTTATATCATACTTAATGGTGAGAAACTAGAAGCTTTCCCACTAAGATAAGGGACAAGGCAAGGCTATCCCCTCTCACCATTCCTTTTCAACATCATACTGGAAGTCTTATCTAATAAAATATGTTAAGAAAAGGAAATATAAGTTTCAGAAAGGAAAAATAAAACTGAGTTTAATGATTGCCTAAAAAATCTGAAGAAACTGACGAACTCCTAGAACTAATAAGCTAATATAACTATAACTAATATGGAATAAAAAAGCCCAAAATACTGACAACAACAAATGCTGGTGAAGATGTGGAACAATTGGAACTCTCATTCATTGTTGATGGGAATGCAAAATGGTATAGCCACTTTGGAAGATAGTTGGCAGTTCCTTGCAAAACATACTCTTACCATCTGACCTAGCAATAATACTCCTTGGTATCTATCTGAATGTGTTGAAAATTTATGTCCATAGAAAAACCTGCACAGAATATTTAAAGCAACTTTATTCATAATTACTGAAACTTGGAAACAATCAACATGTCCTTCAGTAGGTGAATGGATAAACTATGGCACATCCAGACCATGGAATGTTATTTAGCACTCAAAATAAATGAGCTATCAAGCCATATAAAAACATGGAGATAATTTAAATGTAGATTACTAAATAAAGGAAGCCAAACTGAAAAGTCTACATGGTTGTCCAGGTCTCTTAGTGTTTGTGGGGATGGTGGTGATGGTGGATGAAATCGTTTGTGTTAAGAATCTGTCATGTCTATAGGGCGAGGCCTAGTTAAGAATAGGGTTCAGAGGAGCCTGACTAGAGTAGAGCTTAGTCAAGGAGAGAGCCTTTGTCACTTTCTCCAAGGCTAGTAATCCAAAAAAACCAAGGCAGAAGTGGCTGTGTCTTTCCCAAGCTATTCGGGAAATCACACTCTATTACTTCCATAATATTCCACTGGTCACATGGTCAGCTCTAATTCAGTGTGCGGGGAATCACCCTAAGGCAGAAATACCAGGAGGCAAAGATCACTGGGTGCCATCTAGAAGTCTGGCTACAACAGTTTTCACTCTGCTCTCCAGTGATTTATGTTTCTCCACATGCAAAACATACTTCTTCCCCCTTCCCAGGGTACCCAATAGTCTCTCCTTTTACAGCATCATCAAAGTACAAGATCTAACCATTTGTGTTTCTACATATGGATGAGGCTCTTTGACTGTGGTTCCTTAAGGACAACCCCTCAACAGGGTTTCTCTCAATATGAAGACCTGTGAACTAAGGAGAAATAGTTATCTGTGTCCACACCCCCAACCCCATCTCCAACAAATCAAATAACTGATGGGACAGGCATAAAAAGAACCACTATAGACATTCAATAAAGGAGAGAAATGGAAGACACACGTAGGGAATCCATTATGCTATCCAACAAGAGAGCTATTGGCAGTTCCTTGATTATAACTTAAAACTTGGTAATGATTTTCCATGGTTATTAGTGCCACATTCTGAGTTCTTGTTTTGTCATTTTAGTTTTTCTATCTTCTCTATGAAAGTTAGCTTGTGTTTGCTACTAAGTTGTTTTCTTAGCCTGCTTTCAGACTGTAGAAGTCTGGGCATTCAAACGTGCTTTGCATTTTGCTGTGTCTACTTCAGTTAAACCTGACAATGATTCGATAATATATTTACCTTAAAACATTGTGGGTTTTCTATGAGTTTTATTGAGGTTTACTCCATTAAACAAAAGTGTCAACCACTAAATAACAGATCCCTTTGAAATAAGACCTTTTTATCTTTGGCTTTTGCTGAAGCTGCTGAGAAACAGAATCTTTTAGTTTCTTAGAAGCCCTACTGTTTGAATGATTCTTGGAGGCATCAACTTAGACCTTTTCCAAATCTGAACAAAATGTTTTACAGTCACAAACTTAGCTTCATTTTTAGATCATGTTTTCTTGAAATCGCCCTCAATTTGTTCTTTGCCTGAAGCTATTTTTTACTTAGCATCATTTTCCATTGTTGGAAGTGGATAGTTTTCAAACCAAACAATTCCTGGATCTTTTATATTTAACAGCACTTTCTTTAGCTCTTCTATCTTCTCTTGCATTTTACTATAAATGGCAAAAAGCAGGTAGAAAAAACCTCCAACACCCCATTTGGAAATTTCCTTAGCAAAACCACTCAGTTTATAGGTACCTCTTTTACTTTCCATGTTACTGTAGGTGTCAGCACTGCTAAACTTTATGCCCCCACCTGAAAAGGATTTCCCTTCCTTCTAGTTTCCGATATCATTTTTCTTGTTTTCCCTTAATTTTTCACCAGTAGCAGCCTTAAAGTCCGTCATTTACAACTCTGGCTTAGAAATTTCACATGATCATTTCTTTGGTATTTTTGTTAGTCTGTTCTCTCACTGTTATAAAGAACTGCTCAAGGCTGGGTAATTTATAAAGGAAAGCAGTTTAATTGACTCACAGTTCCACAGGTGCTGGGGAGGCCTCAGGAAACTTACAACAATGGTAGAAGGGTAAGCACACAGGTCCTTCTTCATATGATGGCAGGAAGGAGAAGAATGAGAACCAAGTGAAGGAGGAAGCCCCTTATAAAACCATCAGATTTCATGAGAACTTACTATCATGAGAATAACATGAGAGTGACCACCCCCGTGATTAAATTACCTCCCTCTGGATCCCTCCCACAATACATGGGGATTATGGGAACTTCAGTTCAAGATGAGATTTGTGTGGGAACACAGCCAAACCATATCATTCCATCCCTGACCCCTCCCAAATCTCATGTCTTCACATTTCAAACAAAATCATACCCTTCAACAGTCTGCCAAAGTCTTAACTTGTTCTAGCATTAACTCAAAAGTCCAAGTCCAAAGTCTTATCTGAGACAAGGCAAATCCCTTCCACCTATGAGTCTGTAAAATCAGAAGCAAATTAGTTACTTCCTAGATACAAGGAGGGTACAGGTGTTGGGTAAATACACTCATTCCAAATGAGAGAAATTGGCCAAAACCAAGAGGCTACAGACTACATGCAAGTTCAAAATCTACTATGGCAGTCATTAAACCTTAAAGTTCCAAAATGACATCCTTTGACTCCATGTCACACTGACGCAAGAGGTGGGCTCCCATGGCCTTGGGCAGCTCTACCCTGTGGCTTTGCAGGGTATAGCTCCCCTCCTGGCTTCTTTCACAGGCTGATGTTGAATGTCCATGGCTTTTCCAGGCACCTGGTGCAAGCTGTCAGTGGATCTACCATTTTGTCATCTGGAGGATGGTGGCCCTCTTCTTGCAGCTCCACTGGGCCGTGCCCCAGTAGGGACTCTGTGTGAGGGCTTCGACCCCACATTTTCCTTCCTCACCACCCTAGCAGAGGTTTTCCATGAGGGCTCCACCCATGCAGCAAACTTCTGCCTGGACATCCAGGCATTTCCATACATCCTCTGAAATATAGGCAGAGGTTCCCAAACCTCAATTCTTGACTTCTGTGCATCCGCAGGACCAACACCACGTGGAAGCTGCCAAGGCCTGGGGCTTGCACCCTTTAAAGCAATGGCCCAAGCTGTACCTTGGCCCCTTTTAGCCACTGCTGGAGCAGCTGGGATGTAGGGCACCAAGTCCCTAGGCTGCACACAGCTGGGAGGCCCTGGGCCTGGCCCACAAAACCATTTTTCCCTCCTAGGCCTCTGGGCCTGTGATGGGAGGAGCTGCTGGGAAGGTCCCTGACATGCCCTGGAGACATTTTCACCATTGTTTTGGTGATTAACATTTGACTCCTCTTACTTTTGCAAATTTCTGCAGCAAGCTAGAATTTCTCCCCAGAAAATGGGTTTTTCTTTTCTATTACATCATCAGGCTGCACATTTTTCAAACTTTTATGCTCTGCCTCCTCTTGAACACTTTGCTGCTTAGAAATTTCTTCTGCCAGAATTCGGGCAGGGTGGCTCATGCCTGTAATCCCAGCACTTTGGGAGGCCGAGGCGGGCAGATCACGAGGTCAGGAGATCAAGACCATTCTGGCCAACATGGTGAAACCCTGTCTCTACTAAAAATACAAAAATTAGCTGGGTTTGGTGGCACATGCCTCTAATCCCAGCTACTCTGGAGGCTGAGGCAGGAGACTTTCTTGAACCCAGGAAGTGGAGGTTGCAGTGAGCCAAGATTGTAACACTGCACTCTAGCCTGGCGACAGAGCAAGACTCCATCTCAAAAAAAAAAAAAAAAAGAAGTTTCTTCTGCCAGATACCCTAAATCATCTCTTTTGAAGTTCAAAGTTCCAGAGATCTCCAGGGCAGGGGCAAAATGCTGCCAGTCTCTTTGCGTAGTAAGAGTGACCTTTACTCTAGTTCCCAACAAGTTCCTTGTCTACATCTGAGACCACCTCAGCCTGGACTTTATTGTCCATATCACTATCAGCATTTTGGTCAAAGCCATTGAACAAGTCTCTAGCAAATTCCAAACTTTCCCACATCTTGCTGTCTTCTTCTGAGCCCTCCAAACTTCTGCCTGTTACCCAGTTCCAAAGTACTTCTGCATTTTTGGGTATTATTACAGCATCACCCCACTACCTGGTACCAATTTACTATATTAGTCTGTTCACACACTACTATAAAGAACTGCTTGAGGCTGAGTAATTTATAAAGGAAAGAGGTTTAATTGACTCACAGTTATGCTGGATTGGGAGGCCTCAGGAAATTTACAATCATGGCAGAAGGGAAAGCAAACATGTCCCTCTTCACATGATGGCAGGAAAGAGAAGAATGAGAACCAAGCAAAGGGGGAAGCCCCTTATAAAACCATTAGATCTTATGAAAACATGGCACACTATCACGAGAACTCATAGAGATAACTGCCCCCATGAATAAAGTACCTCCCACTGGGTCCCTCTCAGTGGGAGTTCTTTATGGGAACTACAATCCAAGATGAGATTTGGGTGGTGACACAGCCAAACCATCAGTGTTCTAATATCTTGAATAGTTTCCTCTGCTGGAGCCCTCCGAAGTTCATTCCCATGCCTATTCTCATCTTTTTCTATCATTTTTACTATGTACTTCCATCTAGTTCCATGATTTTAAAAACACCTGTACACTGACAACTCTTAAATTTTTATCTCTAATCCTGTGTAGTCTCTTGGGCTCCAGGCTTATGTTTCCTATTGTATTTTCAAAATTGTCCTCATTTTTATATAGAAGCTATTTTATATTAGGGGAAATAACTGTCTATTAAAATATTGCAAATATTTTCTCAAATTTCACACCTTTTGACTGTGTTTTTAGTTTTTGTTTAGATACACATCAATGCTTTCTTTATGGCTTCTGTTGTTTTGTTTTGTTTTGTTTTTTGTCTTGTTTAAAGAAGCCTCTTCCCCTCCGTGATAATTTAAAAACTCTATTATTTTTCTAAAATTTCGTAGCTCTGATTGTTATACTTTAGATACTTATCAATCTTGAATAAACTATTTTTAAAATTTTGCCTTATAGTACATTTATATATGTGTGCATGTGTATGTGTGTGTATACAAACATGTATATATACACATACATACATATATATTTGTTTTGGGAAACTTTTATTGGTACTAGTGATCAATTTTCTACTATTGTTCATTTTGTTTATGAAAACTTTAAAACATTATTTTTGTTTGTTTGTTTTTTGAATGGAGTCTCGCTCTGTCACCCAGGCTGGAGTGCAGTGGCACAATCTCGGCTCACTGCAACCTCCACCTTCTGGGTTAGAGCAGTTCTCCTGCCTCAGCCTCCCGAGTAGCTGGGACTACAGGTGCACACCACCATGCTCCACTAATTTTTGTACTTTTAGTAGAGACGGGGTTTTCCCATGTTGGCCAGGCTGGTCTCAAACTCCTGACCTCAAGTGATCCACATGCCTCGGCCTCCCAGAGTGCTGGGATTAAAGGCATGAGCCGCTGCACCCGGCCTAAAACATTATTTGATACCTGGTAGGACTAATCCCTCTGAATTAGTTTATATCTCTAGTATAATAGTTCTGGCTACTCATATATAACATTTCATCTGATTACAAGTATAACAGATGTTCAATGTAGGAAAATGTAAAAGTGGGAAGAAAGCAAAATAATAAAATGTTTTCAAAATAAAACAAAAAATAAATATCACTTGTGGTTTTCCAGCTATGGTAGAACTACTCTTTATATAAAATTTTGGGCTGCATTTGAGGTATAATCTCTACCTCTACAGTCGAGGTAGAGACCGCTAGTGGTCCACCCAGTATCCATTTATTTATCTCCTTTGCTAAGAAATTCCTAATCCTCCCTCACAGATAAGGTTGGTCATGTGTCATAGTTCAGATCTTTGAGATTTAAGGAGAATCTGCTAGGTAGAGTTATTAAGAAAGTTCTTTAAAGGGGGCTAACTCGGATGATGTATACTGTTTTGCTCTTTGCCCTTCCCCTTCTTTCTGGAATGTAGACGTGATGGATCAAATTATCTTGTGACAGCTGTGCAGGCTCTGGACTCCCTACATTAATGTTCTTCATGTTATAAGAAAAGTAAAATCACTAATGTGTTTTTCACATTTCTGTTAATCACAGCTGAGTGCATTTCTGTTTATACATTTGTTATAGCCTATGATAGATCTCTACTTGTGTTTTTCAAAAATAGGATCATACTTTACCTTCTTTTTTTCAAACTTCTTTTGAATGTTTCTGTGGTTCCTAGTGAAGCATTTATTTAGCTGTGCTAAACATATGCCGCATGTTTGAGAAAGTGGTAAAACGAGAAACATATGGCACCTATCCTTACAGAGCTTACAGTCTAGAAAGGACATCCATTGGGAAAGTAATTATTTTATTATTATTATTTTTTACACTCTTGGAAAGGAGAGAGTGGGTTGACCTCTGCGAAATGAGATCAGCCAGGTGAGTAATTATTGCAAGTGAGGATGAGGTAACCTTGTCTAAGAATGGGGTTGGGGCTGCAAACAAGGCTTGCCTGAGAAAATGATTTTAAAGTTTACAGCTGAGGACTGTGTAGAAGTTATTTAGGTGAAAGGGGCACATGGGAATGCAAAGGTAATGTCATGTGTAAAGTTTTTAAAGCAGTATTTAAGGACTTGAATGGTTACATATGTGGAGCATGTAAAACAGGGGCTGGAGTTGGGATAATTATTCTTAACTATATTAGGCTGACCCTATAATTCATGCTAAAGAGTTTTTTTCTTTATTCTTGAAGGCAATGAGCCACTCAAAAGTTTCAAGATAGGGAGAAAAATGATGAGATGGACAATTTCAAAACTTGCTATTTAGATAACTGTTTAGATGGGGCATGAGTGGTTGGAAGGAGAGCAATTGGATGCTACTAATGTATCTGAAATGAAAAATGAAGTTAGCTTGAGCGAGATGCTGGTGGTGTGCATGGAAAGAAGTGGGTGTATTTTAGATATATTTAGGAGGTAAAACCAGCGAAGATTTAGTGATTGATGGAATGAGGTTTATAAGAAAAAATGAAAAAATAGGAAAATCCTCTTGCTCCTGGCTTAAGCAATTGCATGGGTAGTGTTGCCATTTACTAAGATGGGAAATTTTAGAGAAGGAACAGATTTGGGGTGAGGGTGGGGGGAAGAATATAAGTTCATTTACAGATGTGTATGGTAGTAGGTATCTCTGGAACATCCAAGAAAAGAGGTTGTGTAGGAAGTTGAGTTGTAGCAATTGCACATACAGGACTTGCTTTAGAAGAAAGGAGTAAGTTTGAAATAAAAATCTATAACTGGCATATAGATGGCTCTGGAAACATGAGCATGTTTGAGATTTCTCAAGGAAAGCATGCAGAGTGAGGGGAAAAGAAAAAGCCAAGAGCAACCCCGGAGAATTGCTAACATTTATGATTAGAAAGGAATTCATCAAAAAAGACTGAAGAAAATTATCACAGTGGCAAAAAAGGGGGAAGAGAGTAAGAGGAATCCCATCGTGTCAAATGTTCCCAAGAGGTTATACAAGATAAGAAAAAATATATAGCTTCTGGATTTACCTACAAAATTGTCATTGGTGAGAAAAGTTTCAGAAAAATTAAGGAGAAAGAATCTAGATTGAATTAAGTTGTGATGTAAATCAAAGGTGAAAAATTGAAAACAGCAAATATAGCCAACTTTAAAAAGATTGATATCTAAAGGAAGAAAAGAAAATGGTTGTAATGAAAGAAACAGGTGTTTGATGGATTATCTATCTATCTGTGATTCGAATATAGTTAAATGCTGGTAGGAAGAAACAGTTGATGACTCAGCTGGGGATTACACAATATCATAAAATTGTTGATTAGGAGGAGAAAATGACTTTAAGCACAGGTAGAATAAATGATCTTATTTAGGTAAGATTCAAGTAGGTGTGTAGAGTTTGTGATGTAAAGTCGAATAGCTCACCACTGATGACTTCTATCTTTCCTGTCAATTAGTAGGTGAGACGTTTAGTGGAGCATAAGGTTTGAGAAGAATAAAGACAATGGAAGACAGTTGTAAGCGATTTGACTAGAAAAACCTTGTAGGATTGTCAGGAAGATTTGAAATATTTTGTTTAGTTTCATTATCATGATTAGTTCTCAAAGTAACAGTACACCAGTTTTCTGGTTATGGTTTCTTTTTCCTTCAAAATATGCAGCATCTCAGAGTAGGCCAAAGAAGGCAGATAATTTAATTGATACCAACAAGTGACACAAAAAGACAGAAATATGAATCAAGAGCATATGTTAATGAAAGGGTCAGGAGTGTTGTTGAAGGGCTTAATTTGGATTCTGTGGTGGAAATGATGCTGTGTCAGTTATGGGCTTAGCTCTGAGCCGCACTGGAAGATATCCAGATTACTCTATAGGACATAGAGGCCCTGTGAAGGAGTAACAGTCAGGCAAGTTAAGTGAAGAAGTCATCTTAGACTTTCTAGCTCCAGTAGACACCATAAGGAAGAAAACCAAGCAACCCAGCTAATAGCCACAGCTGTGATATAAGAAATTTATATTTGATTTTCATCCTCAGTTCCTAGCCTAAGGGCTTCTAAAGCCCTAGAAATTTCCTGTGAGATAGTGAGAGAAGTGACGTGTGTTATTCATAAAAAGCCCCTTTAAACTATACCTGAGTTTATGCTAATGTGGTGACTCTTGATGGGCACCTAGATAGACTCAGGATGGGGATTGGTTGCCAGAGAAATTAACCATGTGATAAGAGGGTTGGTACTTTTAGCCCTCACCCCCAGACCTCCAGGGAGAGGAGAGGGGCTGGAGATTGAGCTCAATCACCAATGGTGAATGGTTTAATCAATCATGCCTACATAATAGAATATCCATAAAAACACACAAGTGGTGGAATTCAGAGAGCTTCTAGTTGGTGAGCCCATTGATGAAGTGCTTGGAGGGTGGTGTGCCCAGACTGGGTATGGAAGCTCCTGCAGCCATACCTTGCCCTATACATCTATCTCATTTAGCTGTTTCTGAGTTGTATCCTTTACGATAACCCAGTAATAATTTGTGAATTGTTTTCCTGAGTTGTATGGGCTATCATAGCAAATTATCAAACCTTAGGAAGAGGTTGAGTGAGCCCCCTGACTTATAGCCTATTGGTCAAAAGTATAGGTGGCTTAGACACATGATTGGTGTCTAAACTGATGCAGACCTTGTGAGACTGAGCCCTAGCAGAGTCTGTGCTAACTATTTGTAGTTAGTGTCAGAAATGAACTGAATTGTGGGACACCAAGTTTGTGTAGAGAGAGTTGGAGACTTAGTTGATATGAGAAGTCCTCTCCCATATTTGGTGTCAGAAGTGTGATATAGAACATTATCAGATGAAGCCTCAGACACATGTGCCCAGTTAAATAGGCCCTCCATTTCTAGTCACTCAACTAGGTCCCCAGAGAGAGTAGGGCTGAATCAAGCTATCCCTACTATGCCTTTCCCAAAATGCTGACACATAGAATCATGAACATAATACAATGATTGATGTTTTATGCCACTAATTTTGAGATAGTTTATTACACAGCAATAGTCAACTGGAAAAATTCTAAGCTAACAAGGGTTAAAGTGAAGGCAGAAAAGTGCTGATGAATAAGGAGGAACTAAGAGGGCCAATGCAATGAAAGTGTCAATAAGATAAAGAATTAAAACAAAAAACAAATATAGGTAGTAGTAATCTGTTTTTTACATTATTTCTGTTTTCTCCACAGTCAGTTCTGTGTGTTTATCTTATTCCTTTTCCACATCGTTTGCTTTTCTTTAATACCTGATGACCTTGAGTTCTTCATTCATATTTAAGAGTAAGGGTCCAGGTAGATTGGTATTGTTACCTGACATGGATTTCTTCTGCAAGTGTGCAGGTCTGAAGTACAGGGCTGGGTGTGGACTCTGTAAAGAGGTCTGTATAGAGCAGTTTGGCAGGTTCTACACTCAATAGAGGCATTTCACTGGAGATGAAAATATATTCTATTTCGTGACTGAGTGAAGTTGTTTTTTTTCTTGTTTTACTTTCCTAGTTCATGATGGAGGTCCTAAGTTATCTGAATCTACTCTGTCTGGATCTAACACATCCAGGTGCTACAATAAATTATGGTGCAGTCATGCAATGAAATATACCACTTAATAGTTAAAAAGTATAATGTAGACACAGAGGAACAGATATGTTAAGATGTCTAGGATACACATTACAGAAAATATATTTGATATGAATTATTTAATAATGAAAGTATACTAAAAATATATGCCTGCACACATATGCACCCTATCCTGACTGACAGACAAGGTAAAGATACAGAACATTATTAATGGTACTTACTTTTATGGAATGTAATTGGTGGGAGAATGTTTGACTTTAAATGCTGTATTTCTATATTGTTAAATTTGTTAAAATGAGTATATATTATTCCTGTATTTTAAATGAACACAGGCCAGTGTGGTGTCACGCCTGTAATCCCAGCACTTTGGGAGGCTGAGGTGGGTGGATCACCTGAGGTCAGGAGTTGGCAAGCCTGGCCAACATGGTGAAATCCTGTCTCTGCTGAAAAAAAAAAAAGCCAGGCGTGGTGGCACACACCTGTAGTCCCAGCTACTCGGGAGGCTGAGGCAGGAGAATCAATTGAACTCGGGAGGCAGAGGTTGCAGCGAGCTGAGATCGTGCCATTGCACTCCAGCCCGGGCAACAAAAGTGAAGCTCTATCTCAAAATAAATAAATAAATAATAAAATAATATGAATCCAGATTTTTAAAAATTCATATCATAGGAGAAGCAGGACCAACTTCATAATTTGTGGGACCCAGTGCAAAATAAAAATGTGGAGCCTATTCTTCAAAAATTAAGAATATCAGGACACCCATAGCAGAGCACTAAACCACATGCAGTCTCTTGTAAGTGTACAACCCTGTGCAACTGACTACACTGATCTTATGTCCGTGAAACCAGCCTTTAGGGGGAAATTCAGCCACCGAGTTAGAATGATAGGAGATTATGGTCTGTCTCAGAGAGTAGAATATCTGCATAAAGAGATTTGGAGGGTGGAACCATTTCAGATTCTAAGGTGTGAGGAGAATTGGTGGTTCAGGTAGACAGGAAGACAAGATTCATGGAGAGGAAAATATCAAGAGACTGAATGTCTGGAGTGATGACCGGGAAGTCCACGTGAACTATGAAAGGTCCACTTAGGATTCTGGCTGGACTTAAAGTGGAAGGTCCTGTTAGGATGCTGGCTGTATTTAAGGTGGAATGGAAGCCTGTGAATCGGGAGCCAGTCTTCAATGAATCAGGGGGATCAGGAGACACATCCTGGGGGCCAGTAGATGATAGCAACAAGAAGTATTGGAAGTTTTTGGTAGAAGGAGGCAGCGTTGCATGTCTAGAAGCAGCCCTAGGGAATGAGGAGGATGTCAATGATCAGCTCCCCACTCCCATTCCTAATGTACTTAAGTTTTATAAAAGTGAGGAGTTCAATGAAGAAATGAAGAAGGATATGGCCAAATGTGTCCATCTTTAAAACATGTAGTTGAGTCCAGCAACATCTGTTTCATCTGGGAGCTTGTAAGAAATGCAGACTCTCAGGGGTGACCCAGGCCTCCTGAATTAGAACATGTGTTTTAACAATATCTCCAGGCTATGTGTGTGTACATTAAATTTTGGGAAGCTCTGCTCTAGAAAATACAACAAAAATGTTTGAGAGAAGCAAGAGAATTGGCACATTGGGCAAGGAGGAACAGAAAATTATTTTGATGAGAAAATGGAGGGGCAATTATTTTGAAACATATATTAGAAGAAAAATTAAGTTTTAGGCAAGGGATATTTTTGTTTTTTCTTAACTAATATATAGGAAAGCTTTCATGTAGTACATATATTAATACTTTTCCATATGTGCTATGAAGGTTATCATTTTCCTTTTTAATAAATGAACTTTCTTGCTTATTTATTTATTTATTTATATATCTGTTTCACTTTACATAATTTTAAAAGGTACGGTGTTTATTACACCAATCTTTTACTTGAACTTCCTAGCTTCAATAGCTTGTTTAAAATTTTGCTTCCTACACTTAGGTTATGTCAATATATACCTATGTTTCCTGCTAGTAGTCTAATGACTTTTATAATACAATAAAAATGTGAAATCATTTGGAATTTACATTTTTAGAAGGTATGAGTTATATTTTTCTCTCTCCCTGTGCTATTTTATGAAATTCTGAGAAAAAAGGAATGTTTATGGAAATTGTGTTGAAATGTTTACAGGAATTGCATTTATAGTAGAATAATTTGAAAAGAATTGACATCTAAATACTTGGTATGTTTTTCTCTTTATTTGTTACATTTAGGTCTTTCAGTTGCATTTTGGGTTTTTTTCATGTTTTTCCTAACAATGTTGTTATTAATAAACAATGTTTATATTTACGTATTTTATATTGTGGCCGATAATTTGAATAGAACGTTTTCCCCATTATGTTCTTTAACTGATTATTGTTCCTGTATAAAAAGTATTAACTGTATTTGAAATTGGCCACCATAGTAAACATTCTTATTTGTTTGAAATTGGTCACCATAGTAAGCATTCTTATTTCTTTTAACAAACTTTTAAATTTATCACCTTGAGGCATCAGTTAGAGTTCTTTTGTTGCATTAATAAAATTTTACCCTGACTAACTTAAACAAAAAAGGAATTAATTGATAGAAAATTAAGAGTTCACAAAATTAATTAAAAGATTAGAAAGTTAGTCTTGGAAATAAACAGGTACTGAGCTGGGTAGCAGGAATTACAGAATTTCTCTTCTAGCAGAAACAATCTGGTCAGAATATCTCTGTGGAAATGGATGGATTCTAACAGTTTTTGGTCTCTTTGACTTTCTCTTCAAGATATAGATTCAATCAAGACCTGTATCTTGGGTTACATATCTCAATGTCTGGCCTAGAGAAGGACAGGGCAAGGCAGGGCTGCTGATCATAGTTTGTATCCAGAAGGAAAAAGGTAATTATTTAAATGTAATTGGGGTACTTTCAAGAAGAGAAAAAAGATACTGGGCAGTAAAAACAGCAAATGTCCACTACACTTAGGCTTCTCAGACTGATAATCATCCTGTCTACAAATGATCGTAATTTTTCCTCTTTTTATTATATTTGACTTTATTTGCTTTAATATCTCTATACAGAATTATGTGGATAAATTTGGTGAATTTTTATTTTTGGAAAATAACAATTGTTAAAAATACCCTAATTGTTCCCTGTATTAATTTATCGAAGTATACTGGAGCAAAAGTGATATGATAAACTTCAAGTACCATAGACATTAATGAGGCATTGGGAGCCTCAAATGGCCACCCAGGCCATTTAAGAGGAAGGGTTTCAGGACTCACCATCATGGTTAAGTCAAATCTAACTAAAGCACAACGTCATTGATTCCACTGGAGATATTTTCTCTCCTTAGTGACCAGAGCATAGGTTCCAAGATGAAATGGAATGGAATACAGTGGCTCTCACCTCTATCGGAGCCAATGCCTACCTTTATTAACAATGTTTTTGTTTAATAAAGTATTATTATCCTGAAATGAGATTTTTAGATAATGCAACCTAATTAATTCATATCTTTAAAAAAAAGTATAATCAATTATAATATAATGGACAATATATAAAAGGAAATTAATTTATAATGAAATGATGTTCCGATATGTACATGCTCAGTAAATGCTACACTAAGGCAAACCTTCAAGGCAGGGAGCACTCTGAGATTTCCTGGGGTTGGCTGTGTGGACAAGCACTGTCTCCTCCCAAATGTGTTTTGGAGCCTCCTCGTGGCAGTTGCTCTACATCATCTGAATATTGGTGGGAAGAATTCGAGGCCCTGTACTTAAAATTTCCCTTTGAACTGGATTGTAACATCTTACTGGTTCCCTCATTAATTAATGAGCTGAACGAAATCTTTGATATGCATTCATTTTATTTTTGTATCTGAGTCATGATTTTATTTCTTAAAAAATACCCACTTGGCACTATCATCTCCTTGAAAAACACGTTGTATTGCATAAATGCTGAGAGATTGTTGGTGGGTGGGACAAGGCTGGGGGTCAGGGATAGGGAAGGTGGAATTCATAGGAATTCAGGGCCTAGGGGCATTCTAGGAACCACAGACAGCAGTTGTTCATCCTGCAAACACTCAAAAGCCACATAGGACCTGCTACACGAGGGCAGAAGCTGTTAAACCAGATGGAACAAGCCTGGAGTCCTTGGGAGCATCCTCTTTCCAACCAGAGCCTCCTTGTTCCAACACCATAATAGCCATGAGCTTCCCTTGTACCCAGATGCCTTGAATGAGAGTCCTCAAGATAAAATAAAGGAGAAAAATGGCATGAGGAGCAAGTTTCCCAGAGGAAACCAAGTTAACCTTCAAGAAACCAAGTTTTAAAATAATTTTCGAAGTTACCCTGCATGAGTGAGATTGATTTTTCTTTCTACCACTGAATGGAAATAGGGTTTTATAAGAAGGCTAAATTCAGTTAAATCAATAAAGTTAGAATATTGTACCTAAAAGATGTAACTATAAATTTTAATCAACATCATTCAAAAATTGGATCTTGGCGTACATATGCTTTGTAATATGCTTTTGGTTTTGTTTCTGTTTTCGTATTTTACAAATTTGGGGCAACTTTGCATACATACACATATATATGCATCTCAGGTTTTAAATTGCTACGTGAAATTCCATTGTGTTCATGTACTGTAATTAAAATAATGCTTCCTTGGTGGCAATTTAGGTTTTATAATTTTATTTTATTTTATTTTATTATTTTATCTTTGAGAGAGGGTCTCACTGTGTCACCCAGACTGGAGTGCAGAGGTGCAGTCACGGCTCACTGAAGCTTCAACCTCCCAGGTTCAAGCAATCCTCCTGCTTCAGCCTCCCAAATAGCTGGTACTACAGGCGTGTGCCACCAAGCCCAGCTAATTTTTGTATTTTTTGTAGAGACAGGATTTTGCCATGTTGCCCATGCTGGTCTTGAACTTCTGAACTTAAGTGAACCTCCCACTTCAACCTCCCAAAGTGCTGAGATTACAGGTATGCACCACCTGGCCAATTTTTTCTTCTTATTAAAAAAATGCTGAGATAAGAATCTATATCTTTGTGCAATTATTACTTCCCTAAGATAAATTTCTAGAAGTGAAATTGCTGCTACATGTATGAGCATTCAGTTTTTGTTACTACTGATTGAATGTCCTTCAAGATTTTTAGTGATTAGAGAGACCATTTTCCCATGTCTTCATCAATACTGGTTATGAGCAATCTTTTGATTTTTAGCCAAACTGGTATGTGATTATTTCTCACTTTTATTTTAGTTTTCAGTTCTTTGTTTATCGGTGAAATTGAGGGTTTTTTCATAAGTTTATTCTTTTCTGTGCATATCTTTTATTTTTATGAGTTGATGTTTTTGTTAATTTGGAAGCTATTTATTTGTTAACATACTAGCTCTTCATCTTTCTTATATATTTTTTCAGCTTTGAATATAATGTCTTTGGCTACAAAAAAAAATTTTTCATTTTTTTGTTAATCAATTCTGTGTAATTTTCATTGATGGTTTCTGAATTTTGAGACAAGATTAGACATGCTTTTCCCTCTGATTTTTAAATTTATTTGACTATCTTTTCTTTTGTTTATTTTGTGCATCTATTATTTTTAGTGACTAAGTATTCAATTTCAGTGCAGTTTATTCAAGTATGTTGTAAGAAAATGTATCTTTTTTCCCCCAAAAAGCCAATTTTTTAACACCAGTTACAGAATTTTAAAATATTTGTAAATGTGTGTTACAGATTATGTGCATCTGGAGAAAGAAAAAGAAGAAGAAAGAAAAAGTAGCTTGTTGATCTCAACTCTTTCAGTTTAACAATTTACATATTATAATTTTACATTCATTTAATATAATTCTTAAGTCATCATAATGTTAAATATTTTAATATGTGAAATGGAAACTCATATTATTCCTTTGTGTCAATATTTTTGTAGGTATTCTTACACATTTGTTCCATTTACAATTTAGAATTAATATGTCAAATCCCTAAAACTTGAAAAGTTTGTAAGACCTTTGCTGGGTATACAGGTCTATATTTTCTTTTCTATAAAGTTTGGAAATGGTATGTTTAATTTAATATATCTTAATTTATTCTCTTCTACTTTAATTATGAAGTTAATATAGTTTTCTTATGATCTCCCATTATGATTGTGATTTGGCCAATCTAAATGCTTTTGACTTAGATTGACATTGGTTGAACATTTTATTATGCAATCGCATTTTTTGTTTATTTGGTTTTAGATTTCTCTAAATATTGGTATCTCCAAGACTCCTCTTTTAAAATTAATTTTCCAACTCTACATTATTTTGTTCTAGGCATATGTCTTATAAACAGCAGAAATCTTGTTTTTGCTCTATTTTTCATTCCATAAGGCTTTGCATAATAGGGTTATTTAGTTGTTTTTTTATTTCTCTTTATTATGCTTTTGTACATCCTTGTTTTTCTTTGTTCTAATTTGCCATCTTGAAATTATTTTTTCCAGTTACTTTGAAGTTGTCTGTTTAAAAAGTATTTTCCAAAAACATTTTAAGCTCTATTAATCATGAGATTATATGTGTGTGTTTCCCTTTTTCAGATTCAGAAATTTACCAGAGTTGTAGGTCCTTCCTATTCTTTTCTCTAAAATTCCTCATCTATTGAAACAACTCCATATTTATTTTCAGATCCGCTTTTTTGTTTTTTTCCTAATGATGTTTTTCTTTGAAGGATTTTTTGCTAACATCTGCCAAGAAGTCCTTAGATAACTCTAGCTTGCCGGTTATGTTGCTTGTTAGGTTTTTTTTTTTTCTCCCATCTTCCTCTTTCTTTATCTCTTTATGCTGAATCATTTTTCTTTTGGCTTCCATAATGACTTTTTTCCCCAGAAAGCATACTTTGTGGCTGCTTATATGTATGAAAACATATTTCATTTTTCCTCTTACACGAACATTTTTTGGCTGAGTTTATAGTTCTTGTGTAATAATATTTTCCTTAAGAAATATTAAAACATTGCTTAATTATTTCTAGCATTAAGTGTTTCAGCAGTGATAAATGATGCTAGTCTAGTACATTATCTTGTAGGATTTAATCTTTATTTTGGAATTCAGAAGCCAAGAGTTTTTATCTTGGTACCCATATTCTAAATGTCTCTTGCAGGCTTGAGAAAAACTAATATTCTCCAATGGTTGGATGCAAAATTCTATATGTTTTCATTAGATCAGTCCTGCTGATTATGTTTGAAAATCTTAGCTATTTTGCTTTTTTCTGCTTTTTCTATCTACAGTTGAGAAAGATATATTGATATCTCCTACTTTGATGGTGCATTTGTCATTTTTTCTCTGGGGGTGGGTCTATGAATTTCTGTCTCATATATTTTGAGGAGTATTCATATTTAAAATTATCTTCCTAGTGAATTAAATTGTATATCATTATATGGTGATGCTTCCTATATCTAATAATGTTTTTAATTTACATGATCTTAAAAGTTGATATTAATATAATTGAATGCACTTTATCGTGTGTCCAGAGAACTCAGCGAGTCTTTTTGCTGTAAATCTCAAGCAGCTCAGAGAAATTTTCCTCTATTCTTTCCTCCATTTGCTCTCTAGTGTTCTTCTGGAATAACTAATTATATAAATACTGTATCACCTTTATCTATTGTTCATATTACTTACAATTTCTCTTATCATTTATATCAATGTATTTTTCTCCACCAAATTCTGTAATATTTCTCACAAGGGTGAAAGCTCCATGGGACTGCAATTTATTTTCTTGTTATTATATATTAAATGCTTACATATGAGCCAGAATAGAGAACAGAGGAGGTACTTAAATAATATTTACTGAATAGGTGAGTGAATTTCTGGGTTGCTGTTCTAATTTGTTTTTCAGCAGTATAGTGTTCATTCTGCTATTTCTGGCCTTTTTAATTCATTTTTTATAAATTATTATTTCCCTTAAGAACCCATTCTATTCTCTGATTTCTTACTTTCCCATAGCCATATACATTACTTTCATGCATCCCTAAAGCCTGTCAAACTGCACTGAAAATATGCATTGTGATCTTTTAGAAAAGTTTTTTTCCTATTTTTTCCATTATCTCTTTTTCTGTGAGAGGAGGGGCTTTGACACTAAACTAGTGATCCTTTCTATAGCAAGGCGTTTTGATGAATCTACCTTTTTTCTTCTTTTTTAATCAGTGAAGGGTAAGCTTGATTTATACTGGAACTGATGTTAGCCCTTTCAGCAATAACATATGTCACTTTTTAGGGTCCCCAGGATGACTCAACCTGACTAGCTACTGACTGCAGGAGTCTGAGAACAAGCTTTTCTCTGGGTATAGTAAATGGGTGGAGATTCCCTTTGGTGCTTAGCACTAAAGCTTAGATTGAGCCCAGTGTTGAGGGAAGCAGAAAATTGCATGGGTCCATAGACGGATGGCAAAATTCTGTGGGTTTTTTCTTTTCTTTTTTTTTTATGGTATTTAAGAGTGTTTTAAAGATTTTAGTGATTTGAATTCTTATTTCTTTTCTTGTATTATGCTTTCTCTTTTCTTTGAATTCCTTCAGAGTTTCTGGCTTACTAAAAAATAAAAGATTTGACCTTATCTCTTATGGTTCTCTCATTTTGTTTCTCTGCTTTGCTACAGAACTTCTCAGATTTTGTTGGGAGTCACTATTTCCACTTCCTTACAACCCATTTTCGTTTCATTTTTCTTTTCTTTTCTTTTCTTTTTCTTTTTTTTTTTTTTTTGAGGCAGAGTCTTGCTCTGTTGCCTAGCCTGGAGTGCAGCGGCACGATCTCAGCTCACTGCAACCTCCGCCTCCTGGGTTCAAGCGATTCTCATGCCTCAGCCCCCCAAGTAGCTGGGATTACAGATGTATACCACCATACCTAGCTAATTTGTTTGTATTTTTAGTAGAGAGGGGGTTTCACCATGTTGGCGAGGCTGGTCTTGAACTCCTGGCCTCAAGTGATCTGCCTGCCTTGGCTTCCCAAAGTGCTAGGATTACAGGCGTGAGCCACCACCTTTTCAAATTTTTAAAAAAGACATTAAAAATTTTCTTTTTAATCCACCCTAATCGGGCTTTTATTTCTACCTCTCTCTTAAAAGCACTCTTGTCTTTCTAAATATGGTGGTCATTTCTCTTATCTTCTCTTACTCAGCAGCATTTGATGGGTTTGACAAACATCTTCTTCACTAGGCTTCCATAATTAAATGCTTCCATTGTTTTCCTCCTACTTCTATGGCTGCACCTTCAATGTCGGCCTGTCTGGTTCTTTTTCCTCTTCATAATCTCTAAATATTGTAGTGCCCCAGGGCTTGGTCCTGGGCCTTCTTCTAAATACTATCTCACTGATTTCTGTCAATTATAATAGGACTTTAAATATACCAACGTGTCTTTTAAATATATGTGCCTAGCCCTGTGCCCTCCCTTGAATCCCAAACTACCTGACAACTTCATCTTGCTGTTTAATAGACCTTTCAAACCTAACATATCTAAAACAAATCACTTCACATCCATTCTCTTCCGCTGCCCCAAAATAACCATCACCTTTTCCTATCCCAATACCTATCTCAACAAACACACCCTATTAGCCATCCAGTCACTTAAGACCCATATTCAGAGGCACCTTCAGTACCTCCTTTTCTTCATTCACAACACAATCCTGTAGCAAGTGTGGCCTGCTTTATTTCTAGAATGTAACTCAAATTCAAATACCTGCTTTCCATTTCAGTTGCTACCTCTCTGGTCCCAGTTCCTATCATCAGCCTCTAAATTAATTTAACAGCCTCTTAACTGGTATCCCTCATCTACCTTTGAAAAAAAAATAAAATCGATGTTTTAGAACAGTTTTGGATTTACAGAAAACTTAGGAAGATTATAGAGTTCCCACATCCCCTATACCTGGTTTTTGCTATTATTAACACTCTACATTTCTATAGTATGTTTGTTATAGTGAATGAATTGATATCGATCATTATTATTAACTAAAGTTCACAGTTTATTCAGATTTCACTAGTTTTTCCTAATGTCCTTTTTCTGTTTCTGAATTTTATTTAAGATACCGTATTTCATTCAGTTATCATATCTCCTTAGCCTTCTCTTTACTGTGACAGTTTCTCAGGCTTTGCTTTTTTTTTTTTTTTTTTGATGCCCCTGAAAGTTTTGAAGAGTCTTTCCCTTTGTGCTCTTTTGTTCACTGACTGCTATTTCATGATTTTGGGGCATCGTGGAAGTGTGAGAGGTATTAAAAGAAAAGGACAATGGCTTATGTGGCTTTTGTGCCATAATCTAACACTGGAACCTCCTGCCTGTTAGGTTCTCAGTTACTGTTTTTCTTTCATGGGTCACTTTTATGAATTCTTTGCAGATTATCTGGGGATTTTTGATCTGGCACTACTCCCTAGTATTAGTAATGCAGTCTCCATCTGCCACCTCTGATGTCTTGTTACTGTCAGCTTCTGCTTCTCAGGTTAAGACTACAGAGCTCTTATCACTGAGGTCCCCTTGCCCTGGCCAATTTCTCAGGTAGAGACCTTGCAAGATGACTCAAACTAGGCTTCACTGAACTTCACTGCTACTCTGAGAAGGTCTGAAACTCTCATATAACCCATTAGGAAAATCTCATCCCAAATTCTTTATGGATAGGTATATCAATCCATTCTCACATTGCTATAAAGAACTACCTGAAACTGGGTAATTTATAAGAAAAGGGGTTGAGTTGGCTCATTGTTCTGCAGGCTGTACTGGAAGCATGGCTGGGGGAGGCCTCAGGAAACTTACAATCATGGTGGAAGATGAAGGGGAAGCAGGCATGCTCGACACAGCTGGAGGAGGAGGGAGAGAGAGTGAAGGGGGTGGTGCTACACACTTTTAAACAACCAGGTATCATGAGAACTCAATCACGAGACAGCACTAGGGGGATGGTACTAAATCACTAGAAACCACCCCCATGATCCAATCACTTCCCACCAGGACCCACCTTCAACATTTGGAATTACAACTCAACATGAGATTTGGGTGGGGACACAAAGCCAAACCATATCAACAGGCTACTCTCACATAAGCCCTATGTCTTTGTTTTGCTATCACAGGTGGCCCCAGACAAGAGAAAAGTTTTGCTCTATGGACCATCTAGGTTCCAGGAGATCCATGTCAACTCTCCATGTGCCTCCCTGTTTCCCCCAAAACCATGTCCAGTTAAACTTGGGAGAAACAGTGAAAATCATGCTTGAGGAAATTTTAGGGAAACATGCCAACATTTTTAAGTATGGCTTGAGTTTCTAATTTGACTTTAAGATTGTCTGAAATATCTCTTCTATTGTTTACTGCCTTCATTATGTTTTAAATTTGGTAGTTGTGATAGTAGTCTGATATTCTTGGAATATTCTTGGAAAGCCTTGGAATATTTTCCCTTTGGGTCATAAAGGATTCATCTAGGAAACGTTTTTCAATGAGCTACTGTGAGAGGAATTCAGAGAGAGTCTGACCTGCCTTGATTAGTTCAAGGCTTAGCCTGCCTTTACCAGAGGGAGTTAGATTCATCTTTCACCCCCAACCCTCACCCCCAATACACACACAGGGACTTCATGGACTTGCATATCAGCTTTGGAGGCATTTGGGACTGGCCAGTTGCCCCAACAGCTTGAGATATGACTGGATATAATGTAACAGGGATAGAGGGGTGTGGTTAGAACGTGTCACAAAAATGTATAAGGAAGGTCACGTTCAGAGGCAGAGAAATGCTGCTATTTGTGTGAGTGCTGGGCCTCCCAAATGGAATGATCACAGACAAAGTCTTTCAATGACTGACTTTTCTGAGCAGAAACATCTCATTACCTTTGACCAACAGGAAAAGTGATTAGGACTCATATCTATGCTAATTCTTAATACTTTTGGGAAGATCCACCTTGTTTACACTGTCAGAGCTCTCCTCTGAGGGGCTAATGAATGAAACTTGGAGGCTAGAAAGCAGCCAGATAAAATTCATGTGGTGCCAGTTTATAGTCAGAAATTATCAAACCCATCCAGAACTTTACTGCTACTCTGAGGACCCTCTAAGTCTGTCTACTGGTGAAGAAGAATAGAATTAAGGAGGAAAAGCAGTCAACATGAAAAGCTCTCTGGACATAGGATTTCGTTCCAGAATGAAGTTCAGAACTTAATGCTGGGACACAGCGTGCAGGCTCCCCTCCACTCCTTCAAGACAGAGCCCCTGAAAGAACCGTGTATGGCAGCCAGGCTCTGACTCAGAACTGCACTTCTGATTACTCACGAGGAGGTTCTGCCCACCCAGGTACTCATTCCCCCTACTTGTCACATACCTTGCGGTGAGGTGAAGACTCATTCCTCTGTTTAGGTTGAGGGGATGAGGGACATCTAGTGGCAGTCTGCAACCAGGAGGACTCTTACCAGGAAACATCACTTCCGTGCCAAATATCCGGAATGGAGCTATGAAGTCAGGGCCGATTAAATACGGAATTGACTGCGTTTGCTTCCTAGGATTTTGCCTGTCCCTTAGTCTCAGTCAAGTTTGATAAGAAGGGGCTGTGGTCATCCAGCTGGAAGATGCCAGAGGCACAATCACAAGGGCCATGACAGGTATCCCCAGTAGAAGAAAAAGAGTGGGGAAGTTAGACTGTAAATAAAGAGTTTCTGGGATCCCCACTTAAAATAAGAATTTTTCTATGTGTGTATGTGTATGTGTGTGTGTATGTTGCGGGGTGGGGGGCGGGCAGTAATTTTTGACTAGAGGGCAGAGAGACGTAATAAAAATTATTAAACTGTATAAGTCACTTAAGCATCCCAGCTACCCCAAGAGAAAGGTGTTTTCCTACCTGGGGTAATCTCCATCCACTGCCCTCTGAGGAACAGTTCTCTCTGCCCCACCAGCTCCTGGACACAGAAAAAGGCACAGGAATAGCTGATGGGGAAGGGAGCATGGTGGCTGGGGAGAGAGATAACAAGTTAGTCTCCACAGAAAGATAGGAACGCTTTTACACTGTTGGTGGGAATGCAGATTAGTTCAACCATTGTGGAAGACAGTGTGGCGATTCCTTAAAGACCTAGAACCAGAAATACCATTTGACCCAGCATTCCCATTACTGGGTATATACCCAAAGGAATATAAATCATTCTATTATAAGGATACAGGCACACGTATGTTAATTGTAGCACTATTCACAGTAGCAAAGACATGAAATCAACCCAAATGCCCATCAGTGATGGACTGGACAAAGAAAATGTGGTACATATACACCATGGAATACTATGCAGCCATAAAAAGGAATAAGATTATGTCCTTTGCAGAGACATGGATCAAACTGGAAGCCATTGTCCTCAGCAAACCGACACAGGAACAGAAAACCAAATGCTGCATGTTCTCACTTATAAGTGGGGACTGAACAATGAGAACACATGGACACATAGAGGGGAAAAACACACACTGACACTTGTTGAGGGGGTCGGGGGAGGGATAGCATCAGGATAAATAGCTAATGCATGTGGGGCTCAATTCCTAGGTAATGGGTTGATAGGTGCAGCAAACCACCATGGCACATGTTTACCTATGTAACAAACCTGCACATCCTGCACATATACTCCAGAACTTCAAATAAAATAAAATTGTTTTTTTAAAAAAGAAGTTAGTCTCTATAGTAACTCAGAGAGAATATAAGGAAGAGTTTTGAATGTGCCATTTACTGTTTTTGTTGTTTTTGAGAGTTGCATGTTGAAGATTGAAAAAAAAATCTTTTTTTTTTTTTGGCTGTTTCTGATGGTGCTTCCTTGAATGTGACATCATCCAAGAGCTAGGCCCACTGTATCCGTGATTCATAATAGTCAGAGTGTCAGCTCTACCTGCCATATCCCCCTCGCTGCTGATCCCTAACCCGAGTCCAGAATTCTGCCTCTTTTTGAATGGACTCTCCAAGCCTCAGTGCATGAACCTCTGACTCTGACCTCCCCATTTCTATGATGGAAAGGACTTGACCCTTACCTCGCCATTTTAGTATCTTAACCCATCTCTAAACTCTTCCTGACCAATCCCATCCCTGATGCTGTCTTCCAATAGTCTACTCCCAGTGTTCCTGTTTAAATCATTCTGTCAGCCCTGCAGAGCAAGGGGCATATCCCTGTCTTACTGTTTTATAAAGCTGTATACCTGTATATTCCCTTTCATTAGCATCCGAACAGAATATTTTCTAAATAGCTCTCCTGCCATTTGGTTATTCCTATAGGAATCCCATACTGATTTCTTGGTTATTAGAAGCTGGTCATTCCATAAACATATTATTTCTAGTTCTAGGCCTTTTTTTCCTATCAGCACACAGATTGTATGTATTGCAAAACATCATGCATATTTGTGATTTCCTATTAGATAAATTGATTTTGGTAGAGGACGATGTCTTTGCTTACCTCCTCTCCCCTCCCCACCCACCTTACATTCAGCTTTACAGTACAGGCAATGCTGGTGATATTTGTACCAATACAGAGTGTTCCTTTTAGAGGTCTTCAATTTAAAACCAATGAGGAGATATGCACAGGTATCCAGAAAAAAACTCCCCTCCTTTTTTTTTTCCTGTAAAACAAAACATCGGGGTAAAGCCAAAATTAATCAGAGAAGGTGGGTTAATTTGAATAATTAAAGCTGATGGATAGTTTTAACATCAAGTGTCTGAAGGGTTATTCTGAACAAGATAGGAAAGAGATAGGGACAAGCTGTTTTCACTCATGTTTGTTAAAAGTTATAACAGGCTGTATATGAGGCTACCAAATAGGATAGAAACCTTGAATTTGGAGATGAGGTCTGAAAATTTATCCTCTGAAAATGAAATAAAAATGAGCCTTCTCTTCTAGGCATACAAACACTCAATAAAAAAGTGAAGTGTGTTTGCTGATAAAATATTTCTAACTCTTCAGCAAATGACCAAGGTCTATGTTCAATCAAGAAAACCAGTCAGGAGTATATATAACTGGCATATAATTGAAGTAAACAGTAATCTTCTCAATTGTCATGTATCAGAAGGGCTGTAGTCTGTGTGGAGTCTAGAAATCTAAAGCCAAAGAGTGATTCATGTGTCTCCAACCCAGTTTGGAGAGGGAACTGTGATGGACTGGAATGAATAGTGGACCCCTTGGTAGAATATCCCTATAGGAATACTTGGGCAACATTTCCCTGCTGCTTTGCTCTCATTCAGTGCTCACTGAAAAACCTTTCTTTTTAAATTTTCAGCTTTTGTTTGTAGATATTATTTTATGTGAGACATTTATTATTTTTCATCATAAAGTTATATTCTTACATAAAATGCTTTGTAAAATAGAAATATTTTTAAAAATCTCTTATCTTCACTCAACTAAACCCCTTTGGGCATGTATTATCTTTTGTTTTTTTTTTTTTTTTTTTTTTTGAGACGAGTCTGGCTCTGTCGCCCAGGCTGGAGTGCAGTGGTGCGATCTCATCTCACTGCAAGCTCCCACCTCCCGGGTTCACACCATTCTCCTGCCTCAGCCTCCGAAGTAGCTGGGACTACAGGCACCCGCCACCACGCCTGGCTAATTTTTTTTTGTATTTTTAGTAGAGATGGGGTTTCACTGTATTAGCCAGGATGGTCTAGATCTCCTGACCTCGTGATCTGCCTGCCTTGGCCTCCCAAAGTGCTGGGATTACAGGCTTGAGCCACGGCCACCACGCCCGGCCTGGGCATGTATTTTCTTATCTGTTTTTTTTTTGTTTTGTTTTGTTTTTTTTTTTGACACAGCGTCTCACTCCGTTGCCCAGGCTGGAATGCAGTGGGCTCACTGCAGCCTCAACCTCCTGGGCTTTTAAGCTATCCACTCACCCCAGCCTCCCAAAGTGCTAAGATTACAGGTGTGAGCCACCATGCCTGGTCAGGCATGTATTTTCTATCAATCAGTTTTCTAGGAATATGTTATAAAATAACATTGTACAAAAAAATTTTGCTTTCTGTTTTTTCACTTAACATTGTATCATTTGCATGTCCTATACAGCCCAGTCAGGCTCAGAATCATTGTTTGTAATGTCTCCACACAAGTATCAAAAAGCTTGTCTTGTATAAACAACATAAAAGAATTATACACAAACTTTCTGTGTCACCATGTGAAAAGTTTTGCAATAGAGGTTTTCCATGTCAGCCTGTCTCTCTGTCACCTATGCCAGAGGCTGAATGGTCCTCTAAACAACGGCAGTAATACCTTCTCATGAGTATTAGAATTGGATACCCAAATTGCCTTTCTTGGCACTTATAGTGGGATTCACAGCCTGCCTGTTTCTCTGGGTTTGGCGATGAGTTTGGACTGTGGGCCAGTCTTTTTATTTTAGCGTCTTCCCAAGACAGTGCCTTTCTGGTTTCTTCTCTCACAGACAAATCCCTGAGCTACCATCACGCTTGCAAGACATAGGCTTCTAGAATGCTGAGCACTTGATGGCACCTAATGCCTCAAACTTTGCTCGTGGCAAAAACAAAAAACAAACAAACAAACAAACAAAACAAAACTCAGACAAACGCATTGAGAAAATAAAATTATTTCTACTTGCATAGTTTTTCAAGTTACTCCAGATTTTAAGAGAGCTGGGATCCCTGAATTAAACAAGGTGAAAGTTGGTTTGTTCATGGCAGAAAATCAGATGTTTCTTCACTGGATTGTCATATCAGTAAATAAAGGTTCACATATATATGTAGGCATCAGTTTTATAAAAGTCAAGGATAAAATTATTTTGGTTAGAGAATTAACAACTTAAGGGGAAGGGCTGAAGTCTTCATTTATTTGGAGGAATAGTACAAGGCAGGGTGTTATTACATTTTTAAGAAACTTTATTAGAATGCAGAGAGGATGTTTTTTCCCCTATGACTAAAGTTTGAATGGCAGCAGGTCAAGGTGCCAGTTTTGCTTCCTCATTTGTCTTGGAGAAGAGCTGGCCTAAAGCATACAGAGTGGCTATGGGAGGACAGAGAAGGACAAATAAACTACACTAAATGTTTTGGTTAATATACAACACACCACATAAGAAGCAACCACACCTCAAAACTGCACATACCAGTAAGGATTTATCTGACACGTCTTTTGGTCCTCTGAGGGTCAGCTGATTAGAGAAGTTCTCCATGTGTTTCTCATGATCATTCTGAGACAGGCTCAGACAGGTTCTTCTCATAGGGATGTCATTAAGTTTGTTTAAAAGGGTTTGGAACTGGCACATTATTACCTCCGCTTCTGTGCTATTGGCCACAGTAAGGCACAAGTGTGGGAAAGTCTACTTTGGTCATGATGAAGCCATGGCAAAAAGAGTGGTGAGCAAATGCAATCTATCACACCAGGGAAAGGGTAGACCTCTTTTGAAAGGAATGAATGAACTGATCCTAGAAGGATGAGAAAAGAATAAGCTTTGAGGTTTGGAATGGCATTCCAATAGAAGAAATGATTGTAGGAAGGCAGTGATACATGAAACAGCATGATGTGTTTGGGAAAATCGAGGTAATGATTGAGATGCAAGGGATGTGGGATTGCAGATGTGAGTCTAGAGGTAGAATAAAGCCAGACCATGAAGGGCCGGCATACAAAACAAAGAAGCTTAAATAACTCTAGAGCTATGGAAAAGCCATTTGGGAGTCTCAGACTGGCCTTTGATAAAGGTCATTATGGGAGGACTATGTAAGAAAAATTGGCATGGCCCAGCAAGGAGTCAGGGAGATCAGTAGAGAGAGCATAGAGGCTGTTTTGAAGGAGGTGTCATTCCCTCTTGAATTAAGGCAATGGAGGTGGGGATGATGCGGAGCGAGGGGCTATAAACAAGGAAGACTTGATAATCTAGTGTTGGAGTCATGAAAAAAGTTCTTGCTTTTCAGACTTGCTACTCAAAGGGTCATTCATAGATTAATAGCATCAACTTCACCTGAGGAGTTAATTTTCTGATTTGGACAGTATGGGGAAGGCATAAGGGTAGACGCTTAGTTCAGTTTGGGGCCTGTTGAGTTTAGGTCTCCAAGGTTTGTTCAGGTGGAAATGTCTTATCTATAGTTCTGGGTCTTAGGATCAATGTCTGGGACTTGAATCTATGGATCTGGATGAGGCTACTCAAGGAAAGGGATTTAAACCCAAATAGTTGAGTATGAAAGACAGATCCTAGATGCAAAGGATGAGATGAAGAATAAAGAGAAGAATCAGCTGACAGGTAAGCAGAAAACCAGAAAGGTGGTGCCATGAAAACTCAAGGAGGAAAGGTGATCAGCAGGGTACAAGGCCATGGAGAGGTTAAGTGAGATTTTAATAAAAGAGTGTATTGTACATGGGAACCAGCAGGTTATTGGTGACATTGATAAAGCTAATTTTGGTGGAGTGATAGGCTAAGTGTCTCAGCCAGGATCACACATAATATTTAAATGACTAATTTGAGACTTGGACCAGGGATTCTGACTCCAAGTCAGTTTTCATCTGGTGTACCTCAGCAGCTACTGATGTATTTCTAAAGATAAATTAATGGGCTGACATCTTAGCCACCAAAACCTCTGTGGGAAGGAGGCTGGTAAAGATGCATAAATGACTGGTTTATATAAAAAAAAATCTGGTAAGTTCATTTAGTCACAGCTCTTGGACATCCCAGAATAGCCCTTAGTTGAGCAGATTCATCTGGGCTCTTGGATCTGCAAAGCTGAAGACTCCCTTCAGCCTAGAGCCCTGGGGTCTCCAGCAGCCTGCAAGATGCTCCATGACATTTTTATTCTGTAATTTCCTTGAAGTCACACAGACTTCAAAGGACTCTGGAGCCTTTCTTTTTTCTCCACATTACTGGAGGTTTTGAATAGTAGGTCAGGGAAGACGGGAATACATGATATTGGCCCTTAGCTTTTCCACTCTTCCTTTGCAAAAGTTCTTCCTTTTTTTTCATGTGGGCAATAAATCCTATAACTAATAAAAGGTCAAATCATTATAACCTAAAGATCCATGAAAAATTTTCTCCTCTTCCTTCCAGTTAAAATACTGACACACAAAAATAAACTATCTGTCCAACATTGTGGTTTCAAGCATTTTTCCAGGCAAAGTAGGCAAGGAAAAAGAATGTAAAGAATTTAACTGGTATGCATTCTCGGGAGGTGAAACAGGACTTAATGATTTCCAGTTCATGGGGACTGTTCAGCCTGAAAGATGAATTTGAGCTCTAACCTTCCACTCCCATTGCCACTCCCACACACGTATATCTTTTTTTTTTTTTCACAGACTTTCCGTTTCTTGGATTACTGAAATATTGTATTACTAAAGATGATTTTGAAGTTGGTTTTATTTTTCTATTTATACAGTCTATTATATAGAAATAATTATTTTGCATTTTCTTTTTAAAGAGAAACCTCATTTTTCCTTTTACTTACTGACTGCCTTAGTTAAAACATGTAGAATAAATTTAAGTTAGGGTAATGGTAACAGATATGTTTTATTTTTTATTACTTACATATGTCTTTCTTGTGTCAATGTTAGGTGTTAATTACAGTTATTTCAGATAGACGTGTACACATTCTCCTATTCTTGTTTACTTGTGGGGGTCATCCATCTATTTTTTTCTGCTAGAGATAGATACTGAGTGCTTTTGGGGATAGTATTTTTTTCGCTATTATTATTGGTATGATATGTCATTTTGCTAGATATATTCAAATTGAACAATCTTTATATTCCTGGAGTAATTTCTACTTATTCATGAACTTTCATTTTTGTAATATAATGTAGTGGTGGCATAGCAGAGTAGTTAGGAGACTGTATTCTGAAGACAGATTGCCTGAATTTAAGTCCCAATTCTACTGTTTACTAGTTATACAATTTAGGCAAGTTTCTCGACCTCTCTCTACCTCAGTTTTCTCATCTGTATAGTGGGGCTATTCACTTCTACCATACAGCATTGTTGCAAGAATACAATAGATTACGGAAGTGAAGTATTGGTATGATGCCTGGAGTGATGGGGTGGTGATGGGCTCAAGGAAGTGGGATTTCTTTTTGGGGTGATGAAAGTGTTCCAGAATTGACTGTGGTGATTAATGTACAACTCTGTCAATATGCCAAAAGCCATTGCATTGTACAATTAAAAATGGTTGCATTGTATTATATGTTGATGCCCAAAAAATATTAGCTAAGAATATTAATATTGATAATATTTAATGTTGTGATTGAAAGCTTGGGTTTTATAACAGTGTTGTGTAGTAAGCTCAACCACTTGCTAGTTGTATGATGTCAGGCAATTTACGTAACCTCTTATGTGTTCCCTCATTGTAAAATGAAAATAGTAATAGTGTCTACCTTTTGGGTTGTTATGAAAAACAAATATATTAATACATTTAAAGCACTAAGAACAGTGGCTGTCAAATAGCAAGTTTCTAGTAAACGTTAACTTTCATTAAAAATGTTGGGTAACATTCATTTAGGATTTAAAATTTCTTTTTTTCTAAAATTTTTTTAAAATCTTTTTTTTTTCTAAATTATATTGGTTCCTCGTTCTTTTGTTTTTTGCTTTTTAAAAATAATCTCTTCTTGTAACAAAGGAGATACTCTATTATTGTGTATCTGCTTAAGAAATTATAAGCCAAACAAGAAATCAAATAATCCCACAACCACATTGTTCTGAAATAGTCACTGTTACCATTTTTATAGGCTTTTTCCTTCTCACTCTCATTCTCTTTCTTCCCAGAAATATATGTGTGTGTTATGTGTTTCGTTACATGTTATAAATTAAAATGTATATTACATGTAATATATCTATTAATGTGTACTGAATATAACACAATTTACAGGAGTAATTCACAAAATGAGTTTGTACCCCATAACTTGTATTACCTGATTTTAAAAATCAGTGATCTATTGTGAACATCTTTTCGTATCATTAAATATCCTCTAATTCTTTTAAAGAATGAGTGACAGTCCCTGTGATGTGCCATAATTAACAAGCAATTATATACTGATAACTTCAGGGTGTTTCCAATGCATGTTATTACACACCATACTAACATATAGCGTAATACTTCAAATACTAAAAAATATCAGTTTAAATGCCTAAACATATCTATATTTTGTTCTATTTTATTATTTGGTTCTTTATATTTAAGGTATCTGGGGATTATTTTGGTTTGTGTAAATTGGTCAGCTCACCATCTAGTCCTCCTCCTTCTAATGCCCTTCCTTGCACTGCACAGGCTGGAAAACTGAAACCTGCAGTTTCCATACATCTGTGTAACTAGTGTGGCTGATGTGACTTAGATTTTGTGGATCAAATGTACTTGAGTGAGATTTGATTTGGCAAATGAGTTGTGCAGAAACTAGCAAGGGCAGTGTGGCTTCAGACCTAGCCACTGCAGAAGAAATTTAGCAAGTTGGCACCAACTTTCCTAGCCCAGACCTACCATGTGGCTTTGGGAGCTGTTCCTGGAAGTACAGCCTATAGTCTCTTTTTTCTTTTTTTTTTTTTTTTTCCATTTCTCTTAATGATTCCGTAAGCCCTTTAGTACCATGTAATAAATTTCCTTCTGCTTAAACTAGCTAATGAATACACCGGGTTTTTGCAATTGACCTTGACAGATATATAATGGTTCTAACTTATTTTTTCCCAAGTATAATTCACTAATCCATCTTGTTCTCACTGATTTGAAATGTAAACTTTACCACACTTCATTCCTTTCAGATTTATCATATTAATCTGTTTTTAAAAACTGACTTTTTCTTGTTTATTCTACTGCCAGTACTACACTTTTTTGATTACTGTAGCTTTATGGTAATCTTTAAAATGTGTTTCGGTAAGTGCCCCCATTAATCCAACCTTTTATAAGCCCCATAGGCTTTTCTTCCAGATGAATATTTTGTCAAGTTCTAGATATATCTTTGCTGAATTTTAATTATGTTCAGGAAATAACATACATCTAATAATATCAATTATCCCATCTCAAGACATCTTTCTCTATTTAAACCACTTTTACTTTTATAATTAAAATTTAGGGGGCTTTTTTGGGGTTGCTGTTGCTAATTATATACTTCTTACACATTTATTTTCATGCTCACCAGTGGGATCATTCCCAGATTTTTTGTAACTTTGAGAGTAACATAATATATATATTTTAACAAGCTTTATTTAGAATATATTGAATGGTACCTATTTATTTTTAACTACCTACTCACCTGAACTCTTTGATGTTTCATAATCTTCAGTTACTCATTGGCTAGCAGTGTAGTCAGTTCTATAAAATGATAATTTCCTCCATTATAATTCTTAAACCTCATCTTATTATGTAAAGTTATGATTAATACATTGTGGTAGATTAGGTGTCCTTTAGATGGATCAGCTTTGGACACCAGTGGGATCCTCAAGAAATCTTTATGGGTTGGGCAGTTTCCTTCAGACCTAAAAGGTATCTACCATGCTCTGCTCCTTTTCAACTATGATGCAGCACAAACTTATCCATCCTTCTGTCCATTCATTCAAAGATCCCCTTGCTTAGCATGATCTTACTGTTCCATATTTAGCCATAAATGATCTCATCATTTTTTCCAATGGAAGAGAATCCAAATTTATATCAATAGGAGCCCCTGTTCTCTGAGTCCAGATCTCTTGGTAGTATCCATCCTTTCTATATTTCTGTGGCAAAGACAGTGTGCTATTTCTGAGTACACCAGTTATTAGAATATAAAAAAGAATTTGTAAAGAATTGAAAGAATGAAAACATCAAGTTAGTAAAAATGGAGGGAAACAGGCACCTGTCATTGGGTAAATGAATCCCATGTACTTTCTGGAGAACTACTTGGCAATATGCTTCCACATCTTTGTAATGTACAAATGCTATGTTAATAAAAATTATTTGGTTACAATTAACAGGAAACAACAAAGAAGAGGGGTTGGAGAGTTTACTACAAGAATGCAGAAGTATCATAGGCAATCCAATAGCAGAGTTACAACTGGGCTTTGAAACAGGATTAGAACCAGGATAAGAGAAGTGTCAAGAGCTTAGTCCTTCAGCTTCATGTCTTTGTCCCCTGTGGTTCTGTTTACCTGTACTTGTCTGTTCATATTTTTTTTTGCCATGGATACCCATCATATATTCTTCCAAATTCTACGTCCTTGACTACCTATGTTCCTCTTTGACCCTGGTGTTTAGGCTCCCTGTGTAGTCATTTGGTGTTCTGAGCTCCCAATTTTCAGCTTCAGCCTGTCCTCAGTTTGGCCAACGTTTACACTTTGCCATTCTGTCTGTCTTCTCCCAGGTGTCTGATCTTAGTTTTGGGCTTTGTTCATACTTGCTTAGCAATAAGCTGTATCTGGCATTTTATCACTAAAGTGTCTAAAACTACTGCTTCAATATAGAGATTAGTGACTTTTAAAACCTTTTTTTCTTTGATGCCATTGATTCCAAAATAAATTCCATTGGTCAATTCCATTCATTCTCAGAATAAATTACTGACCTCTGCCCTCCCCCCACCCCGCCCCATAATTAGGGTAAGTGTTAGAAAGGAGCTTTTTTACTCGTTTTGGTGTGGAGTACTTAAAAGAGAAATAGGATTTATTCAAGCATCATTCTGGTTTGGGGCTACCAGTCTCTGCCCTAGGATACTAAGGATGCAAACCAGCTGGGTCTCATTTCAGGTTTCTTGGCTTATAATAACAAATGATTCAGCTTGTGATTTTATAAAACAATGATGATACAGGAGTGCTGGAAAGGTAAGAGTGTGGTCCCTTTAAATGATAAGGAATGGGGGAACAGATGTGCTGGGTAGAGACGGGGGTGGCCCCTGGTTAGGGCTCCATCCCCGCAGACCTAGGTGAGTACTAGCACTTCTGCCTTCTTGCCCTAATGTTGCATTTTCCAAGACCACCCTGGCCCGTCACGCCCCCATCCTGGGCCTATAAAAACATGAGACCCTAGCAAGGCAGAGACACAAGCGGCAGGACGTCCTGAGGAGCACATTGGAGGAAGAAGACGCAAGCGGCTGGTCGTTGAGAGGACGTTGAGAGGAGCACGTCGGCAGAAGAGCATATAGAACAGACACAGGCACCGGCCCGCCGGCCGGGCATCCACCGGTGGGACCAGTGGAGTTCGGTGGGCAGTCGGAGGAGAGCGGCCCCCGAGCCCCTCAACTCCAGGAGAAAACCATCTCCCTTCTGGCTCCCCCATCCGCTGAGAGCTACTTCCACTCAATAAAGCTTTGCACTCATTCTCCAAGCCCACGTGTGATCTGATTCTTCGGGTACACCAGGCCAGAACCCAGGATACAGAAAGCCCTGTGTCCTTGTGACAGGGTAGAGGGTCTAATTGAGCTGGTTAACACAAGCCACCTATAGACGGCAAACTAAGAGAGCACCCTGTAACACAGGCCTACTGGGGCTTCAGGAGCCTACACATTCACCCCTAGACACTGCCGTGGGATCGGAACCCCACGGCCTGCCAGTGTGTGTGCTCCTCTAGAGGTCTGAGCAGCAGGGCACTCAAGAAGCGAGCCACACCCACATCGCATGCCCTGTGGGAGGGACAAGGGAACATTTCCCCCTTCAATGAGTCAACCCAAACTAAGGAGTAAAGTAAAGCGCTTGTGTTTAGTAACCTTCGTCATCACAACTACCACCACCCCTTTCCATGTGCATATAGGTGGCTTGTGTTAACCAGCTCAATTAGACCCTCTACCCTGTCACAAGGACACAGGGTTTTCTGTATCCTGGGTTCTTGCCTGGTGTACCCGAAGAATCAGATCACACGTGGGCTTGGAGAATGAGTGCAAAGTTTATTGAGTGGAAGTAGCTCTCAGCGGATGGCGGAGCCAGAAGGGAGACGGTTTTCTCCTGGTGTGTTCCTTTTTTTTTTTTTTTTTTTTTTTTTTTTTGTCTTAGACGGAGTCTCAATCTGTCGCCCAGGCTGGAGTGCAGTGGCGCGATCTCCGCACACTGCAAGCTCCGCCTCCTGGGTTCAAGCAATTCTCTGCCTCAGCCTCCTGAGTAGCTGGGATTACAGGCGCCGCCACCTCTGCGGTGTGTTTCTATTGTTAGTTACCCATCCTTATTACTAGGTTATTGGTTAAATCTTGAGCCTGGAGTGATCACTACTAGTCTGTTCTACCCTGGACAACATGTTGCATGGAATATCCTATCTTAGTTACTTCTCTATTTTAGACAACACAAGATAATTTTACAGAACTCCCTGGCTTGCAACGGAATCAGTTTACTCTCTATGGAAATTCTTACTGTGACTTTATGATTTCATCCATGTTTTCCATTATTCTGGCTTTTGGAGGGTTATTTTTTGCTATCTGTGAATTGTAGGGTTGATAGAATTCTGTCTGCTGTATAATGTTAATTATTCTGAGGAAAAATGCCATCTAAAAAATTACTGACATTGTGGTGGGAGAGGGTTAGAGACTTCTTTGGTTTTCCGCCAGGAAAAGGATATCTTTTAAATTGGATGCTTTTTGAAAGACTTGCCCTCATCAATCAGAAAATCTTTCCTCCATGTTCACTTTCTGTTTACCAATGTTTAACATCCCTGGACAGCAGGAGGTAGAGTTAAAAGCTATGCACTGATAGCCTTTCTGAGATAATTCTGCTGTTTTCCTAAAAATGAAAAGCTTCATTAACTAGTGTCCAAACTATTTATGGTTCTAATCATCACATCATTGCATGGACTGATTTTTTAAATATTAACATGTGTGGAGAAAATATTTCTAAGAAACAAGACAGGATACTTAATACAATAATAATAATCTACTTTTAAGTATGCTAGCAACTAATGAATATAGCAATCTAAAGTCATTAAGAATGTTTCTCATTCATTCCTGATAGTAGTTTTCCAAAAGACTCTTAGTAGTTACCCTTATTTGAGCACTAAAAGGGCTTTAGAAAAATCAGCCATTAAAAATTGGCTCTGATTAACAGGCTTTCTCCTTTCTCAAACAACCGAGTGAAGTTTTATAGTGTTGATTATTTTGGGGATTAGTTAATTTGCCAATTGTGGTTAACAGATATTTTGTAAGGAAAATTAATTGCTTTATTCTCATAACTAGTATTTTTTCCCACAGCCTTACAATTTTAATTTCTTTGGTTTTGGTGAACTATTCAGTACACATACTCTCCTAATCTTCTCATATGTGTGTCAGCTGCTGGTCCCTATCCAAATGCTGAACTCATTTGACTAAGCACCGCCAGGGCCTTTTCTGTGTGATTTCCCGCCTCCCTTCCCCATTTCTTGGGACATGAGACTTCTATTTCTCCTGAATGCCTCTGTCTGGGAAAGATTATCTTGGCAAAAAAAAAGGGGGACTTTGGGAAATAAGAGAAGGCAGATTCTTTGTTGCCAAGCAGAAGTAGTGCCTCACTGACTTCAGAGAAATGTGGGTAGGAGAACTGGGAAGCTCAGGGCGTCCCTCAGTCTTTAGAAAGTGTAAGTGATCTCATTCCTTTCCTTAAATGATTTCAGTCCCACAAAGCAAAGAAAGATGCCTGAGAGCTTGACATTCGAGCTGATCAGTCTTATTTTTACATAGCCTCAGATACGTGATTTGCGGGCACTAAGATGATGTTACCGAGCACTCAAAAATGAGCCATTTCATGTATTTGTCCAGTCTGTGAAACTTTGTTACCATAGCACATTACATGGTTGTCCTAGCCAGCAGAGTGGTGTTTAAATGGTATGCACTGGGGGACAGACCAGTTGTTAAAATGTTGAAATATTTCAGGGATCCTCTGGGTCTTCCTTGGGTCCACTAAAATGTCATCTGGCAAGAGGGGGCCTCCAGGCCTTCTATGGATGACAGTCTTTCTAATCTGTCCGTGTCTGGGGCATATCAATTAGTAAATTCTTTGATCATCTATCCTAATACCAATCTTCATTCCAATTATTCCTTCCACCAACCCATTTATTCATTTTTAATTCATTCAAATTTAATTTATTCAAATTTAATTTATTCAACAAATGCTTCCTAATTACCTGCTAATGGCTAGGCATTGTTGCAGATGCTAGAGAAACACTAGTGAATAATATGGACAAGGTCCCTGATCCAGTGGTGCTTTCATTCTAGTAGAGGAAACAAACAATAAACATGAGCACAATGATATAAACAAGATAATTTCATTAATGGTGGGTGATATGTTTTGGCTCTCTGTCCCCACCCGAATCTCATCTTGAATTATACTCCCATAATTCCCACGTGTTGTGGGAGGGACCCAGTGGGAGATAATTGAATCATGGGGGCACTTTCCTTCATACTGTTCTCGTGACAGTGAATAAGTCTCATGAAATCTGATGGTTTTATAAAGAGTTCCCCTGCACAAGCTCTCCCTCTTTTTGCCTGCTGCCATCCATGCGAGACATGACTTGCTCCTTCTTGCCTTCGGCCATGATTGTGAGGACTCCCCAGTCATGTGGAACTGTAAGTCCATTAAACCTCTTTCTTCTGTAAAGTGCCCGGTCTCAGGTATTTCTTTATCAGCAGCGTGAAAATGGACGAATACAATGGGTGCTGTGAAGGCAGTATGAAGGGGTAGCCTGCCCCTCCACACCTGTGGGAGTTTCTCGTCAGGTGGAATGAGAGACTTGAGAAAAGAAAGAGACACAGAGACAAAAGTATAGAGAAAGAAAAGTGGGCCCAGGGGAGCTGCGCTCAGCATACGGAGGACCCGTGCTGGCACAGGTCTCTGTGTTCCCTCAGTATTTATTGGTCATTATCTCTACCATCTCGGAGAGGGGGATGTGGCAGGACAATAGGGTAATAGTGGGGAAAGGGTCAGCAGGAAAACATGTGAACAAATGTCTCTGAATCATAAACAAGGTAAAGAAAAAAGTGCTATGCTTTTGATGTGCATATACATAAACATCTCAATGCCTTAAAGAGCAGTATTGCCACCAGCATGTCTCACCTCCAGCCCTAAGGCGGTTTTCTCCTATCTCAGTAGATGGAATATACAATCGAGTTTTACACCAAGACATTCCATTGCCCAGGGACGAGCAGGAGACAGATACCTTCCTCTTATCTCAACTTCAAAGAGGGCTTCCTCTTTTATTAATCCTCCTCAGCACAGACCCTTTACGTGTGTCGGGCTGGCGGACAGTCAGGTCTTTCCCTTCCCACGAGGCCATGTTTCACAGTATCACATGGGGAGAAACCTTGGACAATACCTGGCTTTCCTAGACAGAGGTCCCTGCGGGCTTCCGCAGTGTTTTTTGTCCCTGGGTACTTGAGAGTAGGGAGTGGTGATGAATTTTAACAAGCACGCTGCCTTCAAGCATTTGTTTAACAAAGCACATTCTGCATAGCCCTAAATCCATTAAACCTTGAGTCCACAAAGCACATGTTTCTGCGAGCACAGGGTTGGGGGTAGGGTTACAGATTAACAGCATCTCAAGGCAAAAGAATTTTTCTTAGTACAGAACAAAATGGAGTCTCTTATGTCTACTTCTTTCTACATAGACACAGTAACAGTCTGATCTTTCTTTTCCCCACAGCAGTATAAAATTAATGAGATTATTGCCCAAGGCAGGGTTCATTAGGTGGAGGGGACAAGGAAGCCTTCCTGGAGGGGAGCATTTAGCTGACACTTGAGCGGGTGGTTCTGATCTCTGTCAGGCTTGAGAGTGTCTTTGAGAGTCTACAGGCTGCCCCTTGGGCTCTACTCCATGTGTCTCTTACATATGTCGAGAAAACAAACAATGACTAAGGTAAAAGAGAAGGAACACATTTTTCTAGATTCTTCCTGTGTCACATTTGCAGCATCATTGGTTAAAGGCATTCACATGGATGAGCTCAGAGGCAAAGAGGAAAAGTGCCAGGAAGTTAAATAATGAAGGACTTGGATAAAGTGAAGGGTGAAGAAATGGGATCATTAATACAGTCAATCTACCATATATTCTTTTTGTTTATTTTTAAATTTTGTTGGTACGTAGTAGGTATATATATTTGTGGGATACATAAGATAATTTGATACAGGCATACAATGAATAATAATCACATTAGGGTAAATGGGGTATTCATCACCTCAAGCATTTATCCTTTCTCTGTGTTACAATCAAATTACACTCTTTTAGTTATTTAAAATGTATAATAAATTATTGTTGACTGTAGTCACCCCATTGTTCTATCAAATACTAGACCTTATTCATTCTAACTATACTTGTGTACCCATGAATCATCCCCACTTCCCCCACACCATCCTCACTACCCTTCCCAGCCTCTGGTAACCATCATTCTACTCTCTATCTCCATGAGTTCAATTGTTTTTTTTTTAGCTCCCACAAATAAGCAAGAATATGTGAAGTTTATCTTTCTGTGCCTGGCTTATTTCACTTAAAATAATGTCCTTTTGTTCCATCCATGTTGTTGCAAATGACAGGATCTTATTCTTTTTATGGCTGAGTAATACTCCATTGTGTATATGTACCACATTTTCTTTATCCATTTGTCTGTTGATGGACACAGGTTGCTTCCAAATCTTGGCTATTGTGAATAGTGCTGTGATAAACATGAGAGTGCAGACATCTCTTTGATATACTGATATTTACATATGCCATGCCACTGACATTTGTATGATGTTTTCTGGGTGTTTTGGTGTCTTCTCTTCCTCCTTTCCTTTCTTTCTGTTCTTCTTTTAGTGAAGGTGATTTTCTCAGGTGATATGTTTTAATTTCTTATATTATATTTTTTGTGTATCTGTTGTATGTTTTTTGATTTGAGGTTACCATGAGGCTTGCAAATACTATCTTATAACCTATTATTTTAAAGTGATGACAATTTAACACTGATTGCATAAACAAAGAAGCAAAGAGAAAACTAATAAAAATTAAACTTTATCTTCCAGCTTTTTAACTTTTTGTCATATCTATTTATATCTTACTATACTGTCTACATCTTGAAAAGTTGTTGGAGTTATTATTTTTGATAGGTTCATCTTTTAGTCTTTCTACTCAACATATACCACAATTACAGTGTTATGACATTCTGTGTACTAACTTTACCAGTGAGTTTCATACCTTCACATGATTTATTTTTGCTCATTAACATCCTTTTCTTTCAGATTGAAGAACTCCCTTTAGCATTTCTTGTAGAACAAGTCTGGTATTGATGAAATACCTCAGCTTTTGTCTGGAAAAGTCTATTTCTCCTTTATGTTTGAAGGATATTTTCAGTGAATATACTATTCTAGGATAACAGTTTTTTCCTTTAGCACTTTAAATATGTCATGCCACTCCTAGCCTGTAAAGTTTCCACTGAGAAGTTTGCTGCCAGATGTACTGAAGTTCCTTTATATGTTATTATTAACATGTAAAGCTCCTTTATATGTTATTATTATTATTTTTTATCTTGCTGCTTTTAGGGTCCTTTCTTTATCCTTGATCTTTGGGAGTTTGATTATTAAATGTCTTGAAGTAGTCTTCTTTGTGTTAAAATTGCTTGGTGCTTATAACTTTCTTGTACTTGAATATTGATATCTTTCTCTAGGTTTGGGAAGTTCTCTGTTACTATCTCTTTGAATAAACTTTTTACACCTATCTCTTTCTCTACCTCCTATTTAAGGCCAATAACTTTTAGATTTCCCATTTTGAAGCTATTTTCTAGTTCTTGTAGGTGTGCTTCATTGCATTTTATTCTTTTTCCATTTGTCTCCTCTGACTTTGTGTTTTCAAATAGCCTGTCTTCAAGCTTACTAATTATTTCTCTTGCTTGATCAGTTCTGCTGGTGAGATTCTCTGATGCATTCTTCAACATGTCAATTGCGTTTTTCAGCTCCAGAATTTCTGCTTGATTCTTTTTAATTATTTCAATCTCTTCATTAAATTTATCTGATAGGATTCTGAATTCCTTCTCCATGTTATCTTGGATTTTGTTTAGCTTCCTCGAAACAGCTATTGTGAATTCTCTGTCTGAAAGGTCACATATTTCTGTTTCCCCAGGATTGATCCCTGGTGCCTTATTTAGTTCATTTGGTGAGGTCATATTTTCCTGGATGGTCCCAATGCTTGTGGATGTTCATCGGTGTCTGGGCATTGAAGAATTAGATATTTGTTGTAGTCTTTACAGTTTGGGCTTGTTTGAACCTGTCTTTTTTGGCAAGGCTTTCCAAATATTTGAAGGAACTTGGGTGTTGTGATCTAAGTCTTTGGTCACTGCAGCCATATCCACCTTAGGGGACACCCCAAGCCCAGTAATGCTGTGGCTCTTGCAGACTTGTAGAGGTATCACTTTGGTGGTCTTGGGTAAGATCAGAGAGAATTCCCTAGATTACAAGGAGACTCCTGTTCTCTTCCCTTACTTTTCTCCAAACAAACTGAGTCTCTCTCTGTGCTGAGCTGCCTGGAGCTGGGAGAGGGATGATATAGGCACCCCTGTGACCACAACCACTAGGAGAGCATGGGGTCAGGCCTAAAGTCAGCACAGTACTGGGTCTCACCCAAGGCCTGTAGTGACCACTGCCTGGCTACTGCCTACTTTTGCTCAAGGCCCAAGTGCTCTACAATCAGCAGGTAGCAAATTCAGCCGAACATGTGTCCTTCCCTTCAAGCTGGCAAGTTCTCCCTTGCCCTGGTGGTCCAGAGATGCCATCTGGGAGCCAGAGCCTGGAGTCGAGAACCTTAGAAATCTACCTGATACTGGCCAGGCGCGGTGGCTCACGCCTGTAATCCCAGCACCTTGGGAGGCTGAGGCAGGCAGATCATGAGGTCAGAAGATTGAGACCATCCTGGCTAACAAGGTGAAACCCCATCTCTACTAAAAATACAAAAAAATTAGCCGGGCGCAGTGGCGGGTGCCTGTAGTCCCAGTTACTCCGGAGGCCGAGGCAGGAGAATGGTATGAACACTGGAGGCGGAGCTTGCAGTGAGCTGAGATAGCGCCACTGCACTCCAGCCTGGGCAACAGAGAGAGACTCTGTTTCAAAAAAAAAAAAAAAAGAAATCTACCTGATCCTCTCTATTCTACTGAAGATTAGCTGGCACCCAAACTACAGGACAGTTTTTTCCACTCTTGCCTTCCTTTCCCTCAAACAGAGAAGTCTCTACCAGGGTCGCCACTGCCCAAGGCCTGTGCTGAGTGCTGCCTTGCTACTGTCATATTCACTCAAGGACCAAAGGCTAGTCAGTCAGCTTGTGTGATTGCCGCCAGGCCTGAGTCTCTCCTTTTAGAGCATTAGGTTCCCCTCTGGCCCAGGGTAGGTCCTGAAATGCCATCCAAGAGCCAAGGTCTAGAATCAGGGACACAAGGAGCCCATGAGGTATTGTACCCCACTGTGGTCCAGCTGGTACCCAAGGTGCAAGACAAAGTCACCTTTACTTTTTCCCCAAGTAGAAGGGGTCTCCCCGTAGCTATCTCAGCTGAGAATGTGCTTGGTCACACCTGAAGCCAGCAGGGCTCTGAGTCTCATCCAAGGCTCATAGCGAGTACTGCCTGGCTGCCACTGCTGATTATTTGGGGACCAAGGGCTCTTTAGTCAGCAGGTGATGAATCCTGCCAAGAATGGGTCCTTCCCTTCAAGGAAACCGATTCCCTTCTGGCCCAAGGTGTGTCCAGAAATGTCAGGAGTTAGGGTCTGAATTGGGGGCCTCAAGGACTCTGCCAAGTGCCCTATCCTACTGTGGCTGAGTTGGTATCCAAGTTGCAAGACAAACTTCTCTTTACTCTTCTCTCTCCCCTCCTTAAGCACAGGGAAGGAGCTTCTCCTAGAGCTGCAAGCTGCACTGCCTGTAGTTGGGGAAGGTGTGACTCAAGCATTTCCATGGCCACCCAGCTGACAACCATATATTCTCATATTGACTTTTCTCTTTTAGCTAAACTACTTAAACTTTAAAAGAAAACTTTTTTTTCTCCTTTTCTATAGCAACCTGTTTTTATAGTTTTGGATGCAATATCTGAATATCCTATCAAGCTTCCCTGAGAATACAAATCAGAATTTTTTCCTTAGATCGTCTCAGTTCTGTGAAAAATTGCTTTTTCCTCAGGGGTCATTATTATTTTTGTAATGTGCTCATTTGATTCCTCTCACTGGTGTCGTGATTTGTCTTGGCTATCTGCTAATGCTTGAGTCTCTCTTCGTGAAGGAATGGATTGGTGAAACTCAGGCACAGCTGTGAGCTTTTTCTATAGATTTTTCCTTCAATAGGCCTTTCTCCTGAATCCTCATTTTGGTGTTTGGCTATTTGCTCATCACTTTTGCTCTCTAAACTAAAGCCTATGAAGTTCTCTGAAGTACCTGGATCACCAAGGGTAACTATAATCCTACCCAAATAAATTATTTACTATTTTAGAGAATAGCTTCTACTTTGGTTAAATGGTGGTGCCACCCATCATTCTGTATAGTCAGGGGCCTGGAACAGAGAGGCTGGCTGAGCAGAGCAGGCATTCTAGTGGCTGAAGGAGATTTCTCTTTCTGTTTCCCTTTCTACTCTCTATGCCTGCCTCTGCCTAGCCAGAAGCCTATCAAGGGTTCAGCCATGAAGAATGGCTTCTACTGCCTCGTTCTCTTGTTTCCTGTGCTCTGTTATCTGTCAGCCTGACCCCAATCTGCTTTCCATATTCCACATATGTTTTCAATCTGTAGTCTACTGAGGCCACAGGTATTGAGACAAACACATGTGTTTCCTCTTCCATCTTGAACTGGAAGCTTATCTAAAATGAAAAACCTCACAATAAACCCCTCCCAAATTAAGATTACCAAGCACTAAATCTTCAAGTTAAGGAACATAAGTAAATCAATTTATATGTAACATCGTCCATTTTATATCTTAGCATGTTACTATTCATGTTTTCCTTTTTAACACAAAAAAGAATTAGTTTTAAAGATTTCTGTTCAAAAGGTACACATCCATAAAACCCCCCTATGTGATTTTGGTGCTAACTATTCCAGGAGCAAATTGCCTGTAGGAATTATAGGTTTAGCCTAACTTTGAGCACTTTCTTCTAAAACTGTTCTACAGCTCTTAGAACCTTGTTCAGTCTCTCTAGGGAAGACATATTTAGATATGAATGAGGATTTTTGGAAACTTATCTGCTGAGAAACATCTCAAGTAAAGTAGACCTTTCTGCCCCCCTCCACTTGCCCCCAGCAAAGAAATTTCCTGGAGATAAACTGTTCTCAAGCCAATGATTCTGCCCAAGAGATTCCAGGCTCACAGCTGCTTAGGCAAATTGCCCATCCTGCACTGCTGGTCCACAGACAGGGGTTGTCCAACAACACAAAGCTCCAGTTTAGTTGCCCCCTTCTTTGAATTTAAAGTTTAGGGAGGGTGAGCAACTCTCATCCTTTCTCTTGAAGTTTTGGTGGGAGGCTTCTCCATTTTTCTGGCTTTGGAGAAGTGAAAAAACGTCTTGACTAGATGTACACAGTGTCATTGTAATGGCTGTCAACACATGCTTGATAGCATGTCCTTTTGTCAGAACACTGGAAAACTTATCTCTGGCAGGAATTTTGTTTGACCATTCATTCATGAAAGGTGTATAATTATAATTCCTAGTACTTAAACCAAAAATATTTTGGGTTGTTTGGGAATCTGTTCAACTAACTAGAACATATTGAAAGAAGAAAAAAATGTAAATCAAGTCAATAAGGCCTTCGTATACACATTGTAATTGCAATACTGCTGTGAGTACTCTTGTACTCTAAATATCCCTCAATATTTCAGCTATTTTCAATTGACCTATTTTATTTTTTTTGTACACCTTAGGTAGGAGGTAGAGACTTTGGGACAGGGCCAAATGCCTTTGGCTGTGGTCTCTGGTCATACATACTAGTTTGTGACCAGTAGCCTCTGCCTCAGTGGTCACAGTCAAGGAGACACACAGACAAGATTTCTGCTGTAAGGACCAGCAAGAATCCAGAGGCACTGCATGTAATCTTGGGTCCTCTTTGTTGCTCTCATAAGGTGAGGTAATCATTTTACCACTGCCCATATCCCATCCTGAAGAAGGACAGAGGATGTGTCACTCCATCTAAAAATCTGAGAGCCACAGAATTTTATAGGAGATGACTGAGTTTCTACAAGGACTGCTAAATAAAGTTGGTGGACCAAATTTACTGTAGTAAGCTCAAAGATAGATTTCCTTTCTACACAGCAGGTGAGAATACTTGAAGAAGCAACAAAGAAGCTACATTTTTCTGTATTTTCTCTGGTTGTAAACAAATCTGTGACTCTGACAGTACATGCATTTACTGTGACTCTGATAGTATGTGTATTTATTGACCTGTTTTTCCAGCTTGGGACACAAGCATGTTCACATGTCTAATTTTTTCAATTACTACTTCAAACACCCACCAATTCCTCCTCTTATGTTCTCTCCTTCTGTATCCTCAATTGTCCAAGGACCCCAGGCAAAAAAGACTAGCTGTGCTTCAACATCCCAGAGGAGACAAGGAACTAGAAGGAGAAATCAGTCCATCAGCTCTACTGCTGTAGTTATTGCCCACAACACTCTTGCTGCTGGAGACCTGGTCTATGCAGACTGGTGGATGCTTATTCACTGTGCAGTGATCTCTTATCTAGTCCAATCTCATGCCTGTGCTTTGGCAAGGGCTTAGGCAAGGGCTTTGGCAAGGGGCTTCCTACTTTAGCTTCATGCTGCTTCCCAATTTTCATACCTTGTGTTGAGCTCCAGTACCATCCCAAACTTCCTTTCCCTTCTGGTGAGTGCTTCTGGGGGACTTTGCTTGCTTTCTTGCTAGGGGAACTTGCACGAGACCATCTCAGTCCATTCTGATGAGTCCTTCTAACTTTGAATCTTAGGCACGAGGAGCTGAGTTTCCTCCAGGAAACCAATGGCTTCCTGAAAATTACTCTGTCTCACCTTCAGAGTATAACAAGGTATTCATGGGAAAAGTGGACTCCAGCAACTGACAAAAAGCTTCTCTTTTGTCTTTCAGTCATGACATTAATGACCTCACCTTACATTTGCTTAAGTAAGCAGGTACCTCAAGTGATATATTGTGCTCCTACTATTTGAAATGTATCCCAAGAATACAAATACCATATAAGAAGTTTTTACAGTGTTATTTATAATGATGCAAAATGTATAACAATTCAAATATCCTATATAATCATTCGTTGAATCATTATTATTATTTTTGCTGCTGGAAAACAGAGATATTTGAGATGCTTGTCCTTCTGGAATTTGTTCCAGTTTTTTTTTTTTTTTTTTTTTCAAGATGGAGTCTCACTCTGTCACCAGGCTGGAGTGCAGTGGCGCAATCTCAGCCCATTGCAACCTCCACCTCCCGGGTTCAAGCGAATCTCCTGCCTCAGCCTCCCAAGTAGCTGGTACTACAGGTGTGTGCCACCACGCTCAGCTAATTTTTGTATTTTTAGTAGAGACGGGTTTTCACCATGTTGCCCAGGATGGTCTTGATCTCCTGACCTCGTGATCCACCCCCCTTGGCCTCCCAAAGTGCTGGGATTACAGGCATGAGCCACCGTGCCTGGCCTGTTCCCAGTTTTAAGGCCTTTGTTCCTTTGCTATGGATGTTTTTTCAGTGCCTAAAGCCTGAGTTGCTTGAATACAAGCTTTCTTTTTGGCATTTAGAAAAGCCAAAAGCAATTGGAGAGAATATGTTAAAGGTCTCAAAAGGGAAACTAGGGAGAGGAAAATGCCTTTTTTAAACAAGCAGGATAAAAAAGTAGCAACAGAATGGAGACGCTTCTCTAAGGCTGAGGAGACAGGTCTTTGGATTCCAGTGGTGATGGGAACCCACTCTCTAGGTGCCCTGGTGAAACGGCATGACTCCCAGGGCAAATGGTTGCTTAGAGCACCTAAGGAGACCGAACCGTAGGCACAGGAGTTCCTAGACTGACTCTGTAATGATTTGAATGTCCAAGTGTGGCATAGACATGGCAGAAGTCCCAAACTTCAAATGACTACATATACTCGCAATGGGCATCTCAGTGGTGGTCAGTGTAAACCAAACCCTAGAACATTCTTACCAAATACTGTACTCTGCTTAAGACCCCAGAGCCTTTGCATGACCCACTCTGGCAGGAGTGAGTAGGCCCAATAAAGATTAATAATAAAAGTGAATTTCTACTTTGAATCAAAAGATCATACTCTCGACAACTACTGATTTTTATCATCTTTGAGAGTCATTTTTCTTGCCCACAAGGTAAGGTTATACACAATTAAGTTTCTATAAATCTATCCCTGAATATTTAAAAAATCTGAATTTTCAGAGTAGTGACACAGGTTTTTCATTTCCTCCAGATAAATTTTCAGAGGTGGCTTTTAGGTTAAAAGCCATGGACTTAGAGATATGATAAACACTTCAGCTCTAACCTCTTCACCTTCCCCTCACTCTTGTCTTGAAAGTGTTTGCAGTGAGTTACTTATAAATGAAGGGCCCTCCAAGATTCTAGCAGAGAGAGATGGGAGAGAAATGATTGAGATTTTAGGTGAATATTTAATATATAACAAAGTTGTATTAAAGTTTTCTAAGGGTTTTTTTTTTTTTTGAGACAGAGTCTTGCTCTGTCACCCAGGCTAGAGTGCAGCGGCGCGATCACTGCTCTCTGCAACCTCTGCCTCCCGGGTTCAAGCGATTCTCCTGCCTCAGCCTCCAGAGTAGCTGGGACTACAGGCACCCGCCACTGCGCCGGCTAATTTTTGTTTCTTTTTTTTAGTAGAGACGGGATTTCACCGTGTTGGCCAGAGTGGTCTCAAACTCCTGACCTCATGATTCGCCCACCTCAGCCTCCCAAACTGTTGGGATTACAGGCGTGAGCCACTGCGCCCGGCTTCCAAGTTATTTTTAAAATAACTATTTTGATACTAGAAAAAAATGCTCATTTTTAAATTTAAATTTGAGATCTATGTACAATTTTAATAAAATCCCACCCATGAAAAAAAAATAAAGGGCCCTCTTTCCTATTTGTTTTTGTTCTCCTACTAGAGGCTAGAATGGACTGTCCTGCTCTCATCTTATTTGCTTGCCTAACTTGGACCTATCTTTTCAGACTTATTTCAGAAACTGTCTTCCTCTGGAAGTGCCCCTTGATTCCATGGTCTGGGTTAAGTTCCCTACGCTGTGTGTTCTTGCAGCAAACTGCTCTATATAGCACCGGATCCACCCTGTTGTTTTAACTAAGCAAGTTGCCTTCTCCAAAAAAATCATGTTGTTTTGGTTTGTTTAGTTTTTTTTTTTTTTTTTTTGCAAAGCAAATTCCAAGGAAGATTGTGATACACGTCAAATTTATCTAATCTAGAAATTCACAGAGGGATGCAAAATTGTATTTGGTGAAATAGGAGTACATGTTTTGGAACCAGGCTGCATGGGATCAAATCTTGGGCCCACCACTTGCTGTATGGCCTGGTGCAGGTTATTTAATCTCCCTGTAAGCATATTTCCCATAAGGTTAGTGTGAAAATTAAGTGAATATATTTATATATAATATATTATAATTCATATTTTATATATATATATATTTGTGTATACATATATGATACTGAGAATAGTGCCTGCCAGTCCTGATTGTGCCTGCCACATAGTAACTCAATTATTACCTAAACTGAATACTATTTATATAGAGAGTTTTAGGACTCTTCTGAGGTCTCTGCTGAAGTATGGTGGTGTGGGAAGAGCTAGGCCCTGGATCACAGCCCTTCTACTCTCTTTTCCCACCCTGAGTTTGCCCAACACATGAAAGGTCTTGTGAACACATCTGTGTTCATTCTTCTTATAATGGCTGCTCCTTGGACAACCCCCAGCCTAAAGATATGACTGCCAGAGGCACTGTCCACTCAAGGGTAGAGGGACTCAGAAAAGGGCCAGTGGCAGAGCTGAAATTCTGGGGCCCCTCATATCTGAAATATGGTTTAAAAGAAGGGAGTCAGTTTCTAGGTAGGCATAGCCCTTTGGCCCCTGGGACCCTCACCCTGTGAGAAGGATGGTGCCTGGAGAAAGACCAGAGTGAAATCCTCTTAATCACAGTGCCCAAGTTAGTCTCCTCTTGCCCAGATCTAAGAGTGGTACTGGTCTGTGCTGTGGAACATTCACACCAAGTGAGACTCACTGGTGCCAGTTGATAGATTACATTGCTTAGTGCCAAGCCTGGAATTGTCTTTGCTGAGCATGGTCCTTTTGTGGTATTTGTGAAATATTGTCAAATCTACTTTGAGAACTTTCCCATGTGTGAGCAAAGATGTGAAATCCTTGACAATAGGAAGAATTATGGTTTACCAGACTCTAGCTGGGACACTTCCCCTTTCTGGTTTCCAGCACATAGAGACATTGGCCTCCGGGAATGTTCTTCATCAGAGTTACAGAAAAATCTCAGTTTCTTCTTAAATGCCAAGAATCCAGATTATAACAATGAAACAAATAAGGGACACACTATAGTTTGCAAATACTAAAGGGGATAGAAGATTGTTTCTCTGTACTTTTTCTTCCTCTTTCCTTGTCTGTTCTTAGCATTTGTGACACTCTGAGAACTCCAAAAGCCTGGGAGAAATCTTTTTTCTTTTTTGAGACAGAGTCTCACTCTGTCACCTAGACTGGAGTACAGTGGCATGATCATGGCTCGCTGCAGCCTTGACCTCCTGGGCTCAAGGTATCTCCCTGCTTCAGCCTCCAGAGTGGCTGGGACTCCAGGTGCACACCACCATGTCCAGCTAATTTTTAATTTAAAAAAATTTTTTTTGTAGTGATGGGGTCCTCCTATGTTGCCCAGGCCGGTATCAAACTCCTGGGTTCAAATGATCCTTCTGCCTTGGCATCCCAAAGTGCTGGGATTATAGGCATGAGCCACTGCACCTGGCACACATATTTTATCACTAATGTAATAAAATTACTAATTTTATTACTAAATTTTTTTAATATTTAGTAATTAATTACTAAATAAATTACTAATCTTTCTTGAAGGGAAGACTTAATTAGTGGACTAAGTGTGTATTGTTATTATTGCATAAAAAAGGTAGAATGGGCAGTTTCTGTTTTATTTATTTTGTAACTAGCTCAGGTTGAATTTGGAAAGTTAGTTCTTTCCTTTAAAATTCACCTACTTCTTCAACGAGAAGGAAAATGGAATCTTGGATCAACCAAAAAGAATTGATTTTATTACAATGATTTATGCCATATCTGTTAGCAGTTTTAAGGGAAGTCTTCAACATATAAGGCTAGTGTGTCACTATTATTTAATAAGATGACTGTGTCTATAAAAATAAGCTAGACAATAAGAAATCTTCCCAAATTGAAAGTTGGGAAGTTAAGAAACCCTTCTTGAAAGGATTGCCTTTGAATGACAGGAACTGTCTCATGTGGAGATGCCTGAGAGGTTACCCACTTCTGGCCCTTGCCCCAGGGTGGCTCATATCCAAAGGCAAAGCAGGGGTATAAGAATTCAATCTTCTTTGCCTCTGGGTAGGACAATCTTTGCGGTATAACTCATACTCCAGAGCTCTCTGTGAGTGCAAGCTGAGGTCACACTTCCGCTGATAACACACCTTTGCCCAGCTCCTTCACTAACCAAACTTCCTTCTATCACTCCCAGAGGCATTTCCTCTGAGAGCACTCCCTCCATAAACCACTTGCACAGGAATCTTTATCTCAGGCTTGGTTTTTCAAGAACCTGACCTGATATGGTTTTGCTGTGTCCCCACCCAAATCTCATCTTGAATTGTAGTTCCCATAATCCCCATGTGTTGTGGGAGAGACCTGGTGGGAGGTAATTGAATCATGGGGGCAGTTACTTCCATGCTGTTCTCCTGATAGTGAATGGGTCCTCATGAGATCTGATGGTGTGGTCTTTTCCCCTTTTGCTCAGTACTTCTTGTTGCCACCATGTGAAGAAGGACATGCTTGCTTCCCCTTCTGCCATGTTTGTAAGTTTCCTCAAGCCTCCCCAGCAGTGCTGAACTGTGAGTCAATTAAATCTCTTTCCTTTATAAATTACCCAGCCTTCGGTATGTCTTTATTAGCAGCATGAGAATGGACTAATACATGACCTAACCCTGTATCCTAAGAGTAGTCCTAGGAAGCATACCCTAAGGTTGGGATTCTGGAGTCAGATCATTTGCTGATAGCAATGAGAACTCCAGCCCTTGGAGACGTGGAATTTCAACAGCCTTTGAAATGTCGTAGCAGTGCAGTTGCTAATGAATTTATTTGTGATGAGCAGGTGGAAGGATATACACTAATTCCTGCAATGTCTCTGCTTTCATAGAACTCATTGCTATTTAAAATGATCTGTTTATATTTTTGTTTTCATATTTATTATTTGTTCGTTAGTAGAATTAAAACTCCCCCAAATCAGACTTATCTTGTTCACTAGTATTTCCCCAGCAACTGTGACAGTGCCTAGCATTTAGTAGCTAATCACTAAGTATTGGTCAAATGAATGAATAAAAAATTAATGGAGGATTTTAAGGAAGGAAACGGAGAAGAAGAACTGTTGCTAGGAGTGAGGGGTATGGACCAGGCACTGACACCAGAAAGGTAATCATCTATTTTGAGTTCACTGCCGCCCCTCCTCCCAACCCCCACTGCTTCCTGCCAGGTGATAGTATTTTAGTTAGTAGCTCTAGGGAAATAGTCTCTATTTAGCCTCTCAAGGATAGAACCAAACAGATGGTTTCTACCTCTATTGTATCACTCTTTTGTTTCCTGTGAGTCTTGTCTGTTAGTATGATGCCATGTGTTTTCCATTTTGCAGAAATTTATCCAAATCCGTAGTCCATTGAGACCCCAGGTGGTGAGGCAAACACATGCTCTCTCTCCATCTTGGACTGGAAGCCCATCTAAACATTTAAAATTCTACGATAATTATACTTAATGTAATTATTACTATGTCAAGGCTTAAGTCTGCCATTTTATTTGTTGCTTTTTATTTGCTCTGTTTTTTTTTTTTTTTTCTGTTTTCTTGTTCTTGCCTTCCTGTGGGTTACTTGAACATTTCTTAGAATTCTGTCTTGATATATCTATAGTGGGTTTTGTTTGTTTGTTTGTTTTTGAGACACAGTCTTGCTCTGTCACCCAGGCTGGAGGGCAGTGGTGTGATCTCGGCTCATTGCAACTTCTGCCTCCCGAGTTCAAGCTTTTCTCCTGCCTCAGCCTCCCAGGTATCTGGGAGGCATGTGCCACCACACCCAGCTAATTTTTGTATTTTTAATAGAGACAGGGTTTTGCCATGTTGGCCAGGTTGGTATTGAACTCCTGACCTCAGGTGATCCACCTGCCTTGGCCTCCCAAAGTGCTGAAATTACAGGTGTGAGCCACCGCACCTGACCAATAGTGTTTTGAAGTGTATCTTTTTGTGGAGTTTTGTTATGGTTGCTCTAGGGATTACATTATACATGCATTATACAGTACGTATGTAACTTATCACAGTTACTAGTGTCGACATTTTACCAGTTCAAACAAAGTGTAGAAAGGACCTCCTTTTATATCGCTTTAGCCTCCTATGTTTATAATATATTGCCTTAAATATTTCCTCTATATGCATTTAGAGCTCAGAGGCATGAAAGTCTGAGTTGTGGAAGAGGACTTTTCTGACTCACACCTGTGGGAAGTTTGAGCTCCTTATTACACCTGGTGAGGGAGAAGTCTAGGATCCACACTCGGTCTTTGCTGGCGTGGGTGGAGGTGAGGCCATTTTTTTTGTTTGTTGTGTGTGTGTGCGCGCGTGGTGTTTGGCTAGAAGAGAGCAATTATTGTCTAAAAGGTTTCTGTCTTGCTAGGTGCCCTTTTCCTGGTGTTTTGTCTAAAGATAGCAGGCTTTAGTTGGGGCTTTTTTTTTGTTTGGTTTTTTTTTTTTTGGTATATGCCCGCTGGCGTTTCTGTGTTGCTGGCTTCTTCAGCTTCAAGTTTGAGATAGCTGAGGCCCAAAGAAAACCCAGAGAGCTCACCAGAATGTCATTCCTTGACTCTGTCTTCTTCCTAGATGAACTGTCTACTTCTCTCTACTTTTCCACGTTGGTTTTCTATGTGATGTTCGGGTTTTTAGTTGTATTTAGTGGAAGGAAGAGGAAAAAGCACATCCACCCCCTCTTCTTATAAGTAGAAGTCTACTGTGTAGATTTTTATATCTTTGAATGTTGACCCAAGTGAATGTATTACTATTAAAAATAATTAAATAAAAAATAATGCAATGAAAACAGTAAAAAGCAGATAGGAGATGTAATGAATTACAAAATCAGATTAAGACATTTACCTATCTCAGAAGAAATTGATATAAAATGTATACAATGAGGCTAAAGATAATAAATATGGAGGGTAGATCTAGAACATACATTGTAACAGGATTCCCAAGAAAAACTAGACTGTTCCAGGATCCACACTCAGTCCAGGTGGAGAACAATCAGTAGAAGACAAACAGTAGAACATACTTGACAATTCACAAACTGCCCAAAAACAGCTGGTAAAAAATCTGAAAAGCAAACAATATCTGCAGGAATTTAAAAGAAAAATCAAATTTAAACAGGGAGCTAAAGTTTCTCAGTTATCAAACTGGCTAAGAATTAAATTTGATGACATGCTAAATTAGCTGAAGTATCAGAAATAAGCACTTTCAAACATTGCTATTGGTTGTGTAAATTGTTGCAAGATTTCTGGAGGGTAATTTTGTAACATATATTAAAATTCCTAAAAAGGTTTATTGCATCTGACCTAATTATGTTAGTTCTATTGCTGTATCTGCAGGAAATAGTAAAAAGATCTGTGTAATGATTTAGCTATAGTATGTCAGTTTTCTATATAATTGCAAAAAATTAGACACAATTATATTAGCAAAGTCCTTGGAAGTATTTACTGTGTATTAGGTACCTTTCTAAGCCTTTTCTACTTATTAAATCATTTAATCTTTCCAATAACCTATGAGCTTGGTGCTATTCTTATTCTCTTTTCATAAATGAGGAAAATTGAACACAAAGGGGTTAAGTAAATTGCTAGGATTTGACAGGCAGCAGACTCAGCCCTGAGTCCATATATTTCAACACTCCATCTGCTGCCTGTCTTGATAACACTTACGCAACCTCCATATACATTTGATAACATGTATGCAACATCTAATGATTTATTATGTCATCACCAAAATAATGCACACATTGATATTTAAAATATAAAAAAGTTCTAAATTTATTGTTAATGGAAAGCTGTTAGGTTAGTAAATAATACAAAACAATCTTAGAAAAAAAATCTAAGTGTAGATTTTTGAAGTGTAGAATATTTATGTCAAACAATTAATGATTTTTCCTTTAGGGCTGTGTTGTTCTGGAATCATCTTCTAGTTTCTGTTGTGAATATAATGTATTACCTGTTAATGCTAAGTTTGGCCAAGTGCCAGATAAATTCACAGTTATTGCAATAAGAAAATAGATCTTTCATAAGAATAACTAAATTTTCTCAGAGTTCTCTGAAATTGGATGAGTAGATACCTACTTTCTTCCAAAATTGTCTCAAGTATACAAAAATTAAAAACTAGTTTCATATAGCTTTGCAAAGCTTATTAGAAAGAGGTTGACAGTTATAGAAACAGAGATAAAGATGTTTTCCCTAAAATATTTGAGGTTTATTATTTAAAAATGTCTTAAAAATTATGTCTCCAAATTGCTTGAACCTGGGAGGCAGAGTTCTGGTGAGCCAAGATCACGCCACTGCGCTCCAGCCCAGGCAACAGAGCAAGACTCTGTCTCAAAAAAAAAAAAAAAAAAAAAAAGTGTCTCCTTGATTTCTCAAATAATTGAGAAATTATTTGAGAAATGAATGAGAAATAAATAAGAGTTGATCTACCATTTGATACAGCAATCCCATTTCCTTTGGTATACACTTAAAGGAAAATCAATCATTCTGCCAAAAGGCACATTGTACCCATACGTTCATTGCAGCACTATCCACAATAGCAATGATGTGGAATCAACATAGTTGCCTATCAATGGTTGATTGGATAAAGTAAATGTGATACATATACACCATGGAATACTATGCAGCCAAAAAGAACAAAATCATGTCCTTTGCAGCAAAATGGACACAGAAACAGAAAAGTAAATACTAAATGTCCTCAAGTATAAGTGGGAGTTAAACATTGAGTACACATGGACATAAAGATGGGAACAAAAGACACTGGGGAATACAAGAAGGGGGAGGTCTCTGAAGAAGGGAGGCAAGGGTTGAAAAACTATCTATTGGGTACTATGCTTACAACCCGGGTGACAGGTTTAGTTGTACTGAAAACATCAGCACTACACAACATGTCCACATAACACACTCGCCCATGTACTCCCTGAATCTAGAATGAAAGTTGAAGAAAAAAAAGGAATATAATACCCTCTGCCTCCAAAAAAAAAAAAAAAATGTGTTTCCTCAGGCATTTCCTGGTCATCTTTGCTTTGTTCTTAGAAATGAAATTTATTTGTGGTTTTTTGCTCTCTCAGTGTCACTCCTCTGTAAGTCTTTCTCTCATCTTTGATCAGTTTATTTTTTCTTACCTGTCACTTCTGAGGGTACTCTGGGAATGGGCTAAAATTAGGGCAGCTGCTTTTTTAGGTTGCCATAAACAAAGCAACTGAGTGATGTCAGGCAGAATGATGCTGAGAGTCTCCTGAGAAGGTGATCTGAGTCAGAAAGTGACTTAAACGAGTGAAGAGAAGATAAATACATAATACTAATGGACTGTCTTAAGATTCTTAAATATAATGCATCCAAATAATTTTAAAAATCAAGATAGCAGAAGAAGAGGTGACTTTAAATTATGTTTCATCCATACTTGAGTAAAGCATCAATTGAAATAAGAAGGAGCATCACACTAACCACCACGGTGTCAACATGGCTAAAAAAGAAAGTCAGAAAGCAGTGTCATGCCAACACTTCTAATTTTAATCACAGCTCTAAATGGTCAAGAACACACCCAGAAAATGATAGTGTGTATCTAAGTCTGGGTTTTTTTGTGGTTAACATCTCTCTGACGTAACCTTAGATACTACAGGTGGTTTCTCTTCTTATGGGCAAAATGCTATATACGGTGTGTACTTTCCAGAGACTGTGGTTTGAAAGAGCAATGCTGGCCAGTTGCATAATTACAGGTCTGACGATGAAGGTTGTAAGAAAAACTAACCCTGTTGAATCTCTTAGAAGTTTTTAATTAAGAGGGATTCTGTAAAGAAGACATGTAACGGCTTACAGGTAAAGGCTTACCTTGATTTTGCTTCATTCAGAGGACATGACCTCTTAGAAGGCAAGGTAAACATCTAGACACACATAAATCTTTGTTTGTAATGATAAGAAATGTACTGGCAAATATATCAGACCCCCACACCTATGGGTCTTTCCTGTTGATGTAGTTTCTGACCTTCCAATATGTAATGACTCAGTACTGAAGGCCAAGTGCGAGTGGTGAGTGGTTTCTCTGGTGATCTATACCAAAATAAGGGCTTATAAGTGTTCTATCTTGGTGGCTGTGCTACTGAAATAGATCTGAAACAAGTAAAAGAATAGTTACCTGAAATACACTTGCTATAAAGCTTTGACTCCACTCTAACCGGGATACCTCTTCACAATAAAGAACACTATGGTTAAAATGATGGAATGAGCACCATATCGAGTTCTCCTCTCCCAGATTCTCATGGAGTGACACATAGACCACGCAGAAAAGGAAACAGTCAATCGTGCTGCAAATCAGGAATGGGTAACAGATAAATGCAACCCATTTGCAGCTGGGGAATTTCTGCCAGCTGTAATGGGAATGGGCAAGGGTATTGAGAGCTATTAAAATGGATACAATCTACCCTCTTTAGAATGAGTACGTAAGTCAGCAGCACTAGGACACTGCAAGTGTGTATTTGCACTGGAGAGGCTCTGAGACTCCTCCTCGGTATCAAGGCAACACCAAGCTCCATAGCAGTTTTCAGCTTTGCTCCTAGATCAAGCAGAAAGCCTAGTCCTGAGGAGGAGAATCTAAAGCTATCATCTATAACACACAGTTAGAAATGTGAGTGTAAAGTTGGGGAGAGAGGTTTGAACTAAAAATAAAAAAATCTCAGCATACAGATGGCATTTATAGCCTTGCAACCAGAAGAGATCACTAGGGATGAATACAGATAAAAGGGAGATGTCATCCAAGGATTGAGGTGTGGGCTGTTCCAACATTAAGAAACAGGAAAAGAAGGAAAAAAGAAATCTGGAGGCAAACAAGACGAAGGAGTGAACCGATAACTCCTAAACTATTTCAACTATTCCAGAGAGGACTCTTGATGAACATGGTAGTAAGAGGCTTTTCTTTTCCCCTCAAGATTTCCCCAATATGACAGTAAATGTATATGAATAAGAATCAATCTATGTACATGCTGAAACCAATCCAAGTGCCATCACTTTGACAAATATTCAAAAAGCGGAAAGTATCTTAGTGTTCTTATCCATGGGTAAGACAAGGCACAGGAAAAACTAAATTGCAGCTTTTGCAATACACACAAGCCAAGCGTGAGGGGAGGGGAGATGTGATTTCACATGTATAAAGTCTCCATGCTCTGAGTCAGCAAATACAGAGACAGGGGTGGGCTGTGGGTTGTCAATCAGGATGGTCGACTAGAAGATTGTGTATAGAGCAGGTGGGCCAAGAGGCCTCATGTCTATCCCTGTAAACTGCTATCTGAATAGATCAATTTGCCTGAGAGGTCGTTGGTGTGGGTTTGAAGGGTCCTAGGTGTGAGGCAATACAGAAAATGGGGAGAATATCATACTCTTTTGGGTAATGGAAGCAGTGAAAGAATAGCAAGTAGCTCTCCCTGGGAGTGAAATACGTCAAAATATTGTATCTCAGAGTACAGTCTTCCATCACTTTGGAACTGTGGGGATTCTGACTCAGGCTGCCTATACTTCCCTATGAGCCACATAATCAGAGCCCAGAGGTAGCCATCCCACGGAAAAGAGGTCACACTGGGTGAATATACCAACAAAACAGCAAAGGGACCCCACTTCTACTACCAATACGAACCAGAGCAACTCTTCATTTGTAATTATGTATGGTGAATAAAAAAAATCATCAAAATAATTTTCGGAAAAAAGGGCACGAAAGAAGAGAGGCAGAAGAAAAAGGAAAAATAAATATCAGGAAGAGAAGCGAATGTAAAAGTTTTGTGATTTTTAAAAATATTTCTTCCATAAAATAGAGGAAATAAGAATTAATGTATATTAAATTTATCTTATCAAATTAAAATAATGGAATACCATTATTTGGCAATGCATAAATACATGATCACATAATTGCAGATATTTTATTTTTGTTTTTTGATGTTTAGAATCAATCTAGTCAAAGCACCTAAATCTTAATTTGTTCCAGAACAAAATGCAAATATTACAGATTCATAGAAATGAACATATAGTTGACAGCGTAGAAATAGGTGTATAGTTGACTGATTGTGAGAGTAGAGAGCAGGGAGAAGTGATGGAGGGAAATTTGGAAGCTCTAATTTTATGTAGCACAATCCAGAATCAGTAGGTAACCTTTATTTAGAAATATTTGTGAAAGTTGTGATAAACAATATAACATTAGAAGTTAACATATCTCAGGAAAAAGAAAGGGAGTTTGAGTCAGAGTGCTGCATATTTTTAAAAAATTGATCAATTCAGAAAGAGAAATGCAAACCTATTTGTTAGAATTGCACTGGTAATCACCAGAAGAACTAACACTATAAATGGGTGAAGTGGTTAGCACTTAGGCTGGGACTAGAGATGAAAAGGAAGAAGGGAACTTTTATTATTTTTTTAATTTTTACCCTCTTGTGAGTTTTTTTAAACAACATTTTTATGTATTACTTTCATAAATAACAATTATTTAAAAATAAACTAACCAAGATTATAGAGAAAAACTCCTGAGTTTTTCCTAATACAATGCTAATACAAATGCTAATGCCAATACAAAACTCTAACAGAGATGAAAATGATAAACTTTTAATTTTATGAACTTAATATTGATGCAAATATATGTAAATTAATTTGGTAGTTAAGTAGAAGATTGATATGATTCGCCCAAAAAGTTTATTCCTAGAAGACAAGGATATCGCTACATTAGGAAATAAATTCATACAATTGAACATATTAACAAATCCATTAGGGAAAAAAGCCACAATCATCTGAATGGACGGAAAAGTCAACATTCTTTTCTGATTGATAAAACCTACAATAAAAGACAAATAGAAGTCTATATTTTTAACATGATAAAAGTAGTTGAAACATATATCACAAAATTTAACTCCTTAATATATAAAGTGCTCTTACAAAGCAACAAGAAAAAGATATACCCAGTAGAAAAATAATAGTAGGAGGCAAATCACCAATCAAGTATCCTCAAAACATTAAACAATGTTCAATTTTATTAGTATTTAAAGAAGTGTAAATATAAGCTATGAAATAACTTTAAGCTATTAGCTATTATATTGGCAATGATTAAAATGCTATACTCAGTATTGGTGAGACTGAAATAAATGGGCTGTCTTATCTGACTAGGAGAGGTACATGTTAATAAAATAATTCAGGAAGGTAATTTTTTAATATATTTAAAAAGTATTAAAAGTGCATTTATCCTTTAATCTAGAAATTTCACTTCTAGGAGTTATAGCTAAAGAAATCACTTAAGATAAATGCTTACAAAATTTAGCAACAGGATGATCCAAACATTACATTTTATAATGGAAAAATAGAAATAAACCAAATGTCTAACAGTAGAATAGTTATGTCAATTACGATAAATCTGTATAATACTATTCAACCATCAAAATTAATGTTGCACATGAATACTTGTTCATGTAGAAGATGTTTAAGATATATTAAGTGATAAAAGCAAGGCTTGAAGTAATGTAGCAGTATGATCTTATTTTTGTTTAAATTATCTATCTATCTCTCTCTATGTATCATCTATCTATCTATTTACCTACCAACCTACTTACCTACCTGTCTATCTGAAAAAGCCTGGAAGAATATTATGATGTTAATGTTAATTACCTCTGGTTGGTGTTTTTTCATTTTTATTATTGTCTATTATGATTATACATATTATTGTATATTATTGCATATTATTTTTCTTTTCAAACATAATATATTACTTTTATAAGAAAATAAGTAAATGTTATTTTAAGGTAAAGTAAGTAGATGTGATCTCTTGTGTAAAGTATGAAAAAGGCTTAATAGGCTTTTTACAAGATAAATCCCATAATTCGATTAGAAAATGAACACAGCAGAAAAATGGGCTGTAGACAATTGCCAAAATAAAAACTGTTAATGACCTAGGAACAAGAAACATTCAACCTGACTAGTAATTTAAAAAATAAAATTAAAAAGAGGTTCTCTTTTTCTATAACCAAAGAGACAAAAGATTTCTAAAAAACAGAAAATTATCTATGAAAGCAAATGTTTAGGGCTATGAGATCTCTTGTACAATGTAGAAGTGGCAGTAATATTTCTGCAGAATATGAAACCACATAACAGAAGTGTTAATATTGTACATGCCATTTGGTCCAGACATTTCCTTTCTCTGAATTTTCATAAAAAGAAATGTGGACATGAACAAATAAGGATGTTAATTACAGCATTTTTTATAATGATAAAAATTGGAAAAAACCTAAATGTTCAAAAATACAAGATTGATTAGCTAAATTACAGTATATGAATAAAATAGAATATTATTCCAAAATTGGGTTTTTAGAAGAATATTTAATGACGTGGAACAGGTTCGTAATATACTGTAAAATGAAAAGAAAGTGTTCTTTTTCTGCTCTACCACGATAGCAGAGAATATGTTTTTGGGTGTCATGTGAAAAATACTCTGGTATCTTACCATGTTTGGTATTTGATCACTAAAAATGACTGCTGGTGCCTTACTGATATCTGTCCTGGCACTTGGTAACAGTGACACTGTGAGTGTCTCTCTTTTGTCTACCTTTTTGAATGTATATGATGATTCTACCATGAAAAAAAATCTTATTTAAAAAAGTAAACAATATTGGTGAATAATGCATCTATACTCCTGTGATTCAGAACATTAGATCGAGCACTTAGGGAATAAGTCAGTGATCTTAACTTGAAAATGTAATTAGAACTCATGAAAAAATAAACATGTCACCTATTAGATGTTATGATTAACTTAAATTGATAATGCTGAAATATACTTTTTTTGCTATTCATTAAAAAGACTTAGGAAGTTAATAGAATAAAATATAGATATAGAGTGTGCTTGAAACGACATGCAAATTACAAATCACTTCCACAGAGTTACTGAGGTTCAGTTATTGCTTCTATCATGTACAGAGGCTCTACAGTATAGTGGTTGAGAATTCGGCCTCTTTTGGTCAAAAAGTAGGCTCTGTTGCTGTGTGCACTCGGGCCAGTTGCACAATCTCTCTGTGACTGTTGGAGGCTGAGCTTGCAGTGAGCCAAGATCGTGCCACTGCACTCCAGCCTGGGCGACAGAGCGAGACTCCGTCTCAAAAACAAAACAAAACAAAGCAAAACTAAAATGTATATAATGATAGTACCAACATTACAGGGATGTTGTGAGGTTTAAGTTCATATATTTAAAGGCCTCAGAATACACATGGTAAGATTTCAATAAATGCTAGCTGATATTATAATTTTTATGATTACTGTTACTCTATTTTCTGTCAGCCTGACTTCTATGTCTGTCTTTTACAACAAAACTTTATCAGCGGAGAAAGCCCGAAGCTGTCTTTGAATTTTGCAGAGCATACATGAACCATCTAAAATAAGCCATGGATATCTATGCTCAAGTTCTAGACTTGCTGGTGGCCCTCTCCAACTTTTCTGCTTTGTTGGCATCTTGACTTTCTGCTTTAGACACACGCTGCAACTTTATTCTTTATTCAGTCATTTGGATTACAGTATCAATTTTGGACTTAGACTCATGATTTTTATCTGAAGCACTTCTTTAGGTCTCAGTCCTAAATGCTGACCTCGCTATTTATGAACCAGAACTGTGACTAAGGACCGCCTTACTGTCGTTGTATCCTACAGAATCTGTTCAGGTCTGAAATGAGAGGAAGGCCAGCTAATAGACAGGGTGGGCAACGGTAGAGGTTGAGTCATTGGCTCTTGGGTTGAAGGGAAGAGGATGTCAGCAGGAGGATTTTAGGAAGTAAAACTAATAGAAAACTGATGATGAAAGAGAGGGCAAAGTCTAGGAAAATTTCTACATTTTTGTCTTGGTTGCCTGGAGACACTATGAATAAGAAATGGCAGGTTTCCCACCAAAGATGTCAAGCTGTTACATGAGGCAGATTTGGGGATTTCAGGCAGAGTTTTCCAGCAGACAGCGAAAATCTACTTTCAAGAATTCACACCATTCCTCCAATGCCCTAACTACCAATTAGTCTGAATTAAGATAAGCTGGTATAGAGTAGACTGTTATTTTCTCTTCCCTGTTCGTTTTCAGGAGAATTTGGGTTCCTGCTATATCAGAAATAAACTCAGATCATGTATGGACTTAGATAAAGATGTATTGTGTGAGGATCCACTGAGAAAAAATCTGAACCCCCAGGAATCTGAGTTCCAGAGCTGCTGCTTTTTTTTTTAAATCATGAAATACAACAAAATCAGTTAATATGTCATGCACAAAGTTGTTAAGCAGAACGATATTAATTCTACAGCCAACTGAATTTGTTTCTAAAAGGAATAAAATGTCAGAATGCACAGAAATATCAGTTTTGAAATAACTCAGAGCCACAAGTGTATCTTGTGAAATCTCATATTATAAATTATGGTTTAAGAGATTTAAATAGACTCTAGTAATAATATTAATAGGTGAGAATGTTGAAATGTGTGGCTTCAAAGGCAAATGCAGGAAAAATAGTAATACTTTGCAAAAGGCATATACATATCAATCTACAATGGTATTTAAAATGTTATTATTTCTGCCAGAGTGTTTATTACATGAATGAAATAAAAGAAAAAAATAGCTTAATAACTAAAAAAGGACAGAAGTCCTGGAAAGAAGAAGAAATAAAGATTAAAGCAATGGAAAAGATACCAATACAATTTTTAAAGGAAAAGGTAAATCAGTAAGATACAAAAACTTGTTTCAAGAAAACTGGAGGAATAAAATAAGCAGACTTAATTCATGACAAATGCACAGAAAGGAAAAAAGGAGGGGCACAGGACAGAAAAGGGAACTCAGAGTTACAGGCTTGCTGATTTGCTGTTTCATTCCTTAGAAACCCTCTATCAATAAAATGTAACCACAACTCTGCAGAATACAAACAAATATAAAATTATGCATTAAATGCAAGAAAGATTTAATAAAACACTAAGACTCGTCTTTGGGGGGAGACAGAATGAGTGGCTTTTCCTTCTTTTTAGTTTTCTGTACTTCACCTAAGTGTCTTACATGACGATTAAGCTACTTTCACAATGGACAGGAATTAACTCAATTAAAAAATGAAGCTCTGAATCCCATTTCATATTAAAATTTAATACAGCAGAGCTTTACTCTGTGACCAGCTACTTTGGAAACTGAACAGGATGACATTCTTCCCTGTGCAGTGTGTATTACAAACCTTCATGAAGAAGAATAGTTGTCTCCATTATCTGACACATTTCCTAGCCTGTGTTTCCAATCACTGGCTTTCAATGGGTCCGTCTACCACATGGGTTTTGCACTGTCTTTGCTCTCCCTGGGAAGCAAACAACACACTACTCATGTTTACTCTTACTCTTTCCTATGTGGGTCTTGTTGGGCCTCTGGTGTAGGATTCCCCTGGCTCACAGAGTCTGAGAGGAAACTGCAGCATTTTATTTGAACGTCTTCAACCTTAGACACTCACAGTTCCCTCTGCCCTCTCACACATGCGTTCCAGAATTCGGTGAATACTGGTGAAACTGGGTCTGTCTGCAGGCAGCTTGCTCCAACATAGACGCATGAGATTGTACAGCTCCACGGGGCAGTTCTCAGGGCAGGAGAGGATGTTGCCATCTCGCACGTAGTAAATGACCTCCTCATGGGCCATCCCATAGTAGGGCTGCAGGCCATAGGAGAAGATCTCCCAGAGGACCACGCCATAGGCCCACACATCAGACTCTGTAGTGTAGCGGTTATAAAAAATGGACTCTGGTGGCATCCAACGGATAGGGATAGCGTCGTTTTCATTAGCTTTGTAGTAGTCTGCTGAGTAGATGTTCCTGGAGAGGCCAAAGTCGGCAATTTTCACCACCATGTTCTCGCCCACCAGGCAGTTCCTGGTGGCTAAATCTCGGTGAACAAACTTACGTTCTGAGAGGTAAGCCATGCCAGCTGCCACCTGCCTGGCAATGCAAAGCTGCTCAGCACAGGAGAGGGGTGGGGGCCCAGGGCTGGAGACCTGAGCCCTCATAGACAAGTCACTGTGACTGAGGCTGCACACGGTGTGAGGGGACATGCTGCGGAGGAACTCATTGAGGTCACCATAGGCCATGTATTCAAAGAGCAGGCACATTGGCTTCCCGACAGCACACACTCCTGGAACCAAAAGACCATCCCTGTTAGTCTCAGTTTCTACAATGAAACAATGGAAAGAGCACTCCAAAAGCAAACGACCATGTCAGAACATATGAAGCCCTGTTTTTTGTTGTTGTTGTCGTATGTTTGTTTTTTAATATTTGTATCCTTTTAATCACAACACAAAAGGAGTCTCAGCTAGGAAATGCACTCTGGGTAGTGGGGTTTCTGTCCCTTGGCTAAAGTTTTTGAGGACTTCCAGCAGAGCGCTGTTGTCCTGGGCACTTGTCATAAGTACATCGTACATGGTGCATCAAGTTCATGGTGCATATAAGTACATGGTGTATCAGTTCTCTGGAGTGGCTCTTCTCTCTGAAATCTGGAGGCCCTGGTTTTTTGTTGACAACACCATGGTTGAACCCTGACCCTATTTCTCTGCCTAAACATCTCCTCTTTGCCTTTAAGATTCAGTTTATCACTCTCCCTAGGGTGCCTCAGCTCCTGATCCTTCCAGTAACTGTTAGATTTTCCTACTGTCATCCTTTCACAGAGAACCTACCATCCTATTTTATAATCATTTGACTATTTGAGGTTTCTCCCCAACGTTTTAGCACTTTGAAAGGAGAGATTGAACCTTATTCTTCTTTAAAAATTCCCCACACCTACCACGTGTCTGGCAGAGCAGATGCCTCATAATGTTTGGTGAGTTAATTTATGAATGGATGCTTGCTCTGAGTATGTAATGTAATTGCTGTCTGTTTCTGTTTACTTCTATGAAGGATGTTAATAAGAAAGATGTATCAAGTTTGGAAACAATAACAAATACAATTCAAGTGTCTTAGATGAAGTATTTAAGTTGCTGCAGTAAAACATTTTGAAATTTAGGTTTTACAATGTTCATGCTACCAAAAAAGTTAATATAAATAAAGTCTTAGATTTAAAGCCAGAAGATCATTTTCAAATCTTAAAGTCTTGATATATTTGAGAGGGAAACTGGAGAACTTGGAATATTAGATAAGATGGGCATAATTTCACATCATCTTAAAAATAGATTATTAGATCTATTGGGTTTTTTCAGGCAAAAGTTAAAAGTATCTGTTTGAAAAAGAGGAGAAATGAGGAATACTGCTATCTTGGCTTATTTATTTTGGCATTAATTTTTAATTCCAAGGACCTCAATTAGCACATTTCTGTAAACTAAAGGGAAAAAATAAAGAAATACCAACTGGATAATACTTAGAAGTTTCTTCTGTGGGATCCTTTTTGGATAATCTTTAGTTAACAGGGACTTACCTATCTCATCAACTGGCTTTACCATTGTTATGCTGGTTGAGTTGATTTAAAAATAATTTCTTATACTGGAAAAAAATGACAAAATATTTCTCTGAGAAATAAAGTTTTGAACTAAATTGATTTAATGAAATTTTCCACTCTGATAAAGAAAATACTATACAAAAGATTTCTACTTTGTGATTATTATGAACAATTATATATACATGTGTATAGATATAATTTACAATTATATATGTATATACATTTATTTAAGACCTCAAAATGTTTTCTATATTGTAATTACTCCAACCCAACTCTTAGGTGGGACTTCAAAATATAATAATTATTGAGAGGAAGACTGTATTTTATTCATCCTTGTAACCTCAGGTCTAATACTACACATGGCTCACTATGGGTTTTCAATATATGTTGATGGGTGGATGGATGAATTAATGCATAGGTGGATGCATGGATAGATTTAAGGATGGATGCATAGATGGATGGGCATAAGAAAACCTCATGCCTAGCCCAAGCCATGTCTTTAAACTTTAGCATGACATCTTCAATGAATAATCTCACCTGATTGTTCTACTGTTTGCTCCACTGCCAGAATATTCCGTAAGAGTCTATAATATTCAATGCCTACTCCCATTCTAAAATTCTGCATATTTCTTTAGTTATACCATTTTTCCCAATTTATGACTACAAAACCATTATCCACTAGGATTTCAATAAAAGGGAAACAATTTTTAAGATACGAACATGTTCAATAAGTGGCTGATGTATCAAATATATAAAACAAAGTAGATTTCTTTTATTGATAGAAGTGAATTTTATGGATTTTCCCAATTCCCCTTTCTTCCACTATTGTCATCTTATTTCACTGGGATTAACTTACAAGAAACTATGAGAGTAGTGGAATCACTTGCATGAATGATTACTGCTTATGTATACTTGATAAAAAATAGAACCTGTGTTCATTGGATATCCAAATGGAATTTAGATATAGCATTTAACAAACGGCAACATAAGTTTCAGTTCTTGTTGGACAATAAAAATGAGAGAAAACTCCAAGTAGTGATGTATAAGCATGCTACTGTGGTTAAATTGGAAAACTGTACATAGTTTCTGTTTGAATCAATTTCAGGAATTCAGGATGTTATAAACTGTATACGAATACAGAGTCAACATTTTAAGAAAAGTTGAAACAGGAATTGCTTGATAATCTTGAAAATATGCATGTATGTATGTTTGTTTAATGACTAAATGTATACTATTTGAGAAAGTAAATAAGGAGGGTAGGGGGCAGAAGCCAGATTCAGATTTTTGTGTGATGAAGAATGAATAAATGAATGTTTAGGAGTTGAGGAAATGGAAGAAGTGTTTTCAAGATGAATTGTTATGTACTTAATATCGTTTATTCATTTATTGAACAAATATTTATAGAGTGCCTACAATGTGCCAGAAACTATTCGAGATACTACTATAGAAATTCTTGCTTTTAATATTTATCTAGATTCCTTCCAATATCCTGACCACTAAATTACTTTACTTCCTTTCCTTAGACCTCTGCCCAACTTCAGCTAATCACTCACATTGTCATACCCCTGACTTTGTCATTCCATACATTTGTATACCTCCCATAATCTCATTTTCAGTTACTCTACCTGTTGTTCATCACTTCCTCCCTTTTTCACCCTAGTTCACTGCCTCGACTGCCCTAACTCTAAAAATCCTTTGACCCCACTGAAACTTTTTTTTTGTTTGTTTGTTTTTTATTTGTGAATTATTTATTTTTCCTATGCATTACAATGAAGTCAGTGTAATTCCTAAAAGTATTACTTGTTTGCATGCTGAAATGCCTTCTTTTTTTTTTTTTTTTTTTTTTTTTTGGGTATTCATGCATTTATTTTTTATTTTTTATTTTTTTATTTTTTTGTTATACTCTAAGTTTTAGGGTACATGTGCACATTGTGCAGGTTAGTTACATATGTATACATGTGCCATGCTGGTGCGCTGCACCCACTAACGTGTCATCTAGCATTAGGTATATCTCCCAATGCTATCCCTCCCCCCTCCCCTGACCCCACCACAGTCCCCAGAGTGTGATATTCCCCTTCCTGTGTCCATGTGATCTCATTGTTCAATTCCCACCTATGAGTGAGAATATGCGGTGTTTGGTTTTTTGTTCTTGCGATAGTTTACTGAGAATGATGGTTTCCAATTTCATCCATGTCCCTACAAAGGACATGAACTCATCATTTTTTATGGCTGCATAGTATTCCATGGTGTATATGTGCCACATTTTCTTAATCCAGTCTATCATTGTTGGACATTTGGGTTGGTTCCAAGTCTTTGCTATTGTGAATAGTGCCGCAATAAACATACGTGTGCATGTGTCTTTATAGCAGCATGATTTATAGTCCTTTGGGTATATACCCAGTAATGGGATGGCTGGGTCAAATGGTATTTCTAGTTCTAGATCCCTGAGGAATCGCCACACTGACTTCCACAATGGTTGAACTAGTTTACAGTCCCACCAACAGTGTAAAAGTGTTCCTATTTCTCCGCATCCTCTCCAGCACCTGTTGTTTCCTGACTTTTTAATGATTGCCATTCTAACTGGTGTGAGATGATATCTCATAGTGGTTTTGATTTGCATTTCTCTGATGGCCAGTGATGATGAGCATTTCTTCATGTGTTTTTTGGCTGCATAAATGTCTTCTTTTGAGAAGTGTCTGTTCATGTCCTTCGCCCACTTTTTGATGGGGTTGTTTGTTTTTTTCTTGTAAATTTGTTTGAGTTCATTGTAGATTCTGGATATTAGCCCTTTGTCAGATGAGTAGGTTGCGAAAATTTTCTCCCATTTTGTAGGTTGCCTGTTCACTCTGATGGTAGTTTCTTTTGCTGTGCAGAAGCTCTTGAGTTTAATTAGATCCCATTTGTCAATTTTGGCTTTTGTTGCCATTGCTTTTGGTGTTTTGGACATGAAGTCCTTGCCCACGCCTATGTCCTGAATGGTAATGCCTAGGTTTTCTTCTAGGGTTTTTATGGTTTTAGGTCTAACGTTTAAATCTTTAATCCATCTTGAATTGATTTTTGTATAAGGTGTAAGGAAGGGATCCAGTTTCAGCTTTCTACATATGGCTAGCCAGTTTTCCCAGCACCATTTATTAAATAGGGAATCCTTTCCCCATTGCTTGTTTTTCTCAGGTTTGTCAAAGATCAGATAGTTGTAGATATGCGGCATTATTTCTGAGGGCTCTGTTCTCTTCCATTGATCTATATCTCTGTTTTGGTACCAGTACCATGCTGTTTTGGTTACTGTAGCCTTGTAGTATAGTTTGAAGTCAGGTAGTGTGATGCCTCCAGCTTTGTTCTTTTGGCTTAGGATTGACTTGGCGATGCGGGCTCTTTTTTGGTTCCATATGAACTTTAAAGTAGTTTTTTCCAATTCTGTGAAGAAAGTCATTGGTAGCTTGATGGGGATGGCATTGAATCTGTAAATTACCTTGGGCAGTATGGCCATTTTCACGATATTGATTCTTCCTACCCATGAGCATGGAATGTTCTTCCATTTGTTTGTGTCCTCTTTTATTTCCTTGAGCAGTGGTTTGTAGTTCTCCTTGAAGAGGTCCTTCACATCCCTTGTAAGTTGGATTCCTAGGTATTTTATTCTCTTTGAAGCAATTGTGAATGGAAGTTCACTCATGATTTGGCTCTCTGTTTGTCTGTTGTTGGTGTATAAGAATGCTTGTGATTTTTGTACATTGATTTTGTATCCTGAGACTTTGCTGAAGTTGCTTATCAGCTTAAGGAGATTTTGGGCTGAGACGATGGGGTTTTCTAGATAAACAATCATGTCGTCTGCAAACAGGGACAATTTGACTTCCTCTTTTCCTAATTGAATACCCTTTATTTCCTTCTCCTGCCTGATTGCCCTGGCCAGAACTTCCAACACTATGTTGAATAGGAGCGGTGAGAGAGGGCATCCCTGTCTTGTGCCAATTTTCAAAGGGAATGCTTCCAGTTTTTGCCCATTCAGTATGATATTGGCTGTGGGTTTGTCATAGATAGCTCTTATTATTTTGAAATACGTCCCATCAATACCTAATTTATTGAGAGTTTTTAGCATGAAGGGTTGTTGAATTTTGTCAAAGGCTTTTTCTGCATCTATTGAGATAATCATGTGGTTTTTGTCTTTGGCTCTGTTTATATGCTGGATTACATTTATTGATTTGCGTATATTGAACCAGCCTTGCATCCCAGGGATGAAGCCCACTTGATCATGGTGGATAAGCTTTTTGATGTGCTGCTGGATTCGGTTTGCCAGTATTTTATTGAGGATTTTTGCATCAATGTTCATCAAGGATATTGGTCTAAAATTCTCTTTTTTGGTTGTGTCTCTGCCCGGCTTTGGTATCAGAATGATGCTGGCCTCATAAAATGAGTTAGGGAGGATTCCCTCTTTTTCTATTGATTGGAATAGTTTCAGAAGGAATGGTACCAGTTCCTCCTTGTACCTCTGGTAGAATTCAGCTGTGAATCCATCTGGTCCTGGACTCTTTTTGGTTGGTAAACTATTGATTATTGCCACAATTTCAGAGCCTGTTATTGGTCTATTCAGAGATTCAACTTCTTCCTGGTTTAGTCTTGGGAGAGTGTATGTGTCGAGGAATGTATCCATTTCTTCTAGATTTTCTAGTTTATTTGCGTAGAGGTGTTTGTAGTATTCTCTGATGGTAGTTTGTATTTCTGTGGGATCGGTGGTGATATCCCCTTTATCATTTTTTATTGTGTCTATTTGATTCTTCTCTCTTTTTTTCTTTATTAGTCTTGCTAGCGGTCTATCAATTTTGTTGATCCTTTCAAAAAACCAGCTCCTGGATTCATTGATTTTTTGAAGGGTTTTTTGTGTCTCTATTTCCTTCAGTTCTGCTCTGATTTTAGTTATTTCTTGCCTTCTGCTAGCTTTTGAATGTGTTTGCTCTTGCTTTTCTAGTTCTTTTAATTGTGATGTTAGGGTGTCAATTTTGGATCTTTCCTGCTTTCTCTTGTAGGCATTTAGTGCTATAAATTTCCCTCTACACACTGCTTTGAATGCGTCCCAGAGATTCTGGTATGTGGTGTCTTTGTTCTCGTTGGTTTCAAAGAACATCTTTATTTCTGCCTTCATTTCGTTCTATACCCAGTAGTCATTCAGGAGCAGGTTGTTCAGTTTCCATGTAGTTGAGTGGCTTTGAGTGAGATTCTTAATCCTGAGTTCTAGTTTGATTGCACTGTGGTCTGAGAGATAGTTTGTTATAATTTCTGTTCTTTTACATTTGCTGAGGAGAGCTTTACTTCCAACTATGTGGTCAATTTTGGAATAGGTGTGGTGTGGTGCTGAAAAAAATGTATATTCTGTTGATTTGGGGTGGAGAGTTCTGTAGATGTCTATTAGGTCTGCTTGGTGCAGAGCTGAGTTCAATTCCTGGGTATCCTTGTTGACTTTCTGTCTTGTTGATCTGTCTAATGTTGACAGTGGGGTGTTAAAGTCTCCCATTATTAATGTGTGGGAGTCTAAGTCTCTTTGTAGGTCACTCAGGACTTGCTTTATGAATCTGGGTGCTCCTGTATTGGGTGCATAAATATTTAGGATAGTTAGCTCCTCTTGTTGAATTGATCCCTTTACCATTATGTAATGGCCTTCTTTGTCTCTTTTGATCTTTGTTGGTTTAAAGTCTGTTTTATCAGAGACTAGGATTGCAACCCCTGCCTTTTTTTGTTTTCCATTGGCTTGGTAGATCTTCCTCCATCCTTTTATTTTGAGCCTATGTGTGTCTCTGCACATGAGATGGGTTTCCTGAATACAGCACACTGATGGGTCTTGACTCTTTATCCAACTTGCCAGTCTGTGTCTTTTAATTGCAGAATTTAGTCCATTTATATTTAAAGTTAATATTGTTATGTGTGAATTTGATCCTGTCATTATGATGTTAGCTGGTGATTTTGCTCATTAGTTGATGCAGTTTCTTCCTAGTCTCGATGGTCTTTACATTTTGGCATGATTTTGCAGCGGCTGGTACCGGTTGTTCCTTTCCATGTTTAGTGCTTCCTTCAGGAGCTCTTTTAGGGCAGGCCTGGTGGTGACAAAATCTCTCAGCATTTGCTTGTCTATAAAGTATTTTATTTCTCCTTCACTTATGAAGCTTAGTTTGGCTGGATATGAAATTCTGGGTTGAAAATTCTTTTCTTTAAGAATGTTGAATATTGGCCCCCACTCTCTTCTGGCTTGTAGGGTTTCTGCCGAGAGATCCGCTGTTAGTCTGATGGGCTTTCCTTTGAGGGTAACCCGACCTTTCTCTCTGGCTGCCCTTAACATTTTTTCCTTCATTTCAACTTTGGTGAATCTGACAATTATGTGTCTTGGAGTTGCTCTTCTCGAGGAGTATCTTTGTGGCATTCTCTGTATTTCCTGAATCTGAACGTTGGCCTGCCTTGCTAGATTGGGGAAGTTCTCCTGGATAATATCCTGCAGAGTGTTTTCCAACTTGGTTCCATTCTCCACATCACTTTCAGGTACACCAATCAGACGTAGATTTGGTCTTTTCACATAGTCCCATATTTCTTGGAGGCTTTGCTCATTTCTTTTTATTCTTTTTTCTCTAAACTTCCCTTCTCGCTTCATTTCATTCATTTCATCTTCCATTGCTGATACCCTTTCTTCCAGTTGATCGCATCGGCTCCTGAGGCTTCTGCATTCTTCACGTAGTTCTCGAGCCTTGGTTTTCAGCTCCATCAGCTCCTTTAAGCACTTCTCTGTATTGGTTATTCTAGTTATACATTCTTCTAAATTTTTTTCAAAGTTTTCAACTTCTTTGCCTTTGGTTTGAATGTCCTCCCGTAGCTCAGAGTAATTTGATCGTCTGAAGCCTTCTTCTCTCAGCTCGTCAAAATCATTCTCCATCCAGCTTTGTTCTGTTGCTGGTGAGGAACTGCGTTCCTTTGGAGGAGGAGAGGCGCTCTGCGTTTTAGAGTTTCCAGTTTTTCTGTTCTGTTTTTTCCCCATCTTTGTGGTTTTATCTACTTTTGGTCTTTGATGATGGTGATGTACAGATGGGTTTTCGGTGTAGATGTCCTTTCTGGTTGTTAGTTTTCCTTCTAACAGACAGGACCCTCAGCTGCAGGTCTGTTGGAATACCCTGCTGTGTGAGGTGTCAGTGTGCCCCTGCTGGGGGGTGCCTCCCAGTTAGGCTGCTCGGGGGTCAGGGGTCAGGGACCCACTTGAGGAGGCAGTCTGCCCGTTCTCAGATCTCCAGCTGCGTGCTGGGAGAACCACTGCTCTCTTCAAAGCTGTCAGACAGGGACACTTAAGTCTGCAGAGGTTACTGCTGTCTTTTTGTTTGTCTGTGCCCTGCCCCCAGAGGTGGAGCCTACAGAGGCAGGCAGGCCTCCTTGAGCTGTGGTGGGCTCCACCCAGTTCGAGCTTCCTGGCTGCTTTGTTTACCTAAGCAAGCCTGGGCAATGGCGGGCGCCCCTCCCCCAGCCCCGTTGCCGCCTTGCAGTTTGGTCTCAGACTGCTGTGCTAGCAATCAGCGAGATTCCGTGGGCGTAGGACCCTCCGAGCCAGGTGTGGGATATAGTCTCGTGGTGCGCCGTTTCTTAAGCCGGTCTGAAAAGCGCAATATTCGGGTGGGAGTGACCCGATTTTCCAGGTGCGTCCGTCACCCCTTTCTTTGACTCAGAAAGGGAACTCCCTGACCCCTTGCGCTTCCCAGGTGAGGCAATGCCTCGCCCTGCTTCGGCTCGCGCACGGTGCGCACACACACTGGCCTGCGCCCACTGTCTGGCACTCCCTAGTGAGATGAACCCGGTACCTCAGATGGAAATGCAGAAATCACCCGTCTTCTGCGTCGCTCACGCTGGGAGCTGTAGACCGGAGCTGTTCCTATTCGGCCATCTTGGCTCCTCCCCCTGAAACTTTTAATCTATTGATCCTACCCCCTTTTAATGATCCCTACTTTCTTCACGTTTTGTCTTCCTTCCTTAAACAGCTTAAGTTCCTTGATCAATCATAATAATCACTCCTTTGCATACACCTCTCTTATTTGCCTCAATTTGACTTCAACTTACTTGTGTGGCAAAATGCTAATTCTGGTAAAATTTAACTCCTCTTAACGAGTCTATGCCCAGCTGGCAGCATTTGGATAAATACACAACCATGCTGACCAGTCTCATGTTAAATGTGTAATCTCTAATTTCAAGTAAGCTTTTAATGTTCTTGCCAATCATATTATGTTTCTCTAGTCCATTTTATATTTTATGTAAAAATGGATTTTCTTAGATGACAATTTATTTCTTCTCTTTCCTCAAATCTTCAACTCTTCTCCCATTCCTCACCCTCAGATGAGATCTTGATTCCTACCTCACAGAGAAAACTAAATCAATCAGAAGAGACTGGCTACAATCTCCAGCCAATTCTCTCTTATTACTATGGTTGATCTGAGCATTCTCTTTACAAAGGCCAATCCATCCAACAGTGCCAAGATTCCATTCCCTCTCACTGTTCAAAGATGTTACTTCCACTATTTGCCAACCCTGTCATCAATTTTTCTCTTTACGGGATCATTCTCATTAATTTACAAATGTGCTATTACTTCCACATGAAAGGAAGCATGCTTCTTTCTGCCCCCTTCAGCTCTATCCATGTTCCTTGGTTCACCTTTATGGCAAAACAAGTTGTTTATACTTTTTCTCCAGATTTTCTCTTCCTCTTCTTTTGAGCTCACTTACATTTCCTCTGCCCCCAACATTCCTAAGAAACCTCTCTTCTCGGGGTTACCAGTGAACATCCATGTTTACAAATTCAAGGTCACTTTATAGTCCTCCTCTCACTTGACTTAATGCATATGACATGCTCACTTTCACCTATTTAAAATACTTCATTTGACATCCAGGACACCACACTCTCTTGATTTACTTCTATTTCATTGGTTGCTCGTTTTTAGTTTGTTTTTCTTGTTCATCTCCTCTTTCTCACACTAAATACTGGAATGCTCCAGGCCTTGGTCCTTGGACCTCTTCTCTGTTCTGGCTTGCTTTCTCCATACTTAGGTGTCTTACTCAACCTCATGGCTTTAAATACTCTGTGTACTGCAATAGCCTTGGATTCATGTCTAACCAGATCATCCTTACCAGAACTCTAGGCCTCCATATCCACATGCATCCTTAACTTCATGTGGATCATGTGGATGTTGAATAAGCATCGCCAAAAAACACGTCTTTTTTTTTTCCCAGATGGAGTCTCACTCTGTCACACAGGCTGGAGTGCAATGGCACAATCTCGGCTCACTGCAACCTCCGCCTCCCAGGTTCAAGCAATTCTCCTGCTTCAGCCTCTCAAGCAGCTGGGATTACAAGCGTGTGCCACCACACCCGGCTAATTTTTGTATTTTTAGTAGAGATGGGGTTTCACCATGTTGGCCAGGCTAGTCTCGAATTCCTGACCTCAGGTGATCTGCTCGCCTCGGCCTCACAAAGTGTTGAAATTACAGGCGTGAGCCACAGTGCCTGGACAAAAACCACATCTTTAAATGAATTCCCACTCTCTCCACTAAAGGAACCTGTTCCTTCTGAGTATTCCTCAACTCAGCCAATGGCACCTCCATTCACTCATCTGCACAGCCAAATACTTCGATACTATCTTTGACTTTTCCCTTTTTTGCACATCTCATATTTGGTCTGTCAGCAAATTATTTGGCTCTACTTTCACATTACACATGGAAGAGAATCACTTCTCACGATCTTCACTACCACCACCTGGCCCATGCCATCATCTTCTCTTGCTGCATCATTGCAATACCTGTTTACTGTCTTCCTGATTTCATTGCTTCCCTTCATGCAATGCTCAAGAAAGCAGCCAGAGAAGATCTGAAAAAATGTGAGTTGTGTCATGTCATGTCTTGGCTGAAACTCTCCATTTGTTTCCCAACTTAGATTAAAAGCCAATGTTTTTAATAAGGCCTGACAGGACCTGCCTACCTCCCCCATTACCTCTCTGATCTCATCTTTGATAACTCTCCCCATCTTTCACTCTGCTCCAGCCACATTCATCTCCTTGCTATTCCTCAAGCATGCCACATCTGCTCTTGCCACAGTACCTTTGCAAATGCTTCTCATTCTTTTTGGAATGTTCTTTCCCAAGATATCCACACTGTTATTCCCTTGCCTCTGCCAGGTCTTTATATAAATGTAATATTTTCACTGAAGTCTTCAAACTTTGTAGCTCACATTCCAACTTCTCTGCTTTAACACTTTAAAAAGTCTGTAGAACTTAATATCCAGCATCCCATATTTTTGTTTTTTTTTTATTATCTGTCTCCTCATATAGAGTGAATGTATGCTCTATGAGAGCACAGATTTTTTTTTTCTTCCTTTTTTAAAGATGGAATCTCACTCTGTCACCCAGGCTGTGGTGCAGTGGTGCAATCTTGGCTTACTGCAACCTCTGCCCCCCCGGTGTAAGCGATTCTCATGCCTCAGCCTCCCGAGTAGCTAGGATTACAGGCCCACACCACCACACCCAGCTAATTTTTCTATTTTTAGTAGAGATGGGATTTCACCTTGTTCGCCAGGCTGGTGTCAAACTCCTGACCTCAAGTGATCTGCCTGCCTCGGCCTCCTAAAGTGCTGAGATTATAGGCATGAGCCACTGCTCCCAGCCGAGAGCACAGATTTTTGAAAAGTTTTATTAATTGCTGTGTAATTAATACAAACTAAATATTTGTAAAATTTGTGTTGAATTTATGAATCTGGGAATAAACTGGAACTCAACAATGAACAGAAAAGATACAAATCGCTGCTCATGACATTCTAGTTAGGGAAGAAAGAGGAGAAACAAAATAAGTAAAATATATAGACTTTTCAATATTGATAAATTTTGTGATGGAGAAGCAGTATTAATTTTTTACAATGGGGACATTTTAAACATTTTTATAAATAGGAGGCAGCAAAGACAGAGACAAATTGAAGTGATGAATTTAAAGAGGGATAATCCATTAAGCCATGAATGTCCTATAGGGTTGGGATAGACCAAGGTGAAGAAGCTAAATTTGAAAAGGAACTGAAACGTCTCACTGATCAAGGAGAAAAGGAAAAAGCACGAACAAGGGGAGAAAAACTTGGAAAGCCTCTGTTTTCTGATGAAATACATATCCTCACTTGTATTTTCATACCTAATAGCTTCACAATGTTAGGGTTGTCAAATTCTGCCATGAGGGCTGCCTCCCTCTGAAAGTCCGCTTGCATATCTGCCGAGGCTTCTTCTTTGAGCATCTTTACTGCCACCATAGTGAAAGGTTCATAGGGAAGTAAGCCTGGTGCCCTGAGAGATACATTTATTGAAAAAGAAACCAAAGATCATGGACATCATATCTTTATACCTACCCACATTTATACATATCCTCCCACCTCCCCTGTGTAAAAGGCTGGTTAAGTCTCACGCAGCCTTTCCCAGAGCCACAGAATCAAAGAAAGACAACATACTTAAAACTCCTTGATGTCAACTAATAAAAATCACTGGTGTTATTTTCAACAATTTCAAACAATGAAGTTTGAAAGATGCATTATTTACAAATTATAGGAATTCTGAAGTATACACCCCCAATAGGATTATCATTGCCATCCTAACCTTTTTTTTTTTTTTTTTTTTTGAGACAGAGTCTCACTCTGTCATCCAGGCTGGAGTGCAGTGGCATGATCTAGGCTCACTGCAAGCTCCACATACTGGGTTCACACCATTCTCCTGCCTCAGCCTCCTGAGTAGCTGGGTCTACAGGCACCCGCCACCACACCTGGCTAATTTTTTGTATTTTTAGTAGAGACAGGGTTTCACTGTGTTAGCCAGGATGGTCTCAATCTCCTGACCTCGTGATATGACCACCTCGGCCTCCCAAACTGCGGGGATTACAGGTGTGAGCCATCGCGCCCAGCCACATCCTAACCTTTTAATCTTTGTCCAGAATCTAAATTCCATGACGTAGGAACTATGGCTTACTCATCTTTGTACCCTCCATTGAGCCTAAAGTGGTGCCTTGCAAATTTTGGTTTCCAAGACATGTTTGTGTGAGATTTTCACTATTCATGTAACCTCTACGCCAGGGCCACCATGGGTGGAGATTAAGTTGTGTCTTGCCCAAGAGCACCAGGCCGAAGTGCCAGTTGGAGATTAAAACCAAATTCATATTCTCTGGCTCAGCTGTGTGTCTGTGGAGCCATATCCATGCAGCAGAAAGGGTATTTTATTCCAATTCGCACAAAGGTGATACATAGGCTAATATTGGCCCTAATACATACTCCTTTCTTGAGCTCATTTTTTATAAATTTTTGCCTTTTTATTCCTTTTCTGTTTGTCATTTCATGAACATCTACTTAATATCTATACATTATATTATAATGTAAGGAGTTATTTAAAACAATGTAAGAAATTATGATTAAAAATATATGGTAAATTCTTTCCTGAAAAGGAAATATTATTGAACTATATTACTAATTTCTTATAATTTAAAAATCGTAGAAGTGAAGACACATTTACATCTCCAATAAATTACCTATTTTAAGTGCAGTAAAATATATTATCTCCATATAGGCTACTGTTTTCCAGCAAAGAGGGGAAATTAAGATTTGAAGTGTATTATGCAATACAAATAAGGTTAATGATGTAAAGAATTAACTAGTTTTTCTTTTCTTTTTTTTTTTTTTTTTGAGACAGAGTCTTGCTCTGTCACCCAGGCTGGAGTGCAGTGGCGCGATCTTGGCTCACTGCAACCTCTGTCTTCCGGCTTCAAGCAATTCTTCTGCCTCAGACTCCCGAGTAGCTAGGACTACAGTTGTGCACCACCATGCCTGGCTCAATTTTGTATTTTTAGTAGAGACGGGGTTTCGCCATGTTGGCCAGGCTGGTCTTGAATTCCTGACTAAGGTGATCCTCCCGCCTCAGCCTCCCAAAGTGCTGGGATTACAGGCACGAGCCACCGCACCTGGCCAGAATTAACTAACTTGATAAAAACTATTTTATATAGTATATTATTACCATATAATACATATATAATATTGTATTAATACTATATAATACTGTATATTACACTGTGTGTATATATGTATATGTGTGTGTGTATATATATATACACACACAGTGTACATATATATGTACTATATCATTAGCTTGATATATATATATATATGTGTGTGTATATATATATAAAGCTAATATTATATATATACCAAGCTAATAGTTTGGTAGCTTTTCAGACATAACATATTTCAATGGAGTTTTTTTTTCCATAGGTAACTTTACCTTGCTTGAAACACCCTTCCAAACGCTCCCTCTCCGATGTCTCTCACATATTCAATGTTATTCCTTGGATACTCCAGGCTGAGCAATTTGGGGTTCAGAAGGAGCGGCATCCTCTGGTACATGGGGTTGGGATGAAGTCTATCTAGTAAGAGCTCAGAAGGCAGTGTGGTGAGGGTTACTGCTGCTGATTCTCTGCAGGCAAGACAGGCAAGATCAGGAATGAGCTCAGAAGCAGGTTAGATCTTTGTACTTAGACTTAGATTCTAAGAAATATGGCATTTAAGAGTAATGAAAACAAGTTATACTAAGGCAGCCAAAGATCCTTCGTTTTGAGAGCAATAAAATATTTTGTTTGGTCTAGAGTCAAAAGGCACATTTTCTCAGAAATGTTTAGCTCTCCAAGCCAGCAATGGCAACAGGCCTGAGGAGAAGACAAGGAGCAGGAATAGCCATTTTCCTCCAAATTATTGTTTAGATTTTACCTTTTGTGAAACAGTAACCCTAGGGCATTTGATTTGATCCCATGCCAAAAAGTCATTGACATTTGTAAAGATCATGATGGGGGTGCTTAATTTTAAAGCAGGGCTACGGATATATTTAGAGAGTTGCAGTGTCATATATATTCCTCACGTCATACCAACTCCATAAAACACAAGGCTTTAAAATATTACTACACATGGTTAGCTGAAACTAGAATCTCACCTTTTCTTATTTTTCCATTGTTTTCTTCTTCGGCAGCAATAGAGAGTAGTTATGGTAAGAAGCACAAATATTGCAAAGCTGGACATGATGGAGATTATTACAGTCATGGAGTATGTAGGTGAGACAGAGAAGGAAGAAGAGGAGGAGGAAGGCAGATTTGGAATGTCCACACTTGGCTTTGAGGACGTCATTGGTGGGAATGCTGTAAGTAAAGAATAATTATTTCATTCATTCTCAAACCTTTAAGAAGCAATTTTTTGTATTTAAGCAATCAGTAAAATAAATTTCATGATAATAATATATTTATGTATCAGGTTCTCCCTGGTTATATATTTATAAAGTTCAGTAAGGTCTAGTTGTAAGTAAATCCAGCTTATAGAATAATAGAATTTTAAAGATGAGACTCAGAGAGAGGAAATAGGTTTTTTTTTTCTGAGATAAATGTAGATCTTGGGCTGGTGCCATTTATACTGAATCATATTATCTATGACCTGACATAAATCATGGAAATTATCAAATAAAATATTTTCACATAATTACACTTGACATCAGGATTGTCTAGAGCTGAGCTTTTATATACATTTACTGTCAGTTTACAAACAGAAGAAAAATCATGAAAGAAGATGAAAAATGAAAATATTAGGAGACAAATGAGAAGTTAATTCATCTAAAAACTGAACTCCTGTCAAACTTCAATTTAAAAGGCCGATGTGATATGTATAAAGTAAAATCAGCATTACTGTTGGAAACCAAAAGATGCCATACTCATACCACTATTTGTAGAGTACAAAGTCCATTGTATATGTATTAAAAGAACCTTATTAATCACATTTAAATCCTCTTAACAGATTGAGTAAAGACAAAAACAGGGATACAGAGTATTTTAAAATAATCAGCAACAATGTTTTAATAGCTAAGAATGACCTTTGTACCCAAAAATAGAGAATAAACCTTCCTTTCAAATATTTGTGGATTAATCTCAATAAATTTTAAAGGCAGAAATTATGCATATCTACTTAATGGCCAAAGTGCAATTAATAATAGATTAAATAAAATCCAATGGGACATTTTTAAAAAGAAAAAAATCAATGACTTTTTGATCAAAAACTAGAGAGTAACTATAGTTATAGATTAGACACAAGCCTCTTAATAGTGTGTATTTTATTTAGCCAAAGTTGTGCTCAAAGATAAAGTCATAGTGTTATCTCCTTCCACTAGATAAAAAAGAATGAAAGTAAATGAACTGAACATTTAACCCAAGACTTTGGGTAAGAAACAATAACTACAGAAAACAAAAGATAATAGGTAATAAAGTAACAGCCATACACAAGCAGAAGTTAATAAGTTAGAATACACGTAACACAAATGATAGAATTAAAAGATCAATAGTTGGTTTTATAAATATTCATATAGTAGTCTAATCAATGGAATTTTAATTAAAGAGAAAAGGTACAAACAGAAAATTAGAAATGATAAAAAAGTTATAACAGATTCAAAGTTAATTAAAATAATGTGTAATTATTATATTTCACACCTTAAGGAAAATGATAGGAACATATTAATCCCCAAATTTGAAGCATTAGAAAATATAAATATTACCATAGGCAGGAAACTAGATTTTTAAGTCATCACATTATAAAAGACATTCTTTTAGTCTTGAAAGAGATAAAATTTCCATATTTATAATATGTTCCAGTAAGAGAAAATTCTTTCAAATTATTTTAGAAATTATTATAATACCAATATCACAACCTGGCAATGTTAGCACAGAAGAAAAGAGCATACATAGATTATACAACCTAAGTTTAGAAGATCCTAAACGAAATATTAGCAACTGACTACATCATAGTCAGAGAATAATGATTTAATAGAAGGGGACATATTAATATAACATATTACAAAGTCAAAATAAAACCTTTATGGCAGTAGATGCCTAAAGCATTTGAAATAGGGCACTTGCAAAATTGGAGGCTACAAGAGACGCTCATGTATGACTTCTTAGTCATACATGAAGTGGACCCAGTGATTATGCCCTGAGTACCAATGGCTAAGCAAGTGATTCTGAAGCCTGCGGATGCCAGGCCTGGTCACCACTGTGACTCAGGCAGGCACCTGGAACTGGAAGAACATCAGCACAGCAATAAAACATCTGCGCAAGATCAGTGACAGCATGCCTCATCCGGCACCACAGGAGTGGTGGACTCAACAGACTGACCAGGTTCCTCTCTGACTGACTTGAAAGCTAGTCTGATTCTCTTTGGACTGAGTCATCCCAAGTTTTCTCGATCTAAGATGGGTGGGTGGTGGTGGTAGGGGGTGGCTTAAATTGACGAGCTTTGCTTTCTGCTAATAATAAAGTTGGAACAATTATTAAAAGATAGGGAGAAATAACTATTTTTGTATTTGGAGTTTACAGAGCATCTCACACCATATATAACATGTGAGGGAATATAATGTAATTAGTAAAGTTGGTAGTGTAATTTCACTGGTAAATATAAGGTTAGTTTTTCTAAAAAGAATCAGAAAGTAGAATTTACTGTCATGTTAAAAGAAAAATCTATGATGATTTAGTGAGTTTTTTTAAAATGCAAGAAATGACATAGTTGGAACAATAATTTTGCTTTATGGATTTAAATGTTTCTTTCCTTCAAGATAGTTTTGTTTTGTTATTCCTTGATGACTGCTTCTGATTTGATCTGATCTTCCCTTGAACTACATCAATGATCTCTTTGGGTCTAAAGGATCACTTTGAATCGTCATTCTTTTTCCTTTTTATCTTTTCTCTCACCAATTTTCTGTCTTGATTCTTTTCCTCTGAACACTACGGGAGTTTATACACTCATTCATCCATATGTAAATGCATTCACTAAATCAATAGTGACTGTTAGGTATCCAGAACACTGTGGTGAACATGAGAAGTCTTTGCTTGTCATGAGACACAAGTGAATAAATGGAGAAATAAAACAAAATATAAGAAGCATTATAGGAGTAGTAAGAACACGATGCTTGTGAGTCTCGTTCAGGGCTGGCACTAACTCAGGTTTAGACATACTGAGAAGGTTTTCTAGAGTGAGTAACTGTAAGTTAAACATAAATGGTGAGTAGCCAGTAACCAGTTGAAGGTTATGATGATCTGAGTCTTTGTGTCTTTCCCCCACATTCATGTGTTGAAATGAATAAGGGTAGAGTCCTGATAAATGGAATTAATGCCCTTATAAAAGAGGTCCAAGAAAGCTCCCTCGCCCGTTCTGCCATGTGAGGACACAGGGAGAAGACAGCTATGTCTATGAGGAATGGGTCCTCACCAGATACCAAATCTGCTGGCACCTTGATCTTGGACTTCTTGGACTCCAGAACTGTGAGAAATAAATTTCTGTGTATAAGCCACCCAGTCTGTGGCATTTTGTTATAGCAACCTGAACAGACTAAGGAAAAGGTGTGGGCTGGGAGCAGTAGCTCACGCCTGTAATCCCAGCACTTTGGGAGGCTAAGGCGGGTGAATCACGAGGTCAGGAGATCGAGACCATCCTGGCTAACACGGTGAATCCCCATCTCTACTAAAAATACAAAAAATTAGCTGGGCATGGTGGTGGGCGCCTGTAGTCCCAGCTACTCGGGAGGCTGAGGCAAGAGGATGGCGTGAACCCGGGAGGCGGAGCTTGCAGTGAACCAAGATTGTGCCACTGCACTCCAGCCTGGGCGACAGAGTGAGACTCCGTCTCAAACAAAACAAAACAAAACAAAACAAAACAAAACAAAAAAACACACACAAACGTGTGTGTGGGATGGGGGAATTAAGAGAGTAGAATGGAGTCAGGGTAGAGAGATAGTATTCTATAAAGAAGTAATAGCATATACCAAGATCTGAACTAAGCAGATGTGATGCCTTTCTAAAAGTGCACCTAGAAGTTTCATTGTTGGAGTTGGGGAGTATCTATAGGTAAAGCTGCAGATATCAGGTTTAGTGATAAAAGTCCTTGTATACCAATTTAAGTAATTTGGACTATGCCCTGCAGCAAATGGAGGGTCTTATAGGAGTGTTTTACGAGGTGGAATAGCATGATCAACTTTTTGCATTAGAAAGGTCTGTCTACCATCCTGATTTCAATGGGATAAAGATTCCCATCATAGCTTATCTCAAGCTCCCAACATGAAGCCCTATCATGGAGTTGGAAAGAGATGTTCAATAGCACATGATTAAACAATTTTTATCATACAGATATCACGGATAAAGGGAAAAATCAAAAAGTTTCTGCCTAGATAGAAAGAATAAATTACTTACAGGAAAAAAATAAATTCACACCAGACTACCTGCTTCCAACACTAGAAGCTAGAAAAGAGTGAAATCACATCTATAAACCACCCAAAGAAATGTCACTCAGGAGTTCCATACCCAGTTAATACACTTTTCAACTACCCAAATAAAAGAAAACAATTTGATAACACACAAGGCTTCAGGGATTCTGTCTCCCAAGACACTTTCCCTTCTAAGGAAATACATGAGGAGACTCTTAATAACAATTGAATCAGAAAATAACTTCAGGATACATGTGAAGGGGCTGTGATGGGTGGAGTCTTGGCTAATTCGCTAGGTAAGACTCAATATTGAGAATCACTCTGCAAAGAGAAACCTAAGAGTACCAGGGGAGGTAAGGAAGAAGATCCAAGCAGTCTGAGGATCTCCTGGAGATTCTGAAAGTCCCATGGGGTGGGCAGAAATGAAGAATAAATAGAGCACTGCGATGTGTAGAAAGAATTGGTGTCTGACTTTCACTTAGCAGTGGAGAAAACATAACCAGTAACAAGTAAAGAAAAAGAAAAAGAAGAAGCAAAAACGTAAAGCGAATAGAAAATATACAGTTAAGATAGTAGGGATAAAATAGAGTATATCAGTTGTGATATAAAATATGAACAGGCTAAATCCTCCTATTAATAGAAAATGGCTATCTGATTGGAGTAAACCCAGGTATATGTTGTTTATAAGAAAAGAAAAATAAAAGAGGAACAAAGAGGTGCTAGGTTAACATAAATACAAGGAAAAAATTACCATTATTAATACTAGAAATTTAAAGCTAAAAGCACTAAAACAAGACAAGAGTGACATTTTACATTGGTAAAGAGCTTCATATAAAAAGAAAAGTGTCTTGGATCACTATGCCTCATAGAACATAGTAACTAAACATGTAAAGTACAAATTATTATAAATGCTAGAAGAATGTAATAAAAATAATTATGAATTGGATTGGTCTAGTAGAAAATTTATTAGAAAATCAAGGAAATCAGTAAACCCATATGTGTATAGAAGGGCTATTAATGTCATGAAATTATTAGACAGCTAGCATGAGTTTAATCTATACTCATAAAAGAACAAGGCCTTATCACAGAAAATATGGTTGCATTGCAATTCTGATCAGATCATGTTCTGTGCTTTGTGTTCAGTTCTGGATATTCTCAAGCTTGTGGCAGCCAGTAAAAAGTAAACATGGAGGTGAGGATTTTGGAAGTCAGTTGCAAAAGAAAAAGTTAAAAATTGGAGATATTTAATGTGAAGAAGAGAAGACTACAGAGAGATTGAGTGCCTGTCTCCAAATATTTTAAGGACTATCATACAGATTATAAATAAATCAAAGAAATAGAGTGAAGATCAGTTGTTGACAGTTCTAGAGAACCAGAATTTAGTTCTACATAGCTAAATTGTTGAAATAATTAATGTATTCTACAAAGGAATTGAGAAATAAATTCAGGAGGGAAAATGGAATGTTTCTGTCAGAGATGCTCTAGAAAAGATTCTTTCATTGTGGGAGACTTTAGATTAAATAACTGTTAAAGTTACTTTAAACTCCAATTTTCTAAGAACTTGTAACTTTAATATTACCACAAAAATTACCCAAACCACATTTCAAATTATGAAATAATTCATGAGTTTTACACAGACACACACACACACACACACACACAGAGACACTGACGCTTCATGATTTCATTCGTGGGCAAAATAGTAGCTGATCATTATGGAAAAATGGTCTGGGACACAAAGCATGTATTCATTTAAATGTTAACAAAAAGTCAAATCATCAAGTGGCCTGGGTGATTTAAAATTGTGAACAATAAAATTTTTATCAATTAGAGCTTCTTAAGAATAATCAATTATAACAAATGTGAAAAGGTAGTGGAATTTATTCAAGAATGAATCAGTTAAACAATCAGTTAAGCTTTATTACACATGAGGTCTTGGAATTTTTTAAGAAACATTAGTAATAACAGAAATGCATCAGGTATAACATTCTGGCTCTGAAGACAGAGCCAGAATCAGATAGATTTCAGTTCAAATTCTGGCTTATCACCTTACTAGATGGGTAAAATTGGACACATTGCTTAATCTCTCTTTCTCATGTTGGGTTGTAAGTAAAATGGAGGACGTTCATAGTACTTAATTTTGTAGAACTATTGGGAGTATTAAGAGAGATAATGTATGTATCACACTAGTCAGTTTGGATTTGGGTACATTCATTGGGTCCTTTATTCTCCATGTATATGTATAGAAAGAGCAAAGATGGAAGGAAAAAGAGAATTCAAGAGAAAAGTAATTATTTCAATGATTAAGACAAATTAACCTTTTCTCCACAGAAGCTCTGAAATAGAAGACAGATTCACTGCTGAGTGTTTCTGTAATAAAGTATGTGAAGTCTCACGGAAGAGAGGAATAGTGTAATCCTTGCTTACAAATAATGTAAATAGCACAAAGGCATTGCCTGCTCAAAAAGATGTTTCACTTCAGCCAAAGAAATTATAAAAAAGAAAAACTACTGAAATTCTAGTCCCTATGCTCAAGGAAGAAGAAAATAATGCAAAGATAAACAAATGATTAACAGCTCTTTTGTGACCCCTCCAAATGAGCTGGTGATATTCTTTAGAGTTTACTCAGAAATCAAGACACTCTTTGGAAAATACTTAAGGTCTTTACACACCCCTATAAAATATGGGACACTGCCTAATAAGGATGTTTTCTTTGCTCCACTATTGACCTGCTAAAGCCAACTCTTTTAATAATAATTGCCTTAACTCAAGGAGCATACTTTCAGATATTCCCTGCCCTACTTTCAGTTTAAATGGTTAGTTCATGACATTAGGAGCTCATTTTCTTACATGTATCGAAGATTTCATAAAGCTGTTTTTTAAAGACTAGAAAATTTATTATTGTAGCTAGTTTGTGCTGCTCAAAATTCCTTTATAATTAGTGTGAAAGGCAGAAATGTGGATGCTTTTTTGTGTATTGTTCCTGTCTAATTTAAGATGAATGGTCTGGTCCTTCCACACAGCAAACCCTCAATGAATGTTTGAATGGATGAGTGAGCAATCGATGGATAACAAAGAGCACAGTAATCAATTCAAAGTCCAATCAAAGTAAACTTTGGCTGCTCATATAACAAAGAATTGAAATTTTTTTTTATTCCTTCGATTTGGGAATAACAATTTGACAGGCTACCAGAATAATAGATTTTTAAGGTTTCCATAACTCTTCTTGTTTAATACCTCTGAGTAATTCAACTAGGACCAGTAGCATTCTTGCTTTTAATACTTTTAAGTGTTGGTCCTTTAAGCAAGCTGGTAAAATCAAGTCCTGGCACCTAGTCAAATGCAGAGGAGATTAGGGCTGGAATATGTATTACAGGAAGTAAGTGTGATTTAAGCCTTAGAACGCTGAGACCAGAGGAAGTTAGTTGACATGAAAAGCTTTTCTAATTTCATCCTGAGGATTTCTGCATTCTGACAGGTTAAAGCACTATCTGATACAAGTTATTTTGTACGACATCCCTTTTCAAGCAACCTTCTTGAATTCTTTCCCAGAGATTTTTGTGATGACCTTTTTAAAGCCATTTGATTTGATCCTATAAACTTTATACTGGAAATCAGCTGTCTTAAAAAAATACCTAACTTCCAAAAGAGGGATCTATTGTCACAAATGAAGATCATGAATTGGCTCAATGAAGAAATAAATGTTGGGTTTCATCTATACATAATTAGATTATACTGAATCAAGAATATAAAATCAAAAGGTGACATTTTAAATTTGGCTTACTTATAGCCATATAAGAAATAAAACAGACTAAAAACCTTGAGGTGGGAGATAGCATTTGTATGACTCACTAAATATGGTACTCTCTACGGTCTAATTAAAAGTTATAAACTGAGACCTTCCATGATTTTCCCTCATGTTATACCCTGGATGAGTATGGTGAGAAGACTTTGAGAGCGGCTGTACATTCTGTTCTGGGCATCAGGAAATATAAGTGTAAACACACATGCATGAATCCAATTACATACACATAAGGTTTCAAGGGCACAAACACAATTACTTACTTTTTAGGTTTTCTTTGTTATAATCTGAAGGGGAAAGGATAAAAATTTGTTTTAAGTGAGCATCCAGATATCTCACATATTCTGTGAGAGAGTGAGTGCTAAGAAATGCAAGTTCTCTCTCAGCTTTTTAATATACAACTGGAAAACATTCTTTGCATTCGAATGTGAAAGAATTGGGTCTTTGAAATTAAACCAGCTGTTAGGGATAACAACATAGTTCCTTACAAACAAAGTTCATTAAAGCAACATGAAGCAATTCAATTTTGTTTTGTGAGATCAGCATTTTCAAACATGTGTCTTATTTTAGCATGCTTTCTTGGCTAAGAAAAAGGACTTTATTCCTTTATTCCACTCTGCTGACAAAATATAAGATGTTTCTTAGCCATTTTTCTACACACTCCAGAAAATGTTACAAGCTCTCATAAGATTCCCTATGAAAGAATCTAAAATGTCAAGCAGTAATTAAAAGTGCTGTTTCATTTATTTTAGAGCAAATGAAATAAATCTTTACGCTAATCTGTACAATTAGGATAGCATTAGGATTCCGCTAGTAGGTATCTAAGGAAGGCAGAACTCAAAAAAAAAAAATTAGAAATGCCTAGAAATATTAGAAGCTTTAAGTTCACACCTTAGTTTCTTCAAAATAGTAAATTTCTCTTAACCTCCAAAGTCTTGGGAGAACTCTGTGTTACCTAGATGTGGCAGTCTGGCACAGGCCGTGGGGTCCCAATGCATGCTGGGAAGCTTGCTGCATTCTGGCACGGACAGCAAATGCATCTCGGATCTGTAGAGTCCTCTGTGGGTCTTCTCTTCCATTACCAGCCATTCTTTTGCGCAGAAGAGCTCCTTTACTGCCAAGCAGTACTCTCTAAAATAGTATATGGAGAACAAAACTTGATGAATCATTACATGTTAAAGCAAATTTGTGGCAGAGCCTAAATTCTGTGTTTTCAAGACATCATCATGGTAAATTGTTCTTGAAAAAAGCGCGTTTATGAAAGAAACTTTTTACTGTAAATAATATGAGACCTCATGAAATCTAGTGTACTGTCCCGTGAGATGAAATGCTATCTCGTTTTGTTGTGAAACACAATTAATGCTAGTCTAAGGGAAAAAAACGTCAAATTTAAAACGTATTAGATTGGGAATCTCTGATATGTCTTCTCCCAACTTCATATTCAAATAACAACACAGGTAGAGGAAAAAGGTATACAGAGTTTAAAAAACACACCTACTGAAAGTCAGGATCATTGTCAACCAGTTTCCAGCTTGGAAGATTTTTCTATGATCTTGGGGCTAATGGGTAGGGCTCGAGGAACACAGTCTGGGCCTCTGTGTGCTTTGTCCTCTGAAACAGAACACCACCACCTCCCTGGCAGCTTATAGGAGGGCATCTGGGTCCTTACTCAGCCCTTACTTTGAGGCACGGAATCCTGTCCCATTGCTCTGCGTGCTTCCATCTGAGAAAGCCAAAGTATTATCTGTTTGAATATGAAGCTGTTATGTTCATCTACATGTTGTATTATGAGTGAAGGGGCTGAAGAAACACTAATTGGACTACTTGGAATTTTGCAGATTAGTATTTGTTTAAGCCTGATAGAAAATAGGACAAACTGCATAGGAAAAACCTGGTTAATTTCAAATTAAGGTATTTGGGGTTAATAATAAGAGGAAATTAAAGATAATTAAATAAATTAAACATAATAATAGCAGATGTCCTTTATTCAGTATCTGAAGGATTCAGAGAGGAGGAAATTGTAAGAGTGTGTGTGTGTGTGTGTGTGTGTGTATATATATGCCACAATGGTGTCTTTTTTCATACTTATTCCCACACTCCTACTTTCCTAACTTGCCAATATGTGCTAATTGAGTATGCATAGAATAAAAGGCTGTGCATATGAATGTGATGAGATGCAAATATATTCTTATATGAAGAAAACAATGGGATTTATAATTCTTGGTGTGCGTAAGGGAGAAGGGAGTATAATGGGGCTTTCAAGACTTCTGAGCAGGTAAAGGACCTGAGGAGAGTTGCTTAGCTTGGTTCCACCCCTGGGTTGTATAAGCACATTTTTTTGCACGCAGACAGCATAGTTAAAGTGTAAATCAATATGGGACATATGAAAACAACTCCATACTCCACATTAGGCAGAAGAAGCAAATACCTGGGAAATTTTTTTATTCTAAACAGAAGAACACATTAATGAATGGCTTTTGGTTTGCTTTGTTTTCATTGCCATGCACTAAAGCATGCCCTCTATAGCAGAGTTTTTCACAAGAAAAAACAAATCAAGATGAACTATAGACTAAAAAGTAGGATAATTTGAACATGGAAGTAACTACAGAAAATAGAAACCACAAAAAATAAAACCAACACTTAACAATCTTCATTGAAAATAGAAAACAAATGGCACTGCAAGAAATAAACAAATTTGAATTAAATATTCAATTGAATGCAGAAAGAAAGGACCTAACTGAATGCAAGAAGGGCTAAACAGATGAAAATAATGTGTGAAATAACTGATAAGGTGGAGCAAGTAAGAAGTTCAAAATCAAATAATAGTGTTTCTTAGCAAGAGAACCAGAGCACATAAAAAATAGAAAATAATCAAAGATGTGGTATAAGAAAACATTTTTAAGATGAAAAGGGCACAATGTTTAGGGCATATTACCCATTATTTTTATATTATTTATATTACATGAAAGAAAACAATGAGAATAAATCTATCCCCAAATGAATTTTACAAATATTTTGAATCTCAACAATTAAAGAAATAATCTTTCTACAATCTGGAGAGAGGAAAATGTTCCTTACAAAGGAACAAAAGTCAGGATTGCTTTCTTCTTCCTCTTTATTACAACATGGCCAGAAAATAATTGGTCAGAGTCCACAGTTTTGAGGATAAGTAACACAAGTGAGGAGAACTAACGCAAAAGCTAACACTTGTGTTAACACAGACTTAAATACCCAGTCAAAAACACATATGTACAATGACAGAATTTTTTTTTACATGTGAAAAACACCTACTCCAGCTGAATGAGAGATGAGTAAAGATGAGATGAATGAACAAGAAGTGAATTTAAATTAGGAATTTAAGAAAAAGAAATATTTTATTTGAAATGAATGACAATGAGTATCAATGATAAGTAACATAGTATAAGCTCCTCCAAGTATCTACTTATACATGATTATGAAATCAAATGTAAAAGCTAAGAATAATGTTCCAAAAATTGAGCATATGCAAATAAAATATAATTGAACAATACAAATACGGTTGATAATTTCAGGTAAAGTTTCAAAGAACAAGTGTGGAAGATTCAGTACAATTATGCTAACTTAATTAAGTCTACCCTGAACACCTTATTTTTAAAGTTACAACTTTCTCCTCTCCGTTTGTTATTTCTGGTCTTCCTTAAAGCATTCCTTTTTTCTTTTTCCATGACATTTAACACCTTCTAAAGTTATATATAAGTTGTTTATTATGTTCATTAATATATCCCAAATGCTCAGTGTAGTACTTGGAGCCCAGAAGGAGATCAATAAATATTTGTTAGACAATAAAATTCCATGTCGTTCATGAAAAGAGGCACACATCATTGAATGACTGCTTATGTTAGGTTGGGGCAAAAGTAATTGCGGTTCTTGCCATTACTTTTAATGGAAAAAAAACACAATTACTTTTGTACCAACCTAATAATTAGAAAACCATGAGTGATAGCACGCTTTTAAAAATATCACAAGCAAGTAGAAGTAGAATATAAAATGGTTGACAACTTCTGAACTAGTTTGATGAATAAAGGTAGAGACTTTTTCAAAAGATATAACAAAAAAATGAAGATCAAACTTACCAGTTATCAGCAGTAAATTCAATTTTAGTTTAATATTTCTTGGTGCAAAAAGCAGGAGTCAGAATTGCAAGAAAACATTCTTGGAAACACAATTGTGAAAATTTTGACGCATCACTATTAAACTATTGGACCAAATAGCTAATACTCATTTAAGAGCAGAAAGGATTGAACATAAATATATGAATTTTGTATGTTAATGGAAGAGACTAAGTCTTTATAAATGCCAATTTTTATTATTATATATCAGAGAAAAAACCTCTATAAAATATTAAAATGTAAAAATTTTTAGATTATATTTTCTTACTTCAATGGGAACAAAATATTTGATGATGAGGATTTTAAAAAATAACATTTTCCCAATAAAACTACTTATTTAAATAACAATGGGAATTAGAAAAAAAATTTAAATGTATACTGTGAATGACATAGATTTAGGAAATAACTATGATTTTCTAATAAATTTAACATTTCAATGAAAGGGATTTTTTTCTTTCAAAAAGGTGAATTATTTTCAAGATTAGAAAGAACATCTGTGGCTCAGGCATGTAAACTGATCTGGGACATAAATGCTGGAAAGTTAATAAATGTATTTTGTGCTAGCACATGAAGATAAAATTTAATTTTAATTCTAGTAAAAATTTCTGAAATTTCAATTAAGAAAGAGTAGAATCTAATTAAGATTTATAGTTTTATATTATATATAAACTATATATAATAATTTATAGACCATATTTTTCCATCAGAGGAACCATAGACTATCAATCAAAAATCTAATAGAATACTGTAAAGCGGTTGTTGTATATAAATATAATAAAATGAAATGGCTTTATTATATAGTAGTAACAACTCGTTAACAAAATGGAAAATAATACACATTTGTTGGCAAGGATTAATGATTTATGATTGATGAGACTTGATTCCTCTCAATAATTAGGAGGTATAATACCAAACAAAATTGGAATAAACTACAAATTGCAGGAATAAATTATTTGGTTGATCCTTTGTGTCTAAAGCTGGTATCTGACTTTTTTGTTGTGGCTGATGAGTCTGTCATCTTGAGTGGCCTAACATTTCTATACTAACTTTCCTTTTGATACTGCAGTTGTTCAAATTAATTGCTTTATAATTCTTAGGCAGCATGAAGGGGAGCTTGACCCTACCTACTTCTTCACATAACTATTTCCATCTCAACCACACAAATAAAAGCTGCAATGAAAAGGAACAAACCACTGTTACATGTAGCAATGTGGATGAATATCAAAAACATGTTGAACAAAAGAAGTCAGACACAAAGCAGTATATATTATACAATTTCATGAGTATGAGATTCAGGAACAAGCAAAACTAGTTGTCAGAGAAATCAGAACGACGATGCCTTTAGAGATAATGGGAAGTTGATTAGAAATGAGCATAAGAGGGCTGGGCGCGGTGGCTCACGCCTGTAATCTCAGCACTTTGGGAGACCGAGGCAGGTGAATCACCTGAGGTCAGGAGTTCGAGACCAGCCTGACCAACAAGGTGAAACCCCATCTCTACTAAAAATACAAAAATACCTGGTGACAGGTGCCTGTAGTCCCAGCTACTTGGGAGGCTGAGACAGGAGAATTGCTTGAACCCAGGGACAAAAAAAAAAAAAAAAAAAAAAGAAGGAAATGAGCATAAGAGAAATTTATGGGTGGTGAAAACATTCTATGTCTTGATTGGGGTAGTGGTTACATTGTTGTATACGTTTGTCAAACTCTGAACTATATGGTTAAAAGGGGCACAGTTTCTTGTATATAAATTATACTTCTATCAACTAACTACCTCAAAAAAAAGAATACATTTTTAGAAATCTGATTAATATGATCCAAAAAATTACATAGTTCAACTCTAAAATGTACAAATTCTAAAGAAATTAATGGCAGTTTTATTAAAATAAGGAACAAGGGAATTAATTGCATCTCTATGTTTTATGGACATTCTAGCCTCCTGTAATAACTATATTATAATTAATACTCTTGCAACAACAGCAATGACTATAAAACACACCTAGTCATAAATTTAATTAAAAAAAAGTAAGAAAGAAATCATCAAATTTTACTAGCAGGCATAATACAAGATCTACATAAAAAGAATGGCATACCATACTCCTAAATGAGAATACTCAGTAATGTAAATATAGCTCTGTGCCCTAAGTTAATTGTATAAACTTAGCATCATTCTGATCAAATTCTAAATGGTATTTACATGTGGACATTGGCAAAATGTTTCTAAATTTTATATTTAAAAATAATTATATAGTGAGCTATATAATATATAATTATATTATTATAAACTATAATTATAATTATATATTAATTATATGTTATATAATTAATATATAATTGTAAATTATATCAATTATATAAGTTATATACTATAATATATAATTATATAGCTTATAATTAGTTATATCATATTAAGTATTATTTATTATTAATATAATAATTATTAATTATTATTGATAATTATTGTTAAGTTAATATATAATTGTATTATATAACTTATATAATTATTTTTAAATATGAAATTTAGAAACATTTTGCCAATGTCAACATGTAATAAAAATAATTATATAATGAGTAAACAATAATTTTTTAAAAGATGAAAACCTGCGAAATTCGTAGCACAAATTGAAATTAATTATAAAGACAGTAATTAAACCCAAAGTCTCTAATGCAAAAATAGAGAAACCATCCATGAAATAGAATTCAGAGTACAGAAATATAGATATAAGTAAATATAAGTAAACACACACCTCAGTAGTGACCAACTTTCTGGGTTTTAGCAATGAAAGTACTGTGTTCTTTTTTTATACAATGGAGTCTTGTGGGTTTTGTAATCAGAAAACCACAATGGCTGTCACACACACAGAGAATTTTTCTAATCTAATTATTATTTCTCTCAAGCATCTATCCATGGTGTTGAGCTGATTTGCCTGAGTGTCACTGTGTAAGTATGATAACTATCCCGTGGCCACCACAAATTATGTTAGTAGTACTAAAGGAAAAGCTGATAGAATCTACTGTCACTTTATTTTGCTGGTTACATTCTGTTTATTATACACGTGCTACTTTCTAGCAAAAGGATTTTCACTGTTGAGCAGTACGTCAAATAAACAATTTTGGAGAATCCTATAAAGAAGCCCAAGAAAGAGAAATCTAAACTAAAGAAGTGATAATTAACAGAGACACTATTTTTTCAAATAACTGCAAGGACAGTTGAAATAGCATCAGTATTTCTTAAGTTCTATTAAAACAAATTTTACTGCCCCTCACCCACTCTTCCCATTTTTTTTTGCAGTAATTTTACTTTTTCTCTCCTTCTCTTTCCCCTTCTTATTCTGTCAATGCTGAAGTCCCTAGAGATTTTTAGATAACATGCCTGATCACAATACAATCTTCTTAGATGAATAAACAAATTATATTACTCTTATAGTGTCTCCAAACCCTCAAACTTTGCAGTAAATTGAGGAATACAAAACTCTAATTTAATGACCATACTGTTGTTATTGAATGCTAAATAGAGAGTGTCCTCAAATTATTGCAATATTTAAATAGTTTCTGGTTTTATCAAAATAGAAGTGGAAATGTGCTGTGTTGGTTGTTGTCATGGGGTTTCCTCAACAGAAAATTTAGGAATAACAATGTCTATCTAGTTTCTGACATATTCCATGAGTGTGATTTTTCCTTTAATCCTCTCAATTCTACCGTGCAGATGAGGAAACTGAAGTTTAGCCAAGACCACACACATCGAGAAAGCAGAACTAACAGTATTTGAACTTTGTTCTATTTAGCTCAAAAACTAGATTCTTTTTTTTCTACATAAGAAGTAATTAAAGATGAAGATAATTCTATTGAACATAAATTTATCAATTTCAATATTTAAAAAGTATGGGAGTTTAACAAAATATCTATTTATAATCTAATTCCTTCCTATAACCACCCAAATGAGGCAACAGCATCAGAACTTAGAATTTTGGATGGAATGTACTTTAAAATAACATTCAGAGATGCTTGGCATGATCTCATTTATTGACAAATAATGTACAGTTTTTATTTTCTCTATCTTGGCTTACTAATGAGGTCCATGTTTAAGATTTCTCCTTTCATCTGATAGAAATCTGGGATATTTATGGATATGATAATAATGTGAACAATAACAAGAGTAATGGAATATTACACCATTTATGATATTTTCTAGAGGTTCTAAGTACTTGTATTTTAGGTTATCTTTAGTGATTTATATGGTAGAAATATTGTCTGATTAATTACCTCCTATTTGTTTGTTTGTTTGAGACAGAGTCTCAACACTCAGGCTGGAGTGCAGTGGTGCAATCTCGGCTCACTGCAACCTCTGCCTCCCCAGTTCAAGTGATTCTCCTGCCTCAGCCTCCCGAGTAGCTGGGATTACAAGTGCACCACCACACCTGGCTAATTTTTGTATGTTTAGTAGAGACGGGGTTTCACCATGTTGGACAGGCTGGTGTTAAACTCCTGACCTCAAGTGATCCACCCACTTCGGCCTCCCGAAGTGCTGGGATTACAGGCATGAGCCACTGCACCCAGGCATTAACCTCCTATTTTGGATGAAAACCAGCTTTTCCTTTTACTGTTGCATATTACAACATTTTTCAAAAACTCCTTCTGTTGTGCAGATAGAAAAATGGAATTTTTCCTTTGACTTATTTTTGAGATTTTACCTGCAAATGGGAATAGGAGTAGGCACTACTCCAGGACTGCACTCCTGGAAGATGTGGTTACACAACAAAGCCTCAGCAGCTGGCCGGCAGACTGGGCTCACTACTTTCAGTTCATTCCAGGCCGTGTGGACCAGTAGCTCTTGGGCCTCCTCAGGGTCCGCATAGGAGGTGTTGAGAAAAACAAGAGCATCTTTTGCCAGGACTGCATTACACACCTCCCCTCTGTACTGGGCGCAGTAGCCTTTGTTATCTTTCTGTGGTTTACTGAAAGAAGAAATGAACAACATTTCTAATCACATGCTATTTCTTGGCATTCATTCTGCTTTTCTTTTTTTTTTTGGTTTTCACATCTGTGTCTCAGAAATAGGAGAAAATTGTACTAGTAAATTGGTTGACACGCTCCATTTGAATATTGTCTTCATTTCCAGCTGCAATTATATCATCTCTAGCTACTCCACAGGGCTATTGAGAAGGCCAAATGTGACGATAGATGTGGAAAGCTTTGGGAACTATGAAGGACTGAATAGATTTGGGTATTTTTAATATTTTACATTATAAATAGAATCTGACTACTCTTAGTTAATAAGCTGATATAAGCAAAGATGCATCTGGAAGACATTTCATCATGATGGTTAACAAATAATTGAGCATAAGAATAATTGCTCTCACCTAAAAAGTTTGCAGCTTTAGGAACATAGTTTATTTATGTGTTATGATAGTTTACCTTAATTTTTGACAACATATACATCTTTGCAACACCTTCCACACTCAGATTCTCCCACTCACACATCTTCCTAGAATTCCATTAAAGAAAAAGAAAGTGATGTAGGGAGGAGAAAGCAGAAATATGGCTTCCAGAGGAGCCAAGTAGCACCTTCAGCTTTGCTGTTTTCTCATCATGTCTCATCACATGGAAAGTCAACTGGTCACCCAGTGCCTCAGTGATCTATTCTGTTGAATGATGTAAGTAATTACTCTGAACTCGGATTATTGTGTGTTAATGGGCCATATATCAGGGAGAAACCTGTAAATGCTAGTGCTAGCACAAACATAGGATTAAAAACTTATCTGCTATAATAACTGAAGACAATTGGGAGAATGGAAAATGCTATTGGTACTCTCTTCACACATCTACTTGTTCCCTTAATATAATGCTGGGAATTATAACAACTCATATTCTCACCTGACAAACATATATTGAATACTTATTATGTGTAGGCACTGTGATGGTCTCAGTATATTCTTATGTGTTCTATCAGATCTTCCATAGTGTTAGTAATGACTTAAGAAAACTCTTAAGTTATATTCTCATTTAGATTTGTACAACTATCGAATTTAGTTTTTCATTGTCTTTATATAAAGAATTTAAAGTAAGAAAATTAAACAAATTAGAATTTGTGTCAAATTTTAAAATTGTTACGTGACCCCAATTGAATTTAAAAAATTAATACTATAATTACAAACCACCACTGGCAGGTCTTTAAAGCAAATTCATTGGAATGAGATATAATACATTCAGGTAAAATGATGAACTTCCAAGAAACACAGCTATACTTTAAAACAATATTTTGTAATATAGAGTCTTCCTTTAATTCATACTGGCCTTTTTCTAATTAGCCAACATGAGTTTTACTGTATCCCTTTGTTTGTTGGGAATATTTAAAATGAAGGCCTTGAATAAGAAAGCACAAAACTCCACAAAAACTTTCTCAAGGTAAAGGTGAGAAAACCCCCAGAGAAAATTAGACAGAAACAAGGATGCTGTTGTTGAGGCTCAGTAAACGACACCCCAAGGTGAAGGCCTAAGAAGCAGCCTCAGAAACAGACCTTCTGCCCTCCTGTCTCTCCTCTCTTTCTTCCCTCAGGCAAACCTTAGACACTAGAATCCCTCTTCTCCAAGTCAGATCAGACACCAGAACGCCTTTTCCTCAAGGCCAGCCATAAAACCTAAACATTTACTCTACCCACCCCCAGCTTTTCTGTGTAACACCTGGCCATAAAGAAATTCAGACCCTCATTCCAGAGGGATCCTACCTCTTGCCTGGGAGGAGTGAGTGCTGCACAGAGGGGCTGAGAAAAATCTGAACAAGCAGGATGGGCTAGTTTCCCCACTCAGCCTGTTAGCATTAGATCATACCCTTTGTGTCTAATCATATTTCTACACAGCTGTTCATACTTCATTGAACCTAAGCATAAAAATGGATTGCTTTGGCTGAGTGTGGTGGCTCACACCTGTAATCCCAGCACTTTGGGAGGCCGAGATGGGTGGATCACCTGAGGTCAGGAGTTTGAGACCAGCCTGGCCGACATCGAGAAACCCAGTCTCTACTAAAAACATAAAAATTAGCCGGGCGTGGTGGCGGACATCTGTAATCCCAGCTACTCGAGGGGCTGAGGCAGGAGAATCACTTGAATCTGGGGGGCAGAGGTTGCAGTGAGCTGAGATTGCACCTCTGCACTCCGGCCTGGGTGACAGAGCGAGACTCTGTCTCAGAAAAAAAGGATTGCTTTCCCTGTATCTGGGGTCTTTATTCTGAAGGGTCCCATGTTATGTAAAACTGTGATCAAACATATTTGTTATGCTCTTCTCTTGTTAACCTGTCATTGTTATATAGGTGTCAGCCATGACTGTTAGGATGGGAAGGAAAGGAATTAATCCCTAACCAGCTTCTACACTGTGCTTTAAGAAACTATATAATAAGGAGTAACCAGAAATATCTCAAACTGGTTTACGAAATGGTCTCACATGTTGACGTAATATCTCGGCATAAAGGGGGATGAATAAGAGCATGTGTGACTCTTTACGCTTAACAGAAAAAACTCCACCATGTAAAAATTAAATATTTCTCAGTGTCTCCGAGCTGAGAATTATTCATTCAGGTTTTGCTGTCATGTGTTAACTATTCAATGATGCTGTTACTCATTTTCCATGAGTATTTTTAAAAATAATAGACATTTCATGATGTTTCCTTTAATTATACATCAAAACACACTTTTTTAAAAAACTGGAAACTAAGAAAAAGTACACAAAAGAAAAATTAATGAAAATAACTTCAGAGATAAGGATTACTAACAATCAACTAATAATGAACCCCTCTGTCTGAATTTCTGCTAGTATTGAATCCTCATTAGTTTTACAGCATTAAGTATATAATGCAAAATAAAAATGAAAAAGAAAAAAAGACAATAGGTTTTGAATAGAAATGAGAAGATCTTAGTTTTAATTTTGCTTTTTCTTCCTAACAGCTTGATGACCACTAGCTTATACAAACCCTTTATGTGCTGGGAAAAAACATACACATACAAAGTATATGATTATTATTAGTTTTCTACATTTCATTTCTATGATGTTCCTGGAATAATTAAGGACTTGGCTTTGGTATTATATCAGTGCTTGGATTAGCTCTAAAAGGTAAGGCACACACAAGACCGATGATCTACCTACCTATCTATCTATCTATCTATCTATCTATCTATCTAATCTATCTATCTATCTATCTAAATTTATATATATCTGAATTTGTTTATCTATCAACTACCTATAGTTTCAGTGTTTCAACCACTTCCTTTTCCTCTCCTCTTGTGCAGAAATATAAGCCTTCAATTTTACACAGTGATCAAATTCTAGATGCAAGACACAGAGGCCAACTGGAACATTTTGTCCCTCAAACCCCTAAATCTATCACTTCAAACATTTTTAAAAGGAGCTCACAGCAAGAACTGGGGAATGAGATAAATGCAAATAATTTCCATTGGTGTCTTCTGTTGTCTTTTGTAAGTGACAAGACCCCTCCATGTCCAGCTAAAGTTGTGTTTCTCTGCCTGCAGTTCGTGGTACTGCTGATGGGGCAACACTAGAAGCAGCTGGTCCTGTTGCTCATTAGAACCGTGGGACAGAGGTCACAGGGATCCATTCACAGAATGCTGGTTATTTCGGAATCATCAGCCAGACTAGCTTCTAATAATGCTAGTTAATATTGCACATGGAAACAGTCCCTCTCTTGCCTCCTTACAATATAAACTCAGTTGACTTCTCTTTCAGAAAAGTTCCCTTTCTTGTAGAGGCAATAATGGATATTTGATCTCGGATCTCCTTTTCAACTTCTTTTATAACAGACAACCCTATGTGGTCAAAGGGAGTAGGTAAAGAATTCTCACTGCACCTCTTACTCCTATTTCTCTCTACTTTGAAACGCATGAATCACATTCAATAGAACATTTTAAAATGTTATCTTCAAGTTTCTCTGAGGGAGATGTCTACTCCCTTTGAACACATAATATTTTGTCCCAAGGGCATTCCAGATGACCAGCCATGGCATGTTTGTGTTATGACAACCCCAAGACTCTAGTGGAAACTCCACACCTTACTTCCCTCCCTCCCTGCACAGGCACACTTGACAGCTGTACCTCTCCTCTGCTTCAGACAAATCTTCCCTTTTTTAGCAACTGCCTTATCTCTCCTTGAACATTCCCAACAAAGGTAATGACAGATTCTGTGCTACTTCCAACCTTCAAAGCAAACGGGAACTGTTTCTATTCTTTCGCGTCTAGTGTCTTTGTATATAATTTATTCTCCAAGGCAGGGGTCAGCAAGTACAACCCACAGGACAAATTTGGCCTGCTGCCTGTTTTTTTCAGAAGGAGGGTTATTAAATGGCACTTTTATTAATTTTAGTTTAGATAAACTTTACTCTGCTAAGGCAGTAGCTCCAAAATTGTTAATAAAAATTATTAAAGCAATATTTAGATTAAAAAATGGACTCAGAATTTTTTCTTTTTTTTGAACTGAGAATTTTTGATACCACATTAACAAACTGGAATGCAGTCAATTATGACAAATCACTATCCTATATACTTAAAACTAGTTTAATTTTTCATATAATGTGTATCATGATTTTCACTGCTTTTCAGAGCAATATATACATCCAAATGGTATTTCTTAAGACCTTTTTAACAGTAAAACTTTAAAAGGTGTTTTTAGTTAAAAAAAACTGTTTTTTTTATTGTGTACCACATGATGTTTTAAAACATGTACGCATTGTGGGATGACTAAATTGAGCTAATTAACAAATGCATTACCTCACATACTTACCATTTTCTGATGATGAGAACACTTAAAATCTATTCTCAGTGGTTGTCAAGAATACAATACATTGTTATTAATGATAGTCACTGTATTGTACTCTAAATCTCTTGAACTTATTTTTGCTATCTAACCAAAATTTTGTATCCTGCTGCCTGTTTTTAAACGTAGGCTATGTGCTAAGAATGCTGTCTTAAAATTAATTACACTCCATAGAGTTTTATGAAGGTCAGTTTTAAAAGTACTGCAAATAAAACACTGTAAGTTGCAAAAGGTTATATTGCAAGGGATACCTTCTTATATATAGGTTAGAGCTATAAGGGGGAGTTTGGCAGTTCTGGGTTCCATTTCTAACTTTATCATTTACTGGCTGTGTAAGCCACTTGAACTCTCCAGTTCAAAGAAACTTTCTTAGGTTTTTTTATTTTTTTTTTCTGCAAAATAGAGATAACAATAATACCCATTCCATGGGGATGTCTTGAAGATAGATTTAAATAATGCATGTGAAGCTCAGCACAGTGCCCGATCCATAGTAAGTATTCAGTAGAGGTTACCTGTCTTTCACTTCATCATACTTACTAAAAGGATTAGAAATTAGAAAGTTTCTAAAATGTTACAGTGCTCAGCAAATAGTAAACACTCAATAAATGGCATGTCAAATAACAAAAACAAAACATACTCCACCGCACTCCAGCCTGGGCAACACAAGACCCTCTCACAGACAAAAACAAACAAACGAAATCCCTACAAAACAAAACATTGGAAACAATTGTTACAATAACAGTTTCTTACCTCCATTCTATTAACAGGAAAGGAAGTTCCCACAGGAAGTCAAATTAAAGGAGAAAAGAAAGAACGTTAGTACATTTTCATCTTATGCTTTGGCTGAGATTGTTTTGATACTACTGATCTCTAAGTTTCTGAAAAGTTCTCCGCTTCTGCTAGGAGGCCAGATGCTGCATTAATGGGCAGATTCGGAGGAAATGAAGAAAATATTGAGTATCTTTAGGAAGCAGGTTCTTTTCAAACTGAGTCAATCATGGGTAACATCCACCAAGGCAATATCTAAGCTCAGAATTTCCCTCCATTAGCTACCCAGGGACTTTACATTAAGAAATCAAGATGTGGGCCGGGCGCGGTGGCTCACGCCTGTAATCCCAGCACTTTGGAAGGCCGAGGTGGGCGGATCATGAGGTCAGGAGATCGAGACCATCCTGGCTAACACGGTGAAACCCCATCTCTACTAAAAATACAAAAAATTAGCCGGGCGAGGTGGCGGGCGCCTGTAATCCCGCTACGTGGGAGGCTGAGGCAGGAGAATGGCGTGAACCCCCGGGGGGCGGAGCCTGCAGTGAACCAAGATCGCGCCAGTGCACTCCAGCCTGGGCGACAGCGAGACTCCGTCTCAAAAAAAAAAAAAAAAAAAAAAAAAAGCAAGATGTGGAGGTTAACAGAGAAGATGCATAAAGCAGACTTGGAAAAAAAGAAAAAAGAAGGAGAAGGAGAAAAGAAAAGAACATGCAGAGGAGAGAGGGTAGAAGAGAAAGTAGGCAATGGTTGTTCTCATAGACCTGGCTGCCTCAAGGCTGTGTGCCCTGGGTAGCTGCATGGCATCTGCACTCAGAAGGGCCTCGGGCTTAATTTAATGTTCTGCTCTCCCTACCTTGAAATCCTTACCGTTTTTGGAACACCTAGCCCTGCAAATTATGTAGCTGCCCATGCTCACGGATGTAAAAACTCAGGGCTCTGAGGAGAATACGCCTCTCCTCTGGTGGTATGTGATTCCCAGGACAAACAGCCCCAACTCAGACTCTGCCAAGGCATGAGAATCCCGGCAAGGGTGTGATATAACCAGCATTTCTGAATTATTCCATTTTCTTTCTTGTAAATTAAAAACTTCACACTCTTTACCAAGTGCTTTATGGTTACTTCGTCCTGTCCTCTCAACCCTCATTACGAAAATAAACAGTAAAACATATGCTTTGTCTAAAACCAATTTGCCATATTAAAATTTCTCCTAATGTTGAGGTCTAACTCCGTTTTGAAGGTTTTAGATCCATTTGGGTGTTATTTTGGGGGGGATTTTTAAGGGCTGTAACATGAATTTCTCTGAGAGGTCAATCTTCTTAAAATACAATGAGCTTGTATTTCTAATCATTCTCTTTGAGATTGGTGAGGGTTGGTAACTAGAAGGTTTTTATAACTTTGAGTGTATGACTTTTTTGAATCTTTATGAGCTTTTTATTCAGTGATCCTGAAGAATATTTTAACTTTGATTTTAGGTTCGGGGGTACATAATTCAGGTTTGTTGTGTAGGTAAACTTGTGACTTGCGAGTTTGGTGTATAGATTATTTCATCACCCGCGTACTAACCATAGTGCCCGAAAGTTGTTCTATTTTTTTTTTTCCTAATCCTCTCCTTTCTCCAACCCTCTACCCTCAGGTAGATCCCAGTGTCTGTTGTTCCCCTCTTTCTGTCCATGTGTTCTCATTATTTAGCTCCCACTTATAAGTGGGAACATGCAGTATTTAGTTTCCTGTTCCTGCATTAGTTTGCTAAGGATAGTGGCCTCCAGTTCCATACATGTTCCTGCAAAGGACATGATCTTATTATTTTTTATGACCACGTAGTATTCCATGGTGTATATGTGCCACATTTCCTTTGTCCAATCTGTCATTGATAGGCATTTAGGTTGATTCCACATCTTGGCTATTATGAATAGTGCTGCAACGAACATTTGCATGCATGTGTCTTTATGGTAGACTGATTTATATTCCTTTGAATATATACTCAGTAGCGGAATTGCTGGGTCGAATGGTAGTTCTGTTTTTGTTATCTTAGGACTTACCACACTGCTTTCCACAGTGGTTGAACTAATTTACACCACCAGCAGCAGTGTATAAGAGTTCCCTTTTCTCAGCAACCTCGCCAGTGTCTGTTATTTTTTAATTTTTTATTTCTTTTGAGGTGGAGTCTCACTGTGTGGCCCAGGAGGGAGTGCAGTGGTGTGATCTTGGCTCACTGCAGCCTCTGCCTCCTGGGTTCAAGTTATTTTCCTGCCTCAGCCTCCCAAGCAGCTGGGATTACAGGCATGTGCCACCACACCTGGCTAACTTTTGGATTTCTAGTAGAGACGAGGTTTTGCCATGTTGTCCAGGCTGGTCTCAGACAGCATCTGTTATGTTTTGACTTTTTAATAATAGCCACTCTAACTGGAGTGACATGGTATCTCATTGTGGTTTTGATTTGCATTTCTCTAATGATTAGTGATATTGAGCATTTTTTCATATGCTTGTTGGCTGCATGTATGTCTTCTTTTCAAAAGTGTCTGTTTATGTCCTTTGCTCACTTTTAAATGAGGTTGTTTGTTTTTTTCCTTGTATGTATAATTTCCCTGTAGATTCTGAAATATTAGACCTTTGTCAGATGTATGGTTTGTAAATATTTTCTCCACTCTGTAAGTTGCCTGTTTACTCTGTTGATAGTTTCTTTTGCTATGTAGAAGCTCTTAAGTTTAATTAAGTTCCATTTGTCAGATTTGCTTTGGCTGCAAGTGCTTTTGGCATTTTCATCATGAAATTTTTGCCAGTTCCTATGGCCAAAATGTATTTCCTAAGTTATCTTTCAGGTTTACTGTTTTAGGTTTTATTAGGTCTATAATCCATCTTGAGTTGATTTTTGTATATGGTGTAAGGAAGGGATCCAGCTTCAATCTTTTACATATGGCTAGCCTGCTATCACAGCACCATTTATTAAATAGGGATTCTTTCCCCATTGCCTGTTTTTGCCAGCTTTGCCTAAGACTAGATGGTTGTAAGTGTGTGGTTTTATTTCTGAGCTCTCTATTCTCTTCCAGTGGTCTATATGTCTGTTTTTGTACCAGTACCATGCTGTTTTGGTTACTGCAGTCCTGTAGTATAGTTTGAAGTAAGATAGCATGATTCCTCCAGCTTTGTTCTTTTTGTTTAGGGTTGCCTTGGCTGTTTGGGCCCTTTTTTGATTCTATATGAATTTTAGAATAGTTTTGTTTCTAGTTCTGTGAAGAATGTCGTTGGTTGTTTGATAGCAGTAGCATTGAATCTATAAATTGCTTTAAGCACATTGAGCAGTGTTTTGTAATTCTTATTGCAGAGATCTTTCACCTTCCTGGTTAGCTGTATTCCTCGGTATTTATTCTTTTGTGGCAATCGTGAATGGGATTGTGTTTCTGATTTGGCTTGGTGATTGTTGGTATATAGGAATTTACTGACTTTTGTACATTAATTTTGTACCCTGAAACTTTGCTGATGTTGCTTAACAGCTCAAGGAGCTTTTGGGCAGAGACTATGGGGTTTTCTAGATATAGAATCATGTTATCTGCAAACAGGGATACTTTGAGTTCCCCTCTTCCTATTTGGATGCCTTTTACTTCTTTCCCTTATCTGATTGCTATGGCCAGGGCTTCTAGTACTATGTTGAATAGGAGTGGTGAGAGTGGGCATCCTTGTCTTATTCTGGTTTTCAAGGGGAATACTTCCAGCTTTTGCCCATTCAGTGTGCTGGCTCTGTGAAACCAATTTCTTTACTTCAGCAGAGCTTTATCAGGTTTTGGCAGAATGGAAAAGTCATCACAGATGGTATTAATTTGTTAACACTCCAGTGGCATTTTGAAAACTGTTTTTCAAAATGTTATGATTCTCACTATAAATTCATTTGGAAATGATGCACATTTTGCATTTTAAAACTTTATCAATTAGGGCCAGGCATGGTGGCTCATGCCTGTAATTCCAGCACTTTGGGAGACCCAGGCAGGAGGATCATTTGAGCCCAGGAATTCAAGACCAGTCTGAGCAACATGGTGAAACTCCTTCTTTACAAAAAATACAAAAATTAGCTGGGCGTTATGGCACACACCTGTAGTCCCAGCTATTTGGAAGGCTGTGGCAGGAGGATCTCTTGAGCTCAGGCAGAGGCTGCAATGAGCCGAGATCACACACCACTGCATTCCAACTTGGGAGGAAGAGAGAGAGACTCTGTCTCAAAACAAAACAAAATAAAACCTTTATCAATTACATCTCTTGATAAATAACATGGAATGGTGATCAAAAGAGGGACCCATTTTTCTTTATTCTTTTAAAATACGAATACCTCACTAAACAGAAATGAGCTCTGAGAGTATGCTAATTTGGTTAATGCATACATATGTATATATATACACATACATGTAGAGTTCATAGACTCTTATAATAAAGGAAAGTAGCAAGGAGACAATAATAATCAAAAGGTTCGTTTTTTTAATGGAATAAATTTCATTCCACTAAATATTTTTAGCAGAAATTCAAAATTGTAAAGAAAAAGACTTTTTTTTTTTGACAAATTGGCTAAAGAATAATGCAAGTGTTCAAAATGACTGGAACAGAAAAAGACAGTCACAACAATATGTAACAATCTCATGATTCCCTATATGTGATAAAGTATTAGCAATACAAAAATTAGTCATAAATACTCAGCCATATTATTTGGTAAATGTTTCTTTCTTTCTTTTTCTTTTTTTTTTTTTTCAAGACAGAGTCTCACTCTGTTGCCCAGGCTGGAGCTCAGTGGCACAATCTTGGCTCACTGTAACCTTTGCCTCCCAGGTTCAAGCGATTATCCTGCTTCAGCCTCCTGAGTAGCTGGGACTACAGGCACCTGCTGCCCTGCCTGGCTAATTTTTGTATTTTTAGTAGAGATGGGGTATCACCATGTTGGCCAGGCTAGTCTCGAACTCCCAACCTCAAATTATCCACCCGCCTCAGCCTCCCAAAGTGCTGGGATACAGGCATGAGCCACTGTATCCAGCCAATATTTCATTTTTAATTCTGAATTTTCAACATTAGATGCAATAGTCATCAGGCTAACTGAAATTGAGTTAAGTGAGTTAAGGCAAACTGGTTTTAGAAGTTGATTTTGGGTGAATTAGTCTATTATAAATGTACTGAATTAATCCCATCAAAACACCAGTATTTTCATTTCAACTACTCACAGCATGGACCCCCTTGTATTTATTTATTTTTTCCACCAGTAGTTGGAATGCCCTCAAAAAGCAAGACAAATGATTATAGGAAACATGTAAACACACACACACAGACACACACACGTAGGAAATATGTAAACATACACAGACACACACACACATACAACTTGACATTTTTCCTTGGAATTTACTAAAAGGCACAATCACCCCAACCTTTGTTGCAATTTGTAGGCCCTATAACCAGACAAATAGCTTTGGTTCTCAGCCTTCAAGTAAAGATGAAGGGCATCTCAGCAAATATAAGGAGAAAGGGGATGAATTATTTCCCTAGATCTTCTCATTCTTGAATGATACAATGTAAATGGTAACAACACATCTCATGGAGTCATTTTTCAACTGCCTAAGAATTAAGAGACTAGGACTCAGAGACAAGGAAAGCATTTGTTTTGTCTTTTTTTTTTTTTAATAATATTACTGTCTAAAAAGAATTGCAACAATCTGAGGGCAGAGTGAGAGGGTCCAGGAATAGAACTCCCCACCATTGGGATGGTAGGGACATGGGACATTCCTGTGTGTTCAGTGGATGCTATGAAGGTAGCTAAGTTACCAAGAAGACTGGACACCAGACAAAGAACCCCAGTCATAAGCAATTGCAGGTTACCTCAATAGGGATTGAGATCAAGGACTGGGGATTATGAGAGGTTGAACCAGTAAAGAATCTCCCACATCAGGGCACTGTGCAATACACAGTCTTCCGAAGGACCCTCCAAAGAACCCAAATGTCCTAGGAGACAGTCAGTATTCAGGTACCACCTGCAATAGAGAGACATTAATAACCCATCAAGGCATTAAAAGCCTGGATGCTGCACCTGCTGGGTTTCAATACCGGTTCTGCCATTTACTAGCTGTGTCAGACTGGGCACCTTTCTGAGCATTAGTTTGCTCATCTGTGAAATGGGGATAATAAAAGTATCCATTTCATTGAGTTGTGGGTGTTAAATAAATTCATATATATATATATATATGTATATATATATATGTATATATATATGTGTATATATATATATATATGTATATATATATGGCACTGGGCACTGAGAATGTACCTTGCAATTGTTAACATTATTATTATTAGTCAGAGAAGCAATAACAATTAACAGAGAAAGAACTAAAACATATTCCATTTAGGAAAACACATTTGCCGCCTTCCTTGTAAATCCTCTTCTCCTTAAATATGCCAGAGATGAAGAGGAACAGGAGGAAAGGGAAGAAGGGAAGGGTGTATAATAGTAGCAGACCCATTTTGTCTACTCTCCATGTTCCTGAATGGAAGATTGGCTGGCAGTGGAGAGAGTGAAGCAGATGAGGTTTAAATTATGTAAGAGGAGAGTTTTAAACTAGATCAGGCTGGGTTTTTAATCTCTAAACATTACCTGGAAATTATGGAATCTGCCTGAAAGTTTGTAAAGGGTTTGCTCTTGAGAAGGGCAAGGAGATTCTAAAAGGCATAATTCCTCAGTCCCCATTGGTTGGAGAAAACACCATTTTCTCTGTGTACCTGTCAGGTTTAAATTGTTCAATACACTGGTTACACATATAGCCTCAGGTCTTTGTTACCTCTCTTTATGAGTGATTCATAGTTGTTCTGCAATCTACAATGCACTTTAAAAACAAACTTTTGATCCAGAGTAGGGTTTTAGCCAATAATAAGCTCTAAAATTTTATCCCTCCCCTAAATGGGTCACTTTGCTTAGGGACAGAAGGCCACATCCTTTTAGCAGTGAGAAAAGCTGGATTTCTTTGTGAAATTTCTTTATACATAAGAACTAACAGACTCTGGAGTGACTATGAAGGAAACATCAAGATGTCTCTAACATTTGCAGGACTCCAACTGCGAGATAATTTGCTGGACAATAGGAAAATCATTATAAATGTTATATCTATTTACATTCTGAAAAACATCTAGTAGATTCTTTCTGTTTTACTGAGATAGGCAGGCTGGGTTATAGGATTGTCATTTTGATCATCTAAGAGGTGATGCCAATGATGTCAACAAATTATAAATTAGAGAGAATTTAAATTTTAGTGAACCGGGCTAGAGGCCTGCAAGAGTCTCTTAATTAAAATGACCAAAGGCTATGAAAGAGAATGAAGAGAACTCTATGTCACTGCTGAACTCAGGAAAGAAGTGCCTTCATGCCCCCAAATCTCATGGCAGTTCTGCCATTATACAAATACAATAGTGGGAAGAAAGACAGTGGAACACTGGAAAATTCTTCCAGAGAAAATGGCATATAATTTGGAAATACAAAGGCAGATTCTAATAGCAGCTGAGCAGGAAGATCTATTGAAAAGCAAGGGGGCCAAGGTTATGTAAATGATAGAGCCCTCATTTTGTAATGTGGAAGGAGCATGGAGATAAGCCAATGCAAAAGAGAATCCAGCCATAGTACCTGGGAGGGGATAATGAGCTTCTATAGGAAATGTCTCCACTTGCATTTTCTTTTATTTTTGTGGGGGTGTATGGCTAGGAGATGAGGAAGGGGTCCAAGAACCTTGCAACTATAAAGTGCTTTAAGCTCAGAATTCAATTTTAAAAAATTCTCAAAATATCCCACCAATATTTGTAGTATTTAAAAATTCTTAAAATATCCACCAATATTATAGTATCTTTAAAATTATCTAGAAGTCAGCAAAAACATTGGCTCTCTTCTGAAACAGAACTGTTCTAATATAAGAAAGCTGCCTGATTGTAAAAGGATGCTTACCTTTTATGCCTAACTGCAGAACATCTGGTAGCAATTTAATGTGGCTACTGGCTGTTACTCATTTATCCTTTTCCCTTTTATTAAGAACAAAAACAAAATGACTTTAATTAATTTAAAACCAGAGAAAGCCAGCATGGAATGCCAGGGATGGTGTCTGTTTTGTTGATAAGAACACTCTTTACCTATGATGGTTGAAGCACTGAGTGGTAAAGCAAATTACGTGCTACTGCTCTGTTACCAAGTCTCAAGAATTATCTCCAACATTGGGAGGAAACAGGAGTGTGGCTATCAGACATGAGAAAGAGCATGAAACATGTCAGTACATTCAATCAGCTATACTGATTATGAAATAGTGTTCAAAGTTCCATTTTTTTTTTCTGTAGTAGTGTGAAACATCACCTCTTTTGAAATAAGAAAAATAAAACCATGTGGTTCATCTGGGGAGTTTGGGAGACTCCAGTATTACCACATCAGATTTTTCCCTCCTGCTCAGTTTTGATACTACTTGTATTCATGTGACTTTTAAATTTAGTGACCAAAAGGCTTAGACCCTGAGGTCGATTCAAAGAAGGGGCAATATAGAAAGTGGGGGTTGTTGGTAGAATGGGGAGCGGCTTACATTAGAGGGGTGTGTGACCATAGGCTCGTCCCTGTACTCTGAGACTGGATAAACATGGATAGAACCATGGACTGCACTCTCTGATGAAGGACCTGTTGGTGCCATTGAGAATGGGAAATACAAATATGTATTTTATTTCTCTCTCTCTCTCTCTCTCTTTTTTTTTTTTTTCCTTTTTGAGATGAAGTCTCACTCTATTGCTCAGGCTGGAGTGCCGTGGTGCAGTGGTGCAATTTCAGCTCATTGCAGCCTCCATCTCCCAGGTGCAAGTGACTCTCATGCCTCGGCCTCCCAAGTAGCTGGGATTACAGGCATGCGTCACCATACCTGGCTAATTTTTGTATTTTTTAGTAGAGATGGAGTTTCACCATGTTGCCCAAGCTGGTCTCGAACTCCTGACTTCAGGTGATCTGCCCACCTCGGACTCCCAAAGTGTTGGGGTTACAGGTGTGAGTCACCACACCCGGCCTGTATTTTTCTCTTCTGAATCCCTGTGTCCATTTTCATGGTCTCCGGCTGTTTTAGGACTATGCTCACTATTGGTATCATAGGCTGTCTTGCTTTCTTCCACAGGGCTGAGGGTTCTGATGACAAAGAGAAGCATCTTGCCAAATGCCCAGCATCCTGGCAAGTTTACTTTGCAACTTGAGGCTTTATGGGGTTGTGACTGGAGGGGAAATGCAACTTCCTGGTTCATAGGGAGAGGTTCCAAAAGTTTTTCTGACTCCTTTTGATGACTAACAGTAAATGTAAATGAGTCAGAAAGAAATATATCACATTTCTAAAACAATGCATAAGGATTTGGGCAGACACATGGAAGGGTTTTGGAAAAATGAAGCCTGATCTTTATTTTTTGTTGTCCTTCAAACACTAGAAATATCATTAGACATAATCCTAAGCATAAGCATAAGATCAGCTTTTTCCATTTCCAGTTTTCCTGCTGGGAAGAGCAAATAAACAGATGGAGTAGAAATTTCAAAGGGAAACACGAGGAACATGACAGAGGGGGCTGTTGACTACTAGGGGTACTAGTCACATAGGGGAGGATGGAGATGGTTAAATGAGACAGCAGAGTTTGGCATTAAGGAAGCATTGCCAGAATGGCAAAAGAGGCGCCATGTCTGACTTGAAGTTCTGGACTTCTGGCCAGCCTCATCGGATGCCGAGAGAGGGGCCAAAAGCAGAAATGGAGAAAGCAGATACCATACTTGAGTTCTGGGAGATCTGGGGAGCATAAGGCCATGCTTCTTTCAAATGACCCTGAATGAAAGAGGCTCCAAGGATCCCTTTTTCATCGAAGTAGCCTCATTTCCCTAAAATATCAGTCCACGGAGCACCCCAGTGTTGGGAGGTAGTTTCCTCAGTGATTCCAGAGGGACCTTCATGGGGCTTCTAGCAGGTCTAACTCACAAGAGCAGGTCAAAGAGGAAGAGAAAATGGAAGTTGTCTCATGGGAGTTCAGAAGTCTTATTCAATCACACTCATGACACACCCTTATTAGGTCTGCCTCGGGAAATTTTGGGAAAAGTCGAGGAGTGTCAAGTCCCCTAATAATCAGTGAGAATCAACCAGACAAACAAATCAGGGGTTGGACAAAAGGGTCTTATTCCAGGGAATAACACTAGATGTGTAGCAATTTTTTAATTAATAGGCATGTTTCTCATTTATCATATCCACTCTAGACCTTTTTAGTCTTTTCCATTTTTCAGTTTTCGAGTAACAACTCTCATTTCTTTACTTGACTCCGAACATCGTGCAGCACTATGATTCTGTATATGGTCAGATTTAATTGTTGCCTTTGTGGTTCAGAAGAGCAAAGTCCCAGGTCCCAGTTATAGGTTAACCCTCTCCTTATGCTGCCTTCTCTACCTCTACCCAAGTTCCTTGGGTAGCTACTGTAAACATACCCCTGTCCAGAGTGGCTTCAAGCCTCACTTCCAGGGTCCCCAACTTCTCCCCACTCTAAAGCTGACCTCCATCGCACTGCCATTGTCAAGCTCATGAAAAGTCATAGCTGGTTCTAGTCTACACAACCATTATTCCTACAGAGATAACTGCTCTTCATAGGCACTCACCTCTGCTGCTGCAGCAGATTGCAAGTTGCTCTCTGCTGCCACATGCCAATCTTTGCATTGCTCCCACCATCCCTTCCCCCATGCAAATTCCACTGTTATTTTTCCTGGGTGGCCATTGCTGATTGTCCCCATCCTCATTCTGGTCTTTCTCAACACTGATATCTAAGATGACCTCTCCCTACACCCTAGGACATGGCCTTCCTATACTGCCTGTCTCAGACCTTTAGGCTCTTTCTACCACTGGAAGATGCCGTTTTTTTAAGGTTACAGATTTCCCTGTTGGTGTTCCGTTTATGGAGTTGGATCAGGTTCTCATCTGGGCTAGGACAGGAATGAAGTCATGATGTTGCTGCATATAGTATGGTGGCAATCATGCCCTGTAGTCCTCTCGGCATCTTAAAGATTGTGTCCATGGGATGAATCTTCCCTTGTGTGGAGTAGATATACCCATTTTATTAGGTTCCCCTCAGTGGTTATAGCACTGCCTTCACAACCACCTTTGTACTTATGATGAGTAGGCTCTAAAGATTACTGCACTGAAGGTTGGGGGAGATTCCTGACCACCTGCTCTTCCAGCTTCATATGCTGTGAAAAGGAGGAAGGTAGGGAGATTAAAAATTTGGATATTTTATAGATTTTATAGATCCCTTTTCTGAATGCAAATCCTAGAATAGAGGTGTATTGATCAATTAAGGAAAAAGCCAAAAGCAGATGGAGTTTTTCTAACTTCTTATTTAGGATGCTATAAGTAAAACACCCCACAGGGATCCCTTACTCCAACATGGATGGCAACATTAATGTGAAAATGGTAGCATGACAAGGTTGGGCAGACAGCAGAACTGAGTTAGCAAGCCCAAATCTCTCCTGAATTCTGTATGCCTTGAAAGTGATCTAGAAGTTGCTTCAGGCCCTGTGAGGAGTACTGAAGGAGCTGAGTTGGAATTCAGCAGGCCAGCCACAGGGCCACAGTAGGGACAGACAGGGAGACCTAGCTTCTGAGGTTGCAGAGCAGAGTGTAGACAATGGCATGATGAAGGATTTGGCTGAGATGCAGAGGGCTGTGCTGCTCCAAAAGATGTCTCAAACAGGCTAAGCCAGCCAGGGAGGTCCCCTGGGCCCTAACCAAGCCAAGAGATAAAATCACAAGTTCAGCTGCAGACTTCACTAGAGATCCGGGGGTTAGCAGTGGTGTGGGGGGTGTCCAGAAGACACCACTGCCTAAATACAAATCCTCTTCTCCTTTGCCATCTAGGGAAAGAGAAAGAAGGAAGAAAAGGGAGAAAGAGCTCTGGCACGGGTATCTTTGAGTGACTGAATAATGACCTGAAATGAGACTCTCCTAAGATTAGTAACATTAGTATTTTTCTTCTGCCAGTGAAAGTGCAGGTTAAATTAAAGTAGATCAGTTTATTTTCTTGGATGGAGTATTCATATTTAAATGTGATTCTCTCTCTCTCTCCATGTGTGTGTATATAAACACACATACATACATATATGTTATATAAATATATATTGATAGATTTTTATAAATATATGTTTATTTAACAGTAGGTCTTGATCAAATGTCAAATAATACAAAGACAGTGAGACCAGAATAATTCCAGGTAATTCAAAGGCATCAACATTTTTGAGTATTCTATTATCTCCTGGACCTTCTCCTGTTCATATGCTTTGTGTTTATATATTATTGCTTGTCCTGGGCACCTTTCAAAATCAGACACATCTGAACTCATCCTTCTAGCCCACTGCCATTTTCAAGCATTTGCAAACCTTATTTCTATCCTGATTTGTCCTGTGCATCTCTCCTCTTCCCTTTGAACCAATGCTGCTGCTGCTGTTCAGACCTTCATGACTTTTTGAGACACCTGGAAGAGCCTCCTGACAGCTTGCCGCACTTCTCAACCTCCTAACACCTCAGCATCTGTTAATTTGCTAGAGGATATATCTATTGCACTTATTTCTTCTAAATCATTAAATGACTTCTCATCAATGAAATAATATACTAAACCTATGCAGGCTCTTCATAACCTGGCTAGAGCCCATGTTTCAACTTTTGTTTCCACTTTCCACCTCCCTGCTGTCTCTCTCGTGGTCTAGCCTTGACCACTGATTTGCTGTTTTTTGAACAGGTTTGAAAGGTTTGACTTCAACCTAGTCATCTCATATCCACATCTTCTGCTCCAATGATACCTCTTTTCCAAGGATTCCCTGACATCCTGCCTCTCTTGTTCTGCTGTTGTATTTTGTGTATGCTTCTGCAATAGAATACAGCCAGTGCCATAATATACGTGACTGACTGACTTCCTTCTAGATGCAGAGTCCCTGGAAGGCAGGACCCATTTTTAAATTAACTTTTCATCTCTTACTCTACCCAACACAATGGGCGTCATCTAGAGTATTTGATAAATGCATGTAAAAGTGCTTTATAAACAGCAAAGTGCTATGTAAATAGTAATTCTTATTACTATTTATATTATATGATTATACTATTACTTATTATGTGATATTATTATTATTTGTTAAATTGAGTTGAATTTACTTTTAGAAGACTTTTCATTTTCTGGGAGAAATAATTTCCCACCTGTGGAAATGCTAGAATAACTGATATGGTGTCTGAAGACATGGTAGGCAGAGATATCACTGGGGGGAGAAAGGAGAGGGAACCTTAATTTTGAAGTCTTCCTTTTCCTTCATAGGCAGTCCCAGAGGGCCAGCCTTGTCCAGTGCTCCTTATCATTTATCTGTGGTTTTTATTCACCTCATATTACAAATCACAGACATTACTGGAAAGTTCCCCATCAGGGAAGATCAAAGAGGTGGCACTGTAATAAGAAACAGCAGGCTGTGGGGAGTTGGCCCTAGGCACAAGCTCTATCCGTGCTTGCCTTACATGTCAGGCCAAGCACCTCTCTCCTGACCCTTGAGCCCTAGGCACGCTATGAATCTAATATGCCTGGCATTTCCTGATACAGGGATTATTTCCATCTCTAGGAATTCTATAAATGTTCTCAGAAGCCTTTGGGACATTTACATTTTAAAAATAAACCTTTAGAACTCAACACAAACATCCTAGAAATCCGTGTGTCAGCCTTTTTCTTGAAAACACCTGTAAGACCTGCTGTGGCTTGCTGAAGCAGGGAAGGGAAAGACCACAGGGATCATGCTCACAGGTAAAAATGCCCGCAAGAAATAGCCATGCAGAAATTGGCATGACCATGTTGAATGTCTGCCAACTTTCTCCATGAGAGACTTGGAAAGTTTGATCAACCAAAAGAGAGAACGAGGAGTGGGGAAAAGGAAAGGAAATTAAAGAAAAGGAAAAGAGGGAGGGAGGGAAGGGAAGAGGGAGGGAGGGAAGGAGGGAGGAATGAAGGAGGGAATAAGGGAAGGAAGGAAAGAAGGAAGGAAAAAAGGGAGCGAGGGAGGGAAGGAGGGAGGGAGGAAAGAGAAATGGAGAAAAGGAAAAAAGATAAGAAAAACAAGAAGGAAGGAAGAAGTGAGTTCCTGGAAGCTGTTACCTACCACTTGGGTAGGTATTGAGGATTTAGTTTTCCAGGCAGCAAATCTGCCAAAATCCATATCTAGGTCACCTCCGGAGTATCCCCATGGGGGAGGAAATAGCCCAAATGCAACTGAAATAAGAGATAAAAGAAAAGGGAGATTTTCTCCAATGCTCGATATTGTAGAATAGTATCAACTCTCCCCTCTCCTGGAACAACGCAAATGTGAAGGGGCATCCTACCTGCTATGCTGATGGTGGCTGCAGCCTTGGCAGTACTGAACTTCTCCCCATGCTTATTGGTAGCTATGCATGTGTAGAGTCCTGGCTTGGTGATAAACAGCTGCAGTCTTGAGTCAATCACTCGGTCTTTCACACTCTCTTGAATGGACCCAGAAGAAACCTGACAGAGTAAAGGAAAATAAAAGAACTCAGTCAAGGATTTCCCACTATACTATGTCAGTAGATTTGAAGGGAAAAGCATTAAGATTATAATCAAGTGCATGTGGTACACTGCAAACATAGCCAAAAGATTTTCCCTCCCTGTGTCCATGCCCTTGCAATGTGACTTTGTAGCTCTTCCCTCAAGAAGTAGCATTTTCCTCCATAATTTGAATCTAGATTAGCCTTGTGATGTGTTTTGGAATGAATGAGCAGAAACTAACGTTCTTGCACATTGTGGCTTGCTTTCTTGTTTATGGAACCTGGGACTGCCTATAAACAAGCAAGAGCCAGCATGGTAGAAGATGAAACACACCTGGCCCGTTTATCCCCTCTGCCCCAGGTGGGAACCAACAACAACCATCCAAGGTACGCATAAGGCTATTCTGAACCAACTACCACCTTTTCAATCTGCCGATCACAGGAACTTGACCAGCCAAGATCAGGCAGTCCTGCCCAGCAGCAAAACCAAATCAGCAAAACCACCCAGTTGAACCACAGACTTGTGAGCACTAATAGTTATTGGTTTAAGTCACTAAGCTTTGGGCTGATTTGTGATACAACCATAGATAACCAATACAAGGCATGAATTATATACGGTGTGGATCCTCTGATATATGTCTTCAGTGTCCTACAGATGACAGTTAAGTATGAGAGGTTGCAGACTTAAGGACTTATTTTCATAACTCCTGTTCAGTTCCCCATAAATGCATGTCAGATAGGTGGATGGTTGTCAGGAAAAATGGTTGTGAAGCCAAGTCTGTCTCTGAGGCATGACATACATAATACATACATAATACCTCAAGGTCACCGAAAACATCCTTAGTAGGAAACAGAAGCAGTTTTTAAACTGCCTGACCTCTCTTCTCCTGGACTTCATCCAGGTGTTGAAATAGTTCAACACGTCAGGAAGTTCATGCAGGAGGTACTACTTAAACCAGAAAATCAAATGTCCTTAAAGAGCCAAGATATCAATGCAATATTGACACACAATTAACAGCTTAATTTATACAAATGCATATATATTAGTCAACATTACTCCAACTCTGTAGGAAAGATAGCTGCCCAGCACATTTTACAAGGTTGCATAGTTAGAATTTGCATCCTAGCGTGTCTGACACCAAAGCCTATGCTTTTAATCATTATGTTACAGTGCCTTCCCTAGTCCTAGAAGAGAGAACAAATGAGCAGTCATTAGAAAACAAGAGTAACAACTACCTTAACAAATCAACCAACCATGAACAAAATACATATCTGACAAATGTCATTGTTAAGGTGGTGGCATTTTTTTTAAATGGTGGTTCTTTTTTCACTGTTTTCTTGAGCACAATACCACCTTTTCAATAACTAATCTTTAATTAACGCTGCTTATATCAGGGAAACATGATGCCAATTGAGGGAAACTGGAGTGAAATGACAGTTAAGGAATCAGCTGGTGTTATGCTTTGACTTTATCTTAAAGGAGTGGAGGTACGTCCCATGTTGGCCTGAGCTTGGCTGCTTGGCTGAAAGAGATTCCTGTGTCCAGTATTAGGGAATGAGGCTGAGAATGAGACATTTTGGAGCCAATTATTTTATTGTGTTGCATGAGAAAGGATTTTCACAGTTTGACTAGCCAGGAAGAAGAAAGCTCTGAGGTAAGGCCAGCTTTCTTCCTAGCTGCCAGGTGGCTGGCTATCCCTGGCACCAAGCACTGTGTAGCAATCATGCAGTGAACGTTTGTCCAACTAGCTTTTTATTCTTTACCTTCAGTACTAGTCTCAATTCTTATGATAAAAACTGGCTTATGTGAGTATCAATTTACCTTCACTGGGAATCTTTCCAGGTCAGATCAAGTATTGTGGCATTTTCCCCAGATGAGCAACCTAGACTCTATAAGAAATTTACAAAGTGAAGAGAAAAATGTTTTTAAGAGACATGCACTCAGTTGGGAATTCAAACTAAACTCATCATTATCATATTTATCAGAAGTGCAATGTCTCATTGTATGAGTATCCCAGTTAGATCAAGGGGACTGAAAATATTTGGACTCCCTTGAATTTTAATACAAAGCAACAATAAGAAAAAAAGCTAAAGACCCCAAGCCTCTATGCTCAATCAACAGACTTTATGTTATTTTGTATTTTATATTTTGTTTATATATCTCTTTCCAGTTTAGATAAGCAAAAGCAGAACAGTTTGCAAAATCCTTTGGAAAGACAGTTCCCTCCTGCAAGAAGTAGGAATGTGCAATGCCTTAGAGACAACTTTGAAGCAAGGAATCTCCCCAAATGTTGCCCTAAGTCCCACTGTTTTCATGTTCACACCTAAGAAAGTCATTCTTAAACACCTCCTCAAGGTCACTGAAAACATCCTTAGTAGGAAAGAGAAGCAATTTTTAAACTGCCTGACGTCTCTTCTCCTGGACTTCATCCAGGTGTTGAAATAGTTCAGCAAAGAGACCAACACTTTAGGAGGTTCATGCTTGAGTACAAAGTGACTCCTGAATGCTTTTCCCCCTGCTTCCAGAGGCCTTGCTTGATTCAGTTTGTGACTCACGCACAGCAGGCCCCATTAGTCATAGTTTGAATTTGTTTTTCTTTCTTCATGGATGGTTCTGATCAACAGTTTAGTATTTTTGATGATCTGAAAATAAAAACAAATCCCTCTGCCCTCCATTTTGATATTTTTTCGCACCTCAGGTTTCAAAGATCAAAGGGGTGGGTCCAGATTAGTACTGTGAGCTTTTACCAAGGTATGCCTAAGCAAAACAGATTACTTAATTGAGGTGACTACGTCTGGTAGTTACAGGAAATGCATGATTTTCTCCAAGTCACTCAGGTATATGGACCTGAGGGAGCTGGAGACACAGCTCCCTGCTCTGGGTGTGATGTTCTGTCTTTCTAAGTTAGCTGTAACTATGTGAGGAGATGGACTTGTTAATTTGCTTGACTATAGTAATCATTTCACTGTATATGTTTATCTAAACATCATGTTTTGTACCTTAAATGTATACAATAAAGATCACAATAAAACTTTTTTTTCTAAAAAGAGGCAGTAGGATAGGAAGCTCTATTAAATAGGCATAATAATTCATGCCTGACATAATGTGTGTAAAAACTCTTTGAAGGTGATTGAGCAGTTATAGACCTGTGGAGTACTTCTTAATGTATCATTAATACATTACTAATGCGGTCTTGAGAGAATCCACCCCCAGCTATGGATAATCCGATAATTTTATGATTTGACCTTAGCTAGGGAAGACCTCTGAAAGGTATTCTGGCCTCAATGGCCCTGTCTTGCAGATAGTTCCAGCTGGCTGGAAATATCCTGTGGAACTGTTAGAATATGGCCCAGGGCCGGGTGCAGTGGCTCATGCCTGTAATCCCAGCGCTTTGGAAGACCAAGGCAGGCAGATCACGAGGTTAGGAGATCAAGACCATCCTGGCTCACATGGTGAAACCCTGTCTCTACTAAGAATACAAAAAGTTAGCTGGGCTTGATGGCACCCACCTGTAGTCCCAGCTACTCCAGAGGCTGAGGCAGGAGCATTGCTTGAACCCAGGAGGTGGAGGTTGCAGTGAGCTGAGATCGCGCCACTGCACTCCAGCCTCATGACAGAGCAAGACTCCATCTTGGGGAAAAAAATAAAAAAAAAAAAAAGGATGTTGCCCAGTAGGGTTCATGTTTATGCAGTTGTAATAATGTCTGTTTATGAATCATAGAAAAAGGGATAATAAACCAAGAGACATTTCCATAGTTTTTCTGATTAATGTAGCCACAAATATTAATTAGCCTCTTTCAAACTGGCTGCTGAATTATTCCACATAAGACTTGTTACATGTAATTATTTTGGTTTACACAGCTAGTAAGATAAAAGGACTTCACAGGTCATATATTTTAAAGCAAAACTACTGCCTCTTAAAAATATGTCTAAATATAGATATGCCTCCCTTTAAGAAAATTCTAAAAGACAACCTTCAACCTAGGTGATTTGGCTGTTTATTTTATAAAATTCTTCTAACAAGTTAAAATTATTCAACTTCTACAATATTTTAGAAATTATATTTATTGGACAAAGCAAGAGGGACATGAAATTTTTCTATATTTTTTAGTTGCATGCCAAAATAACAGAGATATTACTGGTATAACTATAAATAAATCTGGTTATAAAAATACAAATAATTTTCTTTTTAAAAAGTAAGCTCTGCTCTTTCCATGCCAAACTACTATTTCCAAGATTGTAAAACAAAAGGAATGTTACTATTCACTCTGAACTTCATCTGTGAATTCAGATTTCCACAAAAAATGCTTGGTATTTCCATAGGAGGAAAGCAAGATAGTTTCTAATCACTTTGGGACACGTTGCTGGACTTTCTCCTGCTCTTTGGCTCTAACTGTTAAGGGTTTTGGTTCACTGGCAGGTTCACAGCAGGGGAGAAAGGGAGCACTCACTTCTTTCAGAGTACCCATTGTACTGAGCAGCGTGCTATGGCATTAGTTTACTAACTCGTAGTGAGTGAAGAGCCACAGTTCAAACTCTGTTTCATTCTGTGCCAAATATCTCCCAGCTCTGCGTTCGTCTTTGTTCATTCCACCAAAAATGATATCAGGACTATAGGATTCTCTGTGTTCTCCTCCATGGGATTTCTGGTTTGCAACTTTTACAACATTAAATGCCTGACATTGCCTCCATGTCCTGTGATTTGCGTCAATGTGGACAGTCATCTTGATTTCCTTTCAGACTTGGGTAGAATTACCAAGAACTAAACTTGGCTCTAAGAGCAGCACACACTCTCTGACCGTAAGAACTGCGGATGTACTTTTGCTTTCTTCCTGGATGAAAGTCACTTTGTTTGTTTTATTCCTGTTTTAGAATCTGAGGTGATAAATCTATTTTGCCTTTCACTTTTTGTGAGTCACATGTTGAATGAATAAGTTGGGGTCTCAATAAGGCCTCAACTATCTTAAACTATCCTACTCTTGTTATTCCTAAACTTCGACAGAGAATAATCATTTATCTTCCATTTATAACCTCATATGAATCTTTTGAAAATACTAGAAATTTAAAAAGTATATACCTTTCCATTTTCTTTATTACTATTTTTACATAGACAAATTAGTGAAGTTATATTGTCAGTCTCCCAATTTTATTTTGTTTATTTTTTGAGATGGAGTTTCTCTCTGTTGCCCAGACTGGAGTGCAGTGGCGCAATCTTGGCTCACTGTAACCTCCACCTCCTGGATTCAAGTGATTCTTCTGCCTCAGCCTCCCAAGTAGCTGGGACTACAGACATGTGCCACCACGCCTGACTAAATTTTTTGTATTTTTAGTAGATACGAGGTTTTCACCGTGTTAGCCAGGATGGTCTCCATCCTGACCTCATAATCCTCCCACCTTGGCCTCCAAAAGTGCTGGGATTACAGGAGTGAGTCACCGCACCCGGCCCAGTCTCCAAATTTTCTTAGGATGTCTTTATACTCCCTTGACAGGCTTAAGACTATAACAGTTTCCACAGAGGAGCCAAAAAACACATTGACAAATAAGAATCAAATTTTAAATGACACTTGAAACGTTCTTAGAGAGGTAAAGAACAGGCACTCCAAGTTACTTTATCATAACTGGACAAAATTAGAGAACATTAGCCCTGATGTCTCTAATTATACCATTAGAGATCATCTTTGACAGCCACCTGACGTCTGTGTTAGTGTAGATAGATATGAGAAAATCAGTGTCTGAGTTGTAAACGGACCCCAAAATCACATTAACTAAAGAGGGGCATTTACAACCTCAGTCTTCCAACTCCCCATCTAATTCTCATTCTACCATGCCTCAAGTTACAAGCTGGAAAAGCACGTTCATTTGTTTGTGTACTGTATTTGAAGGGATGTAGGATAGACAGATAAAATGAAACAATTTTATTAACAAATTACGAAAAAAATGATTTTGTTCAAGTAACAGAAAAAAGACTTCAGCGAAAACAATAGTGAAAGTGACAATAATAAATGAATTATATGACTTGGAGGGTGCCATTGCCATAAGACATTCTTTGTTATTGGGGTAGCCATAGAATTTGGCATTTTTTTTCCTGTTTTACAACATCCAACTAAAATTTCACACATTGACGCACTTTGTTCCCCACTTCCTTCTCTCCCTTTCCCTTCTTCCCTTTCTTATCTTATGTCCTAGTTCTCACCTTTTGGGGCTACAGCCAATCAGTCTTCCTAGGGCACCCTGCTTTAGAGAGACAAGGGTGGGGCCAGGTACAAGTATAGAGCAAAGCATTAGTTTTTGAAACTCCTTTAAAAAAATTTAGACTTTTAATTTTTTTTAGCTTATTGGTGGTATAACTCACAAATAGAAATTGTATATATTTAAGGTGAACAAGGTGATGTTTTGAGATATATATGTATATTATGAAATGATTACTGCAATCAAGCTAGTGAAGTATCATCTCACATGGTTACCTTTGTGTGTGTGTTTTGAGAACACTTAGGATCTACCCTCTTAGCAAATTTCAAGTGCGCAATACAGTGTTGTTAGCTGTAGTCACCATATTGTACATTACATCTACAGTACTTAATTCATCTTGCATGACTGAAACTTTGTACCCTTTGATGATCATCTCCCCATCCTCCCATCCCTGACAGCCACTATTCTATTCTGTGCTTCTATGAGTTCAACTCTTAGATTCCACATATAAGTGAGATCATTTGGTATTTGCCTTTCTGTATCTGGCTTATTTCACTTAGCATAATGTTCTCGAGGTTATCCATGTCGAGACGCCTTTGAATAAGGGTTCAGGCCCGGGAAACTTCACTCCCAGTCTTCCGAATGCTCTTCCCTTCTATCTTTCTGAAACTGTAAGTTGTTTAACTTTATTTAAAAGCAGTATACAAATTAACTTATTACATGGAGATGCCTCAGGGTTACCATTCTTTCATGCCGCGAAATGCTTCTAAAGCCTACAGTATGCCAAGCCCTAGTGACAGGGTAACTTCCTGCTTTAAGGCTATCTGTTTTTTAGTTTTTATTTTGCTCCAGAGTATTTGCCTTAGTTTTAGTCACTGTTATTTAATTTAGAGGAAGAAACCTTATAATGGTCTATAAAAGAGAGGAATAAAAACTATTTTGGAATGAGAACTGTGTTATGAAAAAACACTCTGGGATTTTTGGCGCTCATCATTGTAGGCACAGACACCAGAAGTGCACACACAAGGAGAGAAAGCCCTGTGAGAATACAGGGAGATAACCATGTGAAGCCATCTGCAAGCCAGGAAGAGAGGCCTTACCAGAAACCAACCCTGATAGCACCTTGACCTTGGACTTCCAGCTTTTAGAACTGTAGGAAAAAAAATTCTGTTTTTTAAGACACCCTATCTGTGGTATTCTATTATGGCAGCCCTAAATACTAATGTAATCCTGGAGAAGAGAAAGTCATGAAGACATGAAATAGTTCAAGTCCATGAAGGAATGTGCCTTGGATTGGGTAGAAATTATACTTAATATCATTTGAATTATACCATAAGGTTTTGCCTTCCTTAAAAAGAAGTCCCCCATTTTCTTGTTGTGATGCTTGCATTAAACACAATTTGGGATGATGTGGATATTAAAGTGTCCCGATTTGGGACACTTCTTTGATCTCCAAATGGTACCATTAATATATTGTAATATGATAATATATGTTCACTACAGCCAAGATACCAAAAAGTTGGACAGCCTGTCCTGGAGGAAATGAAAACTGAAAATAGCCACCAGTTAGATGAGTTATAAAGGTTTGGGTTGTTCAGCCATATTGAAAGCCATTCTCAATCCACCCAAAGGACTGGGTTGGACATGCACCCATCTCCTTAAGGGATAAAAGTATCCTCCATGGGACCACCCGGAGAGTTATAAATGTGTTTTACTGCTGTGCAGTAAAAAGTTGAAGGGCTAACTCAATGGGCTCGAGGTGCTCAAACCCTACACATTCCAAAGAAAGGTCTGGCCTTTGGCTCCTGAGAGATGACCTCTGCCCCTTGGAATATCCTGTGTAATAAGAATATCTTTATATATCTGAGATTTTGGGCAATGCTGGATGGTTTATGATAATAATGTGAATGATAGTGAATACTTGGAATCCTAGGCCACGTTGTATTAGTTTGACCTTTGGAGGGGCTGGAAACTAGCTAAGACTAGTTATGTGAGCACTCCACATCTATGTAACTGAGCTCCAGTAAAAACTCTGGACACCAAGGTTAGGGTGAGCCTCCTTGGTTGACAATACTTCATGCATGCTGTCACACATTGTTGCTGGGAGAATGAAGTGCTGTCCATGCAACTTCACTAGAAGAGGAAAACTGATGCCTCTTTGATGATTTTAATCTATATCCTTTTCCTGCAATAAGCCATAATCATAACAGCTTATCTAAAATCTGTGAGTCCTTCTCATGAATCATCAGACATGAATGTGATCTTGGGGACTCTAACACACTTGCAATTTGGAGACACATTAGACAAGTATGTAATTCCCACCTGTAAAATCTAAAGGATGTCTGGCAGCTCCAATGGAAGGAACAAAGAAGACAGAGTCCAATGGTCTGGGCTTCCAGAGTTTGTCAATAAAAAGGTTTTATAGAAGATCTGATTGGGAGTCATTTTCAGTCCTCCCAAGATGACTTTTTGGGGGACTGATTAGACCCCAACACAAAGAGACTTTCCATCAACTAACAAATTGGGGACTTGCTAATGTGGCCAAAGATGGATAGCCTGAGGAAAATGCATCACTGGTATCATCTTAATGTTCCCTGATTTCTGAAGAATCATGAATAGGTCTATGAGGGTAAGAGTCAGTTTTAAATATCTGGCAGGCACAGAAGGTATAAAGCCAACTTACAAGTGCATCAGTTGAATTAGAGCTCTCTTGCACCAGTTATTGCTCCTCCCTACCTCCCACCCACCCCTTCTGGGGTCATAAAGAGCAGCTAGGAAATGGGGGAAGAATGAGTGAGCATGAGGTAAGAAGCCAACTGCAATTTTTTCTTATATGAAAGTTAAGCTGAAATATCCCTGAGAAGGGAGGAACTGTGAATGCCATTGGATGCTTTGGTTATTACTTAGGACTAGACACTTAAATGACTAAGTTGGGATAATGTTAATGATTTCAAATCATCTAATAGTAACCAGAAAAATCACAGAGCCTGCTTAAGGTAGGCTTAGATAGTAGCAAAAGAACTTGCTCTGCTGAATATTTTTAAATGACAAAGAAAATAATAAGATAGTGCTCTATGCAAGTCATGTTCATTAACATCAGAGTTACAGTAATAATAATCTTAGCTCACATGTTTAACCCTTGTTTATGGACCTGAAATCCTAAAAGATAAATACAAAATTAAGAAAAGTAAATATATAGAAAGATGGTATTATAATCAAAGGATCAGATATTTCCAGCAAATTCTGGAAGATAAAAAGAGGTGATTTGATAGATAGAAAAATTAACATCAACTAAGTAGCTGAAACCTAGCACAAAAGAAGAGGTTTACTGAGAGGAGAATGGATACATTTTCCCTACAAAGTCATGGAAAATTTCAAACTTCAGATAGCAGGGGCTGTAAGCAGGAGCCAACTTTAAGAAAGTCAGCAAAGTAATTGAAGAACTCTGGGAGCTATAATGTATGCATATGGCACCAGGCTGAGGCATCTACCTGTGAGATAGAGATTGCGAATGAGATTTTCTGTTGTGGGTTCCTATAGTTGACAATCATGGTGGACACTAGAGCTTGAGAATAACCTGACAGATAAAATAGGGCCCCCTATTTCCTCCACAAACATATGCAGAGCATAAAGAAGAGAAAGATTGAAGTTTTGAAAGAAATTCATTTCAATGGAGTCTACATAGAAAGGATGTGGAGAAGAGAGAAGCAGTAATTATTGGTATAGTAGAGGAAAATGTCTTGGAGTATAAGAAAGACTTGCATCTCAACTTTCTCACCTCAAGCTCTGTATCAAAGGAAACTATGTAAACTTGGCAGTCTATTCTATAAGATTGGAAAAATATTAACAAAGCCTGATCATGATAGCCTACTAAAAGACAAAACCATTTCTGTTATTGAAAATAGATGCAAATAATCCTGAAAGAAATACAGAAAATTGAAACAACACAATTAAAAAATTAAACAAAAAAGCAATGTATTCAGAAATGAAAGAATGGTTCAATATAAGGGAAACTTTGCAATTTAAAGTGAAAAATGACATCAAAAAGAGGATGTAATTGATGATGAAGTGTTTTATTGATTTTAAAATATATTTATATTAAAAATAATTATCAAATTAAGAATAAAAATACATTTTCTTAACCTCATAAAGAGTATCAGAAACTAAAGACTCGGTGCAAACCAAAGTGGTTAAAGTCTATATAATGACAATAAAAATCCATGGTAGGTTTCTGTCTCAGATGTTGATGTTAGGTTATTCAGACAAAGCTACACAGTGAGAAAATTAAAATTTTGAAAAAAAAATTTTTAACAGATGTAACAAACTAAGAAAATCTTATTTACCCTTAGAGAGTTTTCCAAACCCAGAAAATTTGAACTTTCCTTTGGATGGCCTTAGGGAGTCAGGAGATAAATCAAAACTTCATGCCCTTAAGAGTCTAATAAGAGATATAATAAATTAAGATATAAAAGAACTAGATATCAGGGAGCTATCAGTGTGAACTACAAGTTAAATAGTCCACATAATGAATTACTGGTCATGTTATAATTATCTGGGATGCCCAAGGAGCTTCATACCTTGAGCTTAGTTGAAGGTGGTACAAGATTAGCAGTAACCTCTTGTCCCTGGCAGAAACAAGCAAAATTCTCTTTGGAGGAAAATACCTTCATCTAGACCTCAAAATAGTTCCTGATATTTTTATACAAAACAATGCACAGCAGGTAATCAAAGATAGCTAGGCACACAAGGAAACAACACAAAATGAACAAGAATCAGTGGGAAAACAGACAACAGAAACAGACCTACAGTGGCACCTCATCTCACTCAAATAAAAGCAAAGTTGTCTAAATGACCACACGGCCTATAGGATCCACAATGCCTGCCTCTCATCTCTTGACCCTTTGCTTACTCCCCACTAACCACATTGGTCTCCTTGCTGTTTTTCTGACATGCCATGTATACCATTATCTCAGAGACTTTGTCTAGTTATGTTCCCCCAGTTATCTATGTAACTTCACCCTTCAACTCCTTCAGATCTTTGTTCAAATGTCTTTGTCCAAATGAGCCTTCACTGATCATTCTTTTAAAAATATAATCTTCCTCCTGAGGTCTAACTTTCTGTTTAAAATGTTTCTTAATTTAAAATTTTATGGATATATAATAGTTGTACATATTTATGGGGTACATGTGAAATTTTGATATAAGCATACAATGTGTAATGATCAAATTAGGATAATTGGGATATCCATCACCTAAGTAATTTGTCATTTTTTTGTGCTAGGAACATTCCAATTCCACTCTTCTTGATATTTTGAAATACTTAAATATTGTATTGTGCTATGTAGTTCAATATCGTGAACTATGTATAGTTGTCCTGTTGTGCTATTGCTATGGTTTAGATCTGTGTCCCCACCAAATCTCAAGTCGAATTGTAATTCCCAGTGTTGGAGTTGGGCCTGGCGTGGGGTGATTGGATCATGGGGACAGAAGTCTCATGAATGGGTTAACACCATCCCCTCAGTGCTGTTCTCATGATAGTGAGTGAGTGAATTGTGAGATCTGGTTGTTTAAACGTGTGTGGCACCTTTCCTCTCCTTCCTGCTCTGGCCATGTGAGATGTCTTGCTCCCACTTTGCTTTCTGCCATGATTGTAAGTTTCTGGAGGCCTCCCCAGAAGCAGAAGCCATTATGCTTCCTGAATAGCCTGCAGAACCATGAGCCAATTAAACCTCTTTTCTTTATAAATTACCCAGTCTCAGGTATTTCTTTATCGCGATGCGAGAACTGACTAATAAAGCTACTAAGCACTCAATATTGTTCCTTCTAACTTATGTACCCATGAACGAACCCCTCTTTATCCTCCCTTCCCCACTACCTTTCCCAGCCTCTGATATCCATCATTCTACTCTCTATCTCCATGAGATCAATTTTTTTAGTTATGAAAGAGAACATGAAATACTTTTCTTGCTGTGTCTGGTTTATTTCACTTAACATAATGTCCTGCGGTTCCATCCATGTTGTTGCAAATAACAGGATTTTATTCTTCTTATGGATTAGTAATATTTCTTTCATTGTGTATATGTACCACATTTTCTGTATCCATTCATCCATTGATGGATACTTAGTTTGATTCTATATCTTGGTTATTGTGAATAGTGCCGCAATAAACATGGGAGTGCAGATACCTCTTAGATATACTGATTTTCTTTCTTTTGACTGTATACCCAGTAGTGGATTGGTGGATCATATGGCAATTCCATTTTTAGCTTTTTGAGTAACCGCCATACTGTTTTCCATAGTGACTGTAGTAATTCCCATTCCCATGAACAGTGTAGGAGAGTTCTGATTTCTCCTAAGGTTGAACTTTCTGTCTCCTTTTCCTGATTTATTTTTCTGCATGGCATTTGACACCATACACATACAACATATATTTTCCCGTATTTCCCCATGAGAAGGTAAGCTCTTTGAGGGCAGAGAACTTTGCCTGTTTTGTTTACTCCTGTATCCACAGGGCCTAGAATAGTGTTTGATGTTCAGAAGCTCAATACATATTTGTAGAATGAATAAATAAATAAATAAATGTATGTAGGTAAAGTGCTTGGAATAGAGCCTGGCTGAAAATAACTACTTAATATACATCAGTTATTATTACCACTATTGAAAATGAAGAAAAGAATGCTGAACTGACACTGATTCTAACTCCGGATTACTTTCCATCAAAGTAGCCTCTAGCAGGGAACTAATCTTTCGGTGATGAGTTTAATGAAAATTATTTTACTTATATGGGAAGATATTATTACCACTTCCCATTTACACAAAGGCACAAAGAAAGAAATTGGTTTTCTAGTATTCCTCATGATACATGGAAGGAAGCAAACTCTTGGAGTTTGATTTCTATGGCAATGGCTTCTAGGACAAAGATATTGGGAGGCTTTGAAAAGTGGTGTAGGTGAGACCAATGACAGAGATCTGGGTAACTACAACTATATGGTCTATCCTGAAGTTCACCACCAATGGGTCTTCCCCAGACAAGTCCCCACACACATGACACTCACAGCATTTCCGTTTTCAATCCAGGTGATGGTGGGGACAGGAATGCCTGTTGCTGTACAGTGCAGGGTCACAAAGGAGCCAAAGGTGACATTGTGGGATTCAGGAGCCCGCAGGATCCTGGCAAAAACTGTTAGGAAGACAGAAGTGGTGAGTGACGCTCCTGCAGGAAATGGTCAAGCTAGGGTGGTCTTTTAGAAATGCAAATTAGACCATGTTCCCCTGTGTGCAGTTCTTCAGTGTTTGCTCTGTTTTAAGGATAATACCACATGCCATGGCCGAGCCTCCAAGCCCTTTATGTTATAACCCTATATTTCTCACCACTCAAGGACACACTGAGCTTGTTCTTAACATGGAAACTTGCCCTTGTTCTTCCTCTGCCTAGACCACTCATCCCCCAGATCCTCAAGTAGTAGGTTCCTTGAATCATTCAAGTCTCTGTTTAAGTGACATTTTCTCAGAAAGGTCCTTCTTACTCACACAACATCAAGTGTAATCCTCCCCCCATTCACTTTTCATCAGCCTACATTATTGTCTTTACAGACCTTACAACTATCTGAAATTACCTTATTTATTTTTTACTTGTCTATTATTCCCCTTTCCCATTAGATTGTTTGAAGCCAAAAGCCTTGCCTTTCGTTGACTGCTGTATTGTTTCAGGCAGAGTTCCTGACCAGAGCAAGCACAGGATAGTATTTTATTGAATTAATCAAATAATTACACTTTACACCCTCAACTGTATCATAGTGGGAGGGCAGACAAATTGTGTCAAACTTTTCAGATGATATATTGGGCAAAAAAAAAAAAGGATATTTTAGATAAAGTGTAGGCAGCAGAATGAGTAATTTCTATTCCTTTCTGACCCTGAATCCCCACTGATTAAGTAAGAGGAGGTTATTTTGATGTAGGAAGAAATTTTACCTTTAACTAAACAGTGGGATTGAGGCTCACAATGCATTACAAATTGGAGGGTACTTAGATTCACAGAATCATTAAACTTGGAAGAGACTCCAGAGATTGGCTAGATTCCTGTTCTTATCTTATAGCAGTGAAAACCAAATCTTTGTTAATTTAAGTAAGTTGGTTTCCCAAGGTAACAAGAATGATGAGTGAGAAACCTGGACTCAAGTCTTCTGACTTCAAATTCAGTGTTTGTTTAAACTATTACGGAATCTTTTGGATGGCCTATTATACTGTAAGTATATTTTATGCTCCTACTTTTTGATTTCTAGGACTTAAGCACAGAATATAATATTAGAGTATGAAGCCCCAATTAGCACAATGCTTTGAAACTTAATTCTAGTTAAATTGAAATTTGTGAATATTGGATTCTAAACTAAAGTATGGGAGACCACATGTGCTACATAAGGAGATACGCAGGACAATGATAGAACAGGTCCAGAGTAGTGTTTCCAGTTGGTCTCATTGTTGAGTACCTCTTAAAAAGCATTGCATAATTTAAAGAGATTAAGGAACATTTGATTTGTTTGACTATTGGGGGCTTTTTGCAGATTTAAATTAATTTGACTTCCTATCTTTTGATATTGATATTTTAGATATAGAAATGTGGGTCCCAAAACCAGGAGAAAAGAAATGCAAGGAAGGTGCTGTCTTCAAGGCAAAAAGAGATTATTAAAAAATAACAAAGAATGCTATCAAATGTTTAAAATGAAGCTGAATCTGTCCCCCAGAAGCAAAATTGAGCCTGATTTTAAGTAAGTCCTGGGGTCCAATTAACAATCTACAAAAATTAAAGGGTTGAGGAACATTTCAAAGAACACTATGGAGATGCAATTCAATCAAACCCAGATATTTAACAGGGAAAATCATTAGCATTAGGGGGTAAAAAAGAAAGAGTGATCCATTATAGATTAAAAGAGACTTAAGAGACATATCACCCAAATGCAATGTGTGCCTCTGCTTGGATTCTTATTCTCCCAACTTAATCTAAATTCACACGTTACAGACTCTTGACAACTAACACTGACAGGCATCGTAGTGAGGGTGCGTCCAGGTACTCTTCTAATGTTTTCTGGTTACAATAATGGAGACTTAGAGTCCATGTGCATCATCTGGCTAAAATAACTCTTGTAGGGGTTGGGGCTATGCTTGTGTTTCCTAAATTTTTTGAGTGTGGGACTACTGCATGACCATCTATGGATCCCACTGCCCGAGAATCTGAAACAAGCAGGATCTTTGAGAGATTTGGAAAATCTAGCACATTTCAACCTCACATGTGCTAGAAAACTGTTCTAGTAACATTGACTATACCCTTGAACTTTTTGAATCAAAAACGCCTTTTGAATGAAAGCCTTCTGGCTGAAGATGAGCAGAATAAAAAATTGGAGAATAATGTAATTTCGATTATGTTTTGCTGCTTTAATTTATGAAGCCAAGAGTTTTAATTTGGGGACTTTAAATTCTTCTTGGAAAGGTTTTATTTTGTCCTAATTTATAGCAGTTTTTTTTCTTTTGGCTGTTATTATATTTGGAATATCATTTGGGCTTATTGTGAAACCTCTGATTATCCACATTGCACAACACAACTAAGCATAGTGTGGTATGGTAAATAAAACAGAGTCAATTCAACGTGACTTTGGAATTAATTTAACTAATGTAATACTCTGCCCTCCATGGGAACTTTCTGGGGGCTCCAGTGTGGCACAGGCAGGTACAGGAGTACTGCTGACATTATAGGTAGCTTCATGAATATGAGACTGCTGATAAACTTCTCCCTGAAGGGGGCAGATAGGCTATGGCTGACCATGGGTTTCATTAAGTGCAGTGGATTAGGTTAAGAGGACAATAAGGCCAGGGATTAAAGGGAAGCTGCTTTCTCCTGCACTCTCACATGCTCTCTAAATGATAAAATAGAAACTCAACCCCCTTTTTTCAGTATTGAAAGTTAGTTTCCACCCTTCCTCCCAGTCTTCCTCCCTTCTCAAAGGAGATAGCAGATGTCTTCTGGGTTTCTACTCAAATGTTTCCTTATCATAGTACTTTCTCATCCCCATTCCCCTTACCCTTGTTTATATTGTATCATATCACCACTATCTGAATCATTTGGTAATTACTGATTTATTTGTTTGCTTGTTTGTTTTTTGTCAGTCTCTCCTCTCTAGAATGTAAGCATCACAAGGGCAAGGTTTGCTTTGCTTTTTAACATGAGCTGACTGATACAATCTATATATCTATCTACATATCTGTCTCTATTTCTAGAACCCTGCATGGTATATATATATGGTAGGCACTCAATGAATATTTGCTGAGTGAACGAATAAATAAATGAACGAACATGATGACTTCTCTGGTAAGGTTGGGGGAAGGGACTTGGATATGTTATGTGTATCTCAATCCTATTCTGAGCTATCAGTCTCCCAGCTCTCTTGCATCTAAGAAGGATATAGGGTTGATGTGTGTAAGTAAGTTTACCAGGTCAGGGCTTCTTCATCCTACAACTAAGAGTCAAGGGGAAAGAGTGGGGTGGGGAGGAAGAGGATGAGGAAACATAAGTTATGTTAGTCTAATCCTCACATGGAATAGAAATCTTTATTTTTCATTCCAGCCTTATCAGCAATAAAGCTGATATGTTTTTACCCAACTCTATCTGAGCAATTGCATAATACTCAAATTTACCATTTTTCAAATATGAAAGGTAAAAAGGTGATGAGGGAAATTTTGACATGTTTTTCAAGCATTGTAAACAATAAAGTCAGTTGCAATTAAAAATAAATGCCAGATTAACCTCCATGAATAATAATACACCGGCAATAACAAACTTGGACACAAGTCAACAGTAAATCCCATTATTTCAGTGGTAGTCACAATCTGAAAATGCATTCTAGGTCATCAATTTAAAAAGTTATATGACATGTTTCTTATTAAATAAAATGGGCATAGAATATCCCTATTTTGTGTTTTATCTGCATAAAAGAATATAAAAGTGTTTTTGTTACATAAACAATTAAACCACTTAATAGAAGGAACATTAAATTACTTAGTAAGTTGGAAAGCATTTATAACTGTTTTGATATGGATTTTTAAACAAAAAAATCATCAAACCCCTCTTTCTGTACATAGTCTTATCCATCCTTCTCCAATTCACTGTGAGCCCTAAACCACTTGGTTTCCTGTGGGTAAGCAAGTGCATCTGCAACATGGAAAATAGACCAAGGTAATATATTTAACTCTGGGTTTTCTCTCATGGGATCTATTCATGAGTTTGGGGCTTTAATGTCTCTTGAGCAGACTTGCAGGCTAACTGCAAGTGGAGAATCCTATATTCAAAATTGGGCTCAAGAAGCCAGCAATTCTAAAATCTTTTATAACATACCCACATTATATTCTCTCTCTCTCCTTATTTCAAAGCACTTTCAGATATGTAATCAGTTTTATTATTGATTGTCATCTTAAGGAGTAAGGTATAGTAAAAAGATAAAGGCATAATTCACTCTGAAATTGCACTGGAGTGTAATAAAAAGCCCAAGGGACAGGGCATCCATGTTAAGTCCTGAAATAAATGAGTGGTTTGGCTGGAGATGAACTACCTCTCTTTTCTTGGTAAGGGAGCAGTGCCAGAGGAATACTTAAGTCTCTTATCAATTTCTATTTCTGAGCAGTTATTTCAAAGGACACAAGGAGCTCCCATGGATTTTATTTTCCCTTCCTCTTTTGTTATTTTCTAGCTTCCTTTGAAAAGGGTTTTTAGGTTACATGATTCAAACCAGCAATGACTGATAGGAATAAATTAAGAAAAAAAATTCACATAGGACCAGGTAAAATGCTTTTTTACCTGTATTTAATTGTAAGCAACCTGGTATTTAAAAATAAGAAAACATTATCTGTACTTTATATGAGATACTAAGATAAGGAGGTACTGTTTTAAATAATACCAGTTTGAGATTAATTCCTACAGTCAACTCTATTACATGAGAACTCACAAATTTCATCCCCCAAATATCAAATTTTAGGTTAGAAGAGCACAAAGTTTGGGGCTTAATCAGAATGCAAGGTACCTTTTTTTTTTTTCTTTTTTCTTTTTTTTTTTTTTTTTTACAGAAAACAGAAACTGTTGACAGAAAACTGTTGGGGAAAAAGTAGAATTTTTCCCATACAAATTTAATTTCCAGCTATTTTCCTCTAAACATATTCCACTACAAACATATGTCTCTGTGCAATTAAAATAACTTAATTTTTATTGATTTGGAGCAATTGCATAATACTCCTGATCTTGTTGAAATCATCACAATAAAAACCAAATTGGCACCTTGACATCCTAACATTTATCCAAAGACTGTAAAGCCCCCCAACCCCCACCAAAAGTCTTTTAGTCAAAGGGTATCTTTCTTTTCCAATCTATGTGGGATTTATACTCTCATGCTGATTTATTTCATTTCATTTTGTTTGTATTTCCAGAGACACCAAATTTAAACATTACTTTTAACTCAATCTTGCTTAAGAAATGCAAATGGTCAGTAAGCATATTATATAATAAAGAAGCCTATCTAATAACACCGTTAAGTGCTGTGACTTAATATTCCCCATACATTGTTTGTTATTTCTTTAAAAATGGCACTTAGAGCTGTTTATAAGGTCAACAAAAATAAACAATTGAAAAGAGCTACACAATTAAAAAGAAGCCATGCAGAAAGAAAAAAAAATACCTTTAGTATCTTGTTCGGGTTCACTTTCTTCTGTTAATAAAAACAAGACAAAACAAACACACACAATAAACACGCAAACAAAACAACACATCATGAAAAGGGAAATCTTTGACCACAGAAACATCAGTTGTGCAACAAGATTAATTAGAAGCTGCTTGTTTCTTATTTCAATAAGAAACAAATGCAATCAAGGAAAACTGCAGACCTTTTGAAAGCAAACTGTTAAATGACATAAGATTTCAGAATGATTACTTTTAGCCAGGCAGTATTATACAGAAAATAAACTACAGCATACCTAACAATGTAGCTCTTTCATGAATTTTTATTCTAATGTTGACAGTTACCCTTTCTTTCAAGGCTACAGAGTGCCTACTATTCTCATACATTGCGTTCCCCCCTTGTAGCTTAGAGTCTCCTCTTACCAGGCCCTGCTGTGAAGTCAGTGGTGTTCAATCTGGGATCTCAGCTATCATTTCTATGGCAATAGACTCATGTTGTGGTAAACAGAGGATTAGGGGGTTTCTGCAGAATAGAACCTACCACCAACAGAGATCTGCAACTCTGCACCAACACAGAAGCTGCTTGGAGAGCAGAAAGGAGCAAATCATTACCTTCTGGGAATCTACTAAGGAAGTAAGGTCCACAGGATATTGTAAAATGTTTAGATTGAATAGAAAGAATTGAGAATTTATAAATGTTTAAAAATCCTAGAAGAGAGACAACAAAACCAAATTAATTGTTCCAAAATGTTTAATATAACCATGTCAGACGTAGTCCCCAAGTGGAACTCTAGTTTTCTTTCCTGAAGTTTTATTTGTTCATGTAAATTTGAACCTTTCTTAGAGTTAGTAATATGTCAACTGCAATATTTATTTGTAAGTAAAAAATGGCCATGCTATTGCTAACAACATTCAATGACAATAATACACTTGCATAGTCTTTCACAGATTGTGGATATTTTCATGCACATTTTTTACTCGATCTCATTTGACTCTCCCCATGTCTCTGTAATTGAACATAATTGATATTATCCAGCCTGAGTTTGTGGACCTGAACATGCAGTGGAAATGTTCCGCCAGCAACCGCATCATGGGTGCCAAGGACCATGCATCCATCCAGATGAACTTAGCCAAGGTTGACAAGGTTATAGGCAGGTTTAATGGCCAATTTAAAACCTATAGTGTCTGTAGGACCATTCTCAGAATGGGTGAGTCAGATGACTCCATTCTCTGACTGGTCAAGACCAACAGCATCTCAAAGAACTTCTGATTGGAGAGAATTGTGAGTGTTGAATATTTGTCATAAATAAATAGTGAAACCCTTCACTTCCTCCCCGCCAAAATTAGCCCATTTTCCGGACAAAGGATCTAAGTCTTGGAGATTTGCTGCAGGTGCAGAGCCAGAAATTCAACCCCCTTTTCAGACATTGAGTCTTCCCAATGAGAAGGTCTCATATTTACACTTAACACCCAATCCCCTTACATTTAAGTGAATTTGTGATTCCTCATTTAGATTCTACTGTCTGAACTTTCCCTACCTCCATCAACTCAGTGGTACATTCTTGGTTTTTGTTTATAAGCATCAAGTTCAAAAACTATTTAAAACTTCTGAATTGAATATATTTATCGTTAAAAGGAGATTTAGAGGTCGTCTGTCAAATGTACCTTCAAATGAAGAAATCTTTTTTTTACAATATTCGTAACGGTTCCTGGTAAAGCATAGGTATTGGATAAATATTAGTTTCTTTCATATTTAAAACTGGTCATCTGGACATTAGGAAACTGCAGATTCCCTGTCTGTATCACATACCTCAATCAGGAGAAATGAAAGAAGGTCCATGACTGGGCCAGATTAGACTTGAAAAATTGCATTTGAATGCCTTCGGGCTGGACACATCTTTCTAGAGCCCCAGAACAATGTGTTTGTTTCTAAGTTTGGAAAAACAAACAAACAAAACAAAACAAAACAAAAACTCTCTCCCTCTCTCTCTTTTTCTATTTCCTTTATCAGCCAAGTAACTTAGAGTGGTTGGGATGGCCATGGTGTTTTTATAGGGATATTAAGTGTCTTTATTCTGCAACTGTGGTATCTCCAAAACTTTATTCCACTAAAGTTAAAGAGTATCAGTAAACTTTTTCCATTAGTAAATTTTGAGAATTATATTCACTTGTCATTTTCTTCTCTTAGAGTGTTCTTTGTCAGGGTTCAAGGGCAACTGCAGGTCAATTCTGAGTCTCGTTTCAGTTTCACTCCATGATCTATACAGGACTATACTTGAACTCTACTTTGAGCGTAGGCTCAATTTTAGATAATATTAATTTTCCTTTGAAATTTTTCAGTTTGATGTTATTGTTGCTACTATTGTTCATTTTGCCTTATTTGGGATTGGAAGCAGTGCAAAATTTTGAAAGAATACACCTATTTCATCCACTGTAAGTAAACAGTGGATGAACTCAAGACATGAAAGAATGTCTAAGATTTGTCATTTTCCTGGGAGGAAGCTTAGAAGTTCTACCAGAAATTATAGTTTCAGTTATAGACTATCAAAATTTCTTTCTAATGCAAATATATTATACCTCTTTATAGATACAAATTTATATATGTTTATGCATTAACATACACACATTTACATGCATGCACACACAATTGAGGTTACTTTAAATTAGAGAAAATTATGCAAGAAAAGTCTATAGGCCTATTTAAGCTCAGGTATAGTTATTCGCTGTATGACTTTTTTGGTCATTTCGAGCTCAAACAGTAGTCCTAGTTTTTCCACATATCCTGCTCGCCTAGCCTACTAGGATCACTCTTGACTTCTGAACTTATTGTTTTACCACTTATCATTTTTAAAATATTCTGCTTCATAGTCTTTATTCCCATTTAATTACTAAATTTTTATTTAACTGCTTTATATGTAATGCATTGTTCTTGTCTTCCAAATTGATTTGTAATCTTCTTTAGGGAGGTTAGGGCTAGAATTAAACTGGGATTAGTATCAGACTTTTGTTGCTGCTTTATTTTCCTCTAAAGTCCAGCACAGTCTCTTGTAGAAAGAAGAACACATTTATTGTTAAACAAGTTATTTGCCAGTTGCATTAGTGGGGCATTTTCATCCTATTTTGTTGGAACTGTCCAATAGGGTATTTAGAATAATCAATGACTGCTCTTATTGGACTAATCTGAGATATAATTTATTCACTTCACTTCAACATCCAAGGTAAATAGTAATCCATAATTTTCTTGAAAAGTTTTATTTATGAGAAACTCAGTACCATAGTAGCAATCCATTTTGATCAACTGTGTTGTAAAGGAGAGAGAATATCTGTAAATCAAAATCAAACCAAAACCAATCTCTTTATACTTACTATCTATAAGACCCTTTTCCCACTTCTATCCACCTAACAAGAATGAAACTGTACGTAATATGTAGTCTTTTATCCCTCATCCCCCTTCCACTCTTTTCCCCTGAGTCCCCAAAGTCTAATGTGTCATTCTTATGCCTTTGCATCCTCATTATCTTAGCTCCCACTTATGCATGAAAACATACAATGTTTGGTTTTCCATTCCTGAGTTACTTCACTTAGAATAATGATCTCCAATTCCAACCAGGTTGCTGTGAATGCCATTATTTCAATTAATTTCTAATGCGTTATTTCTGCTATATAGGAAAACTGTTAATATATGTGTACATAAGTGCATTTTATTTGTAAATAGGATTAATTATCATATTAGTTAAAGTAGCTTTGGAGTTGATACTCTTGTGTTTTCTAGATGGATAAAAATATCACTTTTAAACATCAATACTTTTGACCTCTTTCAAACAATAATATAAATTTTTATTTTTATATATTCAGCTGGATAGAATTTATATGATGATATATAATAATTATAGCACAAAGAGTACTACTCAAGTTGGTGTTATGATATTACAATTCAGTCATCTAGGTAGAATATAAGTACATAGCAATAATGAAGATATAATTTTTTGCTACCTAAAAAGACAAAGCCATATTAAAAAACAAGATGAATATCTCAGTGTATAAGAAAGTAGACAAAACACAACAGATAAGTAGTCACTGCTGAGTTCCAATTCTATAAACAGAGAAAGGGGCTTGAAGTTTGATTTCTCTAGAAGTGTACTATATGAGATGGGGGATTGGAGGCTCGCTGCTTGAAACCAAAGCAGTCATAGTATCGTAGTCAGAACATGTGTTATGCTTTTGACGGTTTAGTGACTGGGTCTGGATTGAATGTCAAAACATTACAGAATAGAGTCCTAAAATTGCTCCCTGAAATATCTTATATGAATGAAGGAAGTAGAGGGCAACCCCCAAAATTACTGGAAAAGGAATAAATCATTTCAGAGAGATGATGATAAGATTTACAGTGGCAAATCATAATTTCAAAGCACATTAGGAAAACAATTGCTAAGCAATAATAAATTGACTTTCAACTTAATGAATTCAGTAACTGGGGGATTAATTTACTCTGGAAGAAAACAAAGAAGTTCAAAAGGAGTTTAAGAACCTTAAATAATAGTATATGTATAAAAATAAATTATAAAACAAACAGGCAAAATTGAAATACATATAATAGTAGAAATGCTAGAAATTGATAATAACAAGCAGAGACACAAAAGATATGATAAACTCAAGCTTGGACAAGGTCAAGTGAAGAATTAATGAATCAGAAGATGGCACTTAAGCCATCATACAGCCCTGAGGCCAGAGAGAAAGATGGACAGAAATGTGAAAGATTAACTAAAAGATGGGAAGAACAGATTTAGAGCTCTAATATATGCTTACAGGAGTGTGAGCAGTAGAGAAGAGAAGGAAGAGCAGAGAGGTTATATTTGAAGACATAGTGGTGGAGATTTTCTAGGCTTGAAGCAATACATGAAACCCCAGATCAGTTAAAGTGGTGGCTTTTAAAACTCGAAATTCATTGAATCACTTATGAAGTTTAAGCAAGCAAACAAACAAACAATTAAATGCCAGACACACAATTTAGGTTACTGAATCAAAATTTTTTGCCTGTGTTTTGGGGATGAGTATTTTTCAGAAGTACTTGAAGACTGCCTTTCAAGTGGCACTGGGATTGCATAGGAGGATTAATACAAACAATTTGACATTGTTGTAGTTTTTAAAATTTTTTCATTTCTGAGATTTTGGTGCACCCATCACCTGAGCAGGGTAAACTGTACGTAATATATAGTCTTTTATCCCTCATCCCCCTTCCACTCTTTTCCCCTGAGTCCCCAAAGTCTAATGTGTCGTTCTTATGCCTTTGCATCCTCATTATCTTAGCTCCCACTTATGCATGAAAACATACAATGTTTGGTTTTCCATTCCTGAGTTACTTCACTTAGAATAATGATCTCCAATTCCAACCAGGTTGCTGTGAATGCCATTATTTCATTCCTTTTTATGGATAAGTAGTATTCCATGGTATGTATGTGTGTGTGTGTGTGTGTGTGTGTGTGTATGTATATGTAGTAGTATTCCATGGTGTGTGTGTATATGTATGTATGTGTGTGTATTTATATGTCTCACATTTTCTTTATCCACTGGTTGATTGATGAGCATTTGGGCTGGTTCTATATTTTTGCAATTGCAAATTGTGCTGCTATGAACATGCATGTGCAGGTATCTTTTTTGTATAATCACTTCTTTTCCTCTGGGTACATGCCTAGTAGTGGGATTGCTGGATCAAATGGTAGATCTACTTTTAGTTCTTTAAAGAATCACCACACTGTTTTCCATAGTGGTTGTACTAGTTTACGTTCCCAACAACAATATAAAAGTGTTCCCTTTTCACCACATCCCATGCCAACATCTATTATTTTTTATTATAGCCATTCTTGCAGGAGTAAGGTGATATCACGTTGTGGTTTTGATTTGCATTTCCCTGATAATTAGTGATGTGGAGCATTTTTCCATGCTTGTTGGCCATTTGTATATCTTCTTTTGAGATTGTCTGTTCATGTCCTTAGCCCACTTTTTGATGGGATTTTTTTTTTCTTGCTGTTTCAGTTCTTTGTAGATTCTGAATATTACTCCTTGGTCAGATCCATTATTTGCAAAATTTTCTCCCACTCTGGGGGTTGTCTGTTAACTCTGCTGATTATTTCTTTTGCTGTACAGAAGCTTTTTAGTTTAATTAAGTCCCATGTTTTTTTTTTTCTTCCCATGATGGTGTCTCGCTCTGTTGCCCAGGCTGGAGTGCAGTTGCACTATCTAGGATCACTGCAACCTCCACCTCCCAGTTTCAAGTGATTCCTCTGCCTCAGCCTCCAGGGCAGCTGAGACTACAGGCACGTACCACCACACCCAGCTAATTTTTGTATTTTTAGTAGAGATGGGGTTTCACCATATTGGCCAGGCTGGTCTTCAACTCCTGACCTTAAGTGATCTGCCAGCCTTGGCCTCCCAAAGTGCAGGGATTACAGGCATGAGCCAATGCACCCGGCCAAGTCCCATCTATTTTTCTTTGTTTTTGTTGCATTTGCTTTTAGTTCTTGGTTATGAAGTCTTTGCCTAAGCCAATGTCTAGAAGAGTTTTTCTGATGTTATCTTCTAGAATTTTTATGGTTCCAGGTCTTCAATTTAAGTCCTTGATCTATCTTGAGTTGATTTTTGTAAAAGGTGAGAGGTGAGGATCCAGTTTCATTCTTCTACATGTGGCTTGCCAATTATCCCAGCACCATTTATTGAATAGGGTGTCCTTTCCCCACTTTATACTTTTGTTTGCTTTGTCAAAGATCGGTTAACTGTAAGTATTTGGCTTCATTTCTGGGTTCACAATTCAGTTCCACTGATCTCTGTGCCCATTTTTATACCAGTACCATGCTGTTTTGGTGTCTGTGGCGTTGTAGTATGGTTTGAAGTTGGGTAAGGTAATGCATCCAGATTTGTTCTTTTTGCTTAGTCTTGCTTTGGCCATGTGGGCTCTTTTTAGGTTCCATATGAATTTTAGGATTGCTTTTTCTAGTTCTGTAAAGAGTAATCGTGGTATTTCCATGGGAATTGCATTGAATTATAGATTGCTTTAGGCAGTATGGTCATTTTCACAATATTGATTCTACCTATCTATGAGCACGGGATGTGTTTCCATTTCTTTGTGCCATCTATGATTTCTTTCAGCAGTATTTTGTAGTTTTCCTTGTAGAGGTCTTTCACCTCCTTGGTTAGATATATTCTTAAGTATTTTATTTTATTTTTGTAGCTATTGTAAAAGCAGTTGAGTTCTTGATTTGATTTTCAGCTTGGTCACTGTTGCTGTATAGGAGAACTACTGATTTGTGTACATTAATTTTGTATCCTGAAACTTTGCTGAATTCATCTACCAGTTCTAAGAGTTTTTTGGATGAGTCTTTAGGGTTTTCTAGGTATAAGATTATATCATCAGCAAACAGTGACATTCTGACTTCCTCTTTACTGATTTGGATGCCCTTTATTTCTTTCTCTTGTCTGATTGCTCTGGCTAGGACTTCCAGTACTATGTTGAATAGAAGTGGTGAAAGTGGGCATCCTTGTCTTGTTTCAGTTCTCAGGGGTAACACTTTCAGCTTTTCCCCATTCAGTATAACGTTGGCTGTGGGTTTGTCATAGATGGCTTTTATTACCTTAAGGTATGTCTTTTCTATGCTGATTTTGCTGAGGGTTTTAATCATAATGGGATGCTTAATTTTGTCAAATGCTTTTTCTGTGTCTACTGAGATGATCGTGATTTTTGTTTTTGATTCTGTTTATGTGGTGTATCACATTTATTGAGTTACATATGTTAAACCATCCCTGCATCCCTGGTATGAAACCCACTTGATCATGGTAGATTATATTTTTGGTATGTTGTTGGATTCAGTTCACTAGTACTTTGTTGAGAATTTTTGCATCTGTGTTCATCAGGTGTATTGGTCTGTAGTTTTCTTTTTTGGTTATGCTCTTTCCTGGTTTAGTATTAGGGTGATACTGCCTTCATAGAATAATTTAGGGAGGATTCCCTCTTTGTCTATCTTGTGGAATAGTGTCAATAGGATTGGTACCAATTCTTCTTTGAATGTCTGATACAATTCAGCTATGAATCTGTCTGGTCCTGGACTGCTTTTTCTTGGCAATTTTAAAATTACCATTTCAATCTTTCTGCTTGTTATTGGTCTGCTCAGAGTT